>NC_000006.12:90148261-90773261 GCF_000001405.40 Homo sapiens
GTAGGACTTACTGATCTAATCAGAAACCAGGTGGTCAAAGCCTCAGATGCCCAGAGGGGAGGAAATGAACAGGTCCATCCTTTCAGCTGGGAAATATGACAATATTGTACCAAACACATTAAAAATATGCATGCCTTTCGATCTGGTAATTCCATTTCAAGGATATCTGAAAAGATAGATACACAGAAGATGCTATTTGCTGCACTTTTCATAATGCTCTGCCTTGTTTCCAACAGTGGAAAAACTAGACAACGGTGGAAAAATGTCCAGTAATAAGCCATGAAGCATTCATACATGGATTCTAGACAGATACTTGAAATGATGCTCTAGAGGAATATTCAAGTGACATGGTAAAAATTGAAGAGATTACAACATTTAAAAGGATGTGACCAAAAAGTGGGAATGTAATGGTTAAGTGTCTGTTTTACACACACACACACACGCATACACGCACACCTACAGTCAGGACTGTAAGACACATTCAGGAATGGTAAAATTATAAGTGTTTTGATTCTTTCCTTACTTGCCTTTTTTTGAAAACATCTTTTATAAAAACATGTTGTTTTTTGATAAAGAGAAAAATCAGTAATAGGTTTTGAAAAAGGAACACAATCAGGTGGTGGTCTCGTGTACAGGGACCTATGAAACACCAGGGCTGGAAGGGCCTTGTGGCTCCCTGAGCTGCTTCTCTCATTTGAGAGACGAAGAACCAAATGCTTCCAGAGTGGGAAGGTTCTGACCTCAGAAAAGCTAGGCAAGGCATCCCAGCAGGCAGAACAAGAGAGGGACACAGGCTGCTAAGGGTTGCCCCAGCAGGGCTGAGTAAGTAGGTGGAGTGGAAGTGATGCGGATGTATGATTTGAGAGTGTGAGTTCAACAGAGGTGTGAGTCCAAGGTGATGCTGGGCTTGGGAACAAGAACAAATAAGAACGTAAGAAAATTAGGACAACAGAGATATGATAAGGGGCAAGTAACCTACATTTTTTTCCAGCGCTTCTATGTAAAAGGCTCATGTTTACTCATGTAATGCTCAAAAGAACTCAGAAAATACCAGTACTCCCAACTCACTGTTAAGGACACTGAAGTTAAAATAACTAGCATTGGTCTCAGGGCTAGCAAGTAACAGAGCTATCATTTGCTCTCAGGATAAATTCCAAAGTCCATCTTCTTCCTACCGTGCTACACATTGTCTCCTCTGTTTGATCTCCTGAGAGAAATATCTCGATTCATACAGGTTACTTATCAGCTGAGGCATCTGGAGTTTCTATTGCATCAAACATCTCAGTTGGTGAGTCAATAACATGGGGGATGCCCATTGTAAAATCCAGCATAAACGAAACATTCAAAAGGATATATTCATGGAACTGGAAAGGCCAGCTCCCCCTGTGCATGATGGAGAGAAGGGAAGAGTGGTATTACAAAAATCCAATTGCTGGATATATAGGCAGATGAAAATCTTTTCATCCTGCTCTAAAGGTATCAAGAAATGTGGGGTCCTTTCCTTCTAAAACACAGCCTGCATCTTTCACTGGGTTCCAATTAGTCTGTCCTTGAACTGCCAGAAGTCCTTAGCATTAACAGTGAGCTGCTGCTATCCTGGCTATCATTTAGGGAGGAGCATAAGAGCAGGCACTGCAATATCACCTCTCTTTGGTCTGGGAAATGGGCAGCAGACAGTCCAGATGCCATTAAATGGGAGGTCTTAATCACCTATTAGCTACTTGCAGAAACCAAGACATGATTACTCTCCTTCAAGCCCCCAGTACTTTTCTCACTGCAGGGTTAATGAAAACATTAGGTCTCCTCCTCTTCCCTTTCTTATTGTTCTGATCATCTCCGAGGGGTTTGATTAGCACCAGAGCCTTCTCTGTAGTTATCCCTGTCTACAGTGATAAGCAACCAAGCCCACCCCTGCAGCGTCTCTCATGCCCGTGCCAGTGTTTATAATCACATGCACTACTCTAGTTTGGACTTTTATTGGACAATTGCTGTACCCTCCCAACTGGTCTCCTTGTTTCAATTACCCTTCTACATCATCAGCAAGACCAAATAATAATTATTTTACAATGGATAAACCCTCCTCAATGGAGCCTCAGAGTCTACTGAGTTAAAGGTAGTTTTAATTCTTCCATGCAGTTTTCAAAGTTGCTTGCAATATAGTCTCAATTTTACTTTCTAGTCTTATTCACATCTACTATCTAACACTTATCAATTACTACGGCCACTTCATTACTTCAAATGTCCTGAGAAGCAGACACTAACATGGGATTCGATGTGCTAGAGATTTCTTGGGGTAGGGTGCAGGAGGAGGCAAGAAAAGCCTTCAGATCGAGATGCAGGTCTGGCCCCTGGGAAGGAGAGGAGGAAGGAAGGAGGATAGGCTGTGAAGTGTCTTGGAGTGCAGCATAGTTCCGAGAAGGGTTTAGCCATGTCAATGGGGAGTGCTTGAGCCCAAGCTTCTCAGTGGAGGACCCCTTGTGTTGCTGGAATGGGCATGCCTTACTTAGCACCCCCACCATGCATGGTCAATGGCTGGGAGTAGCCCTTGGGAAGCATAGCCTTGGTGCCAAAACAGTGGTGGGTTCAGAGGGGCAGCAGTTGGGATGTCAGTCAGTCAGTCAGTCAGCGGTGTTGCCTAAAGCAAGAGAGCTGAGCGGTGCATTTTCATGGCCACCACAGTCACTGTATAATTCACCATTAAACTGGGACACTTTTAAGAGTAGAAGAGGGACCTATCAATAATTACACGAGGCAGACAGGTAGAACCAGGGTCCATCTAGGCAAACTAGAATTTATTGTCACTCTATGGCAACAGATGCATCAAAGGGCCTACTCAGTGTTGACTAGCATAGATCTTTCCACTTTTTGGCATTCTATCAGTTTGGAACAGTTTTATAACCCACACCATGGCTACAGAAATCCTATGCGTTTTAAAACTGACAAATGTCATCTTCTGAATGTTGTCTTTTCCTCCTTGGAATCATTTCGTGTGTCCCTTTCCTGAAATACTGACCCTTTCCTGCTATATATTTTATTTTTTTGAGACAGAGTCTTGCTCTGTTGCCCAGGCTGGAATACAGTGGTACAATCACACCTTACTGTAGCCTCGACCTCCCAGGCTCAACTGACCCTCCTGCCTCAGTCTCCTGAGTAGCTTGTACTGCAGGCATATACCACTATGGCTGGCTAATTAAAAACTAAATTTTTTTTGTAGACACAGGGTCTCACTACATTGCCCAGGCTGGTCTTGAACTCCTGGGATCAAACGATGTTCCCACCTTGGTCTCCCAAAGTGCTGGGATTACAGATATGAGCCACCACATCTAGCCTCTGCTATATATTTTAATTAATTTTATATTATCTGCTCCTGCCATAAGACAGTAAGATCTGTAAGGGTAGGAACTATGTGATTTTCAGTTTTTCTCTGGTTGACTACCACATCTTGCAGACACAGTGGACACCAACAGAAGGCATACTCCTAAATCTGTAGTGTCCCAACTCCAACTTCCTTATGGCTTTTCAGTTTTAAACAAATACTTGAGTCATCTTGTATTTCTTAAGTGCAAATTTTCCCTATGTCTTTATAGTTCAGACAGAGAATTCAACTATCAGCCAATCTTGGTGAATGAATTCTTTTACGATTTGTTAATTACTTTGTCCTTTTTTCTGCTAAAAGCCTACATTGAATTACTTCAACTTTGCCTCAAAAGAGGACTAACAAATTGCTGAATATAATTTGCACTTTAAACAATAAAGCTATTAATGGCATTTTAGCAAGAACACCCATTATTTTCTCTGCAGCAATAAATCAGCATTTCATCTGTTATAAATTGCTTGGTCAGCTTCAAATGGCTTTAGAATAAATCTCTTTCTCCTTTCTGCCTCTGCTGTCCATGACAAAGAAAGGAGGCAGAAGGTAACCCTGTGTTCTGCATTCCCGGGCATATAATTTTCATGCTGCACGACTCTATAATTTATTTCTAGCGATAAGCATCTTGTAGTGCTACACTGGCTGCATGCTCACACATGTTCAAATGCACACAGAAAGACACAGGTAACTCTTCAGCAGTAATGCTGAAATAAAGAGGCTTCCAGGTGAAGGGCTCAGTGACTGTGTATGGTAAAATTTTGATGCCAACTGCATATTTTAGTAATAGGGCAGCTGTAAATATAAACACAAATGTTCTAATAATCAGACTATTTTTCAGCCCCACCTCCAAAATATGGGTAAATTCCACAGGATGATTAGATAAGGCACAGGGTTATCTTGTTAATATTAGGCTATTGTACATTCACATTTCTGAGAAATATACTTAATAAGTTTTACTTTTTAAAAATCATTTTCATTGAAAGTCTTGAATGTAGCATAGCATCACAAAGTAGGTGCCTAATAAATATTTAAGTGAATGAGTTAACAGAAGAATGCCTTTCATTTAGTCTGCTTAATGCTTAAGTCACGTTATTTAGTGTTATTCATTCATCACAACTAAATACTAATATGTCATCTATATTTACTACAAGCTAGTCCCTCTTCTCTAGTTTATAATTTGCTGATACTTGGGGGTTATGTTTACTGTCAGTTATAGCGCTAACATTTCAAACATAAGGAGGACTTTGTGAATATTACTATGGATAATGGTGATTAGCTGCTTTTGGCATCCTAGGCAGAGTGAGAGAAAACAGACTTAAGCTACAGCATGAGGGATTCAAGTTAGATAAGAAAGAAAGCGTTCTCGTATCAAATCTAATTAAGCACCAGAGTAGATGAATGAAGGGAGCTATGAAACATTCTTTCTTGGAAGTTTTTAAAAATAAGACGAAATCTCATCAGTACATATATCATTAAGTATGCTCCTCCATGAAGATAAGGAGGAATTGGTTCTAATATTCTGTGAAAGGCAAGTATATTTATTAAGGTTATATCTAAAAATATAATTTTCAGAGTATGGCCATTTCATGTAAAGTACTGGTATCAATTCATAGTCAAGATCATGAATCACACGCCCAAGTGGTGACTTATAGTTCTTTCATTTACTAGGTGACTCTGGGCAAGTCACTGTATATCTAAGATCCAGATTCTTTTCCTAAATAAGAGTAATCCTGCTTCTAAATACTACTCCTCAAAATAAATTAAATCAGACCTTGTTGGGTAAGTTATATTCTGAATAAATAAGCAGTAGAAAATCTGATTCCTTCAATTTCAAGTCATTTCAATACTATATTCTCAGTTAATGTCCTGAAACAAATAATCTATATATAAATAAGAGTTTTTCTTTTTATCACACTAGTAACAATTAGAAAAGAAACACTAACAGATAAATTTTAGATTGTGGCAATTAAGTGAATAGCAATCTGATAGCTATAGGATTTACCTTCAAAATCCAGGCACATTCATGTATTTATACCAATCTCTCTCCATGCTAATATTCTTACAGAGGAATTTTATTAAAACATGGCTGAATCTATCATTTCAGTATTCCCAGGCACAAGGCAGTGAGGAAATAAAACACTCCTTCTATGTTATGGAACCTAGAGAAAATAATTCTTTCCTAACCAGTGGGGTACATTTTCCTCCTTGAGGTTCGTAAGACAAATTTTGAAAAAATCATGGTGCAGACTATGTAATTTACGCTTAAAGTATTGTAACTGCTTTTGTGTTAGGATTCATATTATGAGAAAATTCACATATATTACCCTTTTACGGCTTGGTTATAGATCTATTTTGATTATGGTCATTGGAGCCTAAAACATCCACACCCTAAAAAGAACATATCATTCCAATCTCTATCTCTTTTAAAATAGGGACTTTGGGCTATAGCATGTTTTTCTCAATAGCCCAACTCCCTACTCAGAGATACTACTATAAAAGCTGTATTTTGGCTGGGAGTGAGGGAGGAAACAACCCTAGCTATTTGCAGAGTAGAATTGCAGGTTCCATTGGCAAAAAAGTGCCAGAAGTAGAGGAAATGCAGGTTACAAAGCATACAGAGGAAGAGTGACAGATGAGATGAACAAAATTGATTCATGGAGAGAATCAGATCAGGACAAAGGGTAAAAAAGTCTCAAGAGCCCAATCACGTCAAAAAGATCAATTTTTAGGAGAAGTGTAGTCAATAGTGTCTTAAAACAAAATTAGAAGTGGAAGCAATTTTGAAGGTCATTTGAAGAGTAATCTACTCCTTTTATAGATGAGAAACTGAGACCTAGAAGGAGTAGGTGACTTTCTCAAGGCCACTCTATACTAGGAGGTGACAGACATGTGCTGCACAATTCAGAATAATGAGTGGTAGGTTCAGAACCCAAAAAGTTCATAATGAGCCAGGGTAGCCCCCTTCCTCTTTAAGGGACCCTCTCTCTAAGCGCCCCAGCCTTGCTCCCAAGGAGCACTGCACCTTCTGAATCTGGTGAGTGATGGGGAACAACAGGCCAGGAAGGGAGGAAGTATATCTGCCAATGCTCAAAACGTGTTCATTCTGATGGCCCTAGTTCTAGCCTGCCTTTTGAATAGCACTGCGTTAGTCAGTACTGGACAGGAAGCACAAGTGTTACTTTGGCAGGGTCCTGTCCGTAGAAAGAGACCCACTGAGAGCCTCTTGTGTACAGCCACAGACAATGGGATAACCCACATGCTGGCCCCTCCCAGTCAGCTACCAAGGCAGACTGCGGAAAAGGGGACAAACTGGCAGGAAGAACTTGAAGCAGGCTCAACCATAAGTCAGGTTGCACAGCAGACATGAGGAGAAGGGGCACTGCAAAGGGAGAGCTAGGGATCATAAATCCAATGCTATTTGAGGCGGAGTGTCTGCGATCTGTAATTTATATGGATATAATAAGCTCCATGCCTAAGACACCGCAGCCCCAAACAACCACCACCAAAACACAAAGCACATGTTTAAAGGGGTGAATTACCCAAAACATCAGGTTTCTCCACATGGCTAGACTAAGAAGGCTGCAAAATCTATCACTGTTATGGGCTGGAAAGCCAACCAGGAGAGCCTTCTTAGGACTTCTAAAGGGAAACATTCTGGATGAACCTCTTGGTCTTGTAAGAAGGGAGGCTAGTTATGTTTAACTATAAACACATGGCAGTAGGTGTCAGCGATATGTTCCATTCGAAGACTATATAATAAACATCATTTTTGGAAAAGGAAACTAAACTAAGAATAGATAACCTGAGAATGCCATGCAAGGGCTAGAGCAACTTCCCATCCTTTTGCAAGCATTTAGCAATCAGGTTTCGCCTTTAGCTGAACTCCTTTCATTTCATGCAATATTTAATTTATACAGAGATGATTCATTTGCAATAGTAAATCATCACAACATTCTGTAAAAACAACAACAATAACAAAAGACTAGAAATATAGGAGGCCTACAACAAGCACCTAATTTAAAACTGCAGCCTCTTCCTATCCCCAAATTGGCCCTCCTCTTTCCTGCTCTGTTTTTAAATTTTTTTCCTAGCAATTACCACCTTCTAACTTACTATAATTTGCTTGTTTATTGCTTATTTTCTGTTTTCCTCCAATAGAATAGAAGCTCTAAGAGGGCAGCAATTTGTGTCTGTTTTGTTCACAGACACATCCCATGCATTGAGAACAATGCCTGGCACAAGCAGGTGTGCAAAAATGCTGGCCGACTAAAAAAAGTCATGGATGGGTTGTCAATATTGCATAAAGTCCTATTCTCAGATGACAATTGAGGTGGCCTCATCACTAACTACAAGAGATTTTTTTTCCCCAATGGAAATCACCAAAGTTTTAAAAAAGATTGGAATTCCAAGGTTAGTGAGGGAGTTCCGCTATCTGATGAAGCAGTGACTCACCTGAAAAGTTCCAGGGGACCTAATCCCAATGTGCATGGGGCCCAACCTCCTGACCAGCCTTGCATATCTGAAGGTGGGGAGGGAAACTGAGGTAGGTATCGAGTGGTGTAAAAAAAACGCTTCACAAGAGTTTTTCTTTATAGCCTTACAATTTTAATACTTTTGTATAGCACTTCCCAGGCATAAGCAACACTTCCACTGCATCTTACTCTACTTTCATAACAACCCCTGTAGGCAGTAAGAATTATATTCTGAATCTTGGAGAGTGTGCTACTTGCCCAGGGTGGTTGGCCAAAGTGGGACTGTTCCTATTTTGGTTTAAGAATGCAAGTTTTTGGGTTACAAATTCAGTCCTTTTTCTACATGGCATGGCCAAAAATAACATTCTCAAAGATGGGTTACTTAGCTGCCCCACTCTCATGGTTTACTTCAGGGGAGCATTGTACAAAAATGGGTGATTGTCTAGTTTTCATTGCCAATATGCTGGGAAATAAAGAAAATAATGAGAGAACACCAAAGTTTCTACTACCAAACAAGTAGGCATTTCAGGTGGTCTTTACTTAGGGCCTTGCATTTCTTAGGCTAAGTTGTGTTATATTGAGCTGAGGTGGAGGACTATGAAAAAGAAAGGCAGCAGATTTCACAGGGACCATTCAAAGCCCTGCAGGAACAACAACAACAAAAATGCTATGAAACAACACGGAGTAACTCTTGCATAAAAATGGAGAAAAGTAGGGTCTAAAATACATGCACCAAAACCCAAAAAAGACATGGAATACATGACCCAGGCGGCCCTGAAAATCTCATCCTCACACAAAGAAGAACTGTGCAGCATCCAGAGAGAAGAAGGGATGGTAGCTGGGGAGATGAGACCTTTGGAGAATTAACTACCAAAGGGGATGAATCAGCTCACGTCTGACAACACCTACAGATTCTGTCAAACCTGCCGCACTCTTCAAGAGCTTCAAGGCTCACAAACAGGAAATTGCTGGGTATGACTTAACCTGACTCTCAACCTCCTTAGAGAAGAGCTTGCCCCAAAAAGGTATGAACAAAGTGCAGAGCCAAAGGGCAAGAGGTGAAGAAGAATACGAGCTCACATTCCAGGTGTGGGGCATTTAGTGGAAGGAAACACTTTTCGAAACATATGAGTTATTTGGGATTTAGCATTGGGCTCAATGCCAATCAACATATTCACTTGGTAGACCAACACTTCACAGAAATGAGAAAAGAGAAAACAATTACAAAGGAACTCTAAGGGCACAAAAATTTGTGAAGAAGTGAGATTGGGTTGTTAATTTATTCATTCACTCATGATATTCTGCATCAGATTATTTTCAGAAGCAAAAAACTTTGAATTGACCTAAACAGTAAGTAAATTTATTATTTTACACGACAGAGTTGCCTGGAAGTAAAGCCAACCCAGGACTGGTTTAGCCCACAGCTCACTGATATCCTCGAGGGCCTGGGTTCTTTCCATCTTTCGGTCCTATTTTGTAGGTTCCAGGGAAACCCATACCGCTGTGCATGAGCCAAGCTGATGACCAGATCTTGTATATCTAACAACAAATTCACCCACTGGATCAGGAACTGGGGCTGGGACCAGCTGCCCGAGCAGATGGCCGCTTAGAGGAGAGGAAATACTCCAACCAAATCAGGGTTGCACCAGCTAGAAAGGGGCTAATGGCCATTGAGTGAGCCCCTGGAGATATCCACGATGGTCATTTGAAAGGTATTCATTGAGCACCTACTATATGTCCACTCCTGTACTGATCACTAGAAACACAGAGACCAGGAACTGCCTGCACATAGACAATAATGAGGAAGGCAGACATTAATGAAATAATTATACAAATAAAGATAAAATTGCAACTGTATTAAGTGCGATGTTGGAAAGGTATGTGGTGTCATGAGAGCGTTAACTGAGGGGGAGGTGATGCCTCTCTGATGAAGGGATATGGAGCTGCTGGGGAAGGGGCATGGAGAAACATTTCAGACAAAGGGAGCACAAGCAGTGGCCAAGTAGAAGGATGGGGTATGGCACATTCAAAAACTGTCCCCAGATGGAAGACAGTGAGGGTGAGCTTGGAGTAAGACGGAGCTAAAGAGGTAGGCAGGAGCCAGTCCATATGAGTTGTATACAACAGAAGATAAGATTAACAAACATCTTTTTAAATTTTAAAAATATTAGACCATTTGTTCACATAAAGTTTTACACAAACAAAAGCTCTAAAATGCCTTGGTGCACAATGTAGTGTGACTATCAAATGGCCATTCCCCTTCCTTGCAAAATGCATACTTCTAGCCATTTCACTTACACTATCTCATCGAGAAGAAAGGCAGGTGTGGGAGGCAAGGCACAGGTAGACCCAGGAGCGGGGTTGAAAGATGAAGCCACACAGTCATAACTGATTGGGACAGGAAGAAAATAATTAAAGAGGCCAAGCTAGGAAAGGGACATCAGGAAGAGCGTGGCTTTGAGACAGGGTTGAACAGGATCAGGGGCCTGGGCAGGGGCTTCATGATGTGTAGTAAGTAACGAGAGACGGGTGGTTGAGCTGGGGGATGGGAAAAGACCCAGGAGCACAGGGCAGAGTCCAGAATTTACTTCCCTCTCCTATTCTAGGGAGGTAACGATATGGAGATGGCAGAACTCAGTCTCCCTCTGTGTCTTCTTTTGGTGGGGGGGGGGCACTTACTCACATAGCAAGAGGTTACACAAAACTATTCAAGGGAAAGTGCCACAAAGTCCTCTCTCAGCAAATGAAAATATGCTTCAGAAATAAACAACACTGCCACTCCCTCATGGGGCTGAAAAATATCATCTCTTAATTTGATTTCTTAGCACTAATAAACTACATCATAATCTCTCAATAGCTGAGTATAAATGGTCGAATTAACCATCTTCTGCCCTTCAAATACTTAATTTCCATGGTGACTAATTATGCATTTCTTTTACCACATGGATGGGCAAGTAACTAAATGGGCTCTATCTTCTAAAGCAGACATTTAACGTGTGACAAAGTCCTCTCAGATAAACTTGTCTCTTTTGAAATGAGATAACTAATTACTGGGTAAGACAGCAGAATCGTTTCCCTACTGGGAAATCAACTACGTGGTCTAGTAGAATGAAAGGCACGGACCATGGCAAATCAGGTCTGCAAAAACAGTAAACAAAACAAGCCAACAGAACAATTAACACATGTGGAAAAAGCCAAATACAGTATCCACTGCACAGCTGATTTGATTTTAAGACAACTGAATATGTGTTTCAGAAAGAAAGGGAAAAGAGTGAAAATATATGGAAGTATAAGAAAAGAAACAAAACATCCTAAAAGTAAAATAAGGCAACTAAAGGCAAAGGAAAACTTTTATATACGCAGACCTCATAGACTACACAAATCCCTTTGTCTGCATTCTCTAGAGAATTAAGAAATGGTCACTATACATATATTTTATTGCTCAGGAAGGAAGTCCACATCTCTTCCAGAATTCTAACTATTAAATACACAAAGCATTGAGCCATGCAGATAATTCTCTTTTCAAAATAGGGACATAACCTATTTTCTCTAGATCAGATGTAGCTGGCTAACTGAGAGCCCATAGCTATTGTGGTAACCAGGAGAAAAGGAAATGGATGATTAAAGTAAATCTAATTCAATAAGCTAGTGACATTGTACTGTACAAAACTGGGGATGGGAAAGAGGCGGATACAGGCCAAAGGAGGAATAGTGCTTATTTTGTTCCTTTTGAATTTTATCAAATTGTGTATATATTTGTGACTTTTACCCTAAGGAGCATAAAAAACTGACAATAAAAGATTATCTGAATGGAACATTGGTTTTTGGTAAGTGTCAAGCACAAAAGGAATCATAATTTTTTTCAACGAGCTTTCAAAGTATGTATGCTCTTGACATCTGCTGATAAGCTGCAGTTTCCTCCTAAAAACTTAAAGCTTCTCTAAATTCAACATAAGCTTGCTTTCAGTATCTGCAAAATATATGTGGATAAAATTGAAGTTTTCAAAAGGGAGTTACCATAGAAACACACAACTCCCTAAAAGAGCAGTCCATCATCTCTTAAGGGGAACCGTCATCACAGACATGTATTCAGTATCTCTCTGTGCACGTGAGGCCTTAGACAATACACAAAGGACAGTCAGCACTTGCACACTGGACAAATACAGAAATTAGATAAGCCAAGTCCTTACTCTAAGTAAGCAAGGCGGGGATGAGGCCCTTTGTGTATGTGCATGTGTGGGCTGTAGGGGACAGGAATCATGTGAGCTGGATCCTGTGATGCAGCTAAAATGCAGCCATCATAACATTTATTTAAAACACAATTCTATAACAATCTGGCCAGTGCACACAGTTATCACTATGGACTGTTTTCTGTGAATTCTTTTAAAATGAGGATCTAAGTACTAGAAGCAGCACGTACAAAAATAGTTTTATTTTTACTAGCAGAGTAGACTCAAGCTAAAAATAAACTAAATGGGAATTTTGTACTGCAGACTTTTCAAAAACAGTGTCTGTATACCTAAGACAAACACCACCTCTTAATTAGAAATTTCTGTAAAGCATTCCAAAAAGGCCACACTATTTTCAGTCAGACTATATGGTTCTTCAGACTTGGTTTCTCTTGAGACAAAAGAACCCCATGGAGACGACATCTAAGTTGGAGTCTTCACTTAAACCACTTATGGTCTTTATGAAAGGATTTTTGGGCCAGGCACGGTGGCTCATGCCTGTAATCCCAGCACTTTGGGAGGCCGAGGCCGGTGGATCACGAGGTCAGGAGATAAAGACCATCCTGGCCAACATGGTGAAACCCCATCTTTACTAAAATACAAAAATTAGCTGGGCGTGGTGGCGTGCGCTTGTAGTACCAGCTACTCTGGAGGCTGAGGCAGAGGAATTGCTTGAACCCGGGAGGCGGAGCTTGCAGTGAGCCGAGATCGGGCCACTGCACTCCAGCCTGGCGACAGAGCGAGACTCCGTCTCAAAAAAAAAAAAAAAAAAGGATTTTTGCCCTTAAAGAAGCCAAATCATTACACAGCCCTTTTACAATGGGACAGATCTAACTGGAAGGAAAAAAAAGATATACTTTTAGGCACTGTGCCCCAAAAAACTCAGCAATTAAAGTTTGGGATTAAAAAAAGTTAAAGCTATCTAAACTGAGGTTTGTATAGAAATGTGATTATTTTTGCAGGTGTATTATCTGTGATTGGTACTAATGATTTGCAAATCATATTAATGACCATAATAATGATATTTTTTCTAATGAAACACAGCACTTTACAAACATTAAGTATTTAATCCCTGTTAGGTAAATTACAGCTACTCTTAACCACATCTTACAAATGGTAATACTGATATCACTATTCATGATTTGCCCCAAATCACAGATGACTAACATCAGAATTTATTTTAAATAAATATAAACAATAAAGTACACATGTGCTTATTTGCATGTGTGAGTATACAAAGCATCATGATTAGGCATAGTTAAGCAACTGATTAGAAAGTCATTCAAGGTCTCACTTAAAAACCAATCAAGTTAAATCTAGGTAATACAGGCCTAGTACCATCAGTTGGCATTATTCTGGGGAAAAAAAATATCAGAATGCTTAGCAACTCAGAATGCTTAACATCCTACCTTTCCACTGCAACCTGTAACAGACAACGGCCAGTGGCCCACAATGCCAGTGCCAACCACAGACAGGATGGATGGCTCTGGAACCATTAGAAGGCACCATTCAAATAGACAATGGTACCAACCAGCGTCTCGATGGTGGTTATAGGTCTGAAAATGTGTACTAAAAGAAGCGGAACCTCTGGCCGATGAATTTATTTGGATTTCATGGCTATTAGTACTCTGACTTCCACATAACCTTTGAGATTCAGACTGAGCAGGAGTTCCTCAGAGAAGCTTCTCTGAGCCCTGAGCCGGACCCAACAATGCTGCTCCAGAGAATGTCTTCAGACTCCACCCCAGAGCTTCTTCACGATTTTTGGACACTGGCTTTCTTGAAAGCTTCCCAATAGGATCAAACTTCTTAAGGGCAGGAGCCATACTGTCTTGTGCCTGGACAATGTTTATAAATTGATGGAGCTTTATAAATGTTGAATAAGTCAATGAGCATAGGACTAAATTTATTTAAATTACTAGTGCTCTCATCTATCAGAAAATTTGTTCTTTCGGTGAATATATAATTAAAATGGTGTGGGTTAAAAGAAAGTTCCTGATTATCACAAAAAATTCAGAGACCAGGGCCAGGTGTGGTGGCTTATGCCTGTAATCCTAGCGCTTTGGGAGGCCAAGGCAGGAGGACTGCTTGAGCTCAGGAGTTCAAGACCAGTCTGGGCAACATAGTGAGACCTTGCTGCTACAAAAAATTTTTTAAAAATTAGCTGGGCGTGGTGGCACACACCTGTGGTCCCAGCTACTTGGGAGTCTGAGGTGGGAGGATCACTTGAGCTCAGGAGGTTGGGGCTGCCGTGAGCTGTGATCATGCCACTACATTCCAGTCTGGTCACGAGAGCAAGAACCCTGTTTCAAAAAATAAAAAATAAAATAAAAACAAAAAATTCAGACACCAGAGATTTGTCTACTAATATGCATTTTAATTTTCTAAGGACAAGCAAGCAAAGAATGATCATGATTTTCTGAATTTAAAATCCAGGGGTGAAGGAACTACCCAGACATCTCTGATGCTGCCCATTCTTTTATCTTGAAGGAACACTGCTCTGGGCATGACAGATGAGGATTAAGTAATTACGCTACACACTCTGGCGTGTGTCTCCGAAATCTGCAAACACATCTAGTGCTCTGAAAGCGGACTTGTAGTTGGTTTTTTAAAGATGATAAAGAGAACTTTGCTACTCAAATAAAAATAACTGATATGGCCTTCAAATTTTCCTAAGTTCCCGAAAAGCTTATTTTTCCTAAGTGTACCCATCTCAGATAAAGGCAGAAATCACCCCTCTCTCAATACAGTCAACTTCTCTAAAGATGATGCATACAAACACACCAGACTTTGGCAGAATTCTCTAGCGGAGATTTAAAAGAAAATATCTCGTGGCAGTAGAGAGTCACATGAAGACTTCCAACAGCTCAGACATTCTCCTTCTACACAAAAGGGGAAAGGCCCTCTCTGTAGCAATTGTTTGATAAACAGACCACAGTGGCGTTTTTTTACTTCTCCTCTGATATAAGTGAAAATAAGTCCTTGGTACTATGTATGGAAGGCAGGTAAAAACAATGAAGTGATAAGTATTTACAACACAGATTTAATTTATCTACACCAAAATTTTAAAGATTTTCTGCTTTAAGTAGAGTTATCCTGCTTAACATCCTGCCCCACTAATTTTTATTTGAATTTGGAAAAAAGTCAAATGTGGACCCCTAAGAGTACATTCATCTTTTCAGAAGCAGCTAAGCCCTGATTTTTCAAAAAGCATTAATCTAGACTATTTTATAAAATTATAAAATTGATTTAAAAATATTTTAAATCAAGACTAAAGGTAGATGATATCTTCATTGTAAAAAGAAAAAGATACTATACATTCCCATCCTGTGAAATTACAGCCAAATTTTATCCATTCAGGATACTTTGGGAATGAGGCGTTCTATACAGCTTAGTTTCCCAGAGAGCTGAAGGGCTCCAAAATTTTCTTAAAATAGAAATATTTCTAAAATGTACCATATATCTGTGCTTCCACGATCACAGTCTAAGACACATAATATACTTTTTCCTTAATAACTTATAATTGAAGACACCAGCTCATGTGTACAAATTGAATGTAGATCAAAATGTGCTAGGTAATTTGGTCACAGATAAGAATTTATGTACTGTGATGCCCACAAGAGAAAGCAGGAAAGATCTAAAATTGACACCCTAACATCACAATTAAAAGAACTAGAGAAGCAAGAGCAATCACATTCAAAAGCTAGCAGAAGGCAAGAAATAACTAAGATCAGAGCAGAACTGAAGGAAACAGAGACACAAAAAACCTTCAAAAAATCAATGAATCCAGGAGCTGGTTTTTTGAAAAGATCAACAACATTGATAGACTGCTAGCAAGACTAATAAAGAAGAAAAGAGAGAAGAATCAAATAGATGCAATAAAAAATGATAAAGGGGATATCACCACTGATCCCACAGAAATACAAACTACCATCAGAAAATACTACAAACATCTCTACGCAAAAAACTTGAAAATCTAGAAGAAATGGATAAATTCCTCGACACAGACACCCTCCCAAGACTAAACCAGGAACAAGTTGAATCTCTGAATAGACCAATAACAGGTTCTGAAATTGAGGCAATAATTAATAGCTTACCAACCAAAAAAAGTCCAGGACCAGATGGATTCACAGCTGAATTCTACCAGAGGTACAAGGAGGAGCTGGTACCATTCCTTCTGAAACTATTCCAATCAATAGAAAAAGAGGGAATCCTCCCTAACTCATTTTATGAGGCCAGCATCATCCTGATACCAAAGCCTGGCAGAGTCACAACCAAAAAAGAGAATTTTAGACCAATATCCTTGATGAACATTGATGCAAAAATCCTCAATAAAATACTGGCAAAACAAATCCAGCAGCACATCAAAAAGCTTATCCACCATGATCAAGTGGGCTTCATCCCTGGGATGCAAGGCTGGTTCAACATACGCAAATCAATAAACATAATCCAGCATATAAACAGAGCCAAAGACAAAAACCACATGATTATCTCAATAGATGCAGAAAAGGCCTTTGACAAAATTCAACAACGCTTCATGCTAAAAACTCTCAATAAATTAGGTATTGATGGGATGTATCTCAAAATAATAAGAGCTATTTATGACAAACCCACAGCCAACATCATACTGAATGGGCAAAAACTGGAAGCATTCCCTTTGAGAACAGTCACAAGACAGGGATGCCCTGTCTCACCACTCTTATTCAACATAGTGTTGGAAGTTCTGGCCAGGGCAATTAGGCAGGAGAAGGAAATAAAGGGTATTCAATTAGGAAAAGAGGAAGTCAAATTGTCCCTCTTTGCAGATGACATGATTGTATATCTAGAAAACCCCATCATCTCAGCACAAAATCTCCTTAAGCTGATAAGCAACTTCAGCAAAGTCTCAGGATATAAAATCAATGTACAAAAATCACAAGCATTCTTATACACCAATAACAGACAAACAGCCAAATCATGAGGGAACTCCCATTTACAATTGCTTCAAAGAGAATAAAATACTCAGGAATCCAACATACAAGGGATGTGAAGGACCTCTTCAAGAACTACAAACCACTGCTCAATGAAATAAAAGAGGATACAAACAAATGGAAGAACATTCCATGCTCATGGGTAGGAAGAATCAATATTGTGAAAATGGCCATACTGCCCAAGGTAATTTATAGATTCAATGCCATCCCCATCAAGCTACCAATGACTTTCTTCACAGAATTGGAAAAAACTACTTTCAAGTTCATATGGAACCAAAAAAGAGCCCGCATCGCCAAGTCAATCCTAAGCCAAAAGAACAAAGCTGGAGGCATCACACTACCTGACTTCAAACTATACTACAAGGCTACAGTAACCAAAACAGCATGGTACTGGTACCAAGACAGACATATAGACCAATGGAACAGAACAGAGCCCTCAGAAATAATGCCGCGTATCTACAACCATCTGATCTTTGACAAGCCTGAGAAAAACAAGAAATAGGGAAAGGATTCCCTATTTAATAAATGGTGCTGGGAAAACTGGCTAGCCATTTGTAGAAAGCTGAAAGTGGATCCCTTCCTTACACCTTATACAAAAATTAATTCAAGATGGATTAAAGACTTAAAATGTTAGACCTAAAACCATAAAAACCCTAGAAGAAAACCTAGGCATTACCATTCAGGACATAGGCATGGGCAAGGACTTCATGTCTAAAACACCAAAAGCAATGGCAACAAAAGCCAAAATTGACAAATGGGATCTAATTAAACTAAAGAGCTTCTGCACAGCAAAAGAAACTACCATCAGAGTGAACAGGCAACCTACAAAATGGGAGAAAGTTTTGAAATCTACTCGTCTGACAAAGGGCTAATATCCAGAATCTACAAAGAACTCCAAAAAATTTACAAGAAAAAAACAACCCCATCAACAAGTGGGCAAAGGATATGAACAGACACTTCTCAAAAGAAGACATTTATGCAGCCAAAAGACACATGAAAAAATGCTCATCATCACTGGCCATCAGAGAAATGCAAATCAAAACCACAATGAGATACCATCTCACACCAGTTAGAATGGCAATCATTAAAAAGTCAGGAAACAACAGGTGCTAGAGAGGCTGTGGAGAAATAGAAACACTTTTACACTGTTCGTGGGACTATAAACTAGTTCAACCATTGCAGAAGTCAGTGTGGCGATTCCTCAGGGATCCAGAACTAGAAATACCATTTGACCCAGCAATCCCATTACTGGGTATATACCCAAAGGATTATAAATCATGCTGCTATAAAGACACATGCACACGTATGTTTATTGCGGCACTATTCACAATAGCAAAGATTTGGAACCAACCCAAATGTCCAACAACGATAGACTGGATTAAGAAAATGTGGCACATATACACCATGGAATACTATGCAGCCATAAAAAATGATGAGTTCATGTCCTTTGTAGGGACATGGATGGAAGCTGGAAACCATCATTCTCAGCAAACTATTGCAAGGACAAAAAACCAAACACCACATGTTCTCACTCATAGGTGGGAACTGAACAATGAGAACACATGGACACAGGAAGGGGAACATCACACACCAGGGCCTGTCGTGGGGTGGGGGGAGGGGGGAGGAATAGTATTAGGAAATATACCTAATGCTAAATGACGAGTTACTGGGTGCAGCGCACCAACATGGCACATGTATACATATGTAACTAACCTGCACGTTGTGCACATGTACCCTAAAACTTAAAGTATAATAATAATAATAATAAATTTATGTGCTGTGGACCATGGAACAGGAAGGAGTCTGTTTGACCCTCACAGTATTCTGAAATTTGTCCTCTCAAAAAATTCCTGATGTCAACTCCTATTTGTATCATTTGCCTCTTCCTCACAGAGGTAGAGTGAAGCTATGTGGTAGAGCATGGCTTTGCAAGGAGTAAAATGTTTTAAAAAACTAGTTAGTGAACCAAGGCTGGAGAAGTTTCCTTGCAAATGGTTTTCCTATTCCCTAGGTGGGTGTCATTTTGGATGTTGCTATCAGCTACCTCCTTTTTTCTTTTTCTTTTTTTTTGAGATGGAGTCTCGCTCTTGTTGCCCAGGCTGGAGTGCAATGGCATGATCTCAGCTCACTGCAACCTTTGCCTCCTGGGTTCAAGCAATTCTCCTGCTTCAGCCTCTCAAATAGCTGGGGATTACAGGCACCTGCCACCATGCCCAGGTAATTTTTTATATTTTTAGTAGAGACAGGGTTTTACCATGTTGTCCAGGCTGGTCTCAAACACCTGACCTCAAGTGATCCAAAATGCCTTGGCTTCCCAAAATGCTGGGGTTATAGGCATGAGCCACTGCGCCTGGCCTGCTATCAGCTACCTCTGACTTCAGCTGGAGCTTCATCTGTAAGGGCTCCCAGGCGCTCCTGGAAAGTACACATTTCCCCAGCTTTCATTCACTTTATTCAATGATTGAGAAAGAGAAACATGCTTGGCCAGTTCACAAATCTGAATTTAGATGTTTGGGAGTTCTCCAATGTTTCACTTCTTTTTGCTGAGGTAGGCTTGTAAACTTGGTTAAAAGAAACTGGTGTAACCTCTTTGAAAAGACAATTGGGCTCTCTCTCCCTGTATTTTACACATGGATGTAAAAGTCATTAAAAAGTACATATTCTTTGACCTAGAAAATCACTTTCTAGGAATCTAGCCTAAGGAATCACTGGCTATATAAACAAAGAGGATGTGCAAAGAGGCTGACCACACCGCTGATTATAAAAGTAAAGTAGGCCTGGTGCAGTGCTGCACGCCTGTAATCTCAGTACTTTGGGAGGCCAAGGTGGGAGAATCACTTGAGCCCAGGAGTTTGAGACCAGCCTGGGCAACATAGTGAGACCCCATCTCTACAAAAATAGAAAAATTAGTCAGGTGTGGTGGTGCCTATAGTCCCAGCTACATGGAAGCCTGAGGCCAGAGGACTGCTTGAGCCCAGGAGGCAGAGGATGCAGGGAGTCATGATCATGCCACTGTACTCCAGCCTGTGCAACAGGGCATAAAAGTGAAGTTTAACTAAACCTCTAACATTAAAGGATTGGTTAAAAAACATGGAAATTCAAACAATGGAAAACTATTCTGCCATTAAAATTTTAAAATAATGATCCACATATTATTGACATGCAAAGATTTCCACAATATATTGTTAACCCAAAGAAAACAATAGGTTTCAAAAATATGTGTGGTTGTATATAGGGGAAGGTCCGAAAGGATCTGTATTAGAGGTTCCCAAATGATTCTGGTAGCCCTTAGAGTCTCAGTAATTTTTCACAATGCCTCCAGGCCCAAACAAATACCTAATAGAGCTGTCTGTTAAGTAGTTAGATCCAAACAACATAATAACTATTTATGTCAGAATGATTTAGCAGCTGAAAAAAAAACACACATAAATGAAAACTACTATTTCCTTCTCAAGTAACTTTGTTATAACTTGTTTATAGAATGTATACACCTGTTGGGCACTGCATAACTTTAAATCTTGGAATCGCTGGACACCACTACCTTATTTCCTGTTCCACGCTGGTTTTCATGTGATACACTTTTTATCACTAAACACTCAGCAATCACTGAAAACTCGGTTTTGTAAAGATATGATGTCATCAAAAGGAATGTAGTGTGATCTAATGCTGAAACTGTGAACTATCTCCAGCTAATAGTTGGCAGAGTGTTGTACGATGTTTCCCTTAATGATGGAAAGTATCTGTGCCAACCCTAGAGCTGCACCCAGAATTTGCTGTGGTGCCCCAGAGCATCTTGGCACACAGTTTGGAGCTGCAGGTATATAACAAGATGTTAACAGTTGCTTTCTCTCAGGTTACTGGTGATTAAAAAAAAAAAAAAGATTTTCTGAACTTTTTCCCAATAAACATCTGTTATTTTTTACAATTAGAAAAACCACTAAAGTGATTTATGTATTTTTCAGAGTTCTTTATCTTTACAAGAAGATGGAGAGTCTCCCCAATTTTTTACTGTGAAGAAAAGTCTAAGCATAAACAACAGTAAAAATGGAGTCTTGGATGATGCCTTAATGATGAAAAACTCCCTCATGAATAACGTTCTGCAATAACTCCTCCTATTCTGACCCCCTCCCTGATACTTGCACAGGTTGGATCAATGAAGTCACTGGTGTCAGGACACTAACCCAGACATTCACCCCACTTCCTGCGGGTAGCCACTACAATTGTTTAATAATAGACTCTCTGTCCCTCAGCTGATGTGCTTGTAATAGAGCATGGTCATGCCCTTGTGGGAACTGAGCTATAAATGGTGCTTTGCTCTTGGTCTGCAGAGCTTTAGTCTCTGGATTAACGGTGCTCCTTTTAAAACAGTGCCTGCTGCTTTGCACCCTGGTGTACACTGCTGCCGTCTTTAAAGGTCTCCACTGCTCTCTTTGTTCCCTTCTGGTTACTTTTGCCCTGTTTGTCAGTTTTTGCACTAAAGAAATGAATGGGCTTTTATACCTTCACCAATTGGGACTTTCAGAACCAGCCTAGTGAGTTAAGTCTAACAGATATTTAGCCCCCTTTGATAGTCAGTTGTTGCTGGATATTTTGTTTGTTTTTGCCTTTGTGGGAATTGGTGGGCAGAAAAAAACATTTTCCAGTTTCATGCTATTTTTAAAACCTGAGGATTTTTTACAAGTTTTGGCATCGTATAGTTGAAGTTCTATTGTGATCAATATTTCTATTCATTTACTTTCTTACTAAACAAGTGTCCAAGGAATTATAAAACACTTTTTTTTTCTAATTTAGAAACTTCTACAAATGTATACATCAATTGCAACTTAACCTTTACAAGTTTAGGAATAATGCTGTAGTAGAATATTTAAAGGAACTTTCTGCATAAACTTCAGTTAATATAGGTCTTACTTTTAAAATATCTTCTTTAAAAAATAAATAATATTGCTTACTATTGGGATAAAATTATTTTAAAAAGAATAATGAGAACAGCTCCCAATTCTCCTTTACCTGCCCCAGGGTTCCCTCAGCACTTATCACCTTTTCAACATACTATACACTTTACCTATTTATCTTGTTAACTGTCCATCTCCTCCAACCAGAATGTAAGCTCAGTAGGAGCAAGAATTTTTGTCTGCTTTAATCACTGATACATCTTGTCTCCAGCACCTAAAATGTAGGGGCTCAACAAGTATTTGTTGAAAAGTCAGTAAATGAGTGACTGATTCTTAAAGACCTTTTTGTAACTCCATTTTAGAAGACCAAAGAAAAAAAGACAAAATCTTGAACATTAATATTTATACAAACCAAATACTACTTTTTGTAGGTAAAATATGATTCTATTGTGATGTAAAGTTACCTTTTTGACTGTAGTGAAATCCATGAATGGCAAGGATCTAACTAATTTACTATTGCTCCTCTTCCAGGAAATGTTTCAACTTTCAAATAAAGAGGACTTCTGATTGTCAAGCATGGCAAATTCATGTGGAATGCCTAAAAATGCTGAGTACTAAAAATATTTTTAAAGATATGGCTAAGCAGCAAGAAAGTAACAGCAATTGTTAAAAGTTGAAAATGACAAGGAAATTAGAACCTAGAGAAGTAAGTAGGTAAGTCCTGCATAAGTCAATCCCTGATGGGGATATTAAGAGACAAAGGGACAGCCTAATGTCCACACAGGAAGGTCAAAGCCAATACCCTTGAAAGATGAAATCCTCAGTGGGTAAATTAAAAAAAAAAAAAATCTTCCCAGAAATAGAAGACAGAATAAGTCTTGGTGATGGGAGAGGAGAAAAAAGAAGAAAATTTCCTCAAAAAATACAAAGCCCAGGCTGGGTGCAGTGGCTCACGCCTGTAATCCCAGCACTTTGGGAGGCCGAGACAGGAGGATCACTTGAGGTCAGAAGTTTGAGACCAGCCTGGCCAACATGATGAAACCCCGTCTCTACTAAAAATACAAAAAAATTAGCCAGGTGTGGTAGTGTGCACCCGTAGTCTCAGCTAGTTGGGAGGCCAAGCTAGGAGAATCGCTTGAACCCAGGAGGTGGAGGTTGCAGCGAGCTGAAATCTCACCACTGCACTCCAGCCTGGGTGACAAAGTGAGACTCTTGTCTCAAGAAGAAAAAAAAAAACAAAACCCCACAAAAAAACAAAAACAAAGCCCAGAAATTACATATCCATGTGCCCTTTCCAAATCCAAATAGGGTAAAAAGTCCTGAGTTGGAAATGACTACAAACACATAGCAGAAGCAAATACAAAGCCTCTCTAGAATAATGAATATTAAATCTAAGTTTCAAGAGATTTTCATAAGAATTCCAAGTAATTAAGTTCACAATCAAAAATCACAAAACAAAGAATCAAGCTGTCATGAACATGAATGAGAAAAAACAAAACTGCAGAATGAAATCATCAAAGGCTTTAGCTATTGAATGTATTGAACACAGATATAAAATAGATGTGTTTAACATTTTTAAAAAAGTAAACAGGATCTTAAAATATGAACAAGGAAGATTTCAAAAATGACTAGGCAGATTTAAGAAACAGCCAAAAATAACTTCTAGAAATGAAAATATAATAATTATATTTAGAGACTCACATGAGTAAGTCCAATACCAAAATAGATGCAGCTGAAGTAGGAATGAGTGATTTGGTAAACAGATATAAAGAAATTGTACATAAACTTATACAAAAATGAAAAATATAATCTTACGTTTAAGAAATTATATGGCCGGGCACAGTGGCTCACGCCTGTAATTCCAGCACTTTGGGAGGCCAAGGCAGGTGGATCACGAGGTCAGTAGTTCGAGACCAGCCTGACCAAAATGGGCAAACCCCACCTCTACTAAAAATACAAAAATTAGCTGGGCGTGGTGGCATGCGCCTGTAATCCCAGCTACTCGGAAGGCTGGGGCAGGAGAATTGCTTGAACCTGGGAAGCAAAGGTTGCAGTGAGCCGAGATCATGCCATTGCACTACAGCCCGGGTGACAGAGCAAGACTCCATCTCAAAAAAAAAAAAAAAAAAGACATTATACATAACATACAGAAGGAAAATATAAAAGAAATATTTAGAGATGTAAAGGGCAGAATGTGAAGGAAAAAACAGACAATGTGGGAAAGGCAGCATTCAAAATAATTTTTTTTTCTGAGATTTTTCAGAACTAGTAATCATCAAATTCAGAAAGCCAAATGCATCCCAAGGATGTTAAATAAAAGAAATGCCCACCCAGACAAAGCCTGGTAAAACTGTAGAAGACCATCATAAAAAAAGCTCTGGGGGAAATCTGGGGAAAATGTCTTTAAAACACTGAAAGAAAATAATACTGAATATGTAAGTGTATACCTAGCAAAACTACCTTTCATAAATAAAGCATGAATAGAAGGTATTTTCAATCAAACAAAAAATAAGAAAGTTTACTTCCAAAAACATTCATTAAAGGTACTTCTAAAGGACATGCTTCAGAAAACAGCGATGATCTGAGAAGAAGAAATGGTGAGAAAAGAAAATAGTAAATACATGACTATGTTTAAATAGAGTATAAAAAACAGCTGCTACTGTATACAAATTGTAATAATGTGTAATATAAAAAATAATATAAAACTATAAACCAAATAACCATGGCATGTTAGGCTGAAAAAGAATGATCCAAATTAAAGAACTCTAAGGTTACTGAACTGTTTGAGAAAAGAATGAATACTGTTTAGTGTAACACTTTATTAAGTTACATAGGATGCCAACATCTCTAGGGTAAGCGTGGAAAAAAGAGAATGGTGTGTACAACTGTTAAATTAGTAGAAGAAAAACCATGGAACTATATTTAAAAAAAAAAACAAAAGCAAAATCCAAATGAAGGCAATAAAGAAAAAATAAGGCTCAGGAAAAGCAGGACAAATAGCAAAAAATAATATGGTCAAAATGAATATAAATGCATTAGTGCAATCAATAATTAGTGTAATCTGCTAAACAACATACATCAACTGAATATTTTACTTAAAAGACAATGACTGATTGAATTAAAAAATAGACAACATATGTCCACACAGACTTGCATGTGAATGTTCATAGCAACTTTATCCACAATAGTTGAAAAAACTGGAAATGACCCAAATATCCATCAACTTGTGAATAGCTAAAAAACAAACAAACGAAAAACCTGTGGTATATCCATACAGTGAAATTATACTGAAAAAATATAAAGGAATGAAACTCTGATATGTGTAACAGCATAAATGAATCTCAAAGGCATTATACTAAGTGAAAGAAGCCAAACACAAAAGTCTACTTACTGTATGATTTCATTTGTATGACTTTCTGGAAAAGACAAAATAACATAGTGATAAAAAATAGATCAGTAGTTTCCTAATGCCAGACGTGAGGGAAGGAAACTGATAGCAAAAAAGCATGAGGAACTTTCTGGTGTGACGGAAATATCTATAGCTTTATTGTGGTAGTGGTTACATGACTATACACACCTGCCAAAATTCATCAAACTGTACACTTAAAATATGTGAGTTTGATCATATGAAAATTATACCTTAATAAAGCTAGTAAAAAGACAAATTCCAATTATGTGATTTACAAAGCACAAATCTAAAGCCTTTTGTGTCTTTGAATAAAGGAGGCTGGGGGAAGAACTGCGTAGGCAAATAATAACCCAGAAATCTGGTGTAGCTAAATTAAACCCATACACAGTTAATTTTAGGCAAAGAGATAAAAAGGGCCATCACATATTAATAGAAATATTTAATTCCCTGGGAAGATATAATATGTTCCTAATAATGTATCTTCAAAAATATATAAACCCAAAAATAAAAGAACCTCAAGGAGAAACTAACCATAAGACAGTCTCATTTATGAACATAAATGCAAAAATCCTGAACAAAATATTAGTAATTCAAATCTAATAATTTCCAAAGAAAAATAATGTGTCTAAATTTGGGTTATTCCATAATTCAAGGTTGCTTCAATATCAATCAGTGTTATTCACTAGATGAAAGAAGAAAATATATGATTATCTCAAAGAATATAGAAAAAGCATTCAATAAAATACAACATTCATCATTCATGA
Organism: Homo sapiens; assembly: GCF_000001405.40. Classification (NCBI taxonomy): domain Eukaryota; kingdom Metazoa; phylum Chordata; class Mammalia; order Primates; family Hominidae; genus Homo; species Homo sapiens. Next base: position 90,174,368 of record NC_000006.12, read on the forward strand.
TTAAAACAAAGAATAGAAAGAAACTTCCTGAACTGGATAAAGGATATCACAAAGCAACCCTATAACAAATACCATACTTTATAATATAAATGAAAAGTTAAAGTTTTATCTATCACTATTTTAATTTAACATTGGAGATTCTTGCCAGTTCAGTAAGACAAGAAAAAAGAATTAACATTTTATGGGTTGGAAAGGGAAAAAAAACTATCATTACTTGTAAATGATATAAAGAATCTACAAATTACTTTTATTAATAAGGAAGCCAATAAGGTTTCCATATACATGATAAAATGTAGGACCCTTTGACAGTGGCATGGCTAAATAAACTACAGTAAAATAAACACAATAAAATATTCTATAGCAATGAAAATGAATGAACTAAAGTTACACAGGTCAACCTGGATAAAACTCAGAACATTGTGTTTTGTGGGGAGCAAGTCACAAAATAATCAGTATGATTCTATTACATAAAAGCTAAAATGAGATAGTATATTGCTTTGGGATATATATATGGTAAAATTATATGTGGTACATATGTAGTAAAACTAAAAAAAAAAAAGCAAACAAACAAGACAGTAAGTAACTCAAAATCCAGGAAAGTAGTTGGGGAGAGGAGAAAACAATAGGAGAGAGGTACATAAGGGTTTCAGTAGCAATGATAATGTTCTTCAGATGAGTAGCAGAAATGTGGATGTTTTCTTTATTTAATCCTTTAAAGTGTATCTACATGTTATATATTCCCTTCCACATGTATGATATACTTCATAATCTAAAGAAGTAAATGAACCTGAGTGAACTTTGTTAGAAATGCATTTTAAAGTCAATGTTACTTCAAGTTGGAAAACACAGGCATTTAGGAAGTTCTTTTTCTATATCTAAGTTTTGAAATTAATATTTATTATTTTTTCTTATTCCTTATTCTAGGAAAGTTGAGAGTTCTCATTTATACAATGGTTTTCCTATTACACTGAAATCATAAGAAACTCTCTTGGTAGGTTTTAAAGGTAAATTATACAACCATTTTGTTTTCACAACTGCCTGTATAAGACAGAAGAAAAACAACAAATGAACAATTAACTGGTAAGGAAAGAATATTAACTAATAAGAAATGTCAAAAAGGCTTGACTTCTCATATTAAAAACAACTTTTTGGTGGAAAAAACCTAATCCCTTCTTTTGAAAGAGAATTTTTCAAAATTCTCAGTGTTGGGGCGGTGGGGGGTGAGTGGCTGGGGGTTGGGAAATCAGATCTCAGATCAATAAACAGGCAAACAGGTTGACTAAGAATAGAAGGTATCATTATGTATTTTACATATTTTGTATTTTCTGCATATTAGATGTTTTGACATCTTAAAACTACCTTTCTGGCTAGAGAGAGACTGTCTCTTTCAAGGCTAGCCGATTCTCAGAGATAACAAAGAGCCCGGCTGGTAGCATGCCTTTGACAAGAAAATTCACCAATCTAGAGACACCCCTCCTCTATCTGGCCCTCAGAGGCAATATTTCTCTGCCTTTACTATACCACAGCCAGGTACCAAGCAAGCAGGGACCACCCAGAAAGCTTGGAGCCTAACCAAACTACTTCAACTAGCAATTCTAAACTGTTAACCCTGCCCTGCCTTGCCTTTCCCTTGGAAACTCCAATAAAGGCTGTGGCTGGCCCAAGCTCTCCCCTGGCTCCTGCCTTCTGCCTCCTGACTAACACGGGTGTTTTCCCTTGTGGCCCTGCGTAGCATGTGGTGACACGCCTCTATGGGACCTGTGAATGTAACAAATTTCTTCCTTCCAAGCCCTGTTCTCATTTCCCCTTCAGTGGCTGTACTGATTTTATCACATATCCAACATGTACATTCTTAAAACACATAGCAAAGCAGGAGTTTCAGATGTTAACCAAGGTCTCCAGGAATGACAATTCTGGAGCTCAGGGCGAGCAGAGATTAGTGAAGGAGGGAGCAAATTTACAGGAAACAAGAATATGCAAATACTGAGAGTTTGAGAGTTCAGTGGTCGAAAAACAGGAGATAGCTGTGGAAAGTGCACACTGGGAAGGGGCAGCTCTGAGGCACCTCACGGCACCTGGACAACCTCAACCAGCTTAAGGTGCCTAACAGAGGAATTTATAAGCTTCTTGCTGGTATGGGAACAAATCCCCAAGTGAGGTGCCTGCTAGATAGATCTGCAGGTTGAAGTAGATCAGGGAAACGACACACCGGAGGAGAGGGATGTAGGGGCAGAAAAGAGGGGCCCATCCAAAAAATGTGTGTGTATCCCCACCTACCCTTACCTCCTTCCACTTTTTCTACAAGCGTCAGAACTGCTCAACATCATCACTTCCAAATCAGTTTTGGTGACAGAGTCCAATTGCCCAAACCAGATGCAATGCCCTCATTATGTCTTACCAGCCCTCCTGCTCCTGCCTCCTCCAGTTCATGCTTCACGTAGCCACAGAGTAATCTTTATAGAACACAAATATCACCATATTACTTCCCAGCTTAAAAACCTTTCAGGATTGACCCATATCCACCCAGAGTAGCCTCCAAGCCACTTAGATTGTCCTCCTTTCTGCCGTCCTTCTGGCTTCTCTGGCTGGAGACTTTAGACCACAGCACTGTAAACTGATTCCAACTCCATGTTAATATGTTAATTTAATATGTTAATATTAAAATATTATTTCATGGGTCCAGGTATTAGCACATTATGTACTCTTTTCTCCTTCTGAAAGGAAGAATCTTTGCCTGCCTTAACACTATTATTCATCTTCAAAAATCTGTGCAACACTTCATTCTGAAGCCTCCTCAAACAACTGCAGTCTGCTCGCTTTATGGACCACCTTGCTGCTCTCATTACATTCAATGCACACTATTTTATTCACATGTATGTCTGTCTTCCCAACTACACTGCAGACTACTTGAGGGCAGGGATGGTATCTTATTTTTTCTTTGTATTTCCAGTGGGTAGCACAGCACCTGACCCATAAAAAAACTATCATCTATTGAGCACCTACCGTACAGCAGATCCCATACTAAGCTTTTCAAATGTTATGACGTGAGTTCCCACAACAACTCAATGAACTATTTATAATTACCTCTTTTACAAACGAGGAAACTGAGATTTAGGAGGTTAACATCCCCAGGACCTTCCAGTTAGTAAGTGGTAGAATTCTGATTAGGACTTGGGTCTCTGACACCATTGCCTACGTTAGCTCCTTGGGCCTCTGGTGAAACGTAATGCACGAAATGTGGATCGGATCGTATGAAATCTCCCCCAACTTACACCCTGGGTTGAAGGCTGTGAAGCTTATGCAGAATGCTAGAGGAGGCATTAGGACATGGGGTTTCTGGTTCTGCCACTGATTAACCTCAACTCTGGGCTGTCGCAGGCTTTCTCTGGGCTTCACTTTCCTCATGGGGGAAATGCCATCCTTAACAGATCCCATGTCATATCCTCACTCTTAAGGACCTCTAAAGCTGATAAGAAGGTACTGTGAATCATAAACCTAGGTACTCTTTCTAGATATTGGCCTTGAAACATCTCTTCCTTCACTGAAAAACTGCTTCTGAAAAAGGATGCCAGAAGCCACTTTTGGTCAAGAAAATGTCCACTTTTGTTCTCAGCACAGAGCAGGTACCCGGACTTTCCCTGTTCCCAAGTGCTGTAGACCAAAATAGCAGGGAACCAGGATGAAGTCAGCCAGAAACACGCTTTCTATAACTGCTCTTCACAGAAGAGAAAATCAACAAGCTAGTGTTTAAATAATGTGCAGGGTGTGATACCAACCGAACCTCCGCCCTCCTTCCTGGGGAAATGCAAAGTTTGCTGTGGCCTTTTCACAAACCTCGGAGAGAATGAAATGTCAGCTCTAACACTGAATTTCCCAGCTTCATTCCACTTCCCTCACCACCTCACTATTACCTAAGATGACATTCTGTATATTAGTATACTACATCTTAAACATCATCCCTCACTCAGACATCAGATTACAAACAAACAGCTGAATCCTACAGCTGTTCCCACTAGAAACAAAAAGATTCTTAACATATTTGAAGGGAAAAAATCTGTTTGTTCCCAGATGTCTCCTGAGCCCATTTCTGGGGCGTGTCTACTAGTAATAGTGCGTAAACGCTAACTGTACTCCTCGCTCCTATTTACACACACTATTAGTTTTCAGTAACCACTCCTTCCCAACTCCCAAAAAAGACAGCTAAGAAAACAATGTTCACTTGGAGGAAGAGAAACTAAATTTCTTTTTGCTGTTCCTCTCAATCAAACCCTTGCAGGAACCAAAGTATTCACTGTGGTTTAAACACTTGTCACTCAAAAAAAAAGTACCCAGAAATGCCATGAGACTTCCTATAATTTCACTTTTATTTAAGGAGCTGTGCTGCATCAATACTTGCTTTGGGCACAAAATGCAGAGGAGCTTGATGGCATTTTGAGAATGGCACAGATGCAAAGTATTTAAAAAATACATACCACCCAGTGTGTTCCTGGGAGACATGGCTGGACTCAACATGTTACTATCAGCAGTGTTAGCCTGGTTCCGCAGGGGACCACATATGCACATGTAGGTACTGAGCCTGTGCTCTGGGATACATGCTGTGCTAAATGGTTTACATTTTTTATGACTCGTTAAAATATACTTAGGAGGAAGGTATGTTCTCCCCTTTTTACAGATGAGGAAACTGAGCACTACATGAACTGCCCCGAATCACATTGCCAGTAAGTTTGCAAAAGTGGCATTTGAACAGTCAGTCAGACTCCGAATATGTGAAGGAGTTCTTTAAGGGAACCAAGGAAACAATGTGCATTACAACCCTTGGGAGACACTCTAGTGTGTATTTCTATAAATTAAAAAAAAAATGGGAAGAAATTGATCACTAATGAAATGTATCCATCTGTCATAATGAAGATTTTAATGACGAAACAAGTAACCTAAAACTAAAATTAAGACATTACAAATATCAAAGAAACAAAGATACAACCCCTAAAAGGGGCTGGGGTGCTAATATTTAGAAAAATAAATGTGTTTCAACTACTGCCCCCTCCTGGTGGCATAACCAAAGGTACCTTTCTTTTTCTTAACTTGATGGATTTGGAAGGTTTTCTTCTAACTGATCTACCAAAACAAAAAATGTAGGTAAAGAAAGACTGTATGGAGCTTATTGAGGATAAGGCTTAGTTCTGGACTGGAGTGAAGGTCTTTCTAACTGAGTAACTATAAGAAACTATGAAGCATCTTGTGCCTCCATCTTCTCATCAGAAAAATGGGAATAATATCCACTCTATCTACCTCAAAGGTTATTGTGGGCATCAAAGAAATAATGCATGTGAATGTTATTTTCAATGAATCTAAAATCTAAGGTATTATGATTAATTAAAGCCATTTATAGTATCATCTATTAAATTTAAAATTACATTTACTCTTTAATCCTGCAATCCCACTCCTGGGAACCAATGCCATAGAACTAATAGCACTGTATCTAAGAACAAATACAAAGATGTTTATGATTTCAGTGTGGACAATGGCCAAAAAAACTGAGACCAAAGTAAATATCCATGAGTAGGGCAATTGTAGAATAAAAAATTCTAATAGTTACCCCACTGGAATATTATGCACCCATTAAAAAGAATGTTCTAGAGCTTTATCAATTGAATGAAGAGATTTCAACACAGTTTTCTGAGAAGAGCAAAACATAAAAAAAGAATGTTTAACAGGGAATTCTAAAAGTCTTAGTGCATTTTAAACTTTAATAATTTCAGAAGTATAAATGCTATACACTTTCAAGAAACAATATATGAAAAATAAAAATTTAACTTTTTAAAATATTGATGTTACTTATTAAAATCAATATAAAAACTATTATGCACAAAAAAACTAAGAGTAAAATTTATTATTCAAAATTCCAAAGTTAAATAAGTATAAAAGAAATATAAATAGCTAAATGTTTAAATGTTTCTAAGTTTATAGCAATTATACCTCTAAAATTATGAACTTAAAATTGCACTAATACTTAAAAATGTTATTTCAATAGCTTTAGGCATACTAGTGTTTTTGGTTACATGAATAAACTGTATAGTGGTAAATCCTGGGATTTTAGTGTACCTGTCACCCAAGTAGTGTACACTGTACCCAACAGGTAGCTTTTCATGCCTCAACCACCTCTCAACCTCCTCCTCTTGAGTCTCCAATGTCCATTACACCACTCTGTATGCCTTTGTGTACCCATAGCTTAGCACCTGCTTATAAGTGAGAACATGGTATTTAGCTTTCAATTCCTGAATTACTGCACTTAGAATAATGGCCTCCAGTTCCATCCAAGTTGCTGCAAAGACATTATTTCATTCTTTTTCATGGCTGAGTAGTATTCCATACTGTGTGAATGGAATGTGTGGTGTGGAATACACACCAGTCCAATGGAATGGAATGCATTCTATTTACACACCATGGAATACTACTCAGCCATAAAACAGAATGAAATGGAATTATGTGTATTACACACACACACACACACACACACACACACATTCCTCACATGTTTTATCCACTCATCATCTGATGGGCACTTAGGTTGAACCCGTATCTTTGCAATTGTGAATTGTGCTGCAATAAACATACACCTGCAGGTGTCCTTTTTATATAGTGACTTCTTCTTTGGGTAGATACCCAGTAGTGGGATTGCTGGGTTGAATAGTAGATCTACTTTTAGTTCTTTGAGAAATCTCCATATTGTTTTCCACAGAGGGTGTACCAATTTACATTCCCACCAGTAGTGTGTAAGTGTTCCCTTTTCACTATATGTACATCAATATCTATTGTTTTTTTACTTTTTCATTATAGCCATTCTGGCTGGGGTAAGGTGGTATGTTGTTGTGGTTTTAATGCATTAACACTTTGAGAACACTCTATAACATGTTTTTGTTTTTTAAAAACAAAATAACAGTCCCCTCACTCCCACTGTGTGGTGTGTGTGTGTGTGTGTGTGTGTAATTGTACATTTACATAAACAGGGGAAAAATGGAAGGCTATATGTGCAGTTAAAATGGGAGAAGGGAAAAGAGGAGGAGAGTGATCCAGACAAAAGAGGAAAAGTTGTTGTTTTTTTTTTAAAAATGGGGAACCAAAAAGTGTATATGCTATTATCACATTTATGTACCTATATAAAATCATTTGTATTGTACAGCTATATAATATTACATGTTTAAATTTTATTATTTTAGAGACAGAGTTTTACTCTGTTACCTGAACTACAGTGCAGTGAACTACAATTGCACTGGCACAATCACAGCTCACTGCAGCCTCGATCACCTGGGCTCAAGCAATCCTCTAACCTCAGCCTCTTGAGTAGCTGGGACCAGCTACGGCACCACCATGCCTGGCTACTGATTGATGGATTCATTGATTGTAGACACAGTCTCACTTTGTTGCTCAGGCTTATTATTATTATTTTGTTTTTTAAGAAAGGAAAGAAACTTGCCCCAAGTCCCATACTAAGCTAATGGCAGAAGAACCAGAACTTGTACCTAGGTCTCTCTGACTCTGCAGTCTGAGCCCTGAAGGATTACACTGTGATTTAGGATGGTTATGGATTCACAGGCAGGACTCACTAGCCCTGCAATTGGCCTCTCCAGCATGGAGTTCCTGACCATTATTCGTCAATCTCAGGAGCTGCTTTCAAAACAACCAATCGTCCTTTGAACCTCTCACTTCTGGGGTGGAGCATGATAGCATGGTAGATGCTGCAGACATGAGGCTTTTGGTTGATGCTGATAGCAACCCTCTGTTGCACAGATACATAATTTTAATCACCACTGCTAAGTAACTCTTATTGATTTGTTCTTCTCAGAATCAAAGACACTTTTCTCTCTCTCTCTCTCAAGTAAATTAAAAATGGAAACATATTGTCAATCCCTGAACACGTGGTGTGCTTTTTTCCTTCAGGCCCATCACATACTGTTCCTTCTATCTGGAATGTCCTTCATCTTTTTCCTCTGCTGGGAAAACCCTTCCATATTCTTGAAGTTGCAGCTCAAATATCACGTTCTCCGTCAAGGATTTCCTACCTCATCCAGGCAGAACTGCTTCACCCTTTGCATGCCCTCAAGAATCAGGACAGGCTTCTCTTAGCAGTGCTCACTGAGGCTTTGATTATGGGCTTAGGGACTGATCTTCCACTGGAGACCTCATGAGTATGGTCTCACTCTCACCTTGTTCCAGTGGCCAGCATGGTGCTTGGCACATTATAGCCTTCAATTAAATATTGGTTCCATGAAACTGTGAGATTGAGAACGTATTAATTCACAAGGTAAATAAGTCATAGGTCCAATACTGAGGCAAATGAACATGCAATCTTCCATGCACAAGGCCAAGAATCCCTTGCTTTTAAATAATATGAACCAAATCACTACCAGGAAAGAGGCTACACCTCACACAGCGGATCTTCACTCTCGCCTTTCCCCAACTCAGCAACAGCAGGACAAGCTATGAAAAGTTCTTTTGTAAGTTTATGGGAATAATAATTCTTTTAATAATTTCAATTTTTATTTTAGATTCAGGGGGCGCATGTGCAGGTTTGTTACCTGGGTATAGCAATTATACCTTTGATATTTTGAACTTAAAACTGCACTAATATTTTGAGAACACACCACATAATGTTTTCATTTTTATAAAACAAAGGGAAAATCCTCTCACTCCCTCTCAAATGCTGGCATTCAGTGTGAAATCATAGCTGGAATGTGACAGATGTGTATTGTGTGTGTGCACGGAAGGCCTCTTTACTAATTCAGACCAACCTTTACCTCCTCAGTGTGAGATTATCTACTGAAATAATAATGACTGATATTTATATACAACTTAGAATGTATTTGCTTTCAGAGACATTACCTGGTTTGTTGTATGAAGCAGAAAGCAAATCAATCAACCAGATTTATCATTATGTTTACACTGATTTTGCAGTAGATAGTAACCGAGTTTATGCCTTGACCAAATGTCCATATATAACATACAGTCAGTAAAACTGTTGACTGGCTGTAGGTTCCTGCTGTGAGAAGTGTGATCTGTGAAATTCTAACATGCCTAATAACATTTATTCCCTTATGATCTAGCATAGATTTAAGCCAGGCAAAAAGTTTTAACAAAAACTGATTATGCTTGTCAATAACCGTGAATAGTATCCCAATTAAGACAATGGTCATTTATTTGTTCCTACTGCCACCAGTGAAAGCAGGAAAAGCATTTGGCAAATCTATTTCTGTCACCCTCAGATTTCAGGAAGAGAAGTTCAAACAGATGAAGCTGATGTTACTGGAATAACTCATTCTACTCTACCATTCTTCCTGATCTACTCCCCAGGCTCTGTGAGCTGCTGGTAATCAAGGATGTTTGACTGGGTTCTGTTAGCTGTCAAGGTTTACTAAGCTGAGTTAGTTAATGAGTGATGGCTGGATTTCATTCCAGGACTTCATATCAGCCATGAAGCAATTAGGCATGTACTTCATGATCTCCCACTGGAATTTCAAAGGTGCCTTAGTCTACCAAGGAACTAAATTCAGTGTGGTCTGAAAGGAAACAATAAACAACATTTAACCATGAGAGGTAGCAAAGGACGTCTTTTCTCAGTGTCTATGTTAGACAGGTGAGGAATGTTGCCAATTTATTTTTTGTCCATATAACCTCTATAGCTATTTCTTCTCTTGTCTGTCGTTCTGAAATTATAAAGGGTTCTTATGAGTTGTTTATGTGAAACCAAGTACCCTGACCCACAGGCAAGGTATTCCTGGAACTGCTGAAATAGCAAGCCAGATAATGATATCATTTAAAAAAGTGCCAGGCAAGAAAGCTCTGATTAACTACTGAAACATGCTCAGTGGAGATATTTGTAGCTAGAATAAACGCCATTTTAACATCTCCTCTTTATCTAGGGTCCTCCTTCCTCATGCTATTATTGTGAATATTTCCTCTTCAGATTCCTGCATACAAGGAAGACTGATGAAAGAGAGTAAAAATCACTTTTGGAGAAAAAAAGGTAAGAGCTGGCAGAGGTAAAAGAAAGATTCTGAACCTCATCAACAGTTGTTGCAATCTCACTCACCTCTCTGGCTAACCTTCCTCCCTCCACCCCTTCACTGCTGCTTTCCTGCCACTCACCCAGACTGGACTTTCTACTCTGATGCTCCACAAGAAACAGAAGTGGTAAGAAGACAAGCAGGCTCCCGGGGGAAGTGGAGGACCATATGAAGTTTCATGAAAGAAATGGCTTCAGGGATGATGAGGCAACTCTTCCTAATACAAGGGGTAAGCCCTAGCCCAGGGGCACACCCATCCTCTAGGAGGCCAGGGATGGTCTCTGTCACTCCTGGGAAGTCCCTGCAGACTCTACCTGCTTTCCAAGTGCTTCAGGAAACATCACCTTAAGGTTGAAGGAGGACAAACTCAAGCAGTTGCCTATGGTATGGCTAAGGGGGTGGCAAACAGAGGGCTGGTGATTTTTACAAGTAACCTCTCACAATACTTGCGCCATTACTTCTCTTTTCATTTGTGTCCATGAATAGAAACTCTCAGAGGATAGTATGTTAGCTCCATGGCCTGTGGCACTGTAGAGTGAGTTCTTTAGAGACTGAAGGAGTTAAGAGTACCTGTTTAGCTACCAGAAGCTGAATGTCAGCCGGTATGAATGGTATGTAGCTGGGCAATTTTCCAAAACCCATGCGTGGCTGCGTATCAGGAAGACTGCTATAAACAAATGTGCATGTATGCATAGAGCCTGATAAGTCAATGGGGGGAGACAGACACGGAACAGCCAACCAGCCTGAGGAAATATGCAGAGCCGGGTGAGCTTCCACTTTAGGTGAACAATAGCTCTGTCTCGGAAACAGGTCTGGATGGGCTGGTGAACAGTTGGAATGATCCTTTGACTTTTTACACATTAAATGTCTGTTTCAGGGGACCGAAAGCTGGATTCTCAATTTTCCAATTATCCTAATATTATAAAATCACTAAAATGGTGTTTTAAAAAAATTCTTAATATGTAAAACATGCAAAGATACATTAGGTGAAAAAAGCACAGGGCAAAACTGCATTTATAGAACCCAATTATGTAAAATATATAGATACATTTAAGATGATACATTAAAAATGTCACTAAAATATAACACGATCTTTTTGTGGTTGTGGGATTATACATGATTTTTGTTTTTTCTTTCTACTTTACTTTCCAATTTTTCTAAAATTAACATATATTATTTTCATAGTTAAGAAATAAGGTTACTTAAATTAAGAAGAAAATTACCTGTGGATGAAACGACATCTGATGATGGGTTATGAGGGTTGGGGAAGGCCAGAAAGGCATAAAATAGAACCAACCACGTTTATAAAATGTTAAATTCAACTGGTCTTCACGTCTACACACATTAGTATCTTCTGTCTTACACTGTAAACTCCCAGAGAGCAAAGGCTGTGTCTAATTCTGTGCAATGTCTGGCTCAATTAAAAATGTAGACAGAATATAATTTTTATGATGATTACGCAAATGTAGTTGGTTCTTTTTCACTCTGGCAGCCAGTTTAGTGTTACTGATGCTTGGACAGTGACACAGAATAAGAACATACATTGTTTTCCCCCTTTAAAATCATAGTGTATTAATAGGCTACTTTTAAAAAATTTTTTTGCAGCATATACACTCATAGAAGAGACCGATCCTCTACCATATTTAAAGTAGAAAGTAAAACAGTACTGTAATTTTCTCTGTTTTAGCCCATTTCCATGTTATATAATGAATGTAATTCCAAGGATGAGCTTACAGTTTGATTTCCATATTAATTCAATTACTGGACTCGCCACTGACTCAGACCTGGAATTAATATAAAATACAGGGAGACACACACAAAAAATGTTCCACTTAAGAAACCAAAACAGCCCTAAGTCAAACCACTCTTACAACACTAGAGTAATATCCAATGAAGCGGCTTCCATTTACAGTGTTTTCCAGACCCCACAAAGTTCTTTTCAGAGTTCTTATATTCCCTAAAATATAACCAAGGTTACTGTAACTTTTGAAGTCACTCTCAAGATGTACCTATCAATAAACAGTAGCTTTTTGTTTTTTTAGTACGGTGGCTGTAAGAAGTTACAAATGACTGTCAGTGTGGTTTCAGGTGGTATTCTTATTAGAAATTTAAAACACGGTGTTATCAAATTTGGCCTAAGTCTGTTCCTTTCAAGGTTATCGTAAAATATGCAGGAAATGTGAAATCCCAAGTGCTTATTAAATTAAACTGGAGAAGTCACTTTTTGAGAGCTCGGTCCTCATGCCCCTCCCCTGCCCCCGTGACAATGGTAGCATTTACCAAGTGCTCTCAGCAGGTGCTGAGTGTTAAGTGCTTCACTTGCATGATGTAACATAATACTCAAAAGAGCTCTGGAAGGTAAGCATTTCTATCAGTATTTTACAGATGATAGGTTTAGGAAAAGGTTAGGGACCTTGACCAAGGTCTCACAACGCCTCTGTGTCAGAGCTGGAATTTGAACCCAGGTCTGATAACTCTCAGAGTGCAAACTCTTAACCACTAAGGACTTGTTCACTTCAGAGGGCTAATTAAGTGTGAAATCAAAAGCAATGAATAATCGCAATTATGCCACTTTTAATTTGAGTCTGTTGCATATACATAATTGGTCTTCCTCTATATTAAGAAGGATGCCCTATAAAAAATTAGAAATTCTGCCAACAAAAACCTCCTGAGGGAAACTAAGAACATCTACTAAATAAATAAATCAAGTGTCTTATTGAGAACACGGCAATACTGAGAGGCTTGGGTGTGGCCACCTGACAGATCTGGAGGAAACCTAGAGGCAAAATGTACCGAATATTCTATTGCACAACAGAATCTATCTGTGGAAAGCACCCCCTAAACGGAAGTATCTGTCAAAGTAAAAATAAATCAGGGTAACAGCATCTAAAAAATATATTGTGAGTGAGATGCATACTTCTCTCATTTACTATGGTACACGAATATACTTAGTTTAATTGTCTTGTTTAAAAAAGAAACAAACAACTTTTCAGCCCAATCTATAAAACTCTGACAAGGACTAACATCACCGTGCAGTCATGAAGCAGGGCGAGCCAGCTGAGGCTTTTGGTAGGGTCTTCTCTGCAATCTGCTTCTACTATGTGATGGGTCACCAGGAGCGCAGGCTCACTGAGGACTCTGCTTTGCATGATGAAGAAATCATCTGGATCTGTTCACAGAGACGGGTCATTCCACTCAAACTCATAAAAGCCAGGCTGACAGATTAACTGAAATGCTTATCAACCAATCTGAGAACCAGAATTTCCCAGAAGAGCAGAGGATTAGGATCAGATTATTCTGTTTTTTAAAAAATTAAAACATTTCCTGAGCACCTACTATGGGTCAGGATCTGTCGTAGGCACTTTTACATTAGTGGTTTCATTTAACTCTCACAACCGATCTTTGGTGTGAGTACTTTTTAAGTACATTTTAGATAGAGGCTGTGGCCTGGAGAGGCAGAGGAACTCTGCTGAGGTCATGCAGTTAGAGGAGCAGCAAAGCTCCCAGAAGAGCACAAGTGCCCCAGTGCTGAGGCTACGGGTCTCACTATGCGGAAAATCACAAAGTTCAGAAGGTGCTGGCAAGGGAGCCCAGTGGTCATAGGTTGCTGTCATCAAGCCTAAAGACTTAAAATGCACTGGTGACATATGGCTGCCAGTTGGGCTGTCATAATCAGGAACATCCCTAAAACTTTCAGGCTCCCCAACTCCTTTTGGTGACTGTCATACAGACCAGCAGCCAGCTGTTTGCTTTTGATATAAATGTGTTCTAATTTCTAAAATGTAAAGTTTAATTATCTACATTTATTTTATTTTATTTTTCCTGATAGAATGTCAGTAGACACACCATGAATTTGTATAGAATGTCAGTAGACACACCATGAATTTGTTTAAGTGTGGGTTAACTTATGGGAATTTTATACATAGCTAACTTCAGTCATTTTTCTGTTGATCTGTGATAGTTTCAGTTTCAAATGATATTTTCTGCCACTGTTCCTTGAAATTCAAATTTTGAGGGTGCTCATTATTTGGTACCCGGGCACTGATTTATTCATATCTATTAAAATACATATATAAAAACAAAAATAAAACACGAAGAAAAAAAGAAAAAAAATACATATACAAGTATACACGGTACAAAATTGTGTGCCATACTGTGTACTCATTCATGACCAAAAGACACTGATCATTTGTAAGCTTATTCTAGTAAACTGAATAAAATAATATAGCTAATATTTTATACTTACTTTTTCTGCTCCTACTGAAAAACTGGACATCTTAATAGTTACTTCATACTACCAATCTAGTAATAAGGTCTGGTGGCCCCAAAATGAAAAAAAAAAAAAAAAAAAGCGAAAGGGGACTGAGTATTTACGTTTTTTAGCATTGGATTAAAAAAAAATAAAAAACAACATCAGTTTCCAAAGGCTAGCTCTGAACATTTTGCCTCCTCTTGACCTTAAATTGTGGGCTCACCCTGGAGAATAAATCTTAATAGTGAATTATACATAGCAACTTTGAAGACAAATAATATTAGTGCAGCCTACCCGTAATTACTCTCTTTTTACAAAGTTTCCTAAGAAAACAGAGCCAAAATGCTTAAAATTTAAACAGAAACAGAGAGAGTAAATGGCTGTGAAACATACACATATAGAAATTTATATTGTATATTTACATTTGGTCTAAAAGCAACTTCTTAAAATTCACCAACAGAAAAAAACAAATACATTTTTTGGAGAGAAGCAACAATGTAGGTAAAGATCACAGATTGTTTAAAAGGCATATCTAAACATCTAAGAGACAGTCTTTGTTTAAATTGAACTAGGATTTCCTGGAGAGTAGTAAAATGTTGTTTCAGTATAGTGAATGTGCAAGTTAACACTTCAAGAGTGGGCTTCCGGCCGGGCGCGGTGGCTCACGCCTGTAATCCCAGCACTTTGGGAGGCCGAGGCGGGTGGATCATGAGGTCAGGAGATCGAGACCATCCTGGCTAACAAGGTGAAACCCCGTATCTACTAAAAATACAAAAAATTAGCCGGGCGCGGTGGCGGGCGCCCGTAGTCCCAGCTACTCGGGAGGCTGAGGCAGGAGAATGGCGTGAACCCGGGAAGCGGAGCTTGCAGTGAGCCGAGATTGCGCCACTGCAGTCCGCAGTCCGGCCTGGGCGACAGAGCGAGACTCCGTCTCAAAAAAAAAAAAAAAAAAAAAAAAAGAGTGGGCTTCCTTTGGCTTCAAACTAAACAGCTGGACAGGGGATGCTACTTAATTCTTTTTCTTCCCTACCAGAAGGAGGAGGTGCTCAAGTATTTTTCTTTATTCTTTCATCTGTTTATCTGCTGAGCAATAGGGATCTTGCTTCAGGTTGGTTAATCTGCTGAGCCATGACACATATGAGAAGGTTCTCTGGCAGGACAGTATGCTCTCCAAACAGAGACTATGGCAGTGAAAGAACCAAAGATATATCATCTCCCCTCTGAAGCCTCTGCTTCTTTGGGGTAGGAATTGGTCTATTAACTCTGAGCATTTTTTTTTTAAAGATGGAGTCTTGCACTGTCACCTGGGCTGGAGTGCAACGGCATGATCTCGGCTCACTGCAACCTCTGTCACAGGGGTTCATGTGGTTCTCTTGCCTCAGCCTCCCGAGTAGCTGGGATTACAGGTGCACACCACCACACTCGTCTAACTTTTTGTATTTTTAGTACAGACAGGGTTTCACTATGTTGGCCAAACTGGTCTTGAACTCCTGACCTTGTGATCCGCCCTCCTGGGCCTCCCAAAGTGGTGGGATTATAGGCGTGAGCCACCGCAAGCAGCCAACTCTGAGCATTTTTAGGCACTAACATTCCAAGCGTCTGAGATTCCAAATAGGAAAGTGCTATTTTAAATGACTCTTTAAGCTACCATTACAGATAACTGTAAGAAATATTCAGGCCTGAAAAAATGTTCATTCATCACCAAAATGTGAATCACTTCTAATTGATTTACTATTTCTGCTCTTCTGCTAATAACAGAATTTTGTCACTATCCACAAACATTCCAGAACACTTATCTTACAGAACAGAAAAGCAGTTGTCTATAGTAAAAACACTCCAAGTTTCCCTTACATGTCACACTGTAGAAAGGAAACAAAACCCATTTATTTTCTCAACTATCTTGCCTGTGATAGTCTGTGTACGATAAAATTTATAGAAAACTAAAATGCTAGAGTCCCTACAGACTTCAAAGATAATCTGGCCCACTGATTTCTTTGTAAGCTGAAGCCCCTTGGCGAATCTGATGGGAGCTATGAACCATTCTCCCTCCAGAAAAATGTATATGCATACCAAATATTGTATTCACTTCCCAGCATTTTAGAGACAACCCCTGAAGCCAACCTAGGCTAAGACCCCAGACCAACGACTCTGATCTAATTCCACTGCTTTGTTTCACATATGGAGACACCAAGTTCCAAACAGGGGATGTGGCTTGGCCATAATTGCTCGGCAGAAACTATGAGAAAGTAAACTGGATGAAACTGAAAATGATGCAGATAGCAACTCTGAACCATCACAAATCAGGCCTATCATTTTGCTAGGAAAGGAGAAAAGGTGAAGTGTTTCAAGAGGAGAGCTTTCTTTCATTTTAGGTTTCTGGTTGAGCTTCTCACTGGTTTTCTTCATCTTGCCTTCGGGCCAGGCCCATCCGTGACTTAAGGCTACCTTTTCTTGTGTTTGCTTCTGTAAATCAGTAAGACCTGCATAACCTGGCCACATTCAGAAAGGAGGGCAAGTGTGAGAGTGTGAAGTAGAAACCAGTTTTAAGGAACTGTAAGAGTTCTAAAGAACTCTAATTTGGTCACATAATGGATATTTAAGAAGTATTCTGAATCAAACACTGCTCACATATTTAAGGAAGTGGCAGTCTACTAAACTGTCACCGAGTAAAAGTCCTAGAGACTTGCTTTAATGATTAGATGGAACAAATTTTCAACTACTGCATTCATCCGCACATTTGCAAATGGCTCATTCTTTTAAGAACTAAAACATTCATTCTGGGATTTTGTATTTGTGTTTAGTTCATTGCAAATTTACTCAATATATTTCGAATTCAATTCAACAAATACGCTTAGGACATTCCAATGTGACGGAATGGAAACGTGCATGGATTTTGGAGTCACTAAGATCCAAATTCAAATATTGGATCTGCTTTATCTAGACACGTGATTATTGGGCTCATTACTTAAGGGTCTCTGCGTTTCCCCATCTGTAAAGTGGGAATAATACCAACTACTGTGCAAATTGGGTTTGAAAATTAGCAATAATATAGTCTATTGTAAAGAGGCTAATGCAGTATCTGGCAAACAGGGATTCCATAAAATGGTAATACTTAAAATAATGATTATTTATCAAATATCTACAAAGGACAAACTTCATCCTAGACCCTTCTCTAAAATCTGAATTCATAATATCAAAATGAATGAGGATTTAATTCATTCTTAAAATGACTCGAATACTTGCTAAGATTTTGACATATTAAAAACTATAACCATTATAAATGAAAAGGCCACTGTTCAAATGACTAGCTTTGCTACAGTACAACTGTCAGTTTTTTGACCAAAAGGAAATTTATAATACCATTGGTGGGTTTTAAGTCTTTAGGTAAAAACTGTGTTTTAAAGTAACAGAACAATAAGACAGCAATATAGTGGTTTCTTAATGACTAAAATCTTACATTACATATTATGGTTCAGTATTAATGTGCTTTCACACTACCTACTGAGTTTTCAGACTGCAACTACTTATCCTTTTCAAATTGCTATCACTCTCTTTTTCATGGGAGATTTCTTACAAATTCCTTGGAGAATCCAAAAATTTACAGTGGAAATTTTTTCTCGATTCCTTTTTTTTTTTTTAAAGAATAAACCTATTCAACAGGTAAATCTAAATAATTTTTAGCAGTTCTAAATGTAGAGAATTCATAACTTCTTATTGTAATTGAAAAGGAACATACAAAGCAATTAGTCACTTACAAAACCCACGTTCAACCTTCAAAATAATGACTAACTTGATAGGAGAGGCAAGACTTCTTTAATTAAATACTAAAGTCTAGCCATTTGAGATAAGCAAAGCAGGTTATACAACCGTCTTCTGCACTCACAATATCCTTTTCTCCCTCTTGGAAATATATCATTTTTCAGCAATAGTAGAACATGTAACAAAAAAAGTTACTGTACTGTAGAAAATCACTCTAACCACAAGCTAAGTTTTTGGCTAAGAGTTAAACTTCATTCATTTGGATTTCACTAGTTTCACAAGAAGAAAAAGTGATTAACCCTAGTGTAAGTAAAATTCCCTTGAGAATATATTAGATTCTTAAGAAAACAAAACAGTAAGCAACCTTAGGCACTCACTTACATATAAATCCTTAGGGTGTTAACTGAAAAGCATTCCTAGCCATGCTAGAATAGGATTCTCAAACTTGAACACTGATTACCTTTTTGAGAGCTCTCTGGACAGGTGTGCTCAGAAGCACTGGAAGATACAGGAGAGTTTGATACACATTCTGAGAAAGATGGGGTGGCTCCTGTGTGTGCATGTGGCCATCTAGCACAATCACTATTCAGCACGGGACTACATTTCCCAGGCCACTTCACCTCCAGGTGCAGCCACGTGACTAGTGCTCAACAAAGGAATATGAGAAAAGATGGTGCTTTACTTCAAGGCGACTGTGATTAAGAAGTGAGGTGCAGACAATTGCAAGATGGTGTTACAGGATGAATTATGTCCCCTCAAAATTCACATGGTGAAGTCCTAACCCCCAGTACCTCAGAAAGTGACCTTATTTGAAAATAGGACCATTACAGATGTAATTAGTTAAAATGAGGTCATACTGGAAGAGAGTGTGCCCCTAATCCAATATGACTGGTGTCCTTATAAAAAGGGAAAATTTGGATACACACAGGAAAAGAGGGAAGATGATGTGAAGAGACTCGGGAAAAGGTGACCTTCTACAAGCCAAGGAGCAAGGCCTGGAAGAGATCCTTGCCTCACAGTCCGCAGAAGAAACCAACCCTGCTGACACCTTGATCTTCGACTCCTAGTCTGCAGAACTGTGTGACCACACATTTCTGTTGTTTAAGCCACCCAGTCTGTGGTACTCTGTTACAGCAGCCTGAGCAGACAAAATAGATGGTGAGGCCAGAAGACGGAAGGCACCTGAGTTCAGGATTCCTGAATCACCTCTCAATAAAAGCACTTCACTGATCAGAAATACTTCCACTGGGCTGAGAGCTGAGCAAGAAAGGAAACTAGTTGTGTCAAACCATTCAATTTTGAGGGCTTATCTGTTATACCAGCTGTCATTACCTACTATAGGACCTAATTAATTTAAGTGGCAAGTAATTTTAAATTATTTTACATGAAAACAAACATGGACCTATCACATATCACAGGGAACAATCCATGTAAAATTTTAGGATTAAAAACACTTCAAAGAAAATTTGAATTTACAGGAAGATATTTTGGGGTAAATTCTCTCAAATCCTCCATAGGGTATAAATTTACTCTCTTCTGCCAATAGAAGTAGAATTTCCTCAAGAATATTAAACAAGTCACAATGTCAAAGTTGCTGGAACTTCAACTACGCCACATAATCCACTTAATTTTTTTTTTTTGAAATTAAGTGGAGCATTTCTATCAAGTAGCCCAAGTATGTAAAATTTTACTTGGGTACTAAAGATGAGAACACTGTGAAATGAGTTATCAGCCTTTTCCAAAGTTCTCAATATTTTTATAATCAATCTGAAAAGAAGTCACTAGGTACAGAATACCTTCTGTTTGAATATGGACAAAAAATGTACCCTCTTTTATGACAGGGTAACTGATACAGAATAAATACTGGATACCATTTTCCATTTTTGATTTTTTTTTTCTGACATGAAGAAAAAATGAAATGATAACTATCTTCGGTAAGACTTAGAGTTATAGTTCAAAATACCTCAAAAGCCGAGCTGGCAGCTGGCTTCTCATGTTTATAGAAAAGCTAGGATGATTCAGCCTGAGCTCAGAGCTCAATTTAGATCATAGCATCTGGATTCAAAACACATGTGAGATGTGGCAGCCGATTTTCAGGTCATGACTGATCCAAGACAGAGATTGCAGACCACTCACCAGCATTATTCCAAATGGAGAAAGTGCCTGAGAGAAACAGAAGTCTCAAAGGTATTTGGAAGCCCACTCCAAACTGTTAGGGAACAGGTAACATCAGCATTTTCTGCATCCAGCAGCTTTAAGCAGGTGCCGCAGAAGCCAAGGGCCTGAGGATGACACTGAACAGCTTTGTCATGACATTCAGCCTTGCCATGGTCAGAAAACATCCCTCACCCATGACTTCTTTCCTGAACTGGCTATTGTTCAGATTAAACTATGGGAATCTGGTAATAAATTGGAAAACCTCTGACAGCACACACTTCCTGCTAAGATCTGTGTTTAACTTTGCTTTGTTTCGAAGAGAAAAACTGTAGTAAAGAAAAAGGAAAAATAAATGTAAATGCCCTTTTTCTTGATGAGAAGAAATCATAGTCACAGTAATTCTAATATAAACTACACAATGAAATCTAAAAGAAGAGGGGAAAATCCCCAGCTCAGTTTCAATCTCTATTGGAATTCACCTTGTGCCTTCCTTGATTTTCCTTGGATATGACATGTCCAGATGTGGGTGATTCTGCAGCTATGGATTTTATGTGCAATAAAAAAATGCTTCTCCTGCTGCTTTTCCTCACCTCCCCCCTCCCCCATCTCTTTTCCTCTCTCTCCTCCTTGTCTCTTTGTTGTGAATGTCAGGGCTGTCAGTGTCACAGTCTGACATGATTAGCGTTTCTGACATTACACCAAGAAGCAGACAGAGAGCAAGGAGAGCGAGCAGAGGGGAAGGCAGTTATGAGTAGCCATTTAAAGAAGTCCAAGGAAAAAACAAGCACAACCACCTTTCTCTGAGGTTCCTTGATTACAGGGCAGTTTATAAATCACCTTGGATTTTTCTCATTTATCCTATTAGTCTGTTTTCCTGTTCCTCTGGAGATCCCTAAGGTGTGGATCTAGTCTGTGAGATCAAAGCCAGCGGCTCTAATAACAGATAAGACAGAATTCGTGATTCAGCGGATTCTAAGGTTGTGAAGTGTAACAATCAGCGCACTTTGGGAAGATAGCGCCAGTCCATTTCGAGTATTGATTCGCTGCACTTTGTCACTCTAATGATGTTATCTCATTAAAAGAGATAAATGCCCCACTGTTCTTCTAAGAGCATCTGCTTCTTACTCTTCTCTCTTTTTCAACAGCATGGCTCTCAGCAGCAGCACATTAAAATCAAATTGAAATCCAATGCAAGGCTTGGCTACAGAGCAGCTAAGGTATCTTTTTAATTGCTTTTTCCTACTCTCAACCCCCTTCCAGCTCCTCCACTACAGTCCTTCAAAGAAACAAGCAACATAAAGAGAAAGAGATGTAGAAAGTAATCATAATAGAAAGCATTTGCTGAGTGTCTGTTACATAGGGACTCCACTGTGTCAACATTTAACTTATTCCTACCTTGTTAGATAGGTAGAACAATCCTCAGTTTGCAAATAAAGAAACGGAGTTTTGACTTTAGGTAACTTGCCCAAGATCATGAAGGTAGCGAGAGAATGAGCCACAATTTGAACAAGGGTCCATTCAATGCAAGTACTTTTTTTTTTTTTAATCTCCATTTCATTCATGGAACAAATAAGAAAATATGATTGCAACTTGATTAGAATAGGTGAAAAAATGTAAAAGAAGGTAGCAATTATTCTTCAGCCTGCTAATAGCCAAGAACACAATGCCATAGGTTTTGTTTCAACAGATTTCTTATTAAATAAAAAAGGTAGCAATTTTTCATAATGAATGTTTTATACATTATTCCTTTGTGTATCAGGCCTCTAAAGTACACATTATTAAAGTCTATTAAAGTCTGTATTTAGCAGCATTACTAATGTGCCTTTGGGGAAATTATTACAATGAAACAGCATCAGTCTTTCACAAAATTTCAATTGTTTAATATTCCTTTTCTTATCTTCAATACACGTGTCTATTTTTAGCTATAATCAGACCTCATCCCAAATGCCGTAATCCCAGCCTAGAGCTGTCACAGCAAATTGTTTATGGGTTGGATTTAAGAAATAACAAGAAACACAGACATTGTTAATTTCACCCAACACTTTTTTTTTCATGATTGGTTGCAGTTTTCCTACAGTTCTCATTAACAGGTGCTCCTTGATCACTATGACACGCGATGATACTTTATCTCTCTGGTTAGGGTTGGTTATCTTAATTAATTGCTTATATTTATATTTAACTGAAACTAGCCTCAAGATGCCACTTTATTAAAGTTTGAGAGTGGTAAGAAATTACAAAACTATTCCATTAAAAAAAATAGAAAAGAAAACCAAATAAACCAGAAGAACATATAAACTATGATTAGTCAAATCAAATCTCTGCATTTAAAAGTAAACATCATTTACTAGATGTCTACTGGACTAGAAATATGTGTCTTCTGAACAGTAACTGAGGAGTTTCTGCAAATTATTCTGCAAATTGTAAATAGGCATCTCTACCTTTTTATTACATTAATTTTATCACACAGTATGAAGTTTTTTTAAAAACAAAGCCAATGATGTACATATATTCAAAAGCACAAGATTCTCTGAAAATATAGAAAATACTGCTAGGCTTATTTTACGAAGACAAAGGACAATAGGAAGCTGGGAAGAATACCAGCAAACAGCTATACGTTATAAGGCCTCTGTATCACAAAAATGAAGGGAAAATAAAGCCAATCTAAAGTATTACGTACTTAAATTAATAAACTGGATTGGAAGCAATCATTCCATTATAAATTTCCTTTCATACATAGCAATCCCACTGAGATGATACCTTTGTAAAATCAGGCAAAAATCAATTGTTAATATTCTAGAGATGGACAAACCACAGATTAAGTACCTAAATAATCATGTTTCCAATCACCAATTAACTAAGTAGAATTCTCTTAATTGTATCTATTAAGGCCTACTAATTGACAGAAAAAGGGCAGAGTTGAGGACTTGGAGAAAGAAGACAGAAGCATTCCTCTGCCTGATTCATAAAGGTCAGAATCCCCTGGCCGTTGTTGTAGGAACCCAGCCATCACCAGTCACAAAGAAAAAGGCAGCAGCACACTTTGAGTATCCAAAGGGCCTCTTTACTGAGGCTGCATGGCTGTTGTGGGCTTAGTCCAACATGATGATGTAGGACAAGAACCTACCAGTTCAATCAACATGCAATTAAAACTCCTGATGAAGGACGGCCCAGGGCAGTCCATTGGTTTGGGGCAGGGGACGCAGAGAAGCAAAGCCTGTTTTAATTAAGAAAATACTAGGCACTCCTCTTTAAATCCTCAAAAAATGAGGATGAACAAGATTCCAAAACCAACAATCACAATGTGTGTGAAAGTACCAGCAACAAGAATGAAGTGGGACTGAATATGTGCTTTCCTACAAATGAAACCTGTTTGATGGTGTAAGGAAAATGGATGAGCTGTGGTCAAGAATAGGCCGAGGCAGACATCTAGTCCAGCATGACTCAGCGAGTTTGGAGTGCAGGCACACAGCTCTGCCTGTTATGTAACCATGCCATGTGAGGTGCATTAAGTAACCACTCATGTGTGCTCATGCTTGACTCGGAGCCACTATTGTCTGTAAAAGGTATAATTACCCTGCTAATGCTGTATGTAACGGCTTGCACCTGTGGCTCATCCTCAGGCTTGTACCCATGGCTTGCTTGTGCCCATGGCTTGCTTGCACCCACAGCTCCCGTGTGTCCAGAGAATAAAGCCATGTTGAAATGCCCCCATGATTCCTTGACTGGTCTTTCAGCTGCCTGCCACTCATCCACCGACTCTCCTCCGACCTCAGTTAGAACCCGACAGATGGTCAGTAGCTGCAGCCATATTTCAAAGAAGTTATCATGATTCACAGCTAGGCCTCTCAGACTTGAAATTATATTACAGTCATGTCAAAACAGATCCTTTCTTCTCTGGGGCCTATAGGGTCTTAACACAAAGTCCAGCTTTTCTATTCCGAAGACTTAATTTACCTCCTACCTCTTCAGACTCTCCTTCATCTTTTCTGACATTATCAGATGTTAAGTCAGGCCACATGACCCTTTCACTCAAGACAAGGCATTGCCATATCCATATGACACGGTAGTGGGTGCACAGAGTCTCAGGGCTAGAGCTCACTTTGAGGTGCTCCAACACAATCATTCATCAGATGCTCAAACTCTCTGTACAAAAAGGTTCAGATTTTCAGCATAAGCCCTGGAACATGAAGACTGTGATATGGTTTGGCTGTGTCCCCACCCAAATTTCAAACTGTAGCTCCCATAATTCCCACATATCATAGGAGGGACCTGGTAGGAGGTAATTGTTAACTGAATCATGGGGGTGGGTCTTTCCCATGCTGTTCTTGTGACGGTGAATAAGTCTCATGAGATCTGATGGTTTTATAAAGGGGAGTTCCCCTGCACATGCTCTCTCTTGCCTGCTGCCATGCAAGATGTGACTTTGACTTCACTCCTCCTCACCTTCCATCATGATTGTGAGGCCTCCGATGTAACTGTGAGTCCATTAAACCTCTTTTTCTTTATAAATTACCCAGTCTCAGGTATGTCTTTTATTAGCAGTGTGAGAACAAGCTAATGCAGACTGCTTCTTGGAGAAGTAGACACCAGCCAGTGCTTCACCACACACTGCTCTGAGATTTGGTGGTGAGCCATGCACACAAAGAGAGAACAACGGAAATGTGTTTCTGGTTAGACAGAAAGGAGGAGAAGAGATGGGACTGACGTAGAAGCATTACCATAGTTCCATAGTCAAGATGACTGTGTACAAAGAGAAGTCTACGTAACTTAGGAAGCAATCCTCTGGAATGTATATGTTTCATACATATTTACACACACACGCACACATTATATGCATGCACGCATTTTAAAGACAAATGAGCGTTAACATATTCAGTTAATTATTTTAAATTTATCTTATCTCTCTTTCATGCCAAATCGACCCTCTACTCAATTACATGGTAAGTTGTATTTTAAATTTGCACTTCCATACCTCTCAGAAGGGAGTTATAGTGCTATTTTCTTCCGGAAACTTCACAGAATTTCCCAGTACAAGGCAGGTGGAGACAGAGTCTGGAGGTCTAACTTGCCCTTTAACATTTCCATGCACCTCACATTCGACAGGACTCAATGTACACGTAACAGAGGGGCTACAGTGGCCTGGTGCCAGCAATGTTTCTTTTTGGCTTCACAAACTCTATAAAAATGAAGTTTTTTGAAGAGCTAAGGGAAATTATTCCTTAAAAATGTAGAAAGTGAGAATAGAAGTGCTACAATGTCCAAGGGCACTCACTGACCAGGACTGAGGGTCCAGATTCTTGTTAGAGGAAAGCCTGCCACATATAAGACATAGGCACAGTCTAACTCAGTCGTTTTCAAACTCATCTCACGGCCCTTTTACAGGCTCACAAATGATCGCAGACCCTAAAGAGCTTTTGTTTATGTGAGTTGTTTCTATCAGTGTTTACCATACTGGAGGTTAAACCCAAGAAAGTTTTGCAACATGAAGACACAGGCACACATCCCAGAAGTGATGTCATTGCATGTCACAGTCTCTTTAAACACCGTTGTGTATAGTCAAGAGAGAAAGGGTGAAACAGGTAAATTGTATCTTAGTATTATTATAAAAATGGCTTTTATCTTGCAGGCAGACAGCCTGAAAGGGTCTAAGGGTGCCCCTCCCAAGGGTCCCTAAACCATAGTTTGGGAACCACTGGTCTAGTTCAAACTTGTACACATCGGCAGTGTCTTTGAACACGTAAATGAAGAAATGGCACAGTACCGAGTAAGAGGATGTACTGTTAATTTTTAAAAATTGAGGCACTGAATCAAATGATGGCATCTTTTTCTAGAGCATTTCTCTACTCACTACTGCCCCCAAACCATTAGTAAATTAAAATGATCCTTCCTGGTAATATGCCAAGCAGAATGACCCTAGGTCCAAATCTCTGTTTTGACCACTCTCTGTTTTCTATCTGCTCACTAAATATCTTCATCCATTTGCACCTCAAATGCAAAACAGCTAAAATAGTACTTATTTTTTAAATGTTTGGTTACTAATCTGGTTGTTAATGAAATACACAAATATTGTAGAAAAGCTGAAAATACCAAAAAGTATTTTTTAAAAAAGAAAGAAAGGTGTCCTATGTTTCCACCCTCTGGGAAGGCCATGGTCAACATTCTGGGCAATAGCCTTCCGGTCTTTTTATCATGTATATTTTAAAAATGCAATGAAGTTCATATTTTAAAGATAATTAGTATATTTTATTTAAAAATATTTTTAGTATGAAAGAAATGCACATTGCTTAAGAAAATCTAGAACATACAAGCAAAATAAAGATAATGCTCATAATATGTTGATGTGTATAAGCAATCTTTATTCTGTGTGCATACTGTACCTTTTTTTAAAAAATGAAATGATTAGACTGCACATGCTGTTATATAACTTGTCTTCTTCGCAATTTATTTAGAACATCTTTTTATGTCACTCAGTATTCCTCAATCCCTCCTTGGCATTTTTATTATATGGCTGTACTATGGTTATTCAAAAATTACTATTTTAAGAATATTGTGATGAACATTTTAGCTAAACTTCTGAACACATCCATGGCGGTTCTCTTTGAGTTAATGTTCTAGAAATGGAAATTCTGGGACAAAAGGTATGTCAATTTTTTAGGCGTTGATACACCTTATTTAAGTCCCCTTAAGAAAGGTGTTCTTTCATTAACTGTGTATGACAGAGCCTGATGTTCCCTACTCCCAACTTCACTGGGTAAATGTTACAAATCTTCATCAATTGTATAGGTGAAAAATACTATCTCATCATTTTAATTTGCATTTCTTTGATTGCTGTTGAGGTTGAACATTTTTCTTCTATTTTGTTGATCATATTTCTTTCTTTGTTGGTCTTACCTTTCTGTTCTTGGCCCATTTTCTATTAGTGTAATTATCTTTATGTTATAAATCTATATTAATTTGTAAGAACTCTTAATAACTCTTTCTCATACATGGGTAAATACTGCCCCAGCTTGTCTTTTATCTTTCAGAATAGTTCAGAATGTCTTTTGATTGAAAGAAGTTCTGAGGTGTTACATAGCTAAGTACATTCTCTTCCTTGATAATTTCTGACACTAGAAATTAATAAGGCCTTCTTTATTCTAAGATCATTTAATTTTTAGTTGTATTTTCTTCCATGTCACAAGTTTAGACCTTGCAATAGCTCTTCAAAGTCTGCCACAAGGAGGACCTGGCCAATGCCTTCAGAAAAATGACTGTTGAGGCTTATTAAATATAGATTGGACATTTGGTGAAACAAACCATTGAGGGTGTCCTGGAAAGGAGAGAGATCTTTTATGTTTATTATTCACCAATTCCTTACACAACCTCCAGTAGCTCTGTTAACTTGCTCTTTAAGAAGTTTAAAATGAAAAAAGTGTTCATATTAGGTTTATGTTAAAATATTAAACCAGTGGGCGTGATGACTCTTCTTACCTTTGCCAGAACAGCAGCTGTCTTAGATAGAAAATACCTTTGCTACGTTCATAATGTATTTCTTGCAAGCACAGTGCATGGCATATAGTATGCACTTGACAAATATGTGTTGGAGCTGATGTTTTACCAACTAGAGCTCTGTATATGCCAGGTTTGGGGTGAGAGAGGCAGGGATAATAAAGTCTGGACTTCACAGCTTCATATGAAGGAGGTGCAATGAAAGAAAAACTCCAAATGAAGGTAGAAACTAAATTTCAGTTTTACTTTTTAGTTGACTGTAGAGATACTGATCTGCGTGTAAACGTGAAACTGCCTCAGACCTGGGACAGTAGGATGTGGTGCTGAATACTGGAAAATATTCAGAGAAAAAAAAATTCTGCTGGGCAGATCATTAAGCAAAACAGTGGCATCCACCCACTAAAAGAGACAAGGGGCACTACTCTACTTCATTTGGATGCTTTGGCATTTGTCCAAAGCAATAAAAATCAGATCCAGCTTGATCTGAACATAACAAGGAAGAAACAGTTCTCAAGAAGATCCTTTTTCATGATGGGGGAAGAGAGAGGGTCATTTTGTATAATAATGGAAAAATCAATTATTTTTCAATCAGATGGAGTGTCCTCATAAATTTAAAGCACAGAACAGCATGTGACATGCCTTCATAAAAAACAATGACCATGAGGGAGAAGAGTAAAGGATCATAATCCCAAAGTTGCTACTAAGAAGGAAAGATCTTTCAAGAGAAGAACAACACTTTTCTTGCTAGTGTGTTTTCTGTGAATGTACACAGTGGTCAGTATGCACTGAACGTACACCATCCTGCACAATTTGCCTCTACAGAATCCTGTTCAATTGGCTTCCCATTTGGCTATGGCTTTTAAGTGACACACTGAAATCCTTTCTCTATAGCATGATAATGCAGCAGTAACACAGATAAACCAGAAATGTTGGTTTTTCTTACTGGCAAATATACTATATGTAATATATATTTACACATATTAGCAAGAAAATAACCAAGAAAGTAGTAGAAATACTTTTGACAGAATTTAAAAGTTAAATTTTGGCCAGGTGAGGTGGTTCACACCTGTAATCCCAGCATTTTGGGAGGTTGAGATGGGAGGATTGCTTGAGTCCAGGGGTTCCAGACCAGCCTGGGTAACATGGCGAAACCCCATCTCTACAAAAAATACAAAAATTAGCCAGGTATGGTGGCACACACCTGTAGTCCCAGCTACTCAGGAGGCTGAGGTGGGAGGATTGCTTGAGTCCAGGAGGTTGAGCACTCCAGCCTGGGTGACAGAGCAAGACCCTCTCTCTCTCTCTCCAAAAAAAAAAAAAAAAAAAAAAAAAGAGTTAAATTCTAATTATGAAGTTTTTGATCAACATAAAGATTGGAAAGTCAGCTCTTGCAAAAAGCTGCGAAGAATGTATGAACACTGGAAAGATGGTCAAGTCTGCATGAGGGTTTGGGAGAATGCACACCCTGGGAAAATATGTGCCCCACAATTTCTTTAACATGTAAGAATTTACAATGGTTGTCAGAATTTACAACCATTAATGCCTGTTTACAATATTTAAAAGGTGAATAAATAAATATGAGGCTGTCTACTCTGTGTAAACCCATGAGTTTGTTATCATATTCCACGTACACTAACATATTCCCTGTAGACTGGCCTCAGGGATGACAGCAGATTCTTGATGGGCCTTATGCGCAGGAATGCCCTCTGCTTCTCTTTTTAGCTGGCACTGATACACCAACATGCGAGCTATCCAAAGTCCCAAAGTACACCCCTTTCTGGTGTTTCCTCAGACCCTGGCACAGATAGGAGTTCAAGAATGTGAGGAATGAAGGCCCTACCTGATGGACAGCAACTCATGAGGTATCAGGGTAGTCCTGTTAAATTAGTGCGGCCAACTGCTAATCCTTTTGTGGCACGGGATTTGGGGGATTCTGTGTTTTCTAGAGGGATGGTCTCTAATGGATTCAAAAGAGAGCTGTCAATGTCTAACTGCAATCAGCATCGCCCTGGCACTTCAAAGGAATAACAAGGACCCTAGAACGCCAGGGCCACCCTCCATCCGAACACCTCCCTAACTGAAGTGCCCCGTCAGTGAGCTGGGATTTAGGAAGAAAGGAGAGCATTACAGTGTGTGTCTGAGGAAGAGGAGAGTGCACAATTCGAATGTCTCCAACTTTCTAGGAACAAATCCACTTAGAACGTCAGTCACACCCACAACAATATTTCTAGCACTCCAACTAACACCATAATTGAGGAGGAGATTCTCTGGTTTTATTCATGCTGAGAAGAGCTGTTTCCTCCCCAGAGAGTGACCTATTCTTTGTCTTATGCCAAGAAAGCCATAAGAAAAATGCTGACCTATGAAGGTGACACATCATGCTTAATCACTACTTTCAATTAAAACAATATAAAATAAAGAACGTACTGAGCCACTCAGGCAGAACATAATATCCCAAGCAACAGACACACCTACTGAGACTTGACATTTCCGAGGAGTCTGGTTCCCAGCTGTGTGTGGAGAGTGAATCCATGACATTAGATGTTGGGTTGCCCTGGAGAAACTTAGGGCGGAGCTGTCACAGCAAACTGCATTTGCTGATAACAGATTTCCCGAGTTGCCTTAGCTTTTCAATACACCAAACTCCAAATACTAGGAGCCAAAAAAGGTTTGCAGCCATGGATCTCCCCTCATCCCCACCTCCAGTCATGACCCTGGGGCAGAACACCTGCCTACTTTCCAGTATTCTAGCAGCTAACTTCTCAAAGGAGGCTTAACGCCAAGTGTTTAAGCTGGGGTGGGGTTGAAGCGGGAAAACTCAGCACTGGTTTCTTTCTCTTTGGCTCAGCTCAGCCAAACAAAAACTCCTCAAAAACAATTGCTTGTTTTTTTGCTGGTCTCTTCAGATAGGATAAAGCGGCCAGAGTCTCCCATAAAACTTGCATCTAGGGAAAGAGGGTAAGTGCACAGAGGGCTTTTCCAGCTTTCTCCCACCCCTGAAGCTGCCCAGGGCCCTTCGTGCCCATGAGAAGGCTGAGTAAATGACCATGAGAAAAGTCACCACTGGAAGAGGGTCCTTTAGTAGAAGAATTTCAACAGGGAAATGGGCTTTCTAAAGTCTAGAGATTCCATATGCTCTTTTCACAACCAAACCATCGAACAGGGCTGTCCAACTCTACCACAATCCATACAACAGGCCCACAATAACACACCTGTTTTTGTAGGCTCCGGAAACAACTCTCCCCTGTTTTAAATCCTTCAGTGGCTCATAGGATCTGGCCCTTGCCTCCTTCTCTGGGCTTATATTTGACCACCTTCCACTTGTGCAGCAGTTTCCAACCAAGGGGTAATTCTGTCCCCGTATGGGACATTGGGCAATAATCTGGGGACATTTTTGGTTGTCACAATTAGAGTGAAGGGAAGGGGATGCTACAAAAAATCCTAAAATTCAGAAGACAGTCTCTCACTGCAAAGAATTACCTGGTCCAAATACCAAGTGTCAAGGCTGAGAATCCCTGCTCCAGCCATACCAAACTCTTTGCTGTTCTCTGAGCACACCAGGCTTTCTCATATGCTTTTGTGCCTAAACACATTCCTTTACCTGGAATGCCTTGCCCCACCTTCCCTGTCCAGGAAATTACCATTTCCCATCTAGGATCCTACTCAAATGTCACCTCCTCTACACTGTCTTTCCCAGATTCCCCAGAGTTGGATGTTCCTTTTTCTGTGCCTCCAAAGCTTCTGGTACACACCTTGCTAGAACATACTCACTATGTTGACCCAAGATAGTCTGCACACGCTAAAGGCATCTCAAGTTGTATTCTTCGTTTATTCCCATAGGGCCCATCTGGTAATAAATCACCACTCACCAATTTAATCAGGGAATAAATCAAAATGGAAAAGATGCACCTTACACTCTCTTGGAACTATGTCTAAGGGATAACAGTGTCCCCAACATTAAAAACAACAGCAGTAAATATGTATCAAGTGCTTGTAATGTGGACAGGTACCATATTAAGCACTGGTATACGCAGTAACTCATTTCATCCTTGCAATAATCCTATCAGGTAGGTATCATTATTATCAGCATTTTACAGATGGGGAAATTGGGGAACCAAGAAGTCAGGCCACTTGTCTAGGGTCACTGACACTAGCATCCCAAAAAAGTGATATTTAGTCCCAGGAAATCTAGCCCCAGAGTCTCAATATTCCAATATTCATGCCAAGGCAGTTACACTAAAACCCAGTATTTCAGCCACTCAGAGGCCCCTGGCAAGTATAAATGACACCTCCAGAGGACTACGCAGCCAGAGTAGCCACCAGCACCTGTGACCCTGCTTGTGGGGGATCACACGACTCTCCAACTCTGAAATGCTTCTGGCAGGAGAAGCAACCTCTTCACATCATGGAAAGACATATGTACTCCAGAAAATCATGGTACCGTAAAGGAAATACAAGTGCTGATTCCTCAAAGTACCTCTTACCTTGTTCATGCTGCAGGGATGGGAGCAAGGGATCAGACATGTCACAGTGCGAGGAAGTTCTTGAAGATTCTCCTCATTCCTGGAGCCCTCACTTTCTGAAGCAGACAGCTGCACTGTGAATATAAACAAAGAAGAAATCCATCAGCTGGTGCCCAGGAAGGCATAGAGCACTGCCATGTCCAGTGGCACTTGCTGTCATGATGGCAATGATCCAAGTCTGCACTGTCCAACATGGTAGCCACTAGTCAGATGTGGCTATTATTGAGCACTTGAAAAGCAGCTAGTGCAAACGGGGGCTGCCAGGACTCAACAGCTAGAACTTTCACAGATTTCCTAGAAAGGCAGTGTACCATAAGGGAATTCAGGAGGTCAGTCTTCCATGGGCCAAATGAACTAAACAGTCCAATTCCCCCCAAACAGTCCAATTCCCCCCACCATGTTTTCATTCATGCTATTTATTCTTTACATGGCGTTTTTTGATTCATATGAATTACATTTTAGAGTAAAAGGGTCATTGTACAGTTTCAGGGTTCTTCTTTGTCTTTTTTGTTTTTGTTTTTGTTTTTTTGGCATAGAGTCTCATTCTGTTGCCCAGGTTTGAGTGCAGTGGCATGACCACGGCTCACTGCAGCCTCAACCTTCTCGGCTACAGTGATCCTCCCACCTCAGCCTCCCAAGCAGCTGGGGCTACAGGCGTGCACCACTATGTCCAGCTAATTTTTGTATTTTTTGAAGAGATAGGGTTTTGCCATGTTGCCCAAGCTGGTCTCAAACTCCTAAGCTCAAGTGATCCTCCTGCCTTAGCCTTCCAACATGCTGGGATTATGAGCCACCATACCTGGCCAGTTTCAAGGTTAATTTGTCAAATATTAGGGGAAAATATTTTAAAAATGACTTCAATTACTTAAATGGACTTGTAGCCTTTTCCTCTGAAAGGTGTTTACAGGTGGAACTGAGAGGAGAGCAAAATATTGTAAGGTTCCTGATACTCAATTTGTGTGTTATTTTTTTAAGTTGCATCTAGGAGGGATTTATATATCTGCACCTTCCCATAATACATGGAATCGGAGGTTTAACTGGAACTGCAGTGCTTTTAAAAATGAAAAATATACTATTTTTAATTATAATATATTAAGACTATAGAAAATGTTCAACAGGAAAAGAAAAAGGTACTTATAACCCCACAAGCCCACCATAACCATCTTTAGTTCTTAGTAATCAGCCTTTGTCTACACTGGAGAATAACATGTCTGCTAACTAAGTCCAGGACATGGAGAATTCCAAAGCTGTATTCCCCATATTAACATCTTTCACTGCTAAGAAAATGATTTTGCAATTTACATTTTCAAAGATAAACTCCTACTCCATGCACATTACTATTCTATGAACATAATATTACTACGTTCCTTTTATAAATCAGATGATAGAGAGAGGAAATTGCAAATCACTCCTTGGCTATTTGAAATACAGATTCCAAAAAAAATACCACATGCGGATTAAAGACTTAAATGTAAGATCTAAAACCATAAAAACCCTAGAAGAAAACCTAGGCAATACCATTCAGGACATAGGCATGGGCAAGGACTTCAGGACTAAAATACCAAAAGCAATGGCAACAAAAGCCAAAATTGACAAATGGGATCTAATTAAACTAAAGAGCTTCTGCACAGCAAAAGAAACTATCAGCAGAGTGAACAGGCAACCTACAGATGGGAGAAAGTTTTTGCAATCTACCCATCTGACAAAGGGCTAATACCCAGAATCTACAAAGAACTTAAACAAATTTACAAGAAAAAAAACAACCCCATCAAAAAGTGGGCAAAGGATATAGACAGACACTTCTCAAAAGAAGACATTAATGCAGCCAACAAACTTATGAAAAAATGCTCATCATCACTGGTCATTAGAGAAATGCAAATCAAAACCACAATGAGATACCACCTCACACCAGTTAGAATGGTGATCATTAAAAAGTCAGGAAACAACAGATGCTGGAGAGGATGTGGAGAAACAGGAACACTTCTACACTGTTGGTGGGAGTGTAAATTAGTTCAACCATTGTGGAAGACAGCGTGGTGATTCCTCAAGGATCTAGAACTAGAAATACCATTTGACTCAGCAATCCCATTACTGGGTATATACCCAAAGGATTATAAATCATTCTACCATAAAAACACATGCAGATATATGTTTATTGCAGCACTGTTCACAATAGCAAAGTCTTAGAACCAACCCAAATGCCCATCAATGATAGACTGGATAAATAAAATGTGGCACATATATACCATGGAATGCTATGCAGCCATAAAAAAGGATGAGTTCATGTCCTTTGCAGGGATATGGAGGAAACTGGAAACCATCATTCTCAGCAAAGTAACACAAGAAGGGAAAACTAAACACCGCATGTTCTTACTCATAAGTGGGAGTTGAACAATGAGAACATATGGACACAGGGAGGGGAACATCATACACCAGGGCCTGTCGGGGGGTGGGGGGCTGGGGGAGGGATAGCATTAGGAGAAATACCTTACGTAAATGATGAGTTGATGGGTGCAGCAAACCAACGTGGCACATGTATACCTATGTAATAAACCTGAATGTTGTGCACATGTATCCCAGAACTTAAAGTATAATAAAAAAGAAAATACCACATTCAGTCATAGCAATAGCATATTTTAACAATAATGTACAACACAGATCTTGGAATTCCAACTTTGTAGTACGAATACATCCAAACATCTCCACATGTACATGATGCCTGGGTAATCATGGCTTCAAAGTCAAGAAAATTCAATATCTAATTGTAATTGATCTTAAAGTGACTGAAAAAAATAATGCATGTAACTTTTACTCTTTCAATTTCCAGAAGCATGTGCTAATAAATTTCTTAGTTTTAAAGTAGAACTTTATACATGCTGTTTCCTTTTCAATGTATGTATCCATCCATGTAAAAACTACAGCCTAGCACTTAACTGGAAAGCTTGCCCAAATGCCTAGCAGAGATGCCTCATGTCACAATTCAATTTCTATGTACACATTGGTATCAACACAGGAAATGTGGGCACAAGAAGATAATAACAGACAAGGATTCTTGAACATCATTTCCCTGAGGAACCCCACCCAGCTCCAATCATGCCACAATCCCCGTACTCTCAGAACTTGGATAAATAGCTTGCACTAAACTGATTACGGATCCCTTCCTGCCCCCGCCCCAACTGTTCTTATGTCATTTTCATGTATGTTGTTTTACAACCGAAACAGGCTAAAAACCCTTTGAGGGAAACATCAGACACACAGAACGTTTTAAAATAAATATTACGATAGTTTTTTCTTTGCTGTCACTCACAGGGCCTAGGATGATACAGACTCTTAAGTGTGGGGTCTTAAAAACAATGTTAATAATTGTTGCAGCTGCCTTTGGAGTTCTTTTAAAAAGGAAAACCTCTTAATGCCAGGGTTGTAAATCTTTTAAAAAATATTAAGAATGTCATACAACTGTATAGTACCCCAAACTGTACAATGCACTTTTATATATTAATACTCTCATTTAATACTAATACCAATCTGGGTGGTAGTTTTCCTAATTTGGAAACCAGACACAGAGAGGTAAAAGAATTTTTCCTGGTTCTTGCTATAATAAGCAATAGACCCTGGACTAGAAGTGACTTCATTTCAAGACGCTATGGAAATAAAGCATGTGAAAGACCAGAAATAAAAAATAAACACAACACACACCCCAAAACAACACACACACACACACACACACACACACACACACACACGCACATGCACACACCAAGACCACCATTTAACAGAAAACGCCTCAGAGAACAGATGACAATTTTAGAAACTGGGTCAGTTCACTTCTGGACAGCAACCAAAAAGACTGGCCTTGTTCTATCAAGTACTTTCCATCTCCTTTGAAATCGAGGGAACCTGGTTGTTTTGCAGCCAATTCAGTTTATGAAGAAGCTTAGCAAAATCTACAGCTTAAAAAAGGAGACTGCATCTTAAATATAAAGCATTAGGGAAAAAGATACCTGAGTTACCATGGTGGAATCAAGAATGTTTTCTTTTTTAGTTTATTATTCAATGTTTCTTTTTATTGTTTTAAGAAGTTGGATTCCTCTAGTACTGAACAAAAGGAAAACTACAGACGTCTTTAAAGGGTGCCTTGAGAAAGTTAATCCCATAAGCCCGTGTGACTTCCACTCAGCTGATCCTAACAGTTGGTTCAATGGTCAATCTTAGACTTCTAAAAGGTTAATGAAACATAATTTGTCTTTCCAGGTGGATAGAAGCATGGGTAAGAAGAAAGGTGGTCCAGAATTACAGAATCCCAGCACTTTGTGAGGCTGAGACGGGTGGACCACTTGAAGTCAGGAGTACCAGCCTGGCCAACATGGAAAAACCTCATCTCTACTAAAAATACAAAAATTAGCTGGGCATGGTGGGGCAGGCCTGTAATCCCAGCTACTCAGGAGGCTGAGGCAGGAGAATAGCCTGAACCAGGAGGCAGAGGCACTGTAGCCTGGGTGACAGAGGGAGACTCCATCTCAAAAAAAAAAAAAAAAAAAAAAAGGCAGAGACAAAGTAAGTCTAAGAAGAAGAGAGAAATGACAAGAAAAGATGAAAGATATAAAGAATGGAGAAAAACAAAGGGCGGCAAGCAAACAAAGACACTCAGAGATAGGTTTGGTAACATGGCCAAGTGCCCCTCACCAGCCAGGTCCTCGCTATGGAAGAGACCCAGAGATTTGGGCTCCTGGTGACAATTCCACATCCTATGGCTTCTCTGAGGGTTATACTCTGATGTCTTGGGTGTCAGCAAATGGGAGTTGGAGAAAACACCAGGCGTACCTGATTCACCACTATTTATTTACCATCAACCTCCATCTACCATGGAGAGAAGCCTATTTTACCTGGATCACTGTTAATGTGGTATAGAGGTATGCTGAGAATAACATAAGCCACCTTTAATCCTATGCTCTTTAAAGAGAAGCTTAAAAGTGTCAAGGGCTGTGTGTGTGTGTGTGTGTGTGTGTGTGTGTGTGTGTGTGTGTGCTCTCCTGACCCTTGAAAATGCAACTAATACTGCCAAATACTGAATGGAATATGGTGAGTTGGGCTTTTCTCCCCACTCCAACTCCCACCCCCTTCTATGATGTCCATTCTAGAAGCCTTCAGTAATATATGTCAAAGCTGGGTAGCTCAGGCACTCCTGTGGGAGATAGATAGGCCAACAAGAGCAAGCAGGTCACTCTTCGCAGTGTTAAAGGTCTCACTAGCTTTTAGACATAACGTACCATGAGGCCAGTCTGTGGGATGGACTCTTGTTCCTACCCTTCCCACCACCACGCCCAGCAGCTTAGGCAGAGGGCTGGGGCATGAGGGCCTATGCCAGGCCCAAGAGCTTTTGGAGAAGGAGTAAGTGAAGTAATACAAGGTGAACCGGCTCTGAAGTCTAGAAAAAAATGCTCTTGCATCTAGGACTTAGAAACTTGGGAAATCAGATGGACAGGTGAGAGCAATATCCCAAATTTCCTCTACTCTATTTTAAGGGGTGGAGTAATTCACATGGCTTTGAAGTTAAGTCTGGACAATCTTCAACTGGAGACTTTCAACTGAAAAAATATAAGGTCATTTTATTACAGAAAGCTAATCCCTCCCTTCTACCATAGGGGGCATGGTGCTGGGATTGAAGGATCCAAAGGCAAAGAAACTAGACTCCTGCCCCCTTCCCCCAATGCATACACACCTTCTTTCCAAGTGGCTGGCTCATTCCCTGCTTCCTAAAGAAGAGGCAAGAGGAACAGAGTGGAGCTTGCCAAGGAGATTCCTGCAGGTCCCTCTCCATCCTCAAAGTTACAGCAGATGTGTGGCTGTGGTTCTCCATGACTTCAGTGTCCTCGCCACCCCACATGGAGGCAGCAAACACACTATAACATGGTTCTGCCCCAAGAGACCAGACGTTTGCCATTCTGCTTTGCTCCCCTGTGCGCTGCCTTCACAGCATACCATGGAAAACAGACATTCTAAGCCAGAACAACAAGAGCATCTTCCCATCAAGCATCAACAACAGCCTTCCTCCCCAAGGATAGGTTAGGTAATTTGAAAATGAATGTTCTGAAATTTTAACTAATATATGAGTTATGGTTCAATAGGAAATGGTAATAAAGAGGAGGAAACAAGAGGATTATAAATTATAAAAGAGAGACACATTGTTGGTAACACACGCACACAAATAGTCTGAGAGCCAGATGGGGAGAAACAGAGGCCAGGAAGGGCCAAGAGTGACAAGTGGTAGAGGGTCCATCACTTTCATACACCCACTTCTGGCACACAGGCTAGGGGGTTCTTGCACTTGGTCAAATGATAAGTCAGGATATCTAATCTTTAGATTCAGGGCTATCACTGTAAAATGTAAATCGCAGTCTCCAGTGATTTAGGACTATCTCAATTTAAAGGCACAACACAGAGGAGCCCCCAAGAGGTTACTTGGCCTGGCCCACTTCCCTTGCCTAAGTGACTATTTAAACCAGGGGTCACAAATTCAGATGACTGCAAGGGTCAAGAAAGAATGAGATGAGTGAAAGGTCAGGTCTGGGAAGACAGTGAGGAATGGGGCATCCGGGGAGTCTGCTACTCAGCTCTAGCCCCAGCAAAGCAGGAACAAGCCCCATGTGCCAAGAGCTTCTGATACTCAAGAAACGGAGTTGAGAGACTGTGTAAAATAATTTGCTGTTTTAATGTTGGAAACTCATGCTAATACTTTGGAAATTTTGTAGGAGTTGGGTCTGGTTGGCTAGTTTGCCTCTTCTACTGCACACCTTCCATGTCAGTCAGGGGATTCTTTGTTCCTGTAAACCTCCGGGAGAGAAAACTCTCTACCTGCCTCTTGGCCCCTCTGGGTTGTACTGCTAGGGCTTCACTGCCCACAGAAAGCCAGGGAGAAGAGTAGGCAAAGAGAGATAGGGGCCAAGTCAGTCTGAATATCAACTCCACCTCTCGGAATGTGATTTTTGGCAAGTTACTGGCTCTCTCTCAGTCTCTGTTCCTTTATCCCTAAAGCTGGGGGAAATTCTTTATATCTCTGGAGATTCTTTTGAGGATTGTTTTGAGCATTTCACAAGAAGAGATCTTGTCTATTTTGTACTAGTACCCAAATACCCAGCACCTATCCCGCTGCCTTACATACATACAGTAGGCACTCAATATATGCCAAATTTAATTATAATGTTTGGGAAGATCTCCTGTAAGTCTGGCACCAGTTGAACCTATTTCCTTTCATTCTCTCCTCTTCTGATGCTTTAATGTCAATATTCATATCTACTTCTCGCTTGGTCAGAATATTTTGAAATTAAACTTTATAGAAGTCCAAATTAAGAATAAATACTGAAGTTTTTTCTTAAGAAGCATGGCACACTTTTAGGTCAGCAAGGCACTATTTGGGTACTACTGGTGACAGCTTTTTGCGCACTTTAGAAGAAAAAAAACTAAACAAAAGAGATTTCATTGTCCTATTAATAAATTAAGGAATCATGCATTAAGTTTAGCATTCTCAACTCATGTTTGCCAATAGTGCACGTCACTGCAAAGGGAGTACACAGTGGCTATTCCAGGCAACTCTTGATCCATTTGTTCACTTTGGATTGAGAAGGCTGAATTATATTCATCTAGAACAAATGTTTACTAACCATGTCTTATTTACCTGGGTTTCTTTGATTTTATGCTGAAAGAATCCCAGACCCCTCCAAATAATTTCAACTTCCCTCTCCCTTGGCGGGGCGGGGGGAGGGGGTTGCTGTACAATTCAGGCAAACATATTTCCTATGATTTGGTGAGAAACTGAAATAACAGACAGCCTGATGGGTTACTTCAGAGTGATCCACTGCAATGGGAGCACTGTTAAAGAAGCGTTAAGGGGGCCAGCTATCTCTCCAATAAAAAGTTTCTAATTAAGGAACTAAAATATTCTCAAGAAGATCTTGGGGACAAGCTATAAGTAGGATGTTACCTTAATTGGGGCTAGTGCTTACAACTGAAACTGCTTAGCAAGCCAGAATGGGTTATATGCCTTGTTCCTCTTGAGAAGAAACTTTCATTAATCTGCAGAAGAAAACTCTAGTTGGCCTGAAGGTTCACTGTTAACCTCTGCTTTTCTGGGGCTTAGATTCTGTTCCTTTTTTTTTTTTTTTTTTTTTTTTTTCTGAGACAGGGTCTCACTCTGTCGCCCAGGCTGGAGTGGAGTGGTGCCATCTTGGCTCACTGAAGCCTCAACCTCCCAGGCTCAAGTGATTCTCCCACCTCAGCTTCCCAAGTAGCTGGGACTACAGGTGTGCACCACCCATGCCCAGATAATTTTTTGTAGAGACAGGGTTTTGCTATGTTGCATAGGCTGGTTTCAAACTCCTGGGCTCAAGTGATCCTCCTGTGTTGGCCTCCCAAATTGCTGGGATTACAGGCATGAGCCACTGTATCTGGCCATATTCTGTACTTATTATCAGCATCTCCTTAGTGCAGCTTATTCTTTTTGAGGGAGTACCATGTCCCAGGTTGTTAAGCCTCTCCACAGGGATCTAGTGTTTGCCTCCACTATGGCCTGAGGGCGTTCAATGCTCTCAAACCAGTTTCTGCCAAAACAGTTGAAGTTATACCATGCAGGTAGTAGTGTAACTATGAACCCCAGAGCTATTCAAACAGTGTAACCCTGGGTTTCCATCCCCCTGGTCTGTGCCCCAACACACAGACTTAAAGCCCCAAACAGACTGGGGAAAATCTTCTTGCCCCCCTTTCACAAGCAATTCCTGTGTGAGTATAGACACCATAGCCCCTAGAGCCTAGAGCCTACAGCTGGGTCTGAAACACTCTAAGGCCAGTGGCATCAATGTCTTCTGGCACCTAAGAATTTCCCTGTCCTGCTTTAAAGCTCGTATGTACTTGAAAATATTTAACCAATATAATACCTTAGGACTTTTTGGGGTGGGTGGTCAGAAGTAGGCCAGGCTTAGGACTTTTTGGGGTGGGTGGTCAGAAGTAGGCCAGGCTGCATGAGCTCAGTATACCATTCTGCCAGAATTGGGTTCCCTAAATGCAATTCTGCCATATTTAGGTTCCATATGTAGCCAATTCTAGCTGTCATTTAGGCTACAACTAGAATTATGTTCTTTGTAGCCTAAGCTAATTGCTGTGACTCT
Organism: Homo sapiens; assembly: GCF_000001405.40. Classification (NCBI taxonomy): domain Eukaryota; kingdom Metazoa; phylum Chordata; class Mammalia; order Primates; family Hominidae; genus Homo; species Homo sapiens. Next base: position 90,215,766 of record NC_000006.12, read on the forward strand.
TTCACTAACTCATCCTCATTACAGAGTGCCATTGGGGGTAGAAAGTGCTTACGGGTAGCCCAGGCCTTGAGAAACCTACCCTTAGCCAGAAGCAGCAGGTCCAGGCAGTTACCCCAAGGAAACAGGTCACCTTCCTTCCCAAGGCTGCATTTTCCACACCCAAGTCTGCCCTCAGTTCTGTGGAAAGGAATCTGCCTTCCATTAACTTTTCCATAATTTAGAACTGGATGACTGCACACTGATGTTTTAGTAGAATGAGAGAAGCAAAGACAGCAAGAAATGCAACAAGGGCACAACCACCTTAACACATCAGGGAGGTCTGCAGGGAGTCACTGCGTTCTCCGACAGCAAGCAGCCAAGAGAACAGCCACAGAAAGCAGTTCCAGCAGCTGACCCTGGGGTCCTCTCTGATCTCATTACAGCAGTTGACACTAGTCCTCACAAAACAAACAGAGGAAATTTATGCTTGCCTTAGCTGTGGAAAGCTCCACATTCCTTATTAACGAGAGTTTCAGCTTCTGAGACCACAGCCGCTGGAATGGGGAGGAGGTCAGCTGTGCTCCCAAGAAAGAACTGTGGCTGCTGCCTTGCCCTCTTTCTGGGGCTGGATATACAGGCAGCGAGCCTGGGGCCTAGGCTGTCTGCTCAGGTGACTGAGGGGAAGTTCCCTTTCTGCTAATGTCGACTTCCCTCGGCTCAGACGGTGGGGTCATTTCCTCTTAAACAGCACTGGGAAACTCACTGTAAGGGAGTCCTGAGGGGATCCACCTGCTAAGGTCGCAATTCCAAGAGAGAGGTTGTTCTGCATAACCATACTCAAAAGTACTCTTGCCTGCACCTTCAAAAACTTTACTTAACTTGGAATTCCAACTTAAAACATTATTTCATATCCTTTAATTCAATCTTAGAAGTAACTGAGCAGCCAGCTCATGACGTAAAGCGTGAGCTTCTAAACCAGAGTAAGAAATGTGGAGCAGAAGTTCTGAACCAGAGTGGTTTTGTCTCCCAGGGGACATCTGGCAATGCTGTAGACATTTTTGGTTGTCATGACCCGGGGGAGGGTGCTACTGGCATCTAGTGGGTGAGACCAATGATGCTACTGAAGATCCTACCACGTACAGGACACACCCCATAATAAAGTATTACTGGTCCAAAATGTCAATAGTGCTGAGATTGGGAAATCCTGACGGGGAGGGAACATTCAAGGATATGGGTAGACTTAAAATCATGCCAACTCATAATCACATTATAATAATGTGGCACCATGCAACTTGGGGTCCCCAAAATGTAAACAATTAACAACCATAAAAATTTACCAGTTCTCTCCTTGAGCGAAGTAAAAGCTGTAACTTACACAGAGTAAGACCATCAGAGTTGCCTGGAAGAAGTGGAACAGCTTCAGTGTTGGACTATGTTATCATCAATATCATCAGTGCCTTGTTTACTCCAGGTCAAGGTGTGATCTGAGTGTCTACTATCAAAATTCAGTGGTAGCTATTAACAGAAGGAGTTTATACGTGAAGTTCTATGGTCACTAAAACCGTCTAAATAACCTAAGAATATCTAGCTCTGGAAAAAACTGCAAAATGTTTCAACTTTTAAAATACCAACAAAATATGAGGAACAATGTTGATGTTGACCTACATTCTATCTAGGGTGGCTAAAAGAAATAGCTGCACAATAGGGTTCTAAATAAATGCAGAATTGAAGAAATGCATCATAACAAAGATAATCAGGGTGACTATTTTGAAATGCTCCCCATTTCTGTTTTTCTTTCTGTTTTCAAATATTCCCTCTCATCCACGCGGCATATTTTCATTACATTTGTTGTAAGAATGTACATTTAGATAATCTACTCACTATTCTTTTATGCATTCTTTTACTCCAGCCAAAAAGGGAAAAAGTCCCTATCCAAACAAAGCTAATGCATGTAAGCAAATTTGAAGGAAAAAAAGAATTTCATGAATGAGCGGGAGACAATTTTTTAATGGAATGTTTTAAAGGCTTGTGGTATAAACAGTAAACAAAATTGATTCACTAACATTAATACTGTTTGCCATGATGTGAGAGTTGGTCTTTTTTTTTAATGCCCCAGAAGCTAAAGGAAAATAAATACTGTGGTAGGGAAAAATAATACCTTACTTGGCATTTTGAAGTCATTGCTCAATCCTTCTTGAGCAAGAAAACCATAGTAATGACTTTGTTTTACCTACCGCAATTATGGTACACCTCGCAGCAATCCTTCACAATATTTTCCTCCCTCTGTTCAAGTCCTGCTAAATAATCTCTGGAAACCATTAACTAAGAGTACGGTTCCAATTTTCCTGTTCTCCCTCCTCTGCTGCCTCAGTGTCATGTTGGCGTCAGGACAAAGCAAACTTGTATGACATCACAGAGCAAACTCATTTTCTGTAAACCAGCCCCTTGGTAGTTTACCGCTACTGGAACCCAACGCTGTCAACAGTGTGGTCTTTGTTTGGTGGGTGTTGCTCTAAAAATTTTTTTAAAGTTTCCCAACACCTTCTTCTTTTAAACAGAGGCAAGCTGCTGGAGGCGCCGTCCTCGCCTGGCCCGCCCCACTCTGTAAACTAGACATTACCTTATACACAAATGACTCTAGGCATTCCTCAGTCTAGCTGCCTCACTGCAAAATTCCTATGCTCCTCAGCAGCAGGGCAGCGCACATTCCCCTGGCTTCCCCTCTTTCCTCTTCCCCCACCCTCCTCTTTTTCTTTTCTTTCTTTTTTTTTTTTTTAATTTCCACTGCCTCACTGTGTTTTTGTGTAAATGATCTCACATGACTCAACAAATCCATCTGCCTGAAGCAGGCCAAGTCTGGAGCCCTCCCAGGAGGGAGGAGAAGAATTGCTTTGTGGAAAGGACCTGGAGCTCTGCCCTTTCTCTGGCTCGAATTACCCGCCTGTCAGGCCTGACGGATTTGGCTAAAAATAAAAGGAAACGGGCCGTGAAAAGCAGATGAATGGGCTCAGCAGTTCCTTAGATAACACAGGCCTGCTGTTGCCCAAAGCTCCCCAAACAGAAACTTCAAATGCAGGGCCTCTGAGTCAGTGATGTGGCTTCCAGGTGAACGAGGCCTGTCAAATCCACTGGAGTTGGGGGACATGGCCTGGGCTGTGAATTTCGGTTTCCTTTCCGTGTGTGTGTGTGTGTGTGTGTGTGTGTGTGTGTGTGACACAGAGAGTGAGAGTGCACGCAAGAGAGATTGAGAGAGTGAGAGAACCAGTCTAGTATTAAAAGGTTCTCAGAAAACAGTAGACTTCAGTGGAGTGAAGGCTTGTAAAAAAAAGAAAAAAAATTGTTGTTTCCACTACAAAATTATCCTTCTCCCCACCTCCAACACCAGACATTTTCAGCCTCCCTATGATGTCACTTCTCTGTTTAGAGCCAGCAAAGAGCTAAAAGTCTTTCTTGTAAGTGTATGCCCAGCGCCTGCAGTGGGTATTAAGCACTTAGGTTGGCAATGTAATGACACACTGTAACAATCTGTAATATGAGGCAGTCAGCAAAGCCCTGGCTCTGAAAGCTATTTCTCCCGACCATTAACCATATGTTTGGCTCCTCAGATAGCCAAGCGGGTGTTCCAGCTTACCATCTGGTTTCTATCCACACAAGCAACTGCAAAGCACAGGCTATGTCCCTCTGGAGCTGTGTGTTTCTTTTTCTCTCTCTTTTCCGCTCTTCTCTTCCCCTTTCCTCCTCCCAGCTCCTTTGGTTCCTTCTGCTAAAGAATTCTCTGCCATTCATCACGTACAAAGAAAACTTTACCTGACATGGCAGCGGCAGAGCCATTAAGAATGCACAGCTGTATTGTAAACACGCCAGAGGGCCATTTACCATCCGCGGAATCTGTACAAGTCGGGCTCTACCCCTTCCTCATCTACTGAGTGCTGACACTTGATCCAGCATGTTAAAAACAGGTACATTCTTGAGAGATCCAGGGGTTGCTGTGGTGCCCTTCATACTCACTTCATATTCTGGGAGTGGGGCTTTAAAACACATACACACACACACACACACACACACACACACGCTCCCGAAGTTTGCCTCTGCATTCAATCTGCCTGACGTCAGTCTCACACAGGATGACATACCACCACTGCAAATAACCAACTTAACTACAGGTTTTGATTCTTTTTTCTGCACTAAGGGTTTGATCCCAAGTGTGTATTTTTCTGAGTTTTTTTTTTTCCGCCTAAACAGCCCACATTGAAAGAGATGACACTTCAGAAGAATAAGAACATGCAGCCGCTTGTAACAAATTGACAACCTGCAAAACTTATGCTTATTTACATCTGCACTTTTTAATAGTACACAGCAATGAAATGGAACCTACTATCAGAATTTATAGAATTTTTTCACAATGTTTCCAAAGTATTTACCCCAGAGTTTCTCCGCTACAGGATTTAAGGTCCTTTATAACTCTATACATTTTTAAATGTATGAAGGAAGATGTATTTGATATATAGAAATTAGGTCACTTTTCTTCCTGTCCCCCTAAGAATAAGGTCTGCATTAGCAGCCCATTTTACCGAATTAGGAAATTAAAGTTAATTCTTTCCCACACACTGAAAAAAATAAGGGCTGGTTTCTAACATATCAAGAACAAAAGAAAGAATATCATTAAAAAGTGACTAACCAGAATGTCAGATTTTATCAATGTGGCAGAGCTACAGAGGATTTGTCAGGGGAGGACTGTTTATTCAGGCTAACAAGGGTGCCAGGAAGGCCACTACCTATGTAAACTTCTTAAACCCACAGCCCTTGTCAGTCCTCATTTCCATGATCTGAAATAGGTGTTGTGTTAGCTATTTCTATCAATAAGGGACATTAAAATTCTGCTGCATGTAGGTTTTTAGAGAGTGACAGAAAAGGAAATTTTTAATTTCAGAAGCCTTAGGAAAATTGTCCACAGATGATGGCGTCTATTAAATGCTGTTTGAGGTCTCAAAACCATAATACAAACTTTAAATTGCATTAGCTTGACTGCCAAGAAAAACAATAACAGCATAGTTAATAAAAAGAAAGAAAAATTAGCAATTTAAAACTTCAGTATTTTCATAGTTAACTACCTGGTTTTCTAAGCACTGCAGAATCATTTTATTACAGGTATTTGTGCTTTTCATAAATACTGGTGCCTGGGCCCCTTTCCTCCAGCTCAATTATACAAGGATCCCTGAGTGGGGAGGTATTTTTGAAAAGCTTCCCAATTTTGTGCAACTAAAGTTGAGAAGTGTTGCCTTATGTGAACTAACATGATAGTAGAAACCATCTCATCAAAATAAAAATGAAACCTTTGGTATAGAAATGTAAATGAAATTTAGGAATAGAACAGTAGCTTTCCAAACTTGTTCTGAAGTGAAATCTTCAATCAAACAAAATCTTATATGAAATCCCTATAAGCAAGATAGGTAAAAAGCAGTAATTTATACTGTCCTTTTATACTTTTAGTCTGTACAATATTCATGGATTTTTTAAGTTCAAAGTTATAATTTTTTAATCATAAGCCACCCAGTGAGAAAAAGGAGGCCATTTTATTGAACACAAAACCTGAAATTGAGGTTAAGGCTGAAAGGTCCAGTCCTATACACCTCAGCATCTAATTTTTTCCATGGCCAATGGTTAAGATGATCAAGGTCTGATGTATATAAAAATAGCAGTGTGTATAGCAGGATGAAAATTAGTTCATAAGTTAATGTAATAAACATCCATTAAGTGCTTACTACACACGAGGTACTGCCCTGTGGTCATCAGAGAAATAAGTTGCAGCCTTTCCCTTGAGGAGTCTACTTAAGACGACACCTAATGGCAGAACAGCAAGACAAATGCAATAATGGAGGTGCTGAGAGACACTATATGGGAAGGAGTGGCTAATTCTGCTTGAGGAAATAGGGCGTGACATCACCAGCAAGGGACAATTAAGTCAGGTCCTAAAAGTGTGAGCAGGATTTTTGACACCTAAAAAAGGAGGGACATTTCAGAAAGAAGAAACTGAATGTGAAAAAAATTAAAACCCGTAAGTATAAACAGGGTTGGTGAGTCTGGGGGTTATGAGAAATTCTGCAAGGGACAGGAAGGGCTGGGAGATGAGGCCAAAGAGGTAACTGAGTCCAGGTTATAAGAAACTCTAAATGTCATGATATAGCTTAGACCAGTGCTGGCCAACAGAAACACAAGGTGAACTAAACCTGTAATTTAAAACTTTTTAATAACCACATTAAACAAATAAAAAGAGAGAAATTTACTTAATATTATAGAAAAAAGTATTATTTTAACATGCTATCAATATAAAAAGTATTAATGTGCTATTTTACAAATTTTGTTCATACTGAGTCTTTGAAACAGGGTGTGGATTCTACACTTACGGCACATCTCAATTTGGACAAGCCACATTTTAAGAGCTCAACAGCCACCTGTGGCTAGTGACTATTATATTTGGAAAGCACAGGTTTAGCCCTTATTTTGCAGGCAGTGCAGACCAAAGGATATGCTTGGTTTTATTTCATGAGACAATGGCAACAATGTGAAGAAGCAGAAACATTGGGTCTGGGAGAAGGCTTCTGAGGTGGCTTCCACAGTCCATGCAAGGGACACAGAGAAGAACAAGGCTCAGAGCAAGTAGGATGGCATGGAAGAGTCAGAGTCAGAAGATACTTGTAAAAGGAATTCAGAAAACTTTAGAAGACTGTATGTGAGGGATCAAGTGAAGGACTCACAGAACCATTACATTTTTTTCATGCTGAAATTTGTGCTTAGAATGAAAGCTCACTGATTGTGTATTTAATATGAAGTTTCATTGTTCCTTTTGAGCTTGCTTCCTTCTGCAGTAGAATGCAGTGTCACTTATGTAGGATATAGTAAATTCCTCTTCAAAGAACCAATATGGTACGTTCAGCATGTTCAGCTCTCCTGTTCTTTGTTCTCCATTTTAAAGTTTAAAACTTCCTCGTTCTTTATGTCTCCTTGCCCCTAGTTTCAGTAAACAACCCCCTCTTAGCCTCTATCATCTGCTCTTAGTCATCCTTAGTCACCTGCTCTGTCCTTAGTCAACTGCTCTGTCCTTAGTCATCCTTAGTCACCTGCACTGTCCTTAGTCATCCTCTGTCACCTGCTCTCAAACAGTCCTTCCTGCCGAAACTACTCAACCCGCCACTCTGGCGCGCACCCCTGCTCTCTTTAAAACAGCCAATCGGAATTAGCTTAGACTGTGTGGTCCAACCCTAGCCAATAGGGGAAAGACACAGCAGTAGGGACTAGCTGCGTTAAGGATAAGACCCACTTCCCCTTCCTTGTCCAGTGTGCTCTCGCCATTGCTCCATCCATGAGACGCACCCTTCTATAGAAGCAAATTGCCTTGCTGAGAAAACTTTTGCCTGGGTGCTATTTTCACTTGGTGGCACCGAGCATTTACTTCCAACACTTAATAAACATGTGCTGAGTACCCACCACATGTTAGGCAACGCTGGGCACTGGGGAAGCAAAGCTACGACATAATTCTTACTTTCAAAGAGCTCAAATACAGTGTAGGAGACAAAACAAATTACAACAGAGCATTAAGTAAATTAATAAACAGATATGCAAAGAGGCCTACAAAATGTTCCATAATGTATAACTTAGAACTGTTTCATATAATGTATTCAATGGCACTTGTGAGATGGAGTGGGGCTTTCAGATAGTAAGGCTTCTATCAGCTGACTTTTTTGAGACAGGGCCTCACTGCAGTTGCCCAGGCTGGAGTGCAGTGGCGTGATCTCAGCTCACTGCAGCCTCGACCTCCTGGGCTCAGGTGATTCTCTCACCTCAGCCTCCCAAGTAGCTGGGACTACAGGTGCACACCACTACACCCAGCTAATTTTTTTTTTGTTTTTTTAAGTAGAGATAGGGTTTTGCCATGTTGCCCAGGATGGTCTTGAAAACATGGACTCAAGCAATCCACCTGCCCTGAGCTCCCAAAATGCTGGGATTACAGGTATGAGCCACCAGGCTCAGCCTCAATTGATTTTTAAAAGTGATCCAGAATATGATTTACTTCTGTGTCTGTATTTGGTTGCACTCACTGTATTAAGAGAATCCTGATACTCCTAAATACAGATAACACTATCTGAATCTCTGCTCTCAAAACTCAAATTTTCAGACAAATCTCTCGCTATTTGCTACTCTTACTACTTACTATCTGAAACTGAGAAACGAAGCTGACATGAACATAACAAGTTCAAATTCCTTTGCACTGGAATTTACAATGGGAAATTTTGGCACCTGAATTCTGGAAATGAGCAGATTTGAATTGTAAGGCACAGTTGTATTGGAAATTATAACAGTTCTTTAGCATTTCATTTGATAATCTCATAATATGCCTCAAAACTAATCTAAAAGCTTGGAGAAAATGCAGCAGTCAAGATTTTATTTCAAATTTTAATCACTAATGATAATTTGACAACTATTTAAGGTAAAAGAGTATCCAAAATGTAGAGTGGGTAGACATGATCCTCTAACAGAATGTACATCACTAAGTGATGTGTGTGGTGTTCACTTATTGTACAACTAGCCATTAATCCACACAGAAGCCTCCATCCCACAGAGGCTCTGAAACGCTGCCTGGCATGTCATCAAGTGTGCTGAATATGTGTGACAAGAGGAATTTGCCTGTTCAATTTATGATCAGGCTGGAATATGAAAAATACTGGGATGGAAGTTCCTAATCAATGATTCATTTATTTATAAGAAGTTCAAATATGTAAGCCAAAATAGTGGAAAACACTATTTCAAGGTTGACTTGGCAGTCCAATTCAATGTGCTGGTGGTCCTAATGTGTTAAAATTTGGTAGGTAGCACATTTGTGTGCATTTTCTTTTATTATAGTTATAAAACATAGTTTAAAATATATTAAAATGAAATGCAAATTAGATGTTTGCAGAGCCTCTGAAGTATCTCCAGGGAACTTCTGCAGACCAGAGTTTGAAGATCACTGGCTTAGGGACTTTGAGGTTAAAATGTAAATGGAAGAACAACAATTTGGTGCACCTGCTATTTTAAGGCTCATCAAGTCATTCCCAAACTTCAGCCCAGGGCAGAAACCATTCCTCATTATCCTAAGAGCAGTGAAGCTGAGAAACAAAACTGCAGAAAGTGTTTTCAGATTCTCTGGTGAGTTAGAATTTAAAAGGCTGGGACCAAAATTTGAAATACATTATTCATATCTCAATGTTGTTCATCCATTAATTCATTCAACAATTTACTGAGCACCTGCCACGAGGCACTGTTCTAGAGGCTTGAAATACATCATAACAACAACAACAACAACAACAACAACAACAAACAAGGTTGGGCATGCTGGCTCACACCTGTAATCCCAGCACTTTCTGAGGCCGAGGCGGGTGGGTCACTTGAGCCCAGGAGTTCAAGACCAGCTTGGGCAACATGGCAAAACTCTCTACTAAAATACAAAAAATTAGCTGGGCATGGTGGTGCATGCCTGTAGTCCCAGCTACTCGGGAGGCTGATGGGGGAGAATCACCCAAGCCCAGGCCCGGGAGTTCGAGGCTGCAGTGAGCTGTGATCATGCCACTGCACTCCAGTCTGGATAATTGGAGTGATACCCTGTTTTTTAAAAAAATACAGACAAAATTCCCTATCTTTGTGAAATTTAGAGTTAGTGGGGAGAGACAGACGATAATCACAAATAAGAAACTTGTTGTAAGGTAACAGGTGACAGGTGCACTGAAAAAAATTGGGAGTCAGGCAAACACCACATGTTCACACTTATACGTGGGAGCTGAACAATGAGAACGCATGGACACAGGGAAGGGAACAACGCATACTGGAGCCTGTTAGAGGGGGGTGGGGAGGGAGAGCATCAGGATAAATAGCTAATGCATTTGGGACTTAATACCTAGGTGATAGGTTGATAGGTGCAGCAAACCACCATGCCACACATTTACCTATGTAACAAACCTGCACATCCTGCACGTGTATCCTGGAACTTAAATAAATAAAAATTGGAGTCAGGAATTAGAACTGTGGTGGAGGAGAAAGGCTGCAATTTTACATAGGATAGTCAGGGTGTGCCTTACTGAGAGAAAGAAAAAGAGGATCAGAGATCTGGAGGGGAGAGGTAAACCAAGAGGCCATCAGTTCAAGCAGTGGTTCTCCAAGCGGGGTCCTAAGGCCACCAGCATTACCCTGAAACTTGTCACTAGCTCAGAAATGCTAGAGAGGCACCCAGTGGTCTGTTTTTGCAGACTCTCCAGGTGATTCTGATGTGCTGTAAAGTTTGAGAACCACTGCCCTACAGAAAAGGCCCTAAAATAGGAGTGGGTCTAGGATGTTCTACAGAAAAAGGGGTGAAACCAGGCATCTGGAGGTGAGAGCCAGGAGGACGGACGGTGGTGGCCACAGCATGAATAGCTTTATGATCACAGCAAGGCTTTGGCTCAGAAAAATGTGGAGCTATGAAGGACTTTTCTTCAGGAGCCACACAGCCTACATTTCAAAATGTTCATGTTGGCTGTTTGGTTGAGTGGAAGCACTGCATGACTTGCCTCAAGAGGAGACTCCCTGACTGCTCAACTCCATTTTGGGCAGTGGTATGCTGCTAAATGTTTAAAAACAGACTCTGAGGGTGAGGAGCACCAATTTGTAGTGTTTGATTTCCATGGTGTAAACTCTCCCACCATGGCTGATTTCAAGCTGCCAGTATGACTCACTGAACATGGAGTTGTGAAGAGATGTGCATAAACGACTCACAATACTGACTCTAGTCCCAACGTCACTGTTACCACTGAGAACATTTAAAAATAAGGGAGAATTCTGTAAATCTGATTGGAAATGTGAATGCTATTTTATAAGTCTATATAAATGCAATGTCTTCTATTGGTCTATTACTGTCAATCAAACACAGAGCCCAAGTCCTTAGAATTTTTTTTTTTTAAGAGGCAGGGTCTCACTCTGTCATCCAGGCTGGAGGGCAATGGTGCAATCACAGCTCATTGCAGCCTCAAACTCCTGAAAAGTTAATACAACAATAATATATTAACTTCATTTAGAGAAAACACCATTAGTATTAAATTTCAGCTTCCTTTATTCAAAAACATTTGTTATTGAATTTCTCTTCTCTTACTACAATTAACATCTTGCACTCTCAAAAAGTATGCATTGACTAGGATTTGCCATGCATAGTATGTGAGATTGCTGCTCCAAAGGCTCACATAAATCCAAGACAGGCCATCAAGGAATGTGCGTGAACTGCAAGAATAAAAGTTTGAATCTATCTGAAGATGAAATGAAGTTTGAATAAGGCCTTCATCCATTTGATTTGCCATTAAGAAACTTTTCTTAGCCTAATGGAATATCCCTACTTCTGTCAATGAGATTTCAGTTTGTGAATAACATTTTCAAAGTGCAGCATCTTCTGTCTACAAAAAGACATTCTATGAACTCTTAATACACATAAAGTGTTTGCAACTACCAGGAGTCTGCTCCACGCATTCTCCCGTCTGCATGATCCCTCGGGCGGTATACCACCCACACTCAGACCCCGGGCAGCCAGATCAGCAAATGTGCACAAGCCTGCACTCCTGTCAAACAATGGGGTCTTTCAGGCCTTACAATCTTGTGAAGAAACAGGCTAAAACGTCATGGGAAAAATTAGGAAATATCAGAGGAAAACAGCTCACAAAATGAGGGGTGGAACCACTTGCTCACATGTTCTAATTTCTGAACAAAGAGAAACAACAGTGACAGCCCCCTGCCTGCTCTGACCCCTCCATTTCAAAAGAGAGGCATCCTAACCCCTTTTTCTTTTCTTGGAGATTACAGCAGCAAGATGTAGACAGACAGAATTAGAAATTCTTAAACCTAAAGAAGCAGAGTTAATTTCAAAAGCTTTATCCTCAAGAGAAGCATAACTAACCCATCTTACCAGCCTTGTTTGGTGATCTGAAATATCAACAAAATTACAGACTAGAAATCAACTAGACTTCAACAACCACATAAAGGAAAACAGAAACTCCTGATATATCCCTTTAAAAAAAAAAAAGCTCTTCCAAAGTATTCTTGGTATTAAATCTCATGCAATAGCTAGCTCTATCCACCTCAGCAATCCTTCCTCATTAACTGCTACACCCAGTTTATACTTTTCATACCAGCCTAGCTAGCTGGCCTAGTGGCCTGCAACACTCCATTTGCCATCCCCAGCCTTTATCAAGAATTGTTCCACTTGTAAATTACCTGTCTCTTTTTATCCACAAAATAACATCTCTGTTTAAAAATCTATTTAAGACTTACTGCAAAAATGATTTCTAGATTAATCCAGTACATTTGCAAACTTGCCAACAAATTTACACTTCTGCTTTAATATACTTTTATAATCCATCTATATTTTCCAGTTGATTACATTAATCTGACTTTACTAAAATCTCTGAGGATAAAGTCTGAGTCAATTCTTCTTTACATAATCTCCAACTTTCCACCATATCACTATCTATCTGTAAGACGCTATCAGCCGTTAAACACTACAGGCACATCAGCTGCTGTCTCCCAATAGTGAGGCTGATGGTCAGCCATTTTGGGAAAAGAACCATAGGTGGATTATTACTATAATGCATTATGTGGAAGAGGTGTTTATTTTGCTCCTGGAAGAAAAAAAGCAACATGTATTAAAATCATAAAAATGTTTTTAGGTTGGGCGTGGTGGCTCACGCCTGTAATCCCAGCACTTTTTGGGAGGTCAAGGCAGGCGGATTGCTTGAGACCAGGAGTTCAAGACCAGCCTGGGCAGCACAGTGAAAAGAAACTTTGTCTCTACTAAAATTACAAAAATTAGCCAGGCTTGGTGGCACACCAAGCTATTCTGGAGGCTGAGGCAGGAGAATTGCTTGAACCCAGGAGGTGGAGGGGGCAGTGAGCCGAGATGGCACCACTGCACTCCAGCCTGGGTGACAGCAAGACACTGTCTCAAGAAAAAACAGTTTTAAAAGGTAAAACAACATAAAAAGAAATATTCTATAGTGGAAATAAGAGAGTCAAATGAGGCTGAGAACTTTACAAAGGGATCTTACAGACATGTCGCCAATATCACTGCATGAGCCTAAGTATAAGAACAACCTTTGGGGAGAAACCATCATTTGACAGTGAGGTACAATTCCAAGTCAGGTAGTGAAATGGGTGGAATTAAACTCAAATTAATCCTGCCAGCTGAAACGCAAGAGACACTGTCAGAGAGTTAAAAAGTGAGTTCTATCCATGAGGTGATTCCACAGTCTTCTCAAGTCAACACATCTGTGAACTCACAGACCAAGTTCTTAAACCACTGTTCAAACTCTGCTACACATCAGAATCACCTGGAGAGCTTTACAAACTCCCATTGCCGAGGTCACATCCCATACTAATAAAATCAGAGGCTGGGCGGTGGCTCACGCCTGTAATCCTAGCACTTTGGGAGGCCGAGGCAGGCGGATGACCTGAGGTCGGGAGTTCAAGACCAGCCTGGCCAACATGGTGAAACCCCGTCTATACTAAAAATACAAAAAATTAGCCGGGTGCAGTGGCCAGCGCCTGTAATCCCAGCTACTCTGGAGGCTGAGGCCAGAGAATTGCTTGAACTTGGGAGGCGGAGGTTGCGGCGAGCAGAGATCATGCCACTGCACTCCAACCTGGGCTACACAGCGAGACTTTGTCTCAAAAAAAAAAAGAAAAAAAAAATGTCTGGGGTGGAAGCCAGGCCATCTGTAGCTCTTAAAGATCCCCAGGAGATTCTAATGTGCATCAGAGTTTTAGAACCACTGTCCTAGACTCTGTCAGTACAAGATTTTGCTCAATGAGGAAAAAGCACGATAACTTACATTTAAGTTGGTGACAGGTAAAAGCAAAGGTTACCTCTGAAACTTTTAAGTAGGAAATCACTGCTTTGGCTGCAACAAGAAGTTTGTGCTCTGATTCTCATAATTGGTGTAGCATACAGTCTTTAAACAGCCCTAAATGAACTTGCGGCTTTGCGATTTAGACTAGGAGAGAGAAACTAGGCATGGTGGTAGATATGAGCCCAGATAACAACTGAATTGTTGCCCATTGTGCCGTCGAGATATTTGGCTTGAGAGCCTACAGCCTGGATGCAAGTCCTAGGTCAGTCATCTGCTGGCTGTAGAGCTACAGGCAACTCTCCAACAACATAACCCTGGTATTCCATCTGAGGCAGTGGTTCCCAGCCCTGGCTGCATATTAGCAAACCTGGGTCTGGGACGCAATCCCCGACATTCTGACTGATCCAGAATGGGGCCCCAAGATCCTTATATTTCTAAAGTTCCCCAGGTGTGGTTATGTCATATGAGTGAGGAGAACCACAGGCAGAGAGGTTTTGAGAAAGGATGCTGAGGCCATACTACGTGGGTTCAAATCCCTGCTCCACTAGTTACTAGCTATGGCTCAGTTTCCTTATTTGTAAAAACGGAGATAACTGATAACACCTCCTTTGTTGTGAGGCTTGACTGACTGAATCCATTTATTGATCTCAGTGGATTATTGTACGGATTTGGCATAACACCTGGTACATAGCAAATGTTCAATTTTAATCACATGCATCATACCTATACATGTGTACATGTGAATATGTCCTAAGGATTAAACAGTTTGATGCATATAAAGGGCTTAGCACTGTCTCCATATAGAAAATACTCAGTAAATATAAGCTGAGCTGATGCTGACAGTACTGGTCGTAGGACAACTTATTGCAACTGACTGTCTTCTGTCTGGAATTTCATCCTTTCCTCACTGCATGGCAGCCTTTGCTTCAGAAAACCACAACTTTAAAAGGTATGGGGATAAGAATAAATCATTTTTTCTCTTTCTTTTAATTATTAAGAGGTCCCACTAACAATGAACGGTACTTCTACTGCAAAGTTATGATGGGAATGTGGGCTTAATGGCAAAGAAAAGCGATGTGGAGACCTGGCTCTGCCCCCACATGATGATAAATAGCAGAACTTGACAGCCAGAGGAAACTCAGCCCCCTCATTTCCTAGGGGAACCCAGAGTTGAAATGTGTTTTGCTCAAGATCACAGTGTGAGTGGCAGAACTGGGATCAGACTTAGGAACAGAGCTCTTTAGTTTCCAGGTTGCTTCCATTGATCATCCCTGGTGAGAAGCATGCCTGAGAGGTGCATTATCATGTGGAAGATGCTGTCCTTGTGGTCAAGGCCAATGTGGGGGATGAGGAATGTGGTACCCTGTTTCCCAATTGCTTCCTTCCTCTCTCTGCCGAATTCCCTTCCCTGGTCCAAATTCCACACCCTGCAGGCCATTTCCAGCTGAAAGGGAGGACACAGAGCACTAGAAAGCAGCTGTGGTTTGTTTGTGGCCAAACTGTTTTCTTAGGGGTGTTCAGTTCCAATTTTATAACAGAAGACAATTATGAAAAGGGTTTAATTTCCCAAATTTTCATTACATACAACTGTTTAGAGATAGGCATATATAAATGGATATGTGCATACTTTTTATCTATCAAGGACAGGAAATCCTGTCTTTCAGTTGCTAAGTCTCAGACTATTCCATCTGAGTATTTTTGCTGACAAATGTGACCTTGTCTAGGTTCTGCGGGAATTTAAAAATTCCCTCAATGTCATTTCTACTTGACCTTAGCAACATGACCAAACTGCAAATTCAAATGCCATTGAGTAAAGGTACAACATTCACATCCTGTTACCAAAGCGTTCTCCAACTCCAATCCAGTGACCCTGGGCCAGAGCCTAATCCAAAAGATTACAAAGCAACTTTCTGATGAGTTGTCATGGCAACCCCTAGATGTTAGATATTTCATGTCATCCCTGGGCTGCAAATTCTCATTTTTAGTCTACTCATATCCTACTATTTCATGTATAACAACCAACCAAAATGCAATTTGAAATGTCAGCTGCCAAACATAATAAGAGATGCCACTTGCTATTATAGCCAATAATAAAAGATTTCTAGTTGCTTGTTTCAGAGATACAGCAAATCACTGTGTATTCTAAGTCCACTGGGCTGGTCCTCAAAGTGAGGCTATTTAGCTAGACTTCCTTAGTTTTTATTTAATTAGTCAATATTTAAGAGAGCCTTGGAGATAAAAAGAATTCTAGTGAAACCTAGGCATTATTATTTTCCAAACAGGAGGAAATGTACTGATCTTCAGACTTTCAATAGACATGATATATTTGGTCTGAGAGAGAGAGACAGAGAGAGAGAGAGAGAGAGAGAGAGAGAAGCCCAACCGTTATCTAAACCTTTTAAGGACACAATTATACAAGAGTGCCTTGCAAGGTTTTCAACTCTTTATAACTGGAAGAGAGGAAAACACTTATTACTGAAATCCAGATAATCAAAACACTTTGTTTTAATCAGCAGTTTCTACCCTTTTCACATTCTATATCAATTCACAAGGAGTGACCTTCATCTTAGGTATAATGGGGTCAAAACCTACCTCTGCAGGTGTTTCTCCCTTACCTGCCTTAATCTGTGGCCCAGGTTAAGCACACCTGCAGGCAGGCTCAACCCAAGATAGCCAGGAGTTCTATTATGAGTAGACTGATGTAGAAAGATCTCTCTTGAAATTCCCTTTAGCTGACAAAGCATTGAAATCACCTCTGCAAATAGCTGGAATTGTGTATTTATTTTTCTTTTCTCTGTTTAAAATTTAGCAGAAATGTTAATAAGAAAAGAAATGTCCAGTAGATGAACAACAGGCCCAGAAGGAAAGAGAAATGAAGACCAAGATAATACACAAACCAGATTATCAATCTTGAAATAATCCAGAAGTAGACATATGATAGATCATACTATGTGAGTTTTTCTAATCCTAAACACAAAGGGAATATAAAGAGGTGTGCAGTAGGGCTGCATGTCAACCACTTTAAACTAATGCTAGCCAATACCTGTGTAGAGCTGCAAACTATTTTTCTGCTAGAATTTTAAGAGAACTTTTAAGTTTTGAAAATTGATTCCCATGACACTTCTCTTTCCGTCTTCATAATAGCTGCCAAAAAGTTCAAAACCACATTTATGGCCTGTCTCTAAGAAGTCCTTAAATGGTCTTTCTTGACATCTTTTATTAATTCCTAGCCTCATTTTCTCACTTTTTTGTTGTCTGCTTTAGTGGGGAGTATCTCTGAGGCCAAATTAAAACTTTTTACAATAATACAGGTGTATTATTCAACAGATAGCCTTCATTAAGCCTCAAATATTTATGGGGGCTTCTCTTCCAGACCATCCCTCTTTGATCCATGAGGCAGGAGATATCATGTTTCAACAAGAATTTGTTTCAGTTCACAGAGAAGCTGAAGCAACATCAATTTCTCATACTTGTTTCAATCACATTTGGAATTGATAAGCTAAAATAGAGAAGAGTGCTATGCTAGGAAGCTGGGATCATGAGGAGGTGAGAAGCCACCTTTTTTTTATTTGGGAGCTTGCACTCATGACTTTGGCCAGACCCCAGAAGACACATAAGTTCCCTGTGGTAAAGTATTTATTGGACTATCACCCAATCCTTTCTTCTACATGAGAATATCACTTTGGCAGATGTACACCAAAGCCTTCTCTGGGTATAAGTCTTCAGCCTGCCTTGGATGGATCTTGTCTGCTTCCGTCTGCCTGTGCACACAGGCTGCCAGCCCCACTCCACCCTCCAGTAAAACCTACTTGACTATGTATAGTGCTGGCTTAGAATGACACAGATTTAGGTTCAAGTTTTGCATCCTTTAATGGCTATATGACCCTGGACAAGGTATCAAACTCTATGAGTCTCAGGTACCTCGCCTGACAATTGGGAATAATAAAGAGTCCCTTTTGGGGTTTATGTGAGGATTACATTAATGCTCATAGGGTCCTCGACAAAATGCCTGGCACACCAAAGTCAATGCTCAATAAATATCAGCGATTGGTATTACAATTATGTTATTATAATTCTTTGAGGAACTGCTGGTGGCCAGTGTAAATCCTATGGTCTTTATCTCTCCTGACCCCATCCACAGGCTCATGTGACAATTTTCCCAGGATCATTTCAATTTTCTGCGATCAGAGAGAATGCCAGCCACGGCCCTATGGACCAGGGACAAGATAGCACACCTGAGCAGAAAGAAAGAGGACCACTAGCCTTGGGATAGAATTATCCCTCACTTCACCCTCACTGTCGGCATGTTCAGAGACTAAGTGCTTATAGAACCAGACTCAGGGTTTTCCTGTTAGTCTGAAGAGTGCTTCATCTCTTCTAGGCTTTCACTGGCAGAGCCACAGGATGAGAACACTCTCGGCCCCTTATCACCACCCACATCAGCAACACTGAGGCCAGCATCAGGGTCTTCTGGGCTGTGCGGATTGGGGAGCCGATGATGTAGTTAAGTTTCCTGGAAATACAGGCAGCAATTTCCTGTGGCTTCCTCTGTTTTTGATGTAGAGATGAGCACAGGTAAAAACTAAACACATCAAGGATCAGCGCTTCAGTCGGTGGTGCAAGTGCGGAAAAATACTGTCATTTCCTCACAAACAGATTCAGAAGTGCAAAGTATAAGCCACTTTCCAGAGAGCATGCTCCCCAGCAAGGACCTGTACAGTAGGGCTGTGAGTTGACAGTGAATAGATGGGCATTCCCATGAACTTACTTGCTTACCCAAGTGATCAAGAACCAGAATTTCCATGAAGGTCAATGTTTTGTATAAACCTTAGCCTGAAAAAGCTCTGGTCTGCTCACAGAGCTTCAGTCAAGCCTTCTCCAGAATTTGCAGCCAGGTCAGAAAAAAAGGTCACTTTCAGAAGTGGAAAGCAGTACAAATTTTAGTTAAAATTTTAGATGAACTAAACTGTTTATACAACTATCCTAAAAGATAGTTTAGAATTAAATAAAACAATGTGCACTACATTTGGGAAACAGCCAGGTTCAAAGAAGGTGGTCACAGTGTATTCTTAGAACCAGAATGGAATAAAGAAAATGATACATGTTATGGTTATGATAGCATAACCTGCTGATGAAAGAACAGCAGCAGCAGGATGTACAGTTTGCAAAGGGTCCACTCAAATCAGAGTGAACCCAGATGGTGCTAGAGGCAGCCTAGGGCCAAATCCCACCTTTGGCACTCACTAGCTGGGTGACCTTGGGCAAGTCATTTAAACTTCCATTTCTTCATGTGATTTTGTTTCTCCATCATTGGCTCCCCTTCCTTTGTGAAAAGTTGCCCCTCCCCATACCAACTGGGGCACCCATCATCATAGTCAGCAACCTGACCTAAAGATAGCTCAGGTATAAGACATGGTAAAATCTTTTTTGCTTTAGTCCGTTGCTTGTAACCAAAAAACCAAGACCTTTTTTCGGCTGCAAGCAAAAGAGATTTAACACCTAATTTGCAGAAGTTGCTAGGAGCATTAAACGAAGTCACACAAAGCAAACACAAGAAATGCTGGTTGCATTCATAGAAAGGAAGATTAGTGTGTGGTTAAAAGCAAAGGTATTGAGTCCATCTGCATGGGTTCAAATTCCAGCACCCCTTAGAACAGAGATAAATCACTTAACATCTTTGCTCTCGGTTTCCCAGTCTGTAAAAACAGAGCTAATAATAGTAATTACATCACAGGGTTGTGAAGATTATGTCAAAGTAGATAAAGCATTTAGAACAGTGCCCAACACAGTAAACATTCAAGAATTAGCCATTATTATTACAAAGGTAGAACTGTTTTGATTACTGTTAAGGATGTTGTAAAAGTCAGTGATCTATAGAGAAATGCCCTTCAACTAAAAAAGCCAGGGATTGTGGCACAAGCCTGTAGTTCCCAGCTACCTGGGAGGTGGAGGCAAAGAGGATCCTTTCAGCCAAGGAGTTTGAGCCTGGGCGATATAGTGAGACCCTGTCTCTAAAAAATTTTTTTAAATTTAAAAACATTTTTAAATAGGAAAAGAAAATAATCCTTCTTCTGGGTAATCCAGCTTGATGGACAATCCCTTAGAGACAATTAGAAAGGATGCATTTACTCAGAATTTAGTAAGTTCTAATATTGGGCCTCCTGAATGAACTTACTGACCAGCAGGATGTGGCCTGAGCAAATGACCCATGTCAGTTGTGCTGCCTGGCCTTCCTCTTTTCATTGTCAAGAATACATGAGCATATCAATTATGAATTAATCTCTCATAAATTTAACTATAAGTCAATTCTTGCAAGTCACATCTCTCAAAAAGAACTAATAAAACTGATTTTGGTCCTGTGGCTATTCACCAGGGCTATGCCCTTATGGGGGCCACCCAGCAACCAACCAGCCTCACTCTTGCTGAAATCTGTTAATTGCAGCTCAAGCCTGTTTTACTAACTAAATGCAGTGTCTCCTTCACCACTGCTTCCTGTGTGATATCACTAACTCATTCCTTCATTCATTTATTCAATCATATAAGAAACATTTATTGAGCACCACCTAGGTGCCAGGTGCTGGGCTCAGTATTTGTTAAGCAAAAGCAAGCAATAAACAGTGCTCAAAATGCTTTTTAGAGTTTAGTGAGGAAGGCACGTCAACTAACGATTAGAAACAGTATGCTAGGCCAGAGACAAACCTGAGCCATGAGGGACCTCAGGCCTGCATGGTGGGACCCAGAAAGAGTTCACACAATTAGCACAAAGCACTTGGGAAGCGAACAGTTTACCCAGGGCACAGAAAGAGTAGACTGGAAAGATACATAGGTCTGAGACATTCTGGGATTTAGACACCTTGCAAAGGAAGAGAAGTCTTCGGAAGATTTTAAGCAAAGTCATGCCATGATGTTTAGTTTTGCCTTTAGAAAGAACATTTGGTTGGCAGTATGGAAGATGAACCAAGGGGCTGGCCATATGTGCAAAGCAGGAGGCAGGTAAAGAGTTTCCTGTGTTTGTCCAGAAGAGAAATGGTAAAGCCTGAACACAGGGCAATAGATGAGGGAGCAAAAAAGAGAGTCTCTGGGATTTCAGGATATGAAACCACCTGATTCCATGAAGCTATCTTACTTTAGCTCACTGTATAGAAAACTGTGCCTGTCACTGTTCAGCTACTTCTTGAAAGAACTGAGACTACAAATTAAAATTGAAAACTACATGCACTTATACTATGTCCATGATTCCACTGTGAAATTGTACAAACCCATTCTCCAGGACTCAGGAAGGCCAATGTTCTTATTTTTTTTTTGAGAGAGTCTCTCTCTGTCGCCCAGGCTGGAGTGCAGTGGCGCAATCTCAGCTCACTGCAACCTCCACCTCCCAGGTTCAAGCGATTCTCCTGCCTCAGCCTCCCAAGTAGCTGGGACTACAGGCGCCTGCCACCACGCCCGGCTAATTTTTCGTATTTTTAGTAGAGATGGGGTTTCACTGTGTTAGCCAGGATGGTCTCGATCTCCTGACCTCACGATCCATCCACCTCGGCCTCCCAAAGTGCTGGGATTACAGGCGTGAGCCACTGCGCCCAGCCCAGTGCTCTTGTTTTAGAAATCTGGGAGAGCTTGAAAGTACAGAGGAAGGGCCCTTAAGTTAAATAGTCATCCCTCCTCAACAAACAATTAAATGTTATTATGACCAACCATATCTAACAGGTTCAGAGACATCCTAGCCTGTCTGTCAACTTTGTAGGCTAAATGAAAGTTCCAGGTTGTCAGACCCAGTGTAGTTTTATTTCCTCAGTATCTATTTCCTGCCACTTTACTTTACAAAATGTTTCCCTTTGAATGTAACCAGAGAATTCCATGAACCCTGCCATAATGTTAATACTCACGGTGAATGCACACTTATATCACTAGAATATCTGACCACATCTGTTTGTTTTGTGACATGACAGGCCTTGAGACTGGTGAAAAATTTACCAAACCAATAGTTTACTTTCTCTTAAATGTAAAATGCAATGGAATCTCTTCTGTACCTCTGGAAACACTGTAGTCAGCTTTTCTGAATGAACCTGCTGGGAAATGTCAAGATCTCTAAATAAATAAGTTGTGACTTTCATTGTATTTGCAGCACACAACCTCTGACAAGGAAGAAAGGCCACAAGGGGATGTTGATCAAATCCAGGTCAGAACTCCATCAAGGTGGACAGACACTCAACGCCCTGGTAGATAACAAAGACAACGGTGGACGAGCAATAAAGAAATCTAACAAGGTCTCAAAGGAACAGCAAATGAATTTCAATTTTAAAAGGACATGGGTCATTCTAGAAATCAATGTGTGTGCAATCCAACAGTTCCATATATAAATACCAGAAAATATTTATGAAGCAAGATTAATCTCGTTTTAGAAATTATTACTAACCTGGCTTTATTACTGGTTTAAACTAAATTTATAAAACAATAGGCTTGTCCCTTAGCCAAATACATTCATGTCTAAGAATGAAGTCATACTCTATACGAAGCTAAAGAGAATTTTATAATAGTCTCATAACCCCATTAGGGGGAAAAATGTATCTGTTCTCTCTTATCGATCGATCGATCATCTATCTATGTTGGGAAAGCAAATTTAATGAACTCCCTGAAACTCTTAGAGAAAAATTATGGGAAGACACACACTGGCTAGACATATTTCGATAGTGGTTACCATAGAAACAAGTCATTAGATTTCATTTTTGGAGTTGTGGCTTTTGATAAAATATTAAATTTCTTAGAGTATTTGCATATACAGATAGCGCAACTGCTGATGTGCAATTGAATTATATGCTGTAAAAAATATTTACACTACTTCTACTTTTAGATTACTAATATCTACAAAGAAAAAAACTCACTCCTAATAAGAATGAATTTAAAAACTCTTCCTCTACCTTGCCATTGTTTCCTACTGGGAAAAAGCTAAAGTGAGGGTGGTGAAGGCATAAAACAGGCTGGGACACAAGACAGGGATCTAAGGAAACCAGCTTGGTCTTGCTTGAGAGAAACTCCTGATGGCTTTCCAACCACAGCTGCTAATATTCTGCAGGCCACCTAACTGAACAGCAACTCTGGTAATTTGTTTTTAATCAGACTAATTCTTCAATCTCATTTTCCTGTGACAAGATGGCTGTTTCTCACGGTGTAAGAAATGATGATGTGCTTCCTTCTTGGGGGAGTGAGTTGTGATACTGCCTTGTGTGGAGCTCATCTAGTGTCTCCTTTCATTTATATTTCATAACCTCCCTGCTGTGAGCCCAAGAACCTGAAGAGCACACCTCACTTCCTATTTTGAAAATTAAGAAAAAGTATACATTTTAACACAGAGTCAAAATTGCAAAGTTAAACGACCACTAACTCAAATACTGATTTTAAGGCAGGAGCAGCAGCAGGTTAGCTGCTGCACTGAATTTTACTGACTGAAAGCCACTAGGGTGTTTGCCAATCAATGCTAAAATGATACTTGAATTAAAATCAATACACAACCCCATATGTATGTGGTGTGCCAGGAACAGCCTAAGAGTTGCTCGACCTAGGATCTAAGATGTCCACGAGCCACAAACCTGGTAATCTTTGAAATTAGGGTTGGCGGATTTAGTTTTCTGTCAGCTGGGAATGTCCTGGCATTAAACCAAGGACCTCAATCCCCTTAAAACAATGAATTCAGCAACAATCTTGACTTCCCAGACATAAGAAGTAAATCACATTAACAGCTGAGAAGAGGCTATGAACTTTCTGTTTGAAGGTCAACTAGAAAACAAGCGAAAGATCAGCTGAAAATGTCATGGGTGAACCTGAGCCAGGTGCTGGCTCTAAAATTACAGCAAGGTCCCCATGAAACATTAAAAGAACATAGCCACCCTGTAAGGTGTTATAGGAGGATTCTCTTTTCACTTTAAAAATTATTTATGTATGCATGTACATGCTTTAATAATCTCTGGCAATATGCACATATTTATGTATATAGCCATACATGACTAAGATATAAATCTCGTCTATATGACTAAGAGATGGACCTTATCTTTATATGACTAAGAGATTATGTTATCTCTGAAGGGATCAAAGGTCACGTTTGTTTTTCTGTTTTCCCCAAGCTCAGCACTGACATGCATGATCTCCATAGTAAGGGGGGGGGAATACACACACACACACACACACACACACACACACACACACACACACACGCTGACTATTCACATACAGAAATATATATTTGCTATTAAAAAAATTAAAACCACATACAAGAATTAGCCAAACAGTAGGAAAAACGAACACATGAATCAACCCCAGAACCACCACTATTTTAGACTTGCCAAGTAAAATAAAGATCTAAAAATTCATCTTATAGAAAAAGAAATCTGAGAACTACTTCTATATTGTTACAGAAAATACAAAAACAGATATATTTTATTATTTGAATTAAGCATTAAAAAAATTCATCTTACAAGTAACAGGTATATCCTAATCTTTAAAAGTTCTATTTGTACTAGTCATCTACTAGGTCAAAAAAAGTTTAATACAAAACATTTGGAAGTAAATGAAAAAATACTGCATTTTTCCAATACTATCTTTTTTAATGAAATATCAAAAAGTTTAACACATGTTAATCCTTTTGAAAACCTATTTTGCCTCCTAAGAAATGCAAAATAACTTATAAAGTAATTCTAACATCAGTGAAGAATGCTACTATGTTTCAAGTAAACTGTCTCAAAAATTTTAACTTAAATATGAATTTTAATATAATTTATGTGAAAATGAAAAATACTTGAAAATACTTTGCTTTGGTCTAGGATTAAATTCATGATGTATTTCATTAAATATCCTGCTATTGTCTGCTTTACGATATTAAGAAAACAAGCATAACGAAAAATAATGGTTATCTCCTCAGCCCCACTATAATGGGAATTCTTCCTCATAAGAACTACAAAGCAAATAAGAGGAGATGTACTTCAAAATCTTAAATATTCATCACAAAATAAGAAGGCAAATGGACTTTAAAAATGATGACCCACGTAAAATCAACATTTAATCCTCAACATGTAGACTGTCTGCTTTGTGGCTTTCTTAGAGTGAACCTTAGCTTTACCCTCCTAGGGACCAAATTCCTATCTCTTGCATTACAAACATCTGCAGGCCACAAGACAGCAACCAAAGGTTAATACTGCCTCCAGCCAAACATTATTAAGAAGCTAAATCTGCTAACTTCCATTAAATATAATACTAAATATAATATTATTTCCAAAGCCAACAGATATTACTTTTGAACCCTATCACTTGTCAATATGAGGCTAGAAATTAAGAGTTGACTAAAAGTATAGAAAAAATTAGCCAGGCGTGGTGGCGTGCGCCTGTAGTCTCCAGCTACTTGGGAGGCTGAGGCAGGAGAATCGCTTGAACTTGGGAGGCAGAGGTTGCAGTGAGCCGAGATCGCCCCACTGCACTCCAGCCTGGGTGACAGAGCGAGACTCCAACTCAAAAAAAAAAAAAAAAGAGTTGACTAAAATTATAGTTATATGGTTTCCAGATAATATATAATAATATATATGTATAATAATAATGTGATAATGTATCACTTAATAGATTGAAAATGATGAGATGATACTTCTCAATGGCAGACACTAGCCTGTAGGGTGGTGGTATTCACCACAGCTAAAATCAACCGCTCACTTAAATAGCACCTGGACTGGGACCAAATCCTCCAAATGGCTCCCCCTCCCACCTACTCAACAGGGGGCAGGCTGGGACAGAGAGTCACGTGTGTTCACATTAGCCTGATAGAGGATCAGAATGGAGTCAGACTGCAAGGGTAGGAATTTCCTCTCTTCCAGTGCTCTCATTTCCTCATCTACAAAATGGGAACTGCTGTAAGGATTAAAAAATACATAGAAATAAAACATTTAGCACAATGGCCACAAGCCCACATTTTCACCCTGTCTGTTGTCAAAAGCAAGGTAGGAGACAACTAATGCTAGGGTAGGTGGAAAAGAGGGACAGGGTGTGGCTAGGGAGAGGGACACCTGCCAGTCACATGGTGGGCATCTCTGCTCACAATCTGAAATGTATGCCACAGGAAGTTGCCAAACTGCTTATTTTTTTAACTGCCCGTTACTAAAGGTTGATGAGATAACACATAAGATAAATGAAAAAAAAATTAAAAAACAACTAGAGAAATAAGGTGGGGAATATTATATGAAAGACATTATACAAGGCTTTTGTTTTGTTTTGTCTTGGAGTATTGTTTTTTTATTTCTAAGCTACAATCTATCCTGATTTTCTTTTTTTTTTTTTATTAGTAGACTATTTTTTAGAGCAGTTTTAGGTTTATAGAAAAACTAAGCCAAAAGTTCCCTCTTCCCCGTTTCCCCTGTTATTAACCATCTTGCACAAGTATGGTACATCTGTTATAATTAATGAGCCAATGATGATATAGGATTAACTAGTCATAACAGTCAATATAGTTTACATAAGAGTTCACTCTTTATGTTACACAGTTGTATGGGTTTTGACACACCTATCTATCCACCATTACAATATCATACAGAATAGTGTCACAGCCCTTAAAATCCACTGTGCTCCACCTGTTCATCCTGTCCCCTCTTCCCTGAACTAGCAACCACTGATCTTTTTACTGTCTCTATGGTTTTGACTTTTGCCTTTTCTATAGTTTAAATCGTACAGTATGTAGCCTTTCCAGACTGGCTTCTTTCACTTAGCAATATGCATTTAAGGTTCCTTTGTGTCTTTCTGTGGCTTCATTGCTCATTTCTTTTTAGTGCTGAATAATATTCCATTATCTGGATGTACCACAGTTTATCAATTCATCTAATGAAGGATCCCTTAGTTGCTTCCAGTTTTTGACAGTTATAAATAAAGCTGCTATCAAGATTCGCATGCAGGTTGTTCTGCAGACATAAATTTTCAACTCATTTGGGTAAACATCTAGATGCGTAGTTGCTGAATTGTACGTTAAGCCTATCTTGAGCTTTATAAGAAGCTGCCAAACTTTCAAAGCAGTTGTACCAATCTATCATTTTCAATATCTAAAAATCCATCTACCAAAGTGTAACTTAATATCTACACAATGTGACCAGTGCATTATTTATGATCTACCTAAGTGAAGGACAGTTAACTTTCAGGTTCTAACTAAACTTGAAAGATAATGTGATCAAAAAATTCAGGAGTTGTTGACTTTGGGCTGTTGACTTTGGGCAAATTATCTGATTTCTTTTTTTTTTTGAGGCGGAGTTTAGCTCTTGTTGCCCAGACTGGAGTGCAATGGCGTGATCTTGGCTCACTGCAACCTCCGCCTCCCGAGTTCAAGCGATTCTCCTGTCTCAGCCTCCCGAGTCGCTTGGATTACAGGGATACACCACCATGCCCGGCTAATTTTTTTTTTTTTTTTTTTTTTTTTTTAGTAGAGACAAGGTTTCTCCATGTTGGTCAGGCTGGTCTTGAACTCCCAACTTCAGGTGCTCCGCCCGCCTCAGCCTCCCAAAATGCTGGGATTACAGGCGTGAGCCAATGTGCCCGGCCCAAATTATCTGATTTCCACAGCCTCAAAAAAATGTATTAATAACTAGTCGCAAGGATCGTCTTTAAAAATCCTTTACAGTCATTAAAGGTTATGCAATTCTTAAGAAGGTGACTATGATCTTTGTGATGCCAATAACTCCATTTTACTTTTAAGCAAATTTGTTTTAGTATCATTTTCAATGAAACCTCAACAAACTGTAGTTCAGACTTTGGAGAAAATGCTTAATAATCATGACAGTGAAGACCACTTGGGACTGTTAGGCTGGTTTTTGTTGCTGTTGCTGTTTTTGTTATTGTTTTGCCTTTAGATCACAAAAGTTTTGTCCTGGTGGCAGAAGGAAACATCAGTTTTCCATTGGAACATTCTCTGACTAGCATTATGGTCTTTACATAACGTTCATTCCTTATTTCCACACCCTCCCTAATATTACAGAGTAATTACTGAATCTCTTTTTCCTATGAATTTTAAAGTTTGACACCACTGGCCAAAAATTCTATGAATTTGGCAAAAATGATGATGGATCCAAAAAAGCTAGCATCCTTTTCTCAGCATTTAAATAGTTTTTTTCCTCATGAACAGGTCTACTACCTGAACAGTTCCCCATCTCACCCCACCATCCCTGTGGGAAGAAAACCATTAGAAGGCATCTACCTTTATGTAGTAAAATTTCATTGATTGGAATAGCTCAATTGAGGAGCAATAAACCTCAGTCATAGGACATTCATTTTTTATTTTTTATTTTTGGGAGACAGAGTCTCGCTCTGTTGCCCAGGCTGGAGTGCAGTGGCATGATCTCAGCTCACTGCAACCTCCATCTCCTGGGTTCAAATGATTCTCATGCCTCAGCCTCCTGAGTAGCTGGGATAACAGGCATGTGCCACCACACCCGGCTAATTTTTGCAATTTTAGTAGGGACAGGGTTTCACCATGTTGGCCAGGCTGATCTTGAACTCCTGACCTCAAGCAATCCGCCTGCCTGGGCCTCCCAAAGTGCTGGGATTACAGGCATGAGCCACTGCACCCGGTTATTTATAGGACATTTAAAAAGAAATACTGTCTTCCCAATTTCATGTAATACAGTAATAGCTAACATTTACTAAATACTTACTATGTACCAGATGGTATTCAAGGGCTTCGCATACATGTTTTCAATTAGCCATCAAAATAACCCCTTGAGGTAATTACTATTACTGCTTCCATTTTACAGATTCAAACACTGAAGCTCAGTGAAGTCAAGCAGAAACTCTGCTGTGATCTCTCCAGAATCTGGTCTAGAATCCTTGGATAATGGCTGGGCCCAACATTCTCATGGACAGACACTGCTGCCTACTTGGATGGATTAGTATCAGCTGCTTCTGGGGTCTCCATTTGGGTATATTGCTCACCTGACAGCAACCACCCCCTCCCCCCTTCACACGCGCACACATGCGCACACACGCACACAAATACTCGTGTACATGTGCTCTGTGCTGTGCCTCACACTTGCTGCCTGTGCTATGGGGACCACTGGCTGGTATCATATCTGACACATCCCATGTTTACCTACTGCACTTGACTCCTCCCTAAAAGCTGCTTCTATTGCCCCCTCTGAGCCATCATCACCCTCATGGGCCTTTCTAGCTCCAAGTGATCTTCCTTAAGCTGCTGAAATTAACCAAACAAGAACCGTGAAGGATTAACAATACCTAATATAAATTATGCTTTAAAAATAGGCTTTAGCCAGGTGTGGTGGCTCACGCCTGTAATCCCAGCACTTTGGGAGGCCAAGGTGGGCAGATCACCTGAGGTCAGGAGTTCGAGACCAGCTTGGCCAACATGGTGAAACCCTGTCTCTACTAAAAACACACAAAAAATTAGCCGGGTGTGGTGGCAGGTGCCTGTAATCCCAGCTACTTGGGAGGCTGAAGTGGGAGAATATCGCTTGAACCTGGGAGGCAGAGGTTACAGTCAGCTGAGATCATGCCACTGCAATCCTGCCTGGGTGACAGAGTGAGATTCTGTCTTAAAAAAAAAAAAAGGCTTTAGTACTTTTTAAGTAAACTGATGAAAATTATTTAAGCATTGCAAACTCTTCCTTAAAATACAATTCATTTTTAAAAGTAAGTGGACATTTCAACCAGGCTCAGTGGCTCACACTTGTAATCACAGTACTTTTGGAGGCCAAGGCAGGAGGATCACTTGAGGCCAGGAGTTCAAGACCAGTCAGGGCAACATAGAGAGACTCTGTTTCTAACAAGAAAATTTAAAAAAATTATCCAGGTGTTGTGGTGCGTGCCTGTAGTCCCAGCTACTCCAGAGGCTGAGGTAGCCAGTGAACTGTGACGGTGGCACTGCACTCCGGCCTGGTTGACAGAACGAGATCCCATCTCTGAAGAATTTTTTAAATTTAAAAACAAAAGAGTAAGCAGACATTTCTAAACTGGCTAAAAGCAATTTCTTAAGTAGGTAAACATAGCCTTTATATGTTCATTTACATCATTCAGTAGTTTAGTTAGCTCTGTTCCTGCTAAGATGAACTTCAAGAACTAGCTATGAGGTGATCAGAAATAATCTGAATTTGAAACAAGAGAAGTCTGAATTTGAAACAAGAGAAGTCTGAATTTAAAGATTTTTCATATTTGGATTAAAATATTTGTAACAGGGTGGAAACAGAAAAAATTGGACAAAAATCTATGAAAACTTGCTCTCCAGGAATTTTCTCCAAAGGTCTCCTGGCCCAGACCCTCATTCCATGACAGGAGGCTGGCAGTGCCAGAGGAATGCAGCACAAAGGGGTGGAAAGGATGTCAGCAAGAGAAGCTATCAAGGGAGGAGGAGTGGGACGTGGCAGAAGTTAAGTTGGACTGATAACGTGGCAAGCTGGGTCTGAGTGACTACTGCTGGAACACAATGAACAGTGGGTCCTTCACTCAACCCAGATTGGTGAGAGCCAGGAGCCACTAAGTCAAAATTAACCTAAATGCACATAAACTCTAGGATTCCAATTTTATTCTGTTTTTCTGTGCCTCTACTACACTCCCTTGACCTTTAAATAATCTTCACAAAACAGTTATAAAGCAGAGTTGATTACTGTACTTTTATAAGTATAATGTGTAAAATGGAGACATCAACTTCTGAAAGTTATAAAACATCAATTTTAAATACAATTTTTCCACTTTTATTCTTACTGTTGTCTACTGAAAACAATATTCTCCAACTAATCAGAAAACCTCAGGCTCATCCTTCAATTTCTGCTCAAAACTCTTTAAGATAGGTTTCAACAGATTTCCATACAAAAGAAAAATGCGTTACATTCCTCCCTATTGATGTCTAATGTAGTACAGTGTATTAAGATACATACATTCACCCGAAACAAAATAACATGTTCTCTTAGTACAAACTGGCAAAAAAAAATCATTTACCTTGTTTATTGTTTGTAGAATTACCCCCAATTCAAGAAAAATGAGTACATATAAAAATTAGGATTTATAAAATATGAATTAGATAATATAAATGAATTTATTTTAAGGTGATTTGAAGCAAAAGGTCACCAAGTATATTACAATACAATCTGATTTACAAAATCATATTTCAAAACAAATTTTCTAGGAACACAGATACTCCATAAAGCAGGGTACCTTGGCTAAAACACCAATGTCTCACTTACATAGAATTTGATAAGGAAAATGAAACTTTACACTAAAATTGTTAGGTAGAGCATGTGGAAGTATTCAAAAGAAACCTGACGTTAAAGTCCTATGAAAATTTTCTTAAAATATGCATGAAAAACATACTTGTAAATTTACGATACTTGTTACGAATCAAGTTTTTGATATTACAAATGTGAAAAAAAAACCTTCAAATGTCAGGTTACCGTTTTTACTGTTTAATGAAAAAGACAAAGCTAAAGACCACATATAAATTATTGACCTGCATACTAACTACCACTATAACGAGAACATGACTGCAGTTTACAAGGATGAAGCTCTTTATATTCTCATTTGGAGAGGACTGTTGTAGTACATTTGACATGTAATATATTTAAACAAGTATCAATTTCTTTCTTCTTCTTCTTTTTTTTTTTTTTGTAGAGATGGTGTCTTACCCAGGCTGGAGTGCAGTGGTCATCATAGCTCATTGCAATCTCTAACTCCTGGGCTCAAGTGATCCTCCTGTTTCAACCTCCTTAGTAGCTGGGACTACAGGCATGCACCACCATGTACAGTTATTTTTTTTTTTGAGATGGGGTCTTGCTATGTTGCCCAGGCTGGTCTTGAACTCCTGGCCTCAAGCAATCCTCCCACCTCAATCTCCCAAAGTGCTGGAATTGCAGGTGTGAGCCACTGTACCAAGTCACAAGTATCATTTTCCTAAGGGCTACCAAACAGCAATATTAGTACCATTACTGCCTTATTTAAGGTAATTAAAATCAACTTTTTCTAAACTTAGAGGAATTCTTCACTCCCCTAAAGTATAGCCTCTACCTACTTTTTTAGTCTAATTTCTTCTTATTCACCATCATCCACCCTATGCTTCAGTTAAAAAGGGTTAATAGCTATCCCTGGAATGTCTTCCCATCTCCATGCCTTTACCCAAGTGGTTCCCATGCCTAGAATTTCCTCCCTCATAGCTTCAGCTGTCAAAGTTGAACCCATTCTTCAAGTAGCACTTCGGTCTCTGCTTTATCCAGGATGCTCTCTGATGTCCCTAATCAGACAGCATTTCTTAATCTTCATCCCTACAGCATTCTGTATCTTTCTTGGAGATTAATTTTACTCTCTTATATGTTATACTCATCACATTCAAGTGTCTTCTAGCTTAGAGTATATCATAGGTGCTCAACAAATGTTTGTTACATGAATGAATACATATGCTCCTTGAGAGAAAGGCACTAATTTTATTCCTCATTGTGTCTCTTTGCTATCTCCCCAAGGTGAGACCTCTGCAAAGCCAGGCAACAACCCGTCCACATGTACTCAGCACCTAGAACAGCACATCATAGTGCACTGTCAACAATCTACAGATGTTTGTGAAATCAACCAATTAACTAATCTGCTGTCGTTTTTTCAGTACTTAACACTCCTGACAGAATTGCACATTCTTAGAATTGGATATTTATATTTTTCATTTAATAAAAAATATTTTTAAATTATTATTCAATAACTCTTCCTTGAGTGTGTCCTGCTTGCTAGGAAGTGGATATTACATACAGCAGACAAAATAGCCGTGATCCCTAATGGGCTCATAGACTAATGGGAGAGAAAACTATTAAAGAAACAAATGTATGGCCAAATATGAAATTAAAATTCTAATAAGGGCTGGGAAAGAAAGGAGAAAGCAAAGTATGGACAACTGGGTGGTGCTCATTAAGGGTGGAGATCAGGGAAGGCTTCTCAGAGGATGTGATGTTAAAATGCAAGTGAAGGATGAACGAGAGTTAGAAAAATGAAAAGTGGGAGGTGGGGTGGGCATTTCAGGGAGAAAAGCAGCCTCAGGAAGAGCCTGGTGCACCTGGTCACAGTGGTGGTATGGGGTCAATGAAGGGAAAATGGCTGCATGAGGCCAGAGAGCCTGGCTGGGGCCAGGTCAGCAGACTCCCACCAACTCCGGGGAGGAGGCTGGATTCTTAGTGCAACAGGAAGCCATGGCAGGGCAGATGAAGAATAAATGAACTGGCTGCTTCACTACTACCCTGTCCCAAGGGCCCAGACCATGAAACGGTCTTTTATTTGGTTTCAAATCCAAATAAAAACCTATGTAGGTATAGAATCAAAAGAAGGAGTTAAAAATTTGGGAAGGTTTTATACATTTTCCTGTTAACAGAAAATTTAAATATAAAAATATTTTATTATCTCAGAGAGGCAACAGAGATTTATGCTCTTTGATTCAGAGATAAACTTTGTCTTGTAGAATGGGAAAAAATGACTAGGTAAGATGATTTTCCTTTATCACTTTTCAGAAGACAAGTCATAATGGAAATGACTCAAGATACCACAATTTGGAAGATGAGTGACTGTCTTTGCCATGGGAGCAGAGTGAGGGTTTGCTAAACATCAGCTGAAAGGAGAGATGTGCTCTTGCTCTTAGTTACAGACAGGCACTGTATGTGATGTGGCCCCATAAAAATCCTGGCAGATGATGTAGCTTCCTGTCATCTTCCTCCCATAACTGCAAAGTCCAGGAGACAGAGTCCCCTTTCCTTGGTAGAAGGAAGTAAACTTTGGCATAAGACACATTTTGTGCCAACTACCTAACAGCAATGTTTAAATAAAAATAAAATGCTATTGGAGCATTTCAATACATATCATAAAAACAGGCCAGGCGCAGTGGCTCATGCCTGTAATGCCAGCACTTTGGGAGGCCAAAGTGGGCAAATCACTCGAGTCCAGGAGTTCGAGACCAGCCTGAGCAACATGGTGAGACTCCCATCTCTACTACAAACACAAAAATTAGCAGGGTGTGGTGGTGCGTGCCTATAGTCTCAACTACTCGAGAGGCTGACGTGGGGGAATCACCTGAGCCCAGGGAGCTGCTGAGGCTGCCACGAACCATGATTGCGCTACTGCACTCTAGCCTGGTTGACAGAGTGAGACCCTGAAAAACAAAATGAAACAAAACCTAAGATTGAACAACAAAAAGCAACACTAAGCATTTTATCCAGAAGCAAGAAAACCCTACCAAGAATTTGTATTTGTTCATCAGAATAGATAACCCAAATGAATACTCCACAGAACAAGACTGCCGTTTATTTAATAGGTGGTAGGTTTTTAAATGGGAGATAGGTTATTTCTTCCTTTCTCCCCACCCACAGAGTTTTGGCCACTTCCAGACCATGTTCAGCTGACATTCTTTTCAAAGACTCAAAAAAAGGTAATGCACTCTCAGTGGAAAGGTAGTGTTCCACCAGTTTTGGTAAATACTGATCTAGGCCTGAACTTTTGATTTCTGAATGAAAGAACAAGATGATTCATATATGCCTTAAGGAAAAAGTAAGTCTGGTGACCAGATCTGAATGAAAGCAAAAAGGCTTGAATTTAAAAAGCGAATCCTGTTTAAATTTTGGGCAAATCATCTAACATATCCTCTTTCCTTTTGCAATCTACACTAAGAATACTATTTTTTTTTCCAGTTTAAGAAAAGTTGACCTACCAAAGCCAGAACTGCTAAATAATTACAAAACAGTTGTTTTAGAAATCACTTCACCCTCCGAAAGGAGTCAACTTTCCATGTATACTTAAAATCACTCATAAAAATGGATTTACCATTTAAGAAATAATTTTCAAACACACATGTAGTTTGTCAAATGAAGCCTCACTGTTCATTCATTCATTCATTCATTCATTCGACAGATATTGATTGAGCCCTGTTATGGGCCAGATGCTGATTGTGGCACTTGTGATACAGCAGTGAACAGAAGAGTCTAAACTCCCTGCCCCAATGGTGCTTGCATTCCTGTGTTACGTCCACACAGCTGTGTAACTGACTCTGAAGAAAAATGAGCTTTTAAAACATAATAAACATTTCAGTTTTGCCAGATGAAAAATTCTAAAGATTTGTTACACTACAATGTAAATATAGCTAATATTACTGAGTTATATACTCAAAAATGGTTAAGAGAATAAATGTGTTCATTTAACCAAAAATTTTTTTAAATGAAAAAAATAAGCATAACAAACATTTACTGAGTACTTACCATGTTAGGCAGAGCATCATCTCATTTAATCACAACAACCTTAGCAGGAAGGCACTATTATTATTCTGTTTTACAGATGGGTACACTGAGGCACAAAGAGGTTAAACAATTTATCCAGGATCACATATCCAAGGGATAGAGCTGAGATATAGGCCCAAGTAATCTGATACCAGCAACTTGTCTCCTAACTCCATACAAAAAGTTTCAAAGATAATACTATTTTCAGTTGGAACTACAGTTAATAATACAAAAATAGTAATAATAATATAGTACAAGGAATAATAATCAACTTTTTTTTTTTAATCCTGATGATTTGTAACCCAACTTACTGTCCTTTTGATGGCCATTTTTTCCTAAAAACCTCAGTGTTGAACAAACTGCTTTCAACCACTTCTCTGTAAGCCATAATATTCTTTTCCTTCAAATGGAAATAAAGAAAAATCACACAGGATGGTTTCTTTTAGACAAGATCAGGCACGTTCAGGGTGGTGTGGCCATAGACGCGGATGGTTTCTTTTAAAACAGACATTACTGAAACTGTAAATATTTTTAGCCTTTTGTACTTTTCATCCAGCAGCTTAACTGAGAATGATATAGAAACATTTAAAAATAGCCACTCAGTACTCTGAAAACCATTAGTTTAGCACATACCCAGCACCTGCTTGACACATCTTAATCAACACTCTTTTGCTAGTCATATTAAAAAAAGAGAGAACCCTTTTGCTTTCAGAATTTTTTCCCTTAAAAAACGTATGTGTCACCAGGGTATTTTGCCCTCTCTCTTTCTAACTTAGAGGGTAACACCTGGAGTAAGTCATGGGTGACTAATGAAGATGCAACTTTCCCCTCAGCATGATATACTTCACAGGATGGAAGTAAAAGCTTCTAATAGGAGCATTTATTACAATTGTTAGGATTGTAATGGAAAGTTAATTTTGTTTTATAGTTTGTAGAAATGATTCAGGATGATATGAGAACACTTTCTATAAACCTGCACTGATAAAAGGAAGATGATAGTGATGACACATGATATACTTTCTGAGTTGTTTTTCCAGGGGTGGGAAAGTTCAATCCACAGATTTCAAGACAGAAAGAAGAAAGGAAAGGAGAAGGAAGGAAGAAAGAAAACAAAATTTTTTTTAGAATTGACTATGCTCAAATACACTGTGCTTTTTAGCATCAAACTTTCAACCATGGTCTGAGCAGCACTATGTTGTAACAAAACTGGAGTAGCCAGCCTGAGCAAACATGAACATCACAATATTTTAAAGTTCAAATAACATAAGGCACCAGTTTTAAGACTGCCCGGGTATCCTTTTTAGCAATACAAAGATTCACACAACTTGGTGACAGACAGCTTTTCCCTCCAGCCAAATCTGATGAAGACTTGATAATATCACCTGCCATAATCAAAATTCCTGGGCACATGGGAAGGTCTCTGACTCAAATCAAAGAGAGCTTTGGGCCCCAAAGCTATGGGCCCCACAGCTATGGGCTACCAAAGAAAGGTTATAACCAGGCTCCAGTGTAAACCATTTTGTTTCTTTTAACAGTTTTAGATCTTCTAAAGTATATGAGATGATATTAATAAAATTTAAATTTCCTGCTAAATTTTTTTAGTCTCTTTCCTTAAAAGTAAAACTTACAATGATCAGAAAGCATGCTTTCTTCTGGCTTTATCATTCAACTTCCCAGGCAAAGATGATCAACAGCAACACTCTTATCTAAAGCAAAAGTAATGGATATGATTATCACTCTGGACAGAAAGTCTGTATTTGCCCATTTTTATCAATGATTGAGACAATGATCCAGAAGCTGTATTGGTACAAAAACACAACACCAGGGATGCCAGAAACAGGATTACAAAAGTTCTCACAAGGTTAAAAATAGACCAAAATGAATATAGTCAAGTTTACTAGGCTCAAATGTGAGGTCCTGTATGGTCAGTACATGGAGGTCCAGCAGCCTCTTGATTCAATACAGGCAGTGTGATGGGTTTGCAAAAATGTACTCTTAGGCTGCATTAATAAAGACACTGTTCTCAAGGCCAGATAAGCCACAGTCCCTCTCAAACTGCTCAGAAAGAGTAGCTTTAGGGCCAGGTGCAGTGGCTCACGCCTATAATCCCAGCACTTTGGGAGGCCAAAGCAGGCGGACCACTTGAGGTAAGGAGTTCAAGACCAGCTTGGGTAACATGGCAAAACTCGTCTCTACAAGACATACACAAATTAGCTAGGCATGGTGGTATGCAACTGTAGACCCAGCTACTTGGGAGGCTGAGGCAGGAGAATTGCTTGAGCCTGGGAGGTGAAGGGTGCAGTGAGCCAAGATTGCGCCATTGTACTCCAACCTGGATGACAGGAGTGAAATCTTGCCTCAAAAAAAAAAGGGAGGTACTTCTATAATTTGTCCACTACCTTTTAAGGAACTTTCTGATAAACTGGAGAAAGCAAAAAGGAGTGAGATCAGAATGACTGTGGAACTAATATTATGAGAAATATTGAGGGGAACTGGGCATAGATAACTTTGAAAAAGACTTTATTATGGCAGATTTGCCAAGTAAACTGATAATTAGAATTATTTTCGATATAGAAATTAGGATACCTTAGAAGAGGTATCTGCATTTGATGGGTGTTAAACTTCAGGATGTTTAAGGTCTTGCTCAACTCTACCAATCTGTAATTACATGGGGAAAAGTGCTATGTCCCTCATGAAATTAAATACTAAGAACTGGAGGGAGGCTGCATCAACAGATTTTCTGTATCATGTATTGAAGAGTTAATTTTCTCCAACCAAGCTAGTGAATGAAAGGGTAACTCAAGATGAAATAATGATGTCAAAGCATTTTTAATATACCTCGTGGAAGAATCCAAGTGTATTTTAAAGAGAAAACACAGCACTTGTTACACCATATATTTCATATTTGACCTGAAGTTGGTTACACAGAGGCCTTAGTCATAATAAAAAACTTCTCTCTGCTCAAATGCAGTATGTACATAGTCATAAATGAAAACATCATTGCCGAACTATTTTTTTTAAACTATCATGGCACAAATTGCTTTTAACAAAGAAGTCATATTCCAAAAGACCTTTTGTACACAATTGTGCAGTGTATCTTTGTCTTACTGTTTAGTATCCTAAAAGAAATAGTTTTCAAAATATCTACATTCATTTATAAAAACTTGAATGCAGGTAATTTAGCAACAAATCACAACTAGCTGAGAACTGACATAAAAGAATGATCTCCAGGGCCAGAAATAAACCCCAAAAGATAAGACATACTAGAAAAACATGAGAGAGAGAAACAAAATCAATAGACTATCATCTCAATATCTAGTATGAAGCTTGGTAAAGAGTTGATGAATAGAAATAAATGATCCCTACAGACAGACTCAATTAAGTATACAGCATAATTTGTTCATGAAAAAATGAGTATGTGAATCTTCCTAGATCTTTTCAAAAATTACTTAAAAATATTAAATAAACATTTTTAAAATGGGTATATTAAAGCATCCTAATAAAATGAAGCTGATTGATTGGTTGCTCTAAGGGAGTAGTGATAAAATAATCTGCTATATAAATCCTGGATCATATAATGGTATAATGCCCCTCAAAGGTAGTAGAGGAAGGTGGGTTTTAGGCCACTTTTAAATTAATTGCTCTCTACCTGTTTGAATCACACACAATATGTTTGGCTTTAAGAAAATAAAAAGGACCTAGAGCAGAAAAATAGCTTATACATAGTATCTATATATTATATTTAGAATATACATTTTATATTTAAGAGACATTTCCTCTTGGACTTTTATCCTACAATAAACAACTACAACCATAAAAACAGTACCAGCAAAACCCAATCTATAAGGAGATTTGTAGAAAAGTAACAACTTGATATATTCTAGCTGTATAAAGAGGTCTCTTGTCAATTCATTATCATCCACTTACAAGTATTTTATGTACATCTTAAAAGCCTGAAGAAGTTATTGTAATGTTTCAAACTCAAAACTACTCCCCTGAGCATTGATATAACTTATACTCCCTACAACCAACCAACCCAAATCTCAGTTTGCCTCCATTAACGCTCCAAAATAAGTCAAGATTGTAAATACAGTGGGTTCTCAATCAATTGACTTTTTCAACATCAGATGGGTGGCTGGAGCCTTCACAAACTTCAGAGCCCTAATAGAGATCCCCTTTTCTAGCCCACATAAATAATACAAATCATATCTCTATGATCATTAGAGATGCAAAA
This sequence comes from Homo sapiens, assembly GCF_000001405.40. Lineage (NCBI taxonomy): Eukaryota > Metazoa > Chordata > Mammalia > Primates > Hominidae > Homo > Homo sapiens. The sequence goes on from NC_000006.12 coordinate 90,255,119, forward strand.
AATCGGTACAGGCCTTTCTCCCCTTCTAACACATTATCTTAGGCTTGTTTTATTTATTTAATTTTTACATTCCTCATGTGATCTGTGGCCACACAAGACTGATTCTCCAAACTGAACTTCATTCTATCTGCTCCACAATAAGCAATATTTATTCATTTTCACTCAACAATTGTTTACTAAAAATGTACTGTGTGTAAGACATTGTGCTAAGAGCAAGTAAGTACTAGGAAGTCACAGTTCTATCATCAAGTTTTAAATCTAGTAGGTGAAAGACTCATACAGAAGTATCAAGGCAGCCATGGGCCACCTGAGTGGTGAAACTGAGACCCAAAGAGTGTCAGGAAGACAGGAGGCACTCAACTGTGGTAAATGGGGAGAATGACAGAGGAGATGGCATTTGAGTTGGGCCTGAGAGGACAGGTTGTCCAGGATTTGGATTGACAATGATTTAAGGGAAGAGAAGAGGGAAGAAGAAAACAGCCAACTTTAAGCAAAGGAAACACAATGAGACAAATTTGCAAAAGCAAAAAATGTAATGAGCATTGCATACCACCAGAAGAGCAGGTGAATAAGGGTACTAGCTAGAAGCAGCAAGGTTCATTCATTTGTATTAGAGAAAAGTGCAAGATAAATGGTTCATCTGAACAATGGGTGGTTTCACAGGGTTTGAAAACATCTCTCCCTCTGTAAGTCATACTATCTCCGACTGAAGGGTCCAACGTGAAGCAGGAACGAAGGGGCCAGTCCTGTTTGGTTGTCCAGGTGCAGGACCCAAAACCAGCAACACACAGAGTGACATATGTTGTGACTATGCCCTTCTCATATCAACCCCAAAATGTACCGAAACACTGAAAAGACATTTTCCAACGGAGACTTGCCCAAGTTTTCCTTTTAAAACTATTCAGTTTTGAACCTCCAAATTCTGAATTTCAAACTCAACCACCTGCTTTCTCAGCAACTTCACCAGTGAACTCAATGTTGAAGCTCCTGGGGAAAAAAAAAATCTCACATAAAACGTACAGTGTGATAAATCCAGGCCTCATAGCATTAGCTGTGTCCTCCCACTTCCCACAGGGACTATTCCATGAAACTTATAGTGTCTTCTTCCTGGTGCACAGCTGGGCCACGTTTTCCAGCCTCCTTTGCAGCTAGTTGGTGACATGTGATTGAGTTCTACCACGAAATATAAGTGAAAGTGATTATGCTAATTTCTAGGCCTAATTTCTATGCTAATTTCTAGGCCTACTCCATAAAAACCTTCCATGTGTAACCTGCCATGTTTTTCCCCCTCTCTTGATGTGATGCAAACAAGCACAGTAACTCTGGGAGTCACATGGTGAAGATGGAGAAACTACAAGATGGAAGGAATCTGAATTCCTGAAGGATTTCCAGGAGGAAAATGTCACCTACCATTCATCAACACCCATTTAAGACCTCATGTGAATAAGGAAGAAACTTGTGTTAGAACAGTGAAATGTTGAGAAGTTATCTTGTATTTTTTTATTTTGAAAAATAATTTTTATTACGTATATTTATGGTATACAACGTGATGTTATAGGCTTAATATAGATAGTAAAAAGGTTACTGTAGTGAAGCAAATTAACATATCCATCATCTCAGTTACCCTATTTTTGTTTTTATGTTAAGAGCAGCTAAAATCTCACTTAGCATGAATCCCATACCTATAGTCTTCATACTGCACATTAGATCTCTATACTTGTTCATACTACTTTGTATCCTCTGACCTACATCTCTCCATTTCCTGCCCACAACCCATATCCCTGGTAACCACTGTTGTATTCTCTCTGCATATTTGAAATTTTTTTGGTTCCACATATAAGTAAGATCATATAATATGTCTTTCTTTGGCGTATTTCGCTTAGCACAATGGGCTTTCCCATGTTGTGGCAAATGACAAGCTCTCATTATTTTCTAGGGCTGAATAATATTCATTTTGTATAAACCAAATGTGGTATACTTACAGCCACTTCTTTCTCTATTTGTCCATCATCAGACACTTAGGTTGTTTCCATATCTTAGTTATTGTGAATCATGCTGCAGTGAACATGGGAGTGCAGACATCTTTATGAGGTGGTGATTTCATTTCCTTTGGGTATATGCCCAGAAAAGGAATGGCTGGGTCATATATGGTAGTTCTGTTTTTAATTTCTTTAGAAACCTCTATAACGTTTTCCATAACGGCTATACCCAATCTACATTCCCACCAACAGTGGACAAGAGTCCTCCACATCCTCACCAACATTTGTTATCTTTTGACTTTTTGATAACAGCCATCCTAACAGTTGTGAGGAGGTAAATCACAGTGGTTTTGATTTGCATTTCCCTGATATGATGTTGTGTACCCTTTCATATGCCTGTGGCCATCTTTGTGTCTTCTTTAGAAAAATGTCTACTCAGGCCTTTTGCCCATTTTATAAATCAGGTAATTCGTTTGTTCTTTGCTATTGAGTTGTATGAGTTCCTGATAAATTTTGGCTACTAACTCCTTACCAAATACATGATTTACAATATATCTGATGTACATTGGAATATTGGGATATACTGATTGGAATTTTTTCCCAATCTGTAGGCTGCTACTTCACTTTGTTGATTGTTTCCTTTACTGTACAGAAACTTTCTAGTTTGGTGTAGTCCCATTTATTTATTTTATTTTTGAGATGGAGTCTCACTCTGTCCTCCAGGCTAGAGTGCAGTGGCGCCATCTCGGCTCACTACAATCTCGGCCTCCTGGGTTCAAGCGATTCTCCTGCCTCAGCCTCCCAAGTAGCTGGAATTACAGGTGTGCGCCACCACACCCAGCTAATTTTTGTATTTTTAGTAGAGATGGGGTTTCACCATGTTGGCCAGGATGGTCTCGATCTCCTGACCTTGTGATCCCCCTACCTCAGCCTCCCAAAAGTGCCGGGATTACAGGCGTGAGCCACTGCGCCCAGCCCCCATTTATTTAATTTTGCTTTTGTGGCCTGAGCTCTTGTTGTGATATCCAAAAGCTGACTACCAACGCCAATGTCCAGGAGCTATTCCCCTATGTTCCTGTGTAGGAGTTTTATAGTTTCTGCTTTTATGTTTAGGTCTTTTATCAATTTTGAGTTGATTTTTGTATGTGGTATACGATAACAGTCCAATTCCATTCTTTTGCATGTGGAAATCCAGTTTTCTTAACATCCTATCAAAGAGACTATTCTTTTCCCATTGTGTCTTCTTGGTGCCCTTGTCAAAAATTAGTTGACTATATATACGTGGATTTATTTCTGGACTCTCTATTCTGTTCCACTGGTCTATGTGTCTGTTTTTATGCCTGTATAATACTGTCTTTATTACTATAACTTTGTAATATAATTTTTAAATCAGGAAGTATAATACCTCCAACTTTGTTTTGCTTTTTCATAATTGTTTTGGCTATTCAGGGTCTTTCATGGTTCTGTACAAATTTAAGAAGCATTTTTTCTATTTCTGTGAAGAAGGTCACTGGAATTTTGATAGAGATTGCACCGAATCTGTATATTGCTTTGGGTACTATGGACATTTCAACAATATTAATTCTTCTGATCCATGAGCATGTGATATCTTTCCATTTTTTTGTGCTTAATTTCTTTCATTAATGTTTTATAGTTTTCAGTGTACACATCTTTCACATTGGTTGAATTTATTCCTAGGTATTTTGTTCTTTTTGATGCTTTGTTAAGTGGGACCATTTTCTTCATGTTCTTTTCAAACAGACTGTAATTGGTATGAAAAAAAACGCAACTGATTTTGCATGTTGATTTTGCACCCCACAGCTTTACTGAATTCATTCGTTGTTCTAACAGTTTTTTTGTGTGGAATCTGCAGGGGCTTTTTTCCCCCCCTACAATATAGGATCACACCATCTGCAAATAGAGATAACTTTACTTCTTCCTGACCTCAATGCCTTTAATTTCTTTTCCTTATCTAATTACTATTGCTGGTACTTCCAGTACTATGTTGAATAGAAGTGGTGAAAGTGGGCATCCATGCCTGCCTGATACTAGACCTTCATGGAAAAACTTTCAGTTTTCCCCCATGTATTATAATGTTAGCTGTGGGTTTTTCATAAATGGCCTTTATTACACAGAGAAGCTTTCCTTCTATACATACACTATTGAGCATTTTTCTCAATAAAGGATGTTGGACTTTGTCAAATGCTTTTTCTGTGTCAATTAAGATTATCATGTGATTTTTATCTTTCATTCTGTTAATGCAATGTATCACTACTGATTGATCTGCAGATGTTAAACCAGCTTTGTATGCCAGGGATAAATCCCACTTAGTCATGACATGTAATCTTTTTGATGTGTTGTTGGATTTGGTTTCCTAATATTTTACTGGGGCTTTTTGCACCAATATTCATCAGAGAAATTGGGTTTAAATTTTCTTTTCTTGTGATGTCTTTGGCTGGCTGGGTATCAGGGTGATCCTGGCCTCATAAAATGTGTTTGAAAGTATTCCTTCTAGTTCTATTTTTTTGGAAGAGTTTAAGAAGTACTGGTATCAATTCTTTGAATGTCTGGTAGAACTCAGCTGTGAAGCTATCTGTTCCTGGGCTTGTCTTTGTTGAGAGGTTTTTCATTACTTCTCCAATCTATTTGTGATTGGTCTGTTACAGGCTTTCTATTTCTTCCTGAGTCAATCCTGGTAGGTTGTATTTTCCTAGGAATTTATCTGTTTCCTCTAGGCCACCCAATTTGTTGGCATATAATTGTTCGTAATAGGGACTTATCATCCTTTTTATTCCCGAGGTGTCTGTTGTAATTTCTTCAATTTCATTTTTGGTTTTACTTGAGTTTTCTTTTTTCTTTGTTAGACTATCTATGGGTTTGCCAATTTTACTTAAAAAAAAACCCAACTCTTAAGTTTATTGATTCTTCCTGTGGCTTTTCTATTATCCATTTAGTTTATGTTTGTTCTGATTTTTATTTCTTTCCTTCTACTAATCTGGTTTTAGTTTGTTCTTTTTCTAGTTCCTTGAGGTGTAATGTCACACTATTCATTTGAGATCTTTCTTCTTTTCTAATGTAGGCATATATTGCTATAAACTTTCCTCTCAGAACTGCTTCTCCTATATCCCATCAGTTCTGGTATATTGTGTTTCCGTTGTCATTTGTCTCAAGGCATTTTTTAAATTTATCTTTTAATTTCTTCTTTGACCCATTGGTTGTTCTGGGGCATGTTGTTTATGTTCCAGATATTTGTGAATTTTTCAAGATTCCTCCTGTCACTGATGTCTAGTTTATACCACTGTGGTTTGAAGTTATATCTGAAATGATACTAGACATAATTTCAATCTTAAATTTTGTGGCCTAACATATGGTCTATCCTGGAGAATGTTCTATGTATACTCTAGAAAAACTTTACATTCTGCTGCTGTTGGATGGAAAATTCTGTACATGTCTATTGGGTCCATTTGGCCAAAAATGCAATTCAAGTCCTGCATTTCTTACTAATTTTCTGTCTGAATGATGTACATGTTGTTGAACTGAGAAGTTATTTTTACAGCAGCTAGCATTACCTTAATAATATACACATTTCGACCAAATTCTTTATGTTAGTTTGGGTCTACCCAGAAGCAAGTACCAAGATAGAACTAGAAATACAAAAGATATATTGAGAAAGGAAGCCACAGAATGTGGGAGGTCCTTCAAACCACACCTATGGACATGGAGAGGAAAGGAAGAAGGAATGGCTAGGAAGTCTTGGATTCCAACACAGTTCCAAGAAAGGTCTGCTCAGGCCAATAGGAGTTCTTGAGCCAATTTGGCCCACTGGAAAAGTCCTGTGTCCCACAGGAATGAGCCTGAAATAGGAGCCCCTATTGTGCTTGGTCATGACTGGGAGACGCTAGTGGCAATTTGTAGTTTAGTACAATGCAAGGGTGGCTGCAGAGGGGCAGCAGTTGGGCCATCAGTCAACTACGCTTCTAGCTGTAGATCTAAGCACTTATTTTCATGGACACTACACCCCTCAAACTTCCAACTTTCAAGACCTACAATCCCTTATCCATATCCACACCCAGTCTTTCCTCCTTTGTTCCCATCTATTAAAAACTGAGTTGTCCTTTGTCTAGCCCAAAGCTAATCTTGCCATGTGTTCTAGCTTACGTGCCATCAGATCTGCTTAGAGACATTATTCCATCAGTTATCTCCTTCTTCTTCCTGTCTAATGGATTATATCTATCCTCCAGGATGTAAACTTGCTTGAGATTTTAACCTTGAAAAAGAATATTAAAAAAATGTTCCTTGACAACTCTTGCTCTCCTTCCCTTAGTATCTAAGCTCCTTGAAAGAGTAGTATAAATGAACCATCTCATTTCTTATTTTTCACCACCCACTAATTGCTCTTGCTAGGATTACTGAACCTACCAGTTGACACATCCTGGAACCCTTGCTTGACCCCTCTGAAGTATTCAACATTCTTGACTACTCCCTCCTTCTGCAGATTCCTGCTTTGGGTTCGTGGAGCACCCTATCCTCAGGTTTTCCTCATACCCTCAGATCATTCCTTCTAAAGCTTCTTTTTATTTGCTTCCTCCTTAAAAGTCCACTTCCTAGGGCTTATATCATTGGTTCTCTCTGTTCTCTGTTTCCTACATTAATATCGCCCCTTGATCTCACGATCTAATTGAGCACTTATATACTTATATACTGATGAGATCACTCATGTAGTCACCCATGTAGTCTCAATACTCATAACCAATCAGTTACCAAGTTCTGAGGATTCTATTTCTTAACTGGCTCTCAGCACCATCATCTCCTTATCTCCCCACTGCCACTGCCCCATGAACTTCTGTAGGAGCAGAGTGACCCTCTCGCCTTGGATTCCATTCCTACTTATCTGTACCTCCACAGTGCTGCAAGAGAATATTTCTAAAGCACAAATTTCATCATGAAACCTCTGCATTGAGATTCCTGAAGTTGTTCCCCACTGACTACAGGATGAAGGCCAGCCTCCTTGGCATGGTACGTAAGGTCCTTCATAATCAGTTTTAGTCTGATCTTCCTCCACTACCTTCTCCATGTTCCCAAACTCTCATTATATGAAGTTATTTGAAATTCATACAATGTGGCATATGTTTCATGCTTCTATGGCCTTGTATGGGCTCTTTGCCCAAAATGCTCTATGACCCTGCCCTAACTGGGGGAATCTACTGTGCATTCTTTCAATGTTTGGTTTGGGATTCATTTGTACAGCGATGACTTTTACAGACCAATTCACCTATCTGTGGAGCCCCTTCCCATCCCCACGCCCCATTCCCAGGCCATTCAAGTGGCTGTTGTGTTGTTAGTACCCATTCATGGGTACCATGCGTGCACATGATTCCAGGACAGCAATCCTGCCCTGTTCCTTTTTGACTAGCACTGACACAGAGTAGGCACTAAATGGATGTTTACTGACTGAAAGAATGAATGATGTACAGACCCAATCTCCGAAGTTTGGCCTCACAAAATTTGCCTCTGAAAAACAAAATTATCACAGAGTAGCCAAAAACCATGATGACACCAATCAACATTACATGCACACACTGGTGTCCAAGTGCAGGTAGTGACATCTCCAATTTACACGTGAAAAGTGGATACTTGGCATTAAAGGAGAAAGATTCAAATGGTCTACGTAAGACAGCCACAAAGATAGCTCAAGAGCTATTATCCCAAGGGACACGCATTAACTGTTAGTAAGTATATAAACTAGAGTTCACATTTCACACAGAACTTTCTAACACAAATTGGAAACAGGAGACGATTAAGCTGATCTAAGGAAAAGCATGGCTTTGATACACAAGAAACTACACATGCATTTTACATTAAATGCTTTTTAAAATTCACTCACAGAAAAGAGTACAACAATTATTTTAAAAGTCACAGTTTGTAAATTTGATATGTAAAATTGGAATTTAAAATAAAAAATCTCCATGGCCACTGAAGGCTGAAAGAGTAAAAAGAAAAAGGAAATAAAAGACAAAATGTGTAGTTTCAAACTCTCTGTGATGCATCTCACCCCTGATCAGTGGGAAGCCAGTTATCACATTGAAGACACTAGGTAAGCACAAGAGTTTACTGAAAATGGACCTTTTCATGAAAAATCATGGGTCAAACATCTCTATGACATACACTGCTGTTAAAGGAAACACATAGTTTCTCATTCTTGACATGATGATGCCTGATGTGCTTAGTTAGACAGACAGCTTAATATGGTTCCCCTCCCAAAGCTTAGTGAAAATAGCTTTTTTAAAAAATTTGAAAAATAAATCCCCAAACATAATTCTTCTGGCAAAATATTAAATCCTACCGAAGAAGGAGGCTTTCAGGGAAACAGTCCAAATAAACCTTTTAATTTGTTTAATGTTCTATAAGCTATTGGTATCAAGAAAATGTATATCTTTGTTTTAAAATAGACAAATTAGTGATGCATCTACATGCCATCCACTTAACTTTGTTCCTGCTGTTCAGCCTTTATAAGAGTAGCATTTTTTCTTGCGCTGACTCCTGAAGCCTAAATCTGCAAAAGTCTGTGATGACATCAAGCTTAACATTTTGCCAAGCCTGTAAAATTATTTCTCAAAATAGTGTGCTAACACATCAGCTTTTACTCAAACCTAAATTAAATGTCAGGAAAGGACTCCCATGTTTACACTAACTGCCCATTAGTAAACATTTCTGACTGTAATAACTGAAGGTCCCATGTTCTCAAGGTAATGGCACCAGCAAAATCCCTTGAAAATTTGCTCCTAACCACAAGTCTAAGTAGGATGTGGTCACTCAGGTTTTAGATTGATGATGCTGAAGAAATGTATTTACAGGCTGAAAAGCTTATAACCCTGGCCAAAACACTGACTTCAGAGCACCAGGAGAAACTCCTTGGACTAGATAAAGTAAATATTTGAAGAAAATCTGCATTCATTGAGTGATTTGCTGGTATATACAAAATTTATCCTTTAAGGAACCAAACAGGAGTTCTAATTACCTCCCTATATTTCTTCTCCTTATACTTTCCAAGTTCAATTACAGCTTTGTTCAATCTCTGCCTTTTTTACTCTTTTGTCCTCTGTCTGAAGTTTTCAATTAAGACTTACTTTATAACAGGATTGTGGTTACGTAGGAAAATGTTCTTATTCTTCAGAAATGATGCTGAGGTCTTCAGGGAAAAATGTCATGAAAGTAAGTCTGCAACTTACTTTTAAATAGTTCTAAAAAATGAACCCCTCTTGCCAACACACATACAAAACTATAAATTCAGAGACAAAATAACAAATATTAATAATTGGCAAATATAAACAAAGGGTATATAAATGTTCTTCATATGATTCTTTCATCTCCTCTCTAGGTTTGAATTTTTCAAAAGGAAAAGAAAAAAATTTTAAAAGAATTACTTAATGAGCACCAGGTTTTCAAATTGTAAATGCATTTCTTGAGCATCACATATCCAAAACTTGAGAGGCCTAGGGCTAAAGAAATGTCAAGACTAACAAAAGACATGTTGTTGTCCTCTACAGACATGATGTTGACTCAATTTGCACATCCTGGAAGTGTGTATCTGGGATGGAGGTGAAGAGGCATTCACAGCCAGGCATTTTTCTCCAGAAAGCTGTCCCTTTGGGGTTTCCTCGTCTTTCCCTCCCAGTGAGACCCTGGTTCACCTGCTGTCTCTCCAGCTGTCAAGCAGTGGTTCCTGGGAAGTCTGGGAGACCCGTGAGAGGTTGGAGGTAGATTCAAAGCACCCTCATGGAATGAATTTACCAAATAAACAACTGCATGTTAGACCTGTACATTTAAAAACATAAGTGCTACAAATATTCTTAAAAGGCTTTCAAAATTTCAGTGAAGACAAGAATGCTTTTTCAAATGTTTATGTAAAAATCTTATACAAGCTGTTTGCTATTATAGTCAGGATATATTTGGTGAGAAAAACAAAACATTGTAACTCAAGGCATGCTCCATTTCAGACAAAACATGAACTCTCTCCTTTAATTATATCAGCCATTACAACAAGAAAACCTTGTAAAAGGTTCACACATGGGGCCCACATTATGGGGATCCACTTCACCCTCAGAGAGGCTTGTTACACAGCTGAGAGAGAGCATGGTGGAGGACAGTTGCTTCTCCCTTTTTTATAAAATCCTTCCCATTTGCTCTAAAATAGAATTTCTAAATAACAGCACCCAAAGAGTGCTCAAAATAGGATACTAAACCACTTTGGAGGGCAAGACAGAAGTCTCTTGTCAGCTTCCACAAGAAAGAGAACTTTAGGCTGTACAAGTATTTTCTTTGGGATGCAAACACTTTGATATAAAAGTAACTTTCTTTAATATATTTGTGCTAACATGATGGGAAATGCCCAACTCACACATCAGGATCTTAGTGATAGTGCATCTATCCTGAACATGGCTGTCTTAATTAGCCCGATGTGTCTATGGTAATAAACACCACGCTGCAGAACAACTCAATATACCCAGGTGAAATCTTTACCACTTAAAACACTTTAGACGGCTTGTAATCAATTGGATGGCATTTTCCCAATGAGAAATCCTAACTGCAAGGTAAGGTACCTTTCTATCTATAGTGAGTGTTGACTTACGTTGCAGGCATGGTGCTAAGAGACTTCCTCTGCATTATCAACTCATTTTAAACTTAATACTACCTTGTGAAGTATGTAATGTCCTGGGCACCAGATAGAAGAGGACAGAGAAGCACTGAGAACAGAAGAAATGAACATTTATCAAGTACTACCACATGGTACTGTAACAGTGCTCTCTATACATTATCCCATGTAACTATCTCTACAACCCTATGATGTAAGTATTAGTAATGCCATTTTACCAGGGAGAAAACTGAGAGATACATAACTGGACTAAGGCTGCAGAGATGGGAAATGAGCCTATACTGTCATATGCCCAGGTACTATGTGGGCACAATTCCTCCTGATCACCACATTCTACAAGCTCCAACCCAGATGCTAAAGGTAGAGGCAACAACCATGGAGGAATAGCCATGAATGTTCCTTGCGGCCACTGCACCCATGGAGGCTAGAGCAGACCTAGTGCCCTGAGGGTGGGATGTAAATTCCTTTTTAAATCCAGAGGGTGTGATATGGAGGGTCTATCTCTGGTTTAACGAAGATACTGAAGCCAGTGAAAACAGATCCCAAATCTGGCCCCACGACTGACCCAGCCTCCTAAAGAGCCTGTAGATGACCAACTACAGAGAGAGGAAGGCTCTAGAAGACAGAAGATGCTCCCTGGGAGGTTCTTTTCAGCTGTCTTTCTTCTTCCCTCATGCCTCTCTATGACTTAACTTGGCATCTAGGTGCACATGGGCAATTGTTCACAGCAGCCAAAAGGTGGAAACAACCCTAATATCAACTGGTAAATGGATAAACAAATTATTGTATATTGTAGCATACAATAAAATTTTATCCAGCCACAATAAGGAATGAAGTACTGATACACACAACAATACAAATGAACCTCAAAAATGTTATGCTAAATGAAAAAAGCCAGACATAAAAAATCACATACTGCATGACTCAATTTATATGAAATATCCAGAAAAGGTGAAACCATAGACGCAGGAAGCAGAGAAGTGGTTTCCAGGGGTTGAGGGATAAGGGGAATGAGGAGTGACTGCTTAATGGGGACGGAGTTTCCTTTGGGGTGAGGAAAATGTTTCAGAACTGGATAGAGGTCCCAGTCGCACGGCACTGTAAATGTACTATATGCCACTGAATTGTACACTTGAGGAGGGTTAATTCTATATGAACTTACCTCAATTTTTTAAAAGTACACATGGCAACGCATAGTCTTTGAGCAATCTTGAATAACGATATACACTATGCCAAGCTATAAAGATGCCCCACCCTGTGCCCTTTTTACATTACACACAAATAGGGACGGATTTCCTGTAAGCTGATCTTGAAGAAAAAAAACATGTTAGACAAAGAAAATCAGAACTAAGACATCTCCCCCCCACCAAAAAACCCTCAACACTGTATCTTTGTTCTTTTCCCATGTCCTCTACCCTACTAAAACGAACAAATAATATAAACCCCAACCACTGAGTGTACCACAGACAGAAAACTTGGTACACAAAAGACCTAATAAAATAAAATCTGTCAAGTTTTGTTGCCCCCAAATTGAATAGAAAGATCCAGCAGGCCCTTAAACATATGAAAAGAAGCACACTCTTGCTGGCAATCAGGGGAACTCAAATTAAAACAGCTAGTGATCACTTTACACCGCAGAGAGAGAACACTTAAAAAGACTCCTAACACCTGGCAGGGGTGAGGCAAACAGGTACTCTCATATTTTGCAGGTGTGACTCTACAGCAATGCAACTTTTTTGGAGTATCATCTGACATCATGCATGAGTCACTGACTCCGTTTTTAGGAATCTATCCTTCAAATATCAAAGTAGATACACATGAATATATGTACAAGAATTTAACTGCAGTGTTGTTAGGAATGGTAAAAACCTAGAATGCTCTTGAAGGTATATCAGCTGGGGAATAATTGAATAAACTATGGTACAACGATACCATAGGATATTATGCAACTGTTAAAAAGAGCCACTAGATTCATATTTGATAAGGATAAATGTTGTAACAAAATATTAAAGAAAGTTGCAGAGTATTGTTTATGATGCCATTTTCATAGCAGAAAAAATGTCCCTTCTCCATGTAAAGGTATATGTTTGTATGTATGTATATGATGTATAGAGAAAGGAAAAGAACCAGAGGAGTGGGAGAAAGACAATCAACTTTTTCTATATTCACCTAAATATTATTTTATGCATTGTCCTACAATTTTTTTTAAAATAGAAAAAGTTTAAGTAAACAGCATTTTTTTCTGCACTTGCCTTTTTTGTTTTTTTTTTTTTTTCAAGACAGGGTCTTGCTCTGTCGCCCAGGCTAGAGTGCAGTGCCATGATCTTGGCTTACTGCAACCTCTGCCTCCTGGGTTCAGGCAATTCTCATGCCTCAGCCTCCTGAGTAGCTGGGATTACAGGTGCACACCACCATGCCCAGCTAATTTTTGTATTTTTAGAGACGAGGTTTCACCATGTTGGCCAAATTTGCCTCAAACCCCTGATCTCAAGTGATCTGCCTGCCTTGGCCTCCCAAAGTGCTGGGATTACAGCCATGAACCACTGTACCCGAACTGCACTTGCCTTTTATACATGCAAGAAATGTGAAGGGGACAGTCCCCAAAAACCCACTTTGAGGATATGTTCTGAAATTAGTATCTACTGAACTTCAGTCTCCTAAGTTGTATATATTCTGTCCAACAGTGCAACTCGAACTGGACTCTGCAGACCAGCCCTAGTCCCAGAATAAGCACAGAAACTGAGAGTAGACCTTTAGAATTTTTTTACAGCAGCTTGCCAGAGTAATTTTATGTCTGTTGACTATAAGAATAATAAATGTTTAATCAGGCTTATGTTTTTAGTTTCTTTAAATTTCATTTTTCTAGTATTTCATTTTTCTAGTAAATCATTTTTATTGTATTTTATAAAATTATCAATCCATGACATACTGGAAATTAAAAACAAAACTGGTCCTTCACCCAAGATAATTAGAGAAGCAAAACTCTAAACAATGAGAGTCAATGTTCATAATGATAAAACATAGTAATATAAGATATTTAGGAACTTTAATAATGAAAGATTAGATTCTATTGAGAATACATGCTAATATATTCAAACTCTTATGAAAAAAGATACTAAATAGATCAGAAGAAAGCTTTCTGGTAATAAGAACAGATTACTAACCATTCTAGGTAAATAATTAAGTTCATTCTTGTCAGGAAAAATGAACTCTAGTTTCTATTTTCAAGTGAAGACTAAGAGACCTGGAGAATAAATGAAACCCCATACAACTCCAAAACCAGCTACCCAGAGTTCAGCCAGACACTTTAACTTTTGCTGAACAAAATTAACTTCATTTTCATTTTTTTCTCCCCTCTCGTCCTTCTGAATGAAGATGCTAATAGCAACAGAAAACAGTAACAGAGACAAGTGGCAGGGTTAGGTGGGGCTAAGGTCTGACTACTCCGTGCAGATTCTATTTAATAAAGTTTCACCTACCAATATTCTATGCTGGGGGTGAGGGGTGGGAAGGGAAGGGAGAGAGCTTACATACTCCTAAGTCTTCTGAGTTTTCTAAAAGTTGATACACCAAGTTACAGTTACCCAGAAAAACTGGTGGGAAGAATAAAGAACCAAAAAACATACTTACAGTCCAAAAGTAAAAAATATCATTTGTACATACAAATTTCTTCTCCCCTTCCTAAATTTTTTAAACTAATGCTATAGTGAGGTGCATTTCCAAATCTGGCAGCTTAAATAAAATCAACTGTAACTAGCATTGTGGTGAATGAAATGCTTTACAACTCACAGCTGTGACACTGAAATAAGGAAATCCTGGATTCCCACCAAGGGGTAACCAGCATCAAAAGACAGGGCACATTTTGATGTTTTGAGAATTTCTGAGAAGTCAGAGAAAATTTAGGTTATTTTCATATCGGTTGGACTTTCCATAATAAAAGAGCCCTAAAACAAATAGCAGCCCCAAGTGTGGCAGTGCTATATTGTTTGGATTCCTTATAACAATCAGTGTGTTCATAAGATGCTTAGAAATACACAGAATAAGCTGATGGCCCCGGTGAGTGGGACACACGCTGGGCAGCTGTGTGAACTTTTAAAATTTTAATTTAATTTTTATTTTATTTCAATAGTTTTGGGGGAACATATGGTTTCTGGTTACATGGATAAGTTCCCTAGTGGAACTTCACTCTGAGTCTCCAGAGTCCATTATATCATTCTTATGATACACTATATTTGGTTTTCCATTCCTGAGTTACTTCACTTAGGATAATGGTCTCCAATTCCATCCAGATTGCTGTGAATGCCATTATTTTGTTCCTTTTTATGGCTGAGTAGTATTTCATGATGTATATATACCACATTTTCTTTATCCACTCATTGGTTGATGGGTATTTAAGCTGGTTCCATATTTTTGAAATTGCGAATTGTGCTGCTACAAACATGCATGTGCAAGTGTCTTTTTCATATAATGACTTCTTTTCCTTTGGGTAGATAATAGTGGGATTGCTAGATGGAATGGTAGTTCTACTTTTAGTTCTTTAAGGAATCTCCACACTGTTTTCCAGAGTGGTTGTACTACCTAAGAAACTCTAAAGACTCATCCAAAAAGCTCCTAGATCAGTAAGGTCTCAGGAGGCAAAATCAATGAACACAAATCAGTAGCACTGCTATACACCAACCGTGACCATGCTGAGAATCAAATCAAGAATTAAATCCCTTTTACAACAGCTGCTAAATAAACAAATAAAATACTTAGGAATACACCTAACCAAGGAGGTGAAAATCTCTACAGGGAAAACTACAAAACACTGCTGAAAGAAATAATCGATGGCACAAACAAATGGAAACATATTTCATGCTCATGGATGAGTAGAATCAATATTATGAAAATGACCATACTGACAAAAGCAATCTACAGATTCAATGCAATTCCCATCAAAATACTATCATCATTCTTCATAGAACTAGAAAAAACAATCCTAAAATTCACAAGGAACCAAAAAAAGGTACACATAGCCAATAGAACAAAAGCAAAAAGAAGAAATCTGGAGGCATCACATTGCCCAATTTCCAACTATACTACAAGGCTATAGTTGCCAAAACAGCATGGTGCTGGTATAAAAACAGGCACATAGACCAATGGAACAGAACAGAGAATCCGGAAATAAAGCCAAATACTTACAGCCAACTGATCTTTGACAAAGCAAACAAAAACATAAAGTGAGGAAAGAATACCCTATTCAATAAATGGTGCTGGAATAATTGGCAAGCCACATGTAGAAGAATGAACTGGATCCTCATCTCTCACTTTATACAAAAATCAACTCAAGATGAATCAAAGACTTAAATCTAAGACCTGAAACCATAAAAACTCTAGAACACTGGAAAAACTCTTCTAGACATTGGCTTAGGCAAAAAGTTCATGCCTAAGAACCCAAAAGCAAATGCAACAAAAACAAAAATAAATAGTTGGGACCTAATTAAACTAAAAAATCAACAGAGTAAAAAGACAACCCACAGAGTGGGAGAAAATCTTTGCAAACTATGCACCTGACAAAGGACTAATATCCAGAATCTACAAGGAACTCAAATCAGCAAGATAAAAACAACCCCATTTAAAAAAAAAAAAAAAAGAAAAAAGAAAAAAGAAAGGAAAAGAAAAAAAAAGAAAAGAAAAAACATTGTTTATGAAGTTCAGAGCTTGGAGATTCATTCAAGTATTGATTGCAGTTTTATTTTGAAAAGAATGCTACAATTTATGTGGTTTTTCTCATGTTTATATTAAAAGCTAATAAACTAATTTAAAAAGAACCTATCAAAAACTGGGCAAAGGACATGAACAGACAATTCTCAAAAGAAGACATCCAAATAGCCAACAAACATAAGAAAAAATGCTCAACATCTCTATTAGGGAAATGCAAATTAAAAGTGCACGAGATACCATCTTACTCCTGTAAGAACGGACATAACTGAAAAACAAAAAATAATAGATGCTGGCGTGGATCTGGTAAAAAGGGAACACTTTCACACTGCTGGTGGGAATGTAAGCTAGCTGTGTAAACTTATGAAACAAAGACCAAGCTGAGGTCCTTGCCTCACCTGCTGTGCTTCAAGGGCTCATCAGCTTGGTCCCAAATGATGTCTTCAGTAGGTGGCGAAATGTTAAAACTGGGAGCTATGTGAACGAACGCGCTGAAAGACAAAACACGTTAGATCAGTTAGGTCACTATAACAAAACGTAGTATCATGCAACCAAGTGCTGTTAACCAACTTCCTTCTCTGCTTGACATTGAACTACCTGCAAATTTAGTGCTTAGAAAAGGTCCAGGGACTTGCCCATGAGGAAGAACTCAGCAATACCACAGACTTTAATGCAACTGGATTTCACCTCCTCATGTCACCAAGACTTACTGTGCAGGGTACAAATGGCCTTCTTCCGTGTCAAATCTTATGTCCCCCTTTCACTCTTGTTCTCCTTGACTTCTTTGTAGTGTCTGACACTGTTCAGTAGTTTTTTTTTTCCTCTTTTTATTCTCCTCTCTCTCCTGCTTCGCCTGTTTCTTTTATGGTTTCCTGCTCCTCTTTCTCCTTCTGCTTCTTGACCAAGGACACTTTTTAAGGCCCTGGGTTTTTCTCTCTCCCTCAGAAATCGTCTGTTCCCAGCACATCAATTCTCTCCTTGCAGATAGCCCCCCAATCATCCCCATTCCCTCCCTTGAACTCCTCTCCTTTATTCTCAACTCTCCAGTGAGCCATTTTTCCTGCATATGGTATCTCTACTGCATATGCTCTTCAAAAGCCTTCATTTCTTGCTGCAACACTACTGCTGTGGAAAAATGAGCTTGTCTATTGACCTCATTGATTTCTGCAATAGCAGAATTATCCTCCCAGCCAACCAAGCTCCAAATCTTAGATTCATTTTTGCTCATTCCCTCTTCTTCAATTCCAGTCATTCATCAAGGCCTCTTGATTTGTTACATCTCACCTCTATCTTTTGCTACCCACTTACACTGACCAGATCCTGCTTAGCTGAGAAAAACTCCCTCTTCTCTTCTTTCCTAATGTTTCCTCTTGTAAAATTGGCCAGCGTGCTGCTGCCATTTTGATCTTTCTATCACTACCCCTGCCATTTTCATCTTCCTCTCGCTATCCCCAGCAATTTGAGAATCCTCATCACCCCTCTAACAAGCAACCTGCATTGCCCAGTAGAGAGAAAACAAGACAGCAGAGTAGCTAAGAACTCAGGCTCTGGATCCTGGTGGCCATGCTTTGAATCACAGTTCCACAACTTAACTGCTATGTGCCTCAGTCTCCTCATCCCTCAATGAAGGCCAGGTGCAGTGGCTCACACCTGTAACCCCAGCACTTTGGGAGGCTAAGGCGGAGGATCGCTTGAGGCCAGGTGTTCAAAACCAGCCTGGATAACATAACGAGTTCCTGTTTCTATGGGGAAAAAAAATTAGCCAGGCATGGTGGCACACACCTGTAGTCCTGGCTACTCAGGAGGCTAAGGCAAAAGGATCACTCGAGCCCAGGAGTTCGAGGCCACCATGAGCTACGATCATACCACTGCACTCCAGCCTGGGCAACAGAGCAAGACTCTGTTTCTAAAAAAAGTGGGGGCAGGAGGGACTTGATAATATCTCCTGCAAAGGCTTGCTGTGAAGATAAGAATAGTTAAAAGGTGTGAAGAACTTAGAAGAGTGCCTAGCACAGTAAGCACTCCATTAAGTGTTAAATGGTAATGGCTCCCAGCTGGACTGGCCCACACAGCATCTCCTAAACCTGTGTGCTCACCCTTCCTTTGTTATTACACCTTCCATCATTTGGCTTATACAGTGTGGAAACTCTTCTTCTCTTGGCTCCTCTATACAAATTCTGCCCACTGTCAAGGCTCGGGTCTGATTTCCCACTCAGCCAGTGGGAAATCTGAGTACTTCAGCTGCAAACTAGCTTTTCTGCCTCTGAACTTCTAGAATATTTACTAGATGTCCCTAAATCAAGTTGTTTTTTAAATTACTGAGTGTGGAGGGAAGCTCACAGGCTGGAAATTACTGGTGATGGAGCTGGAGGTCTTGCTCTTTCCTCTGGGTGCCCCTAAGTGGGTAATGTCTCAGAACCCCAGCTTCTTTCTCTGAAAAAGTTATTATCTTATTTATAAGGTTTCCTCAAAGACTGAATAAGAACATGTAAAGCTCCTATCATATAATCAGGCGTAAACATTAGTTCCCTTCCAGTGGGACTATAAACCTCCAAGGGTAGCTCACGTTTCTCCGTGCTCCAAGGACAGTAATATGCAGAGATTAAACAGACAGATAGGGGAATACAGACTGAATAAACGAAAACCTTTCCAAGTCTGATTTTATGACAATATTCTGAAAAGGGCTTTTCCATGCCTATTCTAAACAACTGACAGTGCTTCCATCATAAAATGCATTTTGACACACTTAATCTTCCAAGAACATACGTTGATTCTATGCCCTGATGAGAGAATATATTAGCTACTTAACCTTTATCTAACTCTTACATAATATTAAGATTTTTTTAAGATTCATTTTTACAAAACCCAGAAAGTCCACACACAACAAAAACAAAACAAAACAAAAAAAGGAACACAAAGTAATTGAAAAGACTTTTCATACCTAAAAAGGGAATTTTTAATCACAACCTTAGTCATAAACCTCAACAGGCAAGTCAGAAGCAGTGAAAGATAAAAGTGCCAACAAGAAAATCCGGTTGAAGTGCCACTCGGGTTCATGCAGTGGGTTACAGGGCGCACAAGACAAGCTGGCGGAAGTGGGTGCTGTACCTTTATCACAGCCGCCCCCACCTGACCACCTGTAGCAGCCTCAGAGGAAGCAGACAACCCCCACACACTTTCCAGCTGCATCTTTGCAGCCACAAAGTACGCACATACAATCAGCTAACGTATAAAAGTATATCAGAAGCATCAATGTGAAAAGGGAAAAAATCTTTAACTCGTGATGAGTAACCTGTGTTATTTAGATTCTGTCATTGAGACCTGATGCTAAGGGGAGACCCCTCTAAAGACACCCACACAACCCTGATAACTGGCAGCATAAGTGCATAATCTTTGCATCAAATACCTGGGGCACTGAAGAGGCTGAAGCAGCAAATCCTCTGGTAGAGGGTGAGGACCAAATGGGGGTACCTCAGAGGCTACAGTTCCTCCCCCTAGTGTTCAATGACAAATGGAAACATGTCACTGGGTCCAAACGCAGGGAGGACTAGTCTTTGCTTTGGCACCAGGCTAGACAAAGAAAAGACCCCTTGCCCCGTGACCCCACATTGTCCTACAAAGGAAAAGGCTGGATTTTGTTGATGAATGCAATTCACATGTTTGGAGCAGTGTCATTTGAAAGGACTGCTTCAGAAATTCATGCAAGTCACATAAGTGGAGAGAAAACAGGAAAAAATTAAGAATGGCTGTTTACAAGTCACTTCTAAAACTTTGCTTTGTTCTACTTGAACAATTTTTATCATCATTTAAAGCAGTTAAATTAAAATGCACCTGCACTGTAAATCGTGAGAGAACATACCTGCTCTTCAAATATGACTTGAAAATTATTTGGTTTCTCCCCTACCTCCCCCTACCTGGGATGCTCTCATTTTACATTTAATTTGGAAAATTAGAAGAAAAATGGAATAAGCTCAAATCCTAACCAAAATTTGTTTTTACTTTTAAAATACAACCATTTTAGAATTTTTAAATAAATGTAAAATATTTTATTATTTACTTAACTTTTACCTTCAGGGTTACATGTGCAGATTTGTGATATGGGTAACTTGCGTCATGGGGGTTTGTCGTACAGATTATTTTGTCATCCAGGTACTAAGCCTAGTACCTGATAGGTTTTTTTTTTTCTGCTCTTCCCCCTCCTCCCACTCTCCACTCTCCAGTAGGCCCCAGTGCCTGTTGTTCTGGATGGGCGTAGCGGCTCACGCCTGTAATCCCAGCACTTTGGGAGGCCAAGGCGGCCTGAACATCTGAGGTCAGAAGTTCGAGACCAGCCTGGCCAATATGGTGAAACCCAGTCTCTACAAAAAAATTAGCCAGGCATGGTGGTGTGCACCTTTAGTCCCAGCTACTTGGGAGGCTGAGGCAGGAGAACAGTTTGAACCCAGGAGGCAGAGGCTGCAGTGAGCCGAGATCACACCACTGCACTCCAGCCTGGGTGACAGGGCTAGATTTCGTCTTAAAAAAAAAAAAAGAAAGAAATCATCAATGGGCATTAAAGAAAAGTGTAACTTTTAAACCTACTTTCATAGTTCAAATACACCCAGTATTTGGAGGTCAGAGTAGTCACACTTCACTAACTTTATAAAGGAGAGGCTTTCAATAAATGCAAGGAATGTCTACCACAGCAATACATGTGTAAAACGTTTCATCTATGACAGCCATGTTCTAAATTAATGTTATATTTCCTACTCTGAAATAATTTTAATTTATGACTAAAAATGGTAACAAATGTTCTTTTCATTGAGGCCCAAGAAAGTATGAGAGTATTTATTCACATATTCTCATTTCCCATGTAACATGCCTAGGGCCATCCTGAATGAGAGCACAGAAAATGTGAAGGATTTCTCTGCCTAGTCTGCTTAAGATCAACAACACCTATAAGTCTAAACATAAAACACACACCTTTAAATGATCACCATTAATGTTAATAAGCATTAAAGGTAGACACTGAAGTCTTTTGTGTTGGCAAATCCTAGAACTACATTTTCATTCAGACAGGTTGCCTCTGGATAAACGTCTAAGATTTTTTCTAAAAACAAGTTATGGTATTTATAATTGCCTTCTTTAAAAGAATGCAAATTCTTTTGCCTACAGATTACGCTAAGCAAAAGAGTGAGAGAGAGAGGAAATTTCAGTAAAATTTTGAGAACCATAGCTTGCATTATAGATTTTGGAATGTACCTTCCTGCCATTTAACCCAACCCCATTTTCTTATTTCCTAGTAAATACACTCCCCAGTTATTCATCCCTTATTATACCCTGGGACAATGGTCATTTTGGTACCAATCACACCTTAGTTTTCCACTATCACCTGCTAAAAGTTCTCTTGAAGAAAAAAAATATAACTGTAAGAGAAACCTGAGTGATATAACGTCAGTATTTTAACATCCTAACCCTTTCAAATTCTCTCTATATGAGAATTGACTATTTTCATCCTCCCTTGAAAAAATGTGTTCGGGCATTAAAATTCCTCTACCTTGGACCTTTTCATAATGGCTGCCTTAGTATTTATTTTGATATACTATTCAAGACACCAACAGTTTGAGGTTTTCACTTCTTTTCTTGAAGAGTGTCACAAAGTCAAATTTCAGCCTCATCTACAAGACATTTAAAAATTACACTGCTTTCCTGATTTAACTCCTAAATATGCCCAACACAAATAATTATGTTGTTCACCTGAAGATATGTTCTAGAATCTTCACATTGCTACTCATAATGGCCCCAAACTGGAAACTATACAAATTAATAAATAGTGGTATAGTCACACAATATAATACTATATAGCATGGAGAATGAAAAATCAACTACCATAGTCAATATGGTGTCATGCACAATATGAGTTAACTGTGCATATTATCGAGTGAAAGAAGTTAGACACAAAATAGTACATTCTGTATCTCCATTGATATAAAGTTCAAAAACAGGCAAAGCAAATCTATGCTTTCCCAAGTCAGAGTAGTGGCTACCACGGGTGAAGTAGTTACTGGAAGGAAGCCTGAGGGATTTCTAGGGCGCTGATAATGCTGTGTCTTAATCTGGGAACTGGTTACAACAGCGTGTTCACTTTATGGAAATTCGTCAGTAAGATGAATATATGTTATATGCATACTTTTCCCTATTTATATTATCATTCAATTAAAAAGAAATAAAATTAATCAGCTTCTCTTAAGAAACAGACTTACAGGAATGAAAACTAGTGTGTTTCACACAGTAAAATGGAAGAAGCTTAAGAGCTAGGTTCAAATTCCAGACTCTACCATTAATTATTCAATCTTAGCTTCTCTGGCTTCCAGTTCTATAAAATGGAGCCAACAGCAAAGATCAAATGACATAACACTGAAGGCATTTTAAGCAAGAAGAATATACAAATGCTGAGCACTACTGCCTGAAATACTAATAATGTACTTATCCGAGAAGCCTTTAAAGTTACATGGTTCTACACAAAATGTTAGTATAAACATAACTGGCAAGATAATATTATCAGTTTTGCCATTTAAAGAACTTCCTAACAATCAAAGATATGCAACATTTATTCTACCCAAAGTTAAAGTGTCCTGCCCTAACCTCTACTTTGAGACACTTGGTAAATAATTTTCGGAAGAGTGTCAAGATACATAATATTATAGGAGACGATGTCAAATATTAAAGCTTCAATAATAAGTGGACTAGAGAATGATTCTACTCACAGCTCACAGTTCAATCCATCTCTTCTTCTCACTGACTTCTCAACCATTCTGTGCTTTTCCATGTTTTCCTCCTTCTTCCCACTCTACCCTGCCTCCTACCTGGCCATGCCCCCTTTCTCTCTGCCCACTGAAATTCTACCCACTCGTCAGTGCCCAGCCAAGGCATTCCTCTGGTGGGACACCCTTCCAGGCCATGGAGACCTTTCCAGGCCGTGGAGACCTTTCCTTCCTTTGAAGCACTTTTTTTAGTGCCTCAACCGTCTGTTTGCAACAGTCTTGGACCTGAGCATTGAACAGCTATGTATCTCTCAAGCCATGATTTAACAACTCATGTGCTCATATCTTGCTTCCCCAGTAGACTATATGTTTTCCCTAAAGGCAGGGACCTGTGTGATACTTATTTTAATCCCCCTTCAATGCTCTGTACATTGTAGATATTAAATGCTTGCTACCCAGTGCTCTACTTTGTGGGTTCAAGAAAGCAGTAATCTCTAAAAGTAGGGCAAAGGTGCAGACTGGGATTTCTTCAAGTAAGTGGATTCTGTCGGTGGCACCTCATCTCTAAAACTCTCTGTTAAGCTCTGATCTTCTTTTCTCTGAGAGCTCTCAATCACTCTAGACTTTAGAGACTAAATCAGCACTTTGAAATCAAAGTATAAGGTGAACCACATATAATTTTAAATTTCTAGTAGCCACATTAAAAAGTAAAAAGGAACAGGCCAAATGTATCTTAATATTTACTAGTTAATCCTATATATGTAAAACATTATCATTTCAACATGTAATCAACATAATAAAAATTATCAAGGAGATATATATCCTTTTTGTTTGAAAGCTGGTGTATATTGCACAGCACATCTCAACCACATTTCATATGCTCAAATGCCACATGTGGCTGATGGCTACCATACTGGACAGACCAGGTTTAGAGTTCAAGCTAGAATATGTGATTTCAAACCATTCTGAAAAAATCTAAAATCGAACAAACGCTATAGGAATATGCAGTAATCTTCCTAAATCTTGCTCTTAAAAAAAAAAGAATACGGCCAGGCACGGTGGCTCATGCCTGTAATCCCAGCACTTTGGGAGGCTGAGGTGGGCGGATCACCTGAGATCAGGAGTTTCAGACCAGCCTGGCCAACATAGGGAAACCCCGTCTCTACTAAAAATACAAAAATTAGCTGGGCACGGCAGCACATGCCTGTAATCGCAGCCACTCAAGAGGCTGAGGCAGGAGAGTCGCTTGAACCCAGGAGGTGGAGGTTGCAGTGAGCCGAGATCATGCCACTGCACTCCAGCCTGGGCGACAGAGCGAGACTCCGTCTCAAAAAAAAAAAAAAAAAGTCTACACTACTTTATCATTTTATAAAGCCCTCTGTCATACATTATCTCATCTAGATGACATACGTACAGCAAACATTAAGCCATAAAGTAGTTTCTTGGTCCTATATACCAAAAGAACACAGACCTGGTAACACACGCTTAAATCAAATAACTCACAGCCTTAAAGAACATCTATTCATGAGACGTTTTCTCCATTTTTACTATACAGTAAAGCATATTTTATCTCTTATTTTAAGTCATTTAAGAACTTTTTATTTTGGAATTTTATGACTAGCCCTTTAAATATTAGTTTTGCTAGGAACATCAAAAGAACAAGTGACTAATTACATAAAGGGGAAAAGATTAAATGAATCATGGATTCCACTTGAACTTCATCAGTTAAAAGGATAATTAGCAAAATATTTAAGGAAAAAGTAAATGAGCTTGTTAGTCATGGCCTTTTGAGGGGAAAAAGGTAAAACTATTTTACTTGCCTGATCTCAGATCTAGAATCTAAAAGATAAAGAGGTATTGTGGAGAATCATTATAAAATACTCAGACTTCAAAGGTTCCCATAAGGTCAAAATATGGACTATGTATAAGAAGAAAAAATATGCTAAATATAAAATCAATGTATTAATGAGATATATTTATTTAAATATCCCTTTTGAGTATTCTTAACAGGTATTCAGAACCCTAATCTGCTTTTGAATTTTCAATGAATATAAAAGAAAAATTTGAAGACATTAATGGAGAATTTTAAAGCAAGAATCTAATCCTGTATGTTAGAAAGAAGAAAATACAACGTTATGTAATATTTTAATTCTTATAGGTGCCCAAATACATAAGCAACCTAACTTTGACATCGGGGGAAACTGGACAAATCCATTTAAAACTAATTTAGCAACAAATACTTACATGGTTCTGTGGACATGTAACATCCCAAGGTGTTTTAAATTGATAATGTCACCATATGAACTGATAATTTTCAGTTGAACATACAGTTTATTCTATAAAATCATTAAATCTTAAGAACCATGAGGGATCTTAGAGACATTTAGCCCAGTGCCTCTCAAATTTTGATGTTTATGTGAGACCCCAGGGGCACCTTGAGAAAGTGCAGATTCAGACTCAGTAGGTGTGGGTGGCCCTGAGACTTCATTTCTAACAAGCTCCAGGTGATGCCGATGCTGCTGGTCCAGGGACCAGGCAGTGGGTATTGTGGCCCCAGTCAAGTCTAAGGGAGGTCCCACAGCCTCTGCTTGGGCATCTCCAGTATCCAGGACTTGAAACCTGCCTCCAAGGGTAGACATTACAGGGAGGGACTTGTATATTACAGAGAGGGAAGCAACAAGGAAAGGCTGCTTCCACTTCTAGTGATGGAAGACACTCTTTCTCTCCCAACATCTCCTCTTCTCCATGTTGAAAATCCCCACTTCCTTTGGCCACTCTTAGAACTGATAGGTTTCCAGACCCCTAAACATCTTTATCACAGAAAATGCTCCCTCTGTGGTGAAAATCTTTCTTAAAATAAATCCCTTGGGACAAGACATAGCATCCCACACATGGGACATCCAGACCTGAGAGTAGTTGAGTGAGAACATTACATTCCCTGATCTAAAGGGGACAGCTCTCTTAATGTGGCCTTAAGGAGGTGTCGCCTTCTGTAAGAATCACACTGCACTGGTGGCTCACAATGTTGTGGAGGAAATAATACCAAGCAAGTGTTCCCATGTGCACTTGAACAATTATTTTTAACTAAAATGTAGCAATTTACAGTTATTTCTATTTAATGTCATCTTGCTACTATAACAACTCACATAAATCCTTTAAAATGTTTACTAATAGGTCACACATATATAAAAAACATAGACAGTTTTTAAAAACAATTAAGAAGAAAGAATATCCTTGGGACCACTGTCCAGGTTGGGAGATAAAACACTGCCAGGACCTCAGAAGCCCCCAGTGAGCCCCTTCTCTATCATACCCACTCCTTCACCTCTGGAGGTAGCTGTTATACTGCTTTTTGTGACAATCATATTAAATCATATTAATTTTCTTTATAGTTTTACCATCTATGTATGTATCCCTAAATAACATATTTAGTTTTGCATGCTTTTGAACTTTACATGAATAGAATCACACTGTATATATTCTTCTATCTTGCTTCTTTCTTTCCATATTGTTTGTAAGATTCATCCATTTTGATGCACTTTTATTTGTTTAACAAACACATATAGAATGTATTGTCTGCCAGTCATTCTCCTAAGCATGTCACAAACATTGACTCATTTAAACTTCCTAACAACACTATCAGGTAGACATCATTTTCCCTGATGTACAGATGAGAAAACTAAGGTACACTGAAGTTCAGAAATTCATCCAAGGTCACACAATAAGTGGCAGAACCAAAATCTGAACCCAGGCACAATCCTTCCTCTTGACCACCAAGAAATGCTGCCTCTCCACACCCTTCTATATGTGGTTATACTAGTTGATTTTTCATTGCCAAATAGTATCACAGTGTATAAATACCTCACAGCAAAATGTGCTGATTCGATTCAATGTTGATGGGCATTTATTTGGGTTGCTTCCAGTTTTTTGCTCTTATGAACAATGCTTCTTTGAATATGTTTGTCCATGTTTTTTCTTTTAAGTTCAGGGGTATGCACATGTACTGGTTTGTTACACAGGTAAACTTGTGTCATGGAGGTATGCTATACAGATTATTTCATCACTCAGGTATTAGGCCTGGTATCCATTAGTTATTTTCCCTGATTCTCTCCCTCTTCCCACCCTCTAATAGGTCTCAGTGTCCGTTGTTCCCCTCTATATGTCCATGCGTTTTCATCATTTAGCTCCCACTTATAAGTGAGAATGTGCAGTTTGGTTTTCTGTTCCTGTGTTAGTCCGCTTAAGGATAATGGCCCCCAGCTCCATCTATGTCCCTGCAAAGGACATGATCTCATTCTTTTTTATGGCTGCATAGTATTCCATGGTGTATGTACCACATTTTCTTTATCCAGTCTATCACTGATGGGCATTTAGGTTGATTACATGTCTTTGCTTATTGTGAATAGTGCCGCAACGAACATACACGTGTATGTGTCTTAGAATAATTTATATTCCTTTGGGTATATGCACAGTAATGAAACTGCTGGGTTGAATGGTATTTCTATCTTTAGGACTTTGAGCAATCATCACAGTCTTCCACAATGGCTGAACTGATTTACACTCCCACCGAGAGTGTGTAAGTGTTCCTTTTTCTCCATAACCTTGCCAGCATCAATTATTTTTTGTTTTGTTCATGTTTCTTAAAGCACATAGGTAATCATTTTTCTTAGGTGTATACCTAGGGGTAAGATGGCTGTGTTGTAAGTTATTTGCAGGTTGAACTTGGTTAGGTAACAGCAAATTGTTTTCCGATATAATTGTACCAAGTTAGACTCCTGTCAACTAAATACAAAAACTCCCATTCATTCACATCCTTACATGGTATTGTCAGGTTTTAAAATTTCTGCCAATCCAGAGAGTGTGTAATCATATGTTACTATGATTTTAATCTGCATGTGTTTGTTTATTAATGAAGCTGAGCATCTTTTTATATATTTACTAGCCAATTGGGTTTCTTCCTTTGTGAAATGCATGTTTAAGAATATGAATGTACAGTATCATTTTTCTTTTTGGTTATCTGGCTTTTTTATTGATTCACATGTGTGCTGAACCAGTATTATTTATGTGCCACAAACGTCTTTACCACTTTGGGCTTGTTTTCTCATTCTCCATAGTTACCACTCAGTGAACAGAAGTCCTACTCACTTTTTTTTCCAACAATAAGTGAAAGACCCCTCATGCTTTTTTTTTTTTCTTTTTTGAGATGGAGTTTCGCTCTGTTGCCCAGGCTGGAGTGCTGTGGTGCGATCTTGGCTCACTGCAAGCTCTGTTTCCTGGGTTCACACCATTCTCCTGCCTCAGCCTCCCGAGCAGCTGGGACTACAGGTGCCTGCCACCATGCCCGGCTAATTTTTTGTATTTTTACTAGAGACAGGGTTTCATCGTTTTAGCCAGGATGGTCCCGATCTCCTGACCTCGTGATCCACCCGCCTCGACCTCCCAAAGTGCTGGGATTACAGGCGTGAGCCACCACACCCGGCCTCCTCATGCATTTTTAACTTTTGAACTATTTTATAAGAATTTTTTAGGTCTGGCCAGGCACGGCGGCTTACACCTATAATCCCAGCACTTAGGGAGGCTGAGGCAGGCAGATCACTTGAGGTCAGGAGTTCGAGACCAGCCTGGCAAACATGGTGAAACCCCATCTCTACTAAGATTACAAAAATTAGCTGGGCATGGTGGCATGTGCCTGTAGTCCAGCTACTCAGGAGGCTGAGCCAGGAGGATCACTTGAACCTGGGAGGTGGAGGGTGCAGTGGGCCGAGATCGCACCACTGCACTCCAGCTTGGGTGACAGGACAAGACTCCATCTCAAAATAAATAAATAAATAAATAAATAAATAAAGCACTTAGAAAGGAAAAGAATTATGTTAAATATACATGTTGGTCTTACAGTCTAGAAATTCAGTTGCTTTGACTATAAAATACAAAAAGCAAAGGCTCTGGGATAAGACCACTGTGATACGAAGCTAAGATAGTGATCTCTGATAGTCTGGCCAAACTGCAGCAAAACCAACCAAAACTAAACAAAAAACAAAAATGTCCCCATATGTAGACATACGGAAATGGGCTGCAAAAAGATGAACGTACACCTGAATTCCTGGTGACATCTGGGCAGCCCCTCAGCAGGTAGCACAGTTCTTCCTGAGCTAGCTGCTCCACTCTGCTGTTTCCTCTGACTCGCATTTTCTG
The DNA here is from genome assembly GCF_000001405.40 of Homo sapiens. Classification (NCBI taxonomy): domain Eukaryota; kingdom Metazoa; phylum Chordata; class Mammalia; order Primates; family Hominidae; genus Homo; species Homo sapiens. The sequence goes on from NC_000006.12 coordinate 90,284,386, forward strand.
TTAACCTTCCTCTTGGAATCCTTTGACAATGACTCACAGGGTTATGGGGCTACTTAGCAATACCACAGCCCTCCGCAATAGATGCTGTGTAGGAGGGACGCAGCTCAGTGGATTGTAGTCTGCACCAGTATTTTCCTTTCTGCATTCAGGGAGGATTTGCTTTTCAGCCACATTTCCCTCAAACACAGCCCCGACAGGAGATGCTTAGCGCAGAGATTTCTAAACGATGAAATGATCTGAGTTTGGCTCCTTAATCATAATGAAACTAAAAACAGTAAGATGAGAAAACAACAGGGGGATCATCATTCCTACAAAAAACAACTTTATACTTGGGCAAAATCAAGAGATTAAAAAAAAAAAGCTCAAACTAACATTTTCCAACCTTTCACTAAGAGCAAGGGCTAAAACCACATGTTTTGAAGGTCTTGCACTGTGTTATTATTAGAAGTCACAATTCTATTGATACTGATGAGTCATTCGTATCGGCGGAAACCAAGAACTTCCATCAACATCATGTTACACACAGTCACTGTGGCTTTTCTTTATTACTGGTCAAAGCTGCTTCAGAATGCTTATTGAAACTTAAGAAAAAGAAGGCAAACTCCTCAAGGGTGTGCAAAGCTTTCCCTTCCCCAGCTGATCTTACTTTAATCATCCTTTTTCAAGACAGTTTATGATGATTGGATCAACTTGTATCTACAAAAGGAAGTTTATTTAGAAGCCTCAGAAAAGCAACATTTCACACTTTCCGATGAAAATAAGCAAAACTGAACTCTGAAAACAAACAGTGAAACCATCTCTGAAAATACATGCTAGCTTTAAAATGACCTGAGGTCAAGTTTTTTGTTTTGTTTTTTAACCTCAATAACAGGGAACGGATATAAACAAAAGCTGTCATCACTTAGGGACTTCAGCCACATAAAACAATGTCAGGCTAGTCACTTGCACCCTCGCCCCTGCTTCCCTACTCAGGACACACTGCTTTGCACTGAGGGAGAAGTGGGTCAGGTTTCAGTTACGCCAAGAAAGCCTAACTAAGTTAAAGGTTTATGAAAACTCTTTCTGATCTTAGTAGGAAATAACAGCACATTCCCTTTTCATTTATTATCAGCCCCTTTTGCCTCTCCCCTTAAATATTCCCAGAAAAATAAAGTGAAGCAAAAAAAAAGTTTTCCTGAGGCATATCCAGAAATGCTATGAATCTTTATGCAGTCCCTACAAAGGTAGAAATTTGTCCAATTTTCTCCCCTGCAACCAGAAGGCTGTGTCTGGCTGCTGGCAGGAGAAGAGGACCCAGCTCAGCAGTGACCACAGATCTGAAAATAGCCTCCCAGTAGCTAACCAGCCCAGCAGCCCGGAGCTCTCCAAGGGCGGTGCTGGTACTATGGGCAGTTTACAGTGCGGCCAGCTGAGTGCTACAACAGCTGCATGAGTCAGCAAGCACTGCTGGTAGGAAAGTGCTGACATGCTAAATTACTCTCGTGTACTTGAGATGCACACACCTACCTGGCAAAAACAAAAACAGGGTACATGCAAATTAGCAAACGGGAACCTCTCTACGCTTGCAGTTTCTATTTTCCAAGGTTAGACCAAAAATATAAATAATCTATGCCACTGCTCAAAAAGAAGTAACAACTAATAATAATTAATCATGGTAATAAACAACTCACTCTTAGTGTTGCTATGTGTGGAACAGCTGCACTGAAATCTCACGAGCCAGTTAATTTTAACTGGTTTTAATTTTAACTAGATTTAACTGCTTTTCCTCCCTTCTGAAAAATCAAAATAGTTACCATATCGACCACAAGAACTGGTAACAGACAAGCACAGTTCCTGTTTTTCAGAGGGGACTTACTTTCAAACCCACAATATCAACACGCTTAACATAAGTGGAAATTTAAAATGTACTGTTTAATGTGGGAAATTTAAAACCTGTATGCTAATTGAGATCTCATGTGCCAGGCTTTGTCTGACAATGCCTCTCATTCATCTATGTTCTCTCGTTTTATACGGGACCTAAAAATCTGCAGGAACACTGGTTGTCTGGAACTGAGAATACATTTTCCCACAGAAATAGGGCCAGGCCAATGAGCTAGGATTCCTTGATAGTCCGTGAAAATGTCTTGAACTTAAAATATGAGAGGTTAAATTTATAATCTAAAAAGAAAATGATACTACAATGATAGTTCCAAAACCATTTAAAAGAAAATACTCTTGATTAACTGTGTTTGAGGAAATGTCTAACTACAGGAGGATGAAGGGACACAGTCTTCCAAGTGACACTTTCAGACTTCAACTTTAGGGTCATTCTGGTTCTCTAACATGGTTTCAATTGATAGTTTCATTTAAAATGCATAGAATTCTCTTACTTTGGCATAAAGTATTGTTAGAAAAAAAATCTTTATACTTACCGGTTTTAAGTACTGTTTTGTTCTCCAAAAAAAAAATTGAGACTTGGAAAACAAAAAAGGAGGAGAAACAAGTACAAAGAGGGGGTACTAGAGAGAGGGAAACAAATTAAGTCTGGAACAAAGAAAGACACGGAGGTATAACTAAACTGCAAAAACAAAGGAGAGGTAGGAACTAGAGGGCAGTTCCCCGCTAGACAGTGTGTTCCCAGAGAAAGAGGACTCTTCATCATACCCAGCTCTGGAGGTGACAGTGAAGTCCTGCAAGACAGTTCCACAGACTGGCACTAGATGGAGCCATCAACTCAACATAGCATGGTTGCTGGAGAAGGGTATGGTGGGGGAGAGGTGGGACTGAAGGGCGTTGACTCTACAGCCAGGTATTTACCTGCCAACAACTCTATCTAAAATAAGTATAGTTTAATTAATCAACCAACTCTCCTAATGTCCAGATGTCACCACCATGCTGACACCACTATGCTTGTGGTATGTCAAATTGGGACACACCAATTTTGAAATAAATTTATCAATTCAATTTGTATCAATGCAACTGGGGTGGGGAGGTAAGTGAAGTTGGATCCGCTGCTTTTTTTTTCTTCTAAAATTCAACATGCAAAGATAATATAGAATTTCAGGTTCATTGCTACTGAATAACAAAAATCCCTAACCACAAACCAAATGGCTTTCCCTGGAAGCTTTGTTTAAATGTTAAATAACATACCATCTTGCTATAGAGGTTTATGTGATCAACTCCAATGTACGGCAAAAGGCGGGAAATGCTCACTGACAAATGTATTATTAAAAATAATCTTCTCTTTGTATTTTAATACTACTTTGATTTAAATACTGTAATCCATTTGCCTATATTCTCTGCCTAGGGTTGTGTTTATTTATCACGAGCCCTCTCTCCATTCAGAAATGGTCTCCTATCACCAGGTTACCAGTGTGCGAAATTCTATTGTTTTTATCTTTAGGGTTTTACTTCTTTGGCTTTGTCTCCTATTAACATGCTGATGCTTCAGAAAAGTAACACATTAAGTATGCTCAGTTACTTATATATTAGTAAAACTGTGTTCATAAAATCTTTCTCTGAGATTGGTTTTGGAAGGGAAGGACAAGGACTAGTTGAGGGGACTGGGTGGCCAAAAGGTAAGAGAGCATGAAACAAAAAAGTGAGCACAGAAGGAGGATGGGGGAACTGGCTGCAAACCGTGCCTAGCTTCTTTACATCTGGGACACGGACCATCATCCCTGGCACTTATCTTCCCAAGAAAATGTATGAAAAGGAAGGGTTAACTCTGTCTACATTTTCCTCTTGCTGAATGGGTAATAATATCTTTCACAGTTAATTTCATTTTTTTTTCAGTTTGACTCTTCAGGGCTTATTCATTTGCATAATATGGAATCTTGAACCCACATAGATATTCTACAAATCAATGCAAGTAATTCTCACACTAAATCAGCAGCTTTAATTTAAGCTCAACATTGTTTGCATAGAAATCTTTATGCACTCATCTGCTTGATTTTTTAAATCACTTAAAACCTCCAACACTGACACACTAAGCATCTCCCATTTAGCTTTCTCCAAAATTTGAACTAAATGCTGAAAAATAAGCACAGTACTATACATTCATACACTTGATCATTTCCCAAATTGAGCTTCAAATGTGTGCTTAATGTTTCAAGTGGCTCCTGAGAATGATGCTTCTTGACTAAAGATGACAACTTCGGTGTCTGGCCCAGGCAGAGCTGAGTCAGCATTCTAAACAGTGACCCTGCAAACCTGAGGTAATTGGGGGTTACTGCCATACCAACTGCCTGAGTCCTTTAAAACCATTCAAATCTCCAGCTGAGAGTTGCAACATGCTAATCTGGCAAGATAATCTCTTCCTGAAATTGACCAGAATGAGAACAAAGGTTACCTCCTTTTATCTGTTACTGGTAGCTAATATTTCTAATTAGGATTTCTGATGGAATTAGTTCTGAATGAACATCTTCCTCCTTGGTAGAATACTCTACCTCTTACAGGTATAGTTTTTTACCTTTTCCTACCCACCAAAAAAACAAAAAACAAAAAACAAAACGCAAAAAACAAATTCCCTCCACCTAACAAGAGGGTAGGAGTGTGAGTTACAAGTAAACCCTGGAGACAGAGCCATGGTATTTCAGTTATATGCCTAGTACTTCTTTTGCCTTTATATGCATCACTTTTACTTTCCGATCCCTAAATGGACACTAAAACCTAAGGAATGCAATTATTAGAAAGCAGGCCATGTGAAAGACAGGAGATATACTCACTCAGATTTACTGAGAAATTATTTTTTAACTTTAAGATAGATGTCAACAAAACATCCAATATTTTAGAGTGAGATGACCTTTATTTCTACTTCTGGGAACTGCTAAAGAGAGTTCCAACTTCAAATGAAGAAGAAAAGGAAAAGGGAGAGCCATAACATGGTAAGAGAACAGGCCCAAGCATCAGACAGCTAGTGTCCAACTCCAGTTCTACCATTCATTAGCTGAGCGACACCTATGCTGCGGCTTCTAGTGATCACACCTAGCCCTGGGTTGTTCTGAGGATTATGTGAGTTAATATGAGCAGCACACAGAGGAAGCTCTCAATACAAGTTAACTATCATCAAAGAAAAAGAAAATAGAGGGGTGTTAGCATGAAGTATAATCAATTTATTTTAAATAGATGCTGTCAAAATTCCTTAATTTTGCATCTAAGAATGGTCTAAATAAGACGTGTCCAATCTTTTGGCTTCCCTGGGACACACTGGAAGAAGGAGAACTGTCTTGGGCCACACATAAAATACACTCAACACTAATGATACATGATGAGCTGAAACAAGAAAAATAGCAAAAAACAAAAAACAAACAAACAAAAACAAAAACAAAAAACCTTTGTGTTGGTCCGCATTCAACACGCAAGAGGCCTGCTGGCCATGGGTTGGACAAGCTTGGAATAATCTTCGGGCCACAGAGGATGGAGACCCTCTGCTCTGGAGTAGCCAGGGACTTCAGACAGACTATTTAGACTCACTTTTTCACCAAAGGCCCTACACACATCAGCTGACTGGGAGAGAATATCTTTGTAGCTTCTGATCATTCAAATATTGTCAAAACCAACCTAAATATGTTCAAAATAAGAATGTTAACTTGTATTTTTTCCAAGTATGGAAATGAACAGTACTCTTGGCAGTTAACTTCTGTTTTTATCAGGTTCTAAAGACCCAGGTAAATAAATCAATTCTGGACTCTGTATACAGGAACTATTATTTGCCAAAATGGCCCCAGAGGTTCCAGCATGGCTTAGGCAATACTCCAAAGGGCCAAAGATAGTAGTGAATTAATAGGATTAGGAAGCTGGAGAAAAAGTGAATCTCAAGTTTCAGACTGTCCCTGATGGAAGGTCACTCCACAATTCCTCAGGGAGGGCTTCCCCAACCTCCCGACCAGGTTAAATCTGCCCATTAGACACTCTGGTGTATGAAATACTTTCCTTCACGAGCAGTGGGTTATCTGTTACTAACTGATCAGTGCCATTCTTCCTACCAGATGACGTGCTTCATGAGACCAGGGGCCAGGACTGGGTTTGCTCCCCATTAGCACTGTGGTCACTTAACACTATGCCTGCCATGTAAGAGATACTCAGTATATATTTGTTTAATGAATGAATGAGGCATCTGCCTCTAAGCAACAGTATTTCTGGACACTTGGCCCATTTTGCACTATCCACGAGCTTCTGTTGCTTAGAAGAATACAGGATAGGAAAAAAAGAAAAATTGCCAAAAATCTATGGATACTGAAATACTAAGGAAAGATGCTGAGCATGTACATTCACTTTGTTTCCTACTTGTGGAATGGAAATCATCACATTGGGATCTCCCAACTTTAAAATCCGAAGTGAAGGTCTAAGCTGTCTTTGGGTTAGACTCCTGGAAAGTCTTGAGGAAATTCCTGAAGTATCTGCAGAAAGTGACAGGGGAGGGAGAATAGAAGATGGCCCAAGACTAGAGTGATGGAAGACTTGGAAACTCGAAAAGCTTTCTTCTAACTAACTGGGACTTTGTCTACATGCCAGCTACAGGCTCAGGCACACATGAAGAGAATAATGAGATGAATGGGAGGACTGGAAAGTGGAGGATTTAAATGCTTAGGAAAGGAGCCAATGAAAGCTGACACAAGGACAGGAGGGACCTAGCAACCAAGCGCCGGCTCTCATCACATCAGCAGCAGCATGTCCTACAGCCTTCAGGAAAAGAACAAAAAGGTCAGGGAGGAAAATGACACATCTCAGAACCAAAGGGCAATTCATTATGAGGCTAAGGAACAAAGGAGAAGTCAACCAGGGAATATGCTGAAGAAACGGTGATTATGAAGTCACTGGGGAAGACTGAGAGGCATTTTGGCTGTAGTTCCAATGACTAGAATGAAGGATGATGTGAAATGCTTTTGGATTGGGAAGATTTATTATTTTGGAAAAAAAATAGCTCAAGGAAAAACAAATGGCAAAATTCCTGCCTGAATTTTGAAGTAGTGTCACTAGCAGGATGAGGTTCAATTTATACATTCTTTAGAAATGAAATGGCCCTTGGAAAAGACATAGTGGTAAGATTCGCAGGACATTTCCAGCCTTACGGAAGCTGAGTAGCATGCTGATAGTAAAATTAAGTTTCAGTTTTAGATAGACTGACATTTGAAATTAACAAAAAAAAAAGTAAAGGGAAAAAATTAAAAGACCCTGAACTGACAAAAAAAAAGAAAAAAAAAAGCAACTACTGTCTTTTTTTTTTAAATTAAATGTCATCACAAACAAAAAAAAAAAGGTGAAAGTTGAGTTGTATTTTGGGCAATCTTACTGAGTTTACAAAATGTTTAGTTCATAGCAGGTTTCAGTTTGGACATGAACAGTTTGTAAATATTTACATAAAATTTAAAGATAGGAGGACAGCAGAGGTCATATATTGCTATTAACAATACAGAAGCGATTTTCCGTCATTCCCAAGGCCTTGGTGCTGCGTTCCCATATGTGGCCCCAGCTCTGCCAAAAGCTTGTCTTCTTTTCCAAAGAAATTCCAATTTTTGCAACCAGCATTGACTTCTGAACTGTGAGTACCTCTGACAGGGTCATATGTCGCTGAAACTTCTTCAACATCCAGACAGGGAAAGGAGAAAAACAGGGAGGCAGATTTACAGCGTCTGCTATCTGAATTGCAGATTTTGACAAATATGTTACATTTTATATTGTTCTCTGTTCTATGTGAGGGCAGGGACCATGTTCTCTGTATGTCACAGTCCTACACCATGCCCAGTCATTGATTCAGGACTGGACTGTGTAATGGAATGGGGAAATAACCTTCAGACATTCAAGAAAACATGCACTATATTCAGATTAAGTTCATTCCAACATGAGATTAGTTCTTCCAACTCTGCAGAATGGGCAGGCACGACACCTACTTCAAAGGGTTGCTTTGAGGAATCAATGAAGTACATTCAGGCAAGGTAGTCAGCACTGGGTCTGGCACATGGTGCGGATTCAGTAAATCAAAACTATTATTTTGGTGAGTGTTCTCAAATGTCAAACTCCCATGGAGGTCCTCAGGCATTACCCAGCCAAGTTACCCCATCTGGTCAGTAACAACTAAATAGAGGGCAGGTGGTTCAAAAGTAATGGATTATTCACCTGCAAGGAATCACACTGTACTCATGGTATTAAATTATTCGGCCTTTCATGTCGAATTCTCTGTTAAAAAGGAAGCTGATCAATCCCTGAGTGGGACTCAATGTTGATTTGAAGTTTTGTTTTTTTGGCATCTTTCTATTTTCCAGGTAGTTGTAACCATTCATTGGGTGCATACTCACAAATCATCCACTATATGCCAGGCCTTTAGAAAACAGAGACACACAAAGATATTAAACAAAAAAAGATGTTTCAGTCTGTTCAGTAGTGGGAGACAAGCAGCCCCCAGGCCGACACTAGCTCTTACATATGCTTTCATCCAAAAATTTTTTAAAGATTTGAGCCAATATTTAAAAATCAGGAAATTCCACATAAATATCCAATATTCAGCTTCCCCTGGAAAAATCAAATGATGTGGCAACACAAAGCCAGTAGTCCTACCAACTGTTCCCTAGCAAGAGTCTACAATGAGTTGAGTAGGGGCGGCCTGCCACTCCACACTATGCCCTGCTCCTCACCAGAACCAGGTAAGTACATAATTTGCAGGGCTCAGTGAAAAATGAAAACGAGGGGCCCTTTGTTCAAAAATTATTAAGAATTTCCGAAGAAAACAGCAGAACCTTATACCAAATATGAGGTCCTTCTGAGCAGGGAAGAGGAAGGGGGCCTATGTAACTGCACAGGTCTTATGCCCATGAAGCTAGTACTGGCTCTCACCCCCTGGACACACAGGAAGATATTTATTTATCTAAGTATTCTCTCATTCATTAACAATCAAGCCTGCATTTACAATAAGCTAGATGTCACACCCCTGAAATCTGAGGTTCAAAAACTAGAGTAGAGGGGCCAGGCACAGCAGAGATAGAGAGCCACTAGGGTCTCTTTCCTTTTTGTTAAGACTGGATCCACACCAGAGACACTGAAAGTTAATCCAAGTAAAATTAAACTGCTCTCAACAATACAGATTGGCTTGAGCCCTTTTGTTGGCATCACAGGAGCCTCGATTAGGAATTCTGAGAAACAGCTCACAAGCGCTAATGAATAACTAAGTCCTGTCGGCTGTGCAGACAGTGGGCCCAGAAGTGAAGGGCTGGCCTAGGAGAGATCTGAACATGAACCTGACCATCTGGCCCTCTGTGACTCACTTTGATCACAAAATGAATTGCAACAAATTGAAGAGCACATGGCTAGAGTTAATTGTCTCATCTGTAATCTGAATCTACTTTTAAGCAGTTATTATTACCCTCTATCAGGTGGAAACATTTCCTACCATCACTGCAAAGTGCATTTTCCTGATGAACTATAATGGATCATTAAATTCCATATCTGAATAACAATACTGTGCACTTATTCAGTGCCTTTCATCCAGGGATTTCAAGGCAGTTTGCAAATAATTAAGCCCCTTACACAGCAGCCAGAGGTGAGCTACTGGAAAAGAATTGCCTGAAGATACTAAGTCAAAGGGCATAATTCAATAGGAAAATAATAAATGGCTTTCTCCCAGGCACTGGTAATACAGAAAGTGAATCCTGATCCCCTCCCTCTCTTTCACCTCACCCCTTCTTCTTCATAGCAGATCCTGACATGCAACATACAAAGAACCAAAAAAGTAACTAACAGGAGTGTTCACAATTTAGCTATGAGTTCAGACACACACTTAACTGAGAAGTGTGTGTCTCCATGTAATCCTGGCAAACACACTACCAACTGACATTTCAGTCCACCTGCAGAATAGACAGACAGCAGAAGAATTTACTCAACACATTCATGATTACCAAATGGCAAACCTGAAGCCTCCTGCAATGCAAAACGAAAATACGGCTCTGCACCAATAAAGTTATGTTCTAACAAAAATACTTTATTCCATGGTTGTGTGTTCCATTTCTGGGACTTCGCTCTATTTCAATGATATTCAGGTTTCGAGAGTAAAAAAAACGTTGGAAATGGGCAATCAATAAATTTCTTTCAAAAACCAGAATACTAGAAGGGAAAACATTTCAGCCACTCAAAGTTTTGTGGTGAAATTATAAACTCCAGAAAAACTGAATTTATAATGGAAATGCTGACAGACCTTTCAGTGGAGCAGTTTGAACGCAACACTGTAATTTGGCAATCTCTCTTACAGACTAAAGACTAATTCTAACAAGATGTCATTTTGACTCACGTTTATTATTACCTGCAAGAATGAAAAACGCCGTTTACTCGGGAGGTGCCCGAGAACCAGGGTGGGGCGATCTCACATTTTAAGCAAGACGCCCGCTGCCTTACCAAAATAGCCCTCTCCGCCAAAGGAGGGGCAGCCTTTCACGCTCAGCTTCTTTCATGTCAGCCCGAGCCTTTGCAGCAAGACGTGCCTTTCCTACATGTTACATTTTAATGATCTGAGAAAACCGTTATCAGCGTTAACATCTCTAATTTTACTCTAAACAGACAAAAGCAAAATATCTCATTAGGCATCATCTCCGCCAAGGTTCCCACTAGGCAGGAAAGGATTTTTATCTAAAGTAATTACCCTTTTTAGTTAAATACACTCAACAGATGAAATTTACAGAGAGTGAGAGACTGCAGCACTAGACAGCGAAGGTGAAAACCAGGAACGCCGCGTCTCGCCGCCCGCGGGCCCGCCGGGAGACTGCGGGTCCGTCTCGCGGGTGGGGCGCCCCGGTCCCTCTCGTTTCCTGGAGGCCACAGGTCACGGCGACGGCGGTGACCGGGAGAGCAGGCTGCGAGGCGCGCCTCATCGGGCCACAGACAAACCACCCCGGCAGCGGCCGCGCCGGAACTTCCCTCAAGTTACCAAACTCGCCTACGCGCGGGAGAGTGCTGGGGATGCCCCATGCGCCCGCGACCCCAGAAGCCAGGAGTGTGCCACCCCTTCACACACTCACTCCCGGCCCTGCACGCTTCCCCTCACGGTCCGAGTTCCTGCAAATGCTTGGCCAGACCGAGGTCGCCGAGATGCTCGCTCCAGTCTCTCCCCTCGTGGGCACCTAGGGTAGCCCGTGAGCGCCGCCCGCCGCCGTCTCCAGCGGCGCCGGGCTCCCGAACACCCGCCGGGTGAGCGAAGCACAGCGGGGCCACGGAGCGCCTCGACGCGGGGACGGGGAGGGCAGTGTCCCCTTCATAAACCAGTCTCCTGGGTGAAGCTTCTGGGGCTTGGAGACTGGAGTGTAGGGTGTGTGTGTGTGTGTGTGTGTGTGTGTGTTGCACCTTGACTTCATGGAGGATCTGTGGGAGAGGAGGTGCAAGGTTTCCCTCTCAGAAGCCTGGCGCCCTTAGGTCTTAGCTACGCGGGACGCTTTCCGACAACCCGATCTTTCGCTAGGAGAGATTCGATCCAGGTCTGCGCCGCGAGGCCCCCAGCTCGCCTCTTCCTGCGACCCTAAACTTGGGCTTTGATTCCCCGCCGGTCGCGGTGGTCCGGGCCACCCGGCGGCGGCTGACAGCTGAGCGCAAAGGCGCCGCGGCCAAGGTCCTCGCGGAGCAGCCCGGGATGCGCACGCCGAGGGTTAAGGAGGAGGCCGCCCGGCCTGGAGCTGGGATCGCAGGCTGGGGGCCGGGACACCCGGGCCTCGCCGGGCCGGGGGCAGGGCCGCGGGTCTGACAGCTGCTGCGGCTCGCGCGGACGCGCGCCTCCTGCAGCCCGCCCTCCCCATGCCTGACTTATTACTCTCTGCTCCTCCTCCCTCTGCTGTTCCAAAACACCCTTCGACGCCAGCAAAATACAATGCGCCTCGGCCGCCGTAAACAGCCGGGAGGGAGAGCACACATTCGGCGCGGCGCGGCCGCCGGCTCGGCTCCCACCCCCTTCCCGTTCCTAGAAAATGCCATAAAAGCGGGCAGGGCGCGGGGAGGGCGGCTGCGCGCCCGGCGGCCGGGGCTCCCTTCCCGCGCCGTTTCCCCACGCCTCCCCGCCCGCCCCGCGCGCCCGCTCCCCCCGCAAACTTGCCCCGCCACCCCGCCCAGCGGCGGGGCCCGGGGCCCGGGGCCCGGGACTCACCTCGCCGGAGAACTTTGCGTCCTTTTCCGCCTCCTCTTCCCCGCGTCTTCCCGGCTCGCAGCCCCCTCCCGGCAGCCGGCGAGGTGGGCAGTTCGTGGGTCACCGAAAGCTCGCGGAGGGGACGCGCATCACATGGCAGCTCGTTCCCAGCCCCCCGAGTGCGCCGGGAAGGGGGAGGGGAAGGGGCGAGGGGAGGCCGGGGGGAAAGCGAGAGCGGGGCGGCGGCGGGAGTGGGCAGGCGGGGTGGCGAGGGCGGCGGCCGCTCACGTTAGCGCTGTGCGACCGCAGCCCGGGCGTGCACGGCCGCTGCTGCCGCTGCTGCTGCTGCTGCTGCTGCTGAGGCGGCGGCGGCTCGGCGCTGTTTGCTCCGCGCCGCGCGGCTTGCGCTCTCCCCGGAACGCCCACACTCTCAATCGCTACATTGTTGACATTCGGCGCTGACGTCACCCGCTCCCCATTCACAATAACTTTACGGGAGCCGGGCAGCGCACCTCCCCGGCCGCTGGGGCGCGGTACGCCCGGCGACTAGCGTAAGCCGCTCCGCGAATGGCGCTCCGGGGGCTGGGGCGGGGGGCGGGGGACGGGGGCGGGCGCGCGCGCTCCGCTGGCTCGCGGGAGGGGGCGCGCCTCATGCCGCCGCAGCAGCAGATCTCCCCGCTTTGTGCGGCCGCGCGGCCCGGAGAGCCCCCTCCTCCCGGCCCGGCTGACCGCCCCGCTCGGCCTGGCCTTCCCGGCCACGAAAGACGAGGGTTGGGGGCATAGCAGGGTGAGAGTAGTGGTGAGGGCTGGTGTGGCACGTGGGGAGGGGGCCAGAGCCCTAGGTGCTGCACCTGGGGAAGGAGAGCAGACGTCGGGACCGGGGATCCCAGGGTTAGCTAGCGTTTTCCCGGAAGGGCAAGAAAAGATGCTCCACTGGCCCCCACAAAGCTGACCGGACTCCCTTTTGGGTGGGGACCGGGCGAGTAAAAGCAGCCTTTTGAATGTTGACTTCTCAATCCTTTTCAGGAGGCCCTCCGCCTGCCCTACTGAGCGAACCTTTAAGCCCCCAAGCCAGTGTTTTTGGAAAGAGAGTGGTCAATTTCAGGAGGACATTAAAAGCCAACCTCCCGGGCTTCAGCCCCAGCTCCTACTGCCTTCCAGCCACTCTCCCCTGCCTTTCCTTTCTGCGGCTCTTAGGATGTTGTTGCTGCCCTTAAAGGCCGTCGTGTGAGTGCCCTGTCAGAAGAAAGCTTGGTGGTGGTTAGGATTTTACAGAAGGTAATTAGGATTTAGGCTGAATGTACATTTGCAATAAAATAAGGTTGTGTTAGTGTTGTGCTGGTGCCTGCAACTTTACCTCTTGCCAAGGCCAGAAAATTCTGCCACGTTTCCCTAAACACCTATAACTTGGCCCTCTTGTGTACAGGCAGTATTCCATATTATTACACGTGGTGCTGATTTTTAATGAATATTATAAAAGTTTGGCTCGCTCTACTGAGAGAAGGATCATAAATCCCCCCTGTAAAACGGGCACTGGCGTATGCTGAGGAAGCAGTGAAGCGTCCTGGGAGTCTTGTGATATCATCTAAAGTGTTGCTCTGAACTACCTTCATTTGAGGGCAGAGTTTTGAAAGGCCCCATTTGGAATGTCTGTGTGGAAAGCTAAGTGATGGCTGAAAGCAAGCTGAAGGTGCTGAGCTAATTTTTCTAACAGCACTGCAGAGTCCCTGCGTGGAGGTCTGGCACGGGACTGTGAGATTTTCTCTGCTAACCGACCCGGCCTTCAGATAAGGAAAAGTCCTAGAGCTAGGAGTAGCCCTCAGTCTCCTGACCTCTGGTCTGGTGCCCCCTAGGACAAAACACCCTGCTTCTGAGGTCCCTGCCTGACCCCTGGCAAGGACAGAGTACTAATTCCTGGTCTGCCCTGGCCAGGCCGTTTCTTATAGTTTTATGGATGGTTCTGTTTCTCATTCCTCATTCTTGTAAGTATGTGTTTGTGAGATAACTTTACGCATTTTAGTAGCAGCAATAAATGTTTTTCTCACAACAAGGGATGCTTGAGAGCATCCGTATGAGAGTGGTGTAGATTCATTTATTTTCAAGCAAGCGGTGGCTGCCCAGCTGTGAGTGGAGTTGGGCACATCAGCGTAGGGGTGGTTGAGGAGGGAAATGAGGCTGCCAGCTGATCTCCCACCTCCATTCTGGATTCTACAAGCTGATCTTGTCAGATGGATACAACAAAGGCTAACAGGTCATTTCAGTTAGTCTGCTTGCCCAAAGACTCAGACTGGAGCTTTTTCACTTTGAGATTTTCAAGCATGAGGTGGGACATTAAATAGAGATGAAAAAACCTAAAACACCTGTGATAGGTTGCATCATCCAGTCATTCAAGGAGGCTGAATTAGGAGTAGTTAGCCTCTCAGGTTACATCCAGCTCTGCAATCATGCACCTCTGGCTGTAAGACGAAATCTTTGCTTTGGATAAGCTTTGAAGTCTGGTAGTGAGTTCATTTTTCTACTTTATTTTCGGTAGTTAGAAGTGGGTTATTTGAATTCAAGCCGAAAAATACATTCAGAATTATGTGAAATTAAAATGGTAAGTCAAGTACTAGACACTCATTTAACAGTACTGCTGCAGAGGTTGGGCTGTGGACAGCCTTAGCACCTCCATCATGAGTTTGCATGGCCACTCCTGGGCTTGTGCTGCTCTGGCAATTTAGGCGTTTATGATGTGAAACAGATCCAGGTCCTTCCCTCTGTATAATCATGGCAGTAAGTTGAGTGGAGGTCAATTTATTTCTCATGCCTGGAGCATTCAACCTTTCCTGATATACATTTTTTTCCTACATAATTACACATGTGTGTTGATCCAGAGCATGGGCTTTGTCTGTGATTCATTTCTAAGCATGATATTTCCAGGGACAATAAATCTGTATCATGGCATTGAAACAAATAAACTTTATTTCTATAATAGAAATCTTCTTGATTGTAGAAAATAAAACAGGAAAAATTAAAATATACAGGAAACAGATGAGGAAAGGAAGACGGACTAAAGACATGGGCAGTTCTTGAGCCTTTGATTTTCTTGCTCTCCAGCACCCTGTACAGGATTTGATGATGTTGAGAAAATATTGTATTTTTTCTTAGGCAGAACAGTAGACAGAATTTCAAATGTGGTACCTTGAATAAGGCATGGCAGGGCAAATTTAACATCCAATGAAATCTGACAAAAGTGAATGGAGTGGGATGCTGTAGGGGTTTCTGCAGACAAGGAACATGTCCTGGCCTCAACTCCTAAAGGATCACTCTGCTGGGTCACGGGAAGTACAGGAATGGAAGCAGAGAGACCAAGTAGGAGGCTATTGAGATAAGTCATTAGAGAGGTGATGGTGATTTAAACTATTAATAGAATGCTAGAATGACAGCCATAAATGGAATCCAGATATATTTTCAGCATAAACCGGACAAGATTTGTTGATGATTCCATTGTAGGATATGAGAGAAGAGTCAAAGGAAATTCTGAATTTTGGACTGAACAGCTTATTAATGGAGAGTTCATTTATCCAGGCGGAGCAGGTATGGGGGAAATGCTGAAACATTTGGTTTTGGATATAGTACATTTCAGATGTCTATCAGACATCTAAGTGGAAAAGGTGAGCAGGTAATCAGACATGGGAATCTAGAATTTAGGGGAGAAGTCCAGACTAGAGATAGAAATCTGTGTGTCATCAACACAGCAACTGGAAACATGGGTGGAGAAGAGGAGCAAAGAGAAGAAGTCTAAGGTTTAAGACCTGGGGCACTCCGACATTTAGAGGTCAGCAAGATGAAGAAAAAAAGATCCCCACAAGGAAGCTGAGAAGCTTCCTTGAGAGAGAAAGGGGCCAGTTCATCCCAACCAACAGAAGGAAGGGCAGCACAGGTGGGGAAGTGCAGGGAGGCTGGAATATCATGGTAGGAAGTATGGGAAGCCGTTGTCTGAGGAATTCTGTTTTCTTAGTGGAGTAAGAAGATAGACCGTTCACTGATAGTGGAGGAGGGAAGGATAGATTTAGGGGATAGAGAAAAGATGTGAACCAGTGCCAGGGATGTGGCAGAATTGCTGGACGGCACAGAGGACCTTGGGGGCCCACTCCTGGGGGCTTTCTGGACACACCACTGCCAAGAAGAGATTTCTCATTGTACAAAATCTCACACAAGTTTTGAAAAATGATCAGGGCAATCCAAACCAGAAAAGCAAAAATTTTGCTTCTAGCTATTGTTAAATTTGGCTGGCAGCCTTTTTCCTTCAAACTGTATATCTCTTATCTGTCCCATCTTCATCTCCTCAAAGATTGCCTCAGTTCCTAAGAAGGACTTTGGAAATAGTCCCTAAAAGAAAGTGATGTTCTTATATTACTATCTATAGTGATCTTCTTCTATAGTAAAGAATTGATGCCACTATTATCTAAAAGCTTATATGAAATAAACTAGTAAAATATGGTATATGAAATAAACTAATTTTTCAACATACACTACTGAGCATCTGTTACATGTTGAGGTGAAAAATTAAGAAACATTGGACTGTATCCTTAAGGAACTTAAATCTACATAAGGAGTCAAAACTAATATACATGAAACAATTGAAAAATGTAATTTTGTATTTGATTTTATTACTTTTATATATTAATATTTAAAATTATATAGAAATTGTATGTGTTATAATTTATACTAATGAAAAAATTAAGAATGTACAGATCTTTTTTGTATGATAGCAAAAAGAAAATGGAAAAATCCAAATGCCTTACAGGAAATGATTGGCTAAATAAATGGTGGTTCATATATAAAATATGAATATCATGGATCCATCAAAAATAATATTGGTGGCTGGGCACGGTGGCTCATGCCTATAATCCCAGCACTTTGAGAGGCTGAAGCAGGCAAATTTCTTGAGCTCAGGAGTTTGAGACCAGCCTGGACAACATAGTGAAACCCCATCTCTACCAAAAATAATAATAATAATGAAAAAAATTAGTGATGAAAATTTATGTATATTGATATATTAATATTTTGTTAGTATAGTTTAACAATAATTTGTATAACTATTTACAATAGGATCCTATTTGTGAAAAAAAATTGCCAGTGCATGCATAGGAAAAATCTGGAAGGCTATATGCACAGTGTTCAAGTGGTTCTCTTGAAATAAAGAGCCTATAAGTGGTTTTACTTTTGCTTTTTAAAAAAATTTTCTGTAATATAAATATATTACTTCTGTAATAAAGGTAGCCAATAAATGTTGTAAAATTCAAAATATGCATAATTAAATTCTAACAAGAACTTAAGTATTGTAGATGTTAAGAGGAAAAACAAATTATGAAGGTTAAAGTAGCCAGAAAAGGTTTCACTGAGAAGGTGGAATTTCAGTTGAACCTCAAGGCCAGGAAGGAGTCAGAGAGGAGGGAAGGTGGCTGGACTTTTAATGCAGAAGGACCCCTTGAGGTTACACTTTCATCTGACTATAGCATTCATATCTTGCAGTGTTGGGAAAGAGTGAGAGGTTGTGATGTCAAGAAGGATAGGTCAGAAGTGGAAGGTATGGGGGATTGTGCCTGCTGTCATGGCTAGCAAGGAGTACTGAAGTACCATGGTGACAAAATGCCATTGTGATCATGACTCATTTTTTCAAAATGTAGATTTTTCCTTCTTTCCCCTCCCAATGGCCAAGACCTTGTACCTGTTACTTGCCTGTTTTCTTTTTTTCCAGACACACCTCGAGCATACACAACCTATGTACTAGCACTATTCTAACTTTTGGAGATAAAACACTGCATAAGTCAGGGCTCCTGGACTAGTGGGGAAGGTGAACCGGTGAAGAAGTCCTCACAGCACACCATGCTAAGGGCCTGAATAGGACAAAAGTCTTCTGGCAAGTGACTTTGCTTAGGAGAATGTGGGATGGCTTCCTGGAGGAGGTGACAACAGAGCTGGATTCTGAAGGATGAGATTTTGTGAAAAGAAAATGTTGGAAGGTCATTCCAGGCAGGAAAATTGGAGTAGCGAAAGTGCAGGAATTGAGATGGTTAGCAGCGACAGCCAGTGGTGGAATATGGGACTGGAAAGGTAGACATGGGAAATCAGCATGAAGGTGTAATTTTATCCACAGATCAAAATTCTCATTGAACTTTTCCAGTGAAGTGCTCAGAATGGCAGAGAAAATGGAATGCTAACTTCCTAGGGATCTGAGAACATGGCCCCAAATTGCCTTTTCAAAGCATAAAATGTCTTTGCAGTTTCCTGTTACATGTTAAAAAATCACCTGAACTTCTTTTGTTCTCTTTGAAGTACATGGGTTGATTTTACTAAAAAAGTTTAACAATTTGTGACGATCAGGACTAAAAGTTCCTCTCCCACACCCAAAATCAAAGTACTGAAGGATGTACTTGAGGAAAATGCTCCGAGTTTATCTTCTAATTTCCCCAGAAACACTGAAAAGCCTGGCTGCATGGGTAGAAAGCCGATGAGTGATCCCCAGTTGCCAAAGAGGCATAATCAGATCTGGTTTTGGAAAGAACACAGCATTGGCCATATGAAGGGGCCTGAAGAGGCTGGAGACTATAAGACAGTAGCTCAAGTCCTACAGCCTATGTTAAGGCAGTGAGCAGGGCTGGGAAGCGCTTATGGTTTAGGGGTCATTTGCTTGTGGGAGGAGACGGAGAGGGAGGAAGAAGAGAAAGAGGGAATGGAGACCTCTAGCCTGTGTGACTAGGAGGGAACTGGCCCTGGGAGGCAGGAGGAGGCTAAGATCACTCTGGTAAAGGGTGGAGTCAAAAGGAGGGAAGTTTGACTTCCTCAATGCTGAAGTTTGAGGAATAGCTGGGTTGGGGATGGATGTGGGCACAGAACAAGGAGTTTATGAAAAAGACAGGAATGGAGCCAACAGGAAGGTAGAAAATCAAGCAGAGACTGGGAAGTTGAGGAAGGTAAGGAAAAGGGCATTTCAATGAGGGGCCTGGGAATAGCATCCCATGATTAAGAAAGGTCTGGTGGGATGGGGGCTGTGTGATATGACAGCAAGGAGCTTCTAGACCCACTGCAGAGGAGGGGGGGAATGAATGAGAGAAGTGGGGGCCTGGAAAGATGGAGAAAGGCAGGAAGGTAGGAATCTGAGTGAAGGAAGAGGTAGAAGGTAAGGTAATGGAGCAGATAACAGAAGGAGCACTGATGTAGAGGAAAAAAATGGCAAGAATGCAGAACTCTGGGGCAGGGGTAAACATGGGTAGGTGGAAGAAAGGCAGAACATGAGCATTAAACAGAATTTGCAGGACGGGGGAGGATCACTCAGATCTCGCCTCTGAAAACTGTCTGGATTACAGGGACATCCAAGAAAGGGATGATGCAAAGATTTTGAAGCTTCAGGATAAGATGTAGGGCCAAGAGACATGAAATTTCGGGTAAGAGCTTAATTTTTCTTTTTTACCTGGGAAACAGGGAAGGAGGTGATTAGGTCAGGCTCAGGTAAGCAAAATAATAATAAAATTTATAATAATCACAAGATTACTTTCTTTTTTTCCCTTTTTTTTTTTTTTTTTAAAAAAAGCTCTAACAATGCTTCCCTTTTTTTACCCTCAGGGTTTGTGATGCCTAGTTTTTTCTAAACTACTCCATTAACTAAATGTCCATCTCTTTATTCTGCCCACCTCTAAAAGATGTTTTTGATCAGTGGTCTGAGTTTTAGCTTTTATTACATCTTTGCTTAAAGAAACTTGGAAAAGTTTGGTCGTAGACAGAAGTAATCTGACAATTTTTAAATTACTGTGAAAAGAAAGCCTTGATGCTTTTATTTTGATAAAAATATACTTGCGATTGAATTATATTTCTCAACTCAGCTTATGAGTTTTTGAGAGACACAGAAAGTTGAGTTCACTAACCCTATAGCAATTTCCCCAAAGAATATGTAAGATGGCACCTACAGTTTCTAATCTGTTTTTCACAAATCTGTTTATGTGATATAATTATGCAAGGGCATCCAACCTGAACAGTGGTTGCAGCAATGTGCTGGTCAGCACAGCTGTTCTGTGCCCCGTGTGTGCATCCGGCATAGTGCTTATGTGAATGACAGACATTTAGGTGTCATCGGTTTCTCCATTTTCCCCAGGTGCTCTCTAAGTAGGTCTCCCACAGTACCACACACTGAGGAGCTAATTTCTCTGCCTTTCGATTGTTAGGTGTGTGTGGAAACCCAGTGTTTCGTGCCCCAACTTGAATTGAGCCTTTGGTGATTTTGCAGAAGGCTGAAAACATGGAGGTGTGCTGTGTTTGTTCCAGCTGCACTTCAGCACCCTCTGGATTTACAGCTCTTCCCAGGTCTTGTCAACAGGCATGCTTCTATTGGTACATTTCCTTGGTGCTTAATTTTCTAAAGCTGGAAAGGATGGTCTAGGGAAGTGGGTTGGGATATAAGGTGTCTTAAGATTGGTGGCTGGGCCATTGTCTAGAGGAGGAACCCGTGCTCCCAGCCTGATGACCAACTTATGCTAATGAAAGCAGATGCTGAATCGGAATGCTTATTAATTTATGATAACCATAAGTGGGTTATTTGCAGGATAGCCTACTTCATTCTGGCAAGCGCTAAGTGAACACTAATTCTTTTCTCTGACACTTTGCTTTTTCAAATTCAGTGACAGATAAAATGTTTATCTTTATGTCTAATCTCACTTCTCTTACCTGCTGCCTCACCTGTGAGTCCATTGCCATCATAGACAGTATCTTTTAAAAATAATTGATCTTGGAATAATGTTAAACTTTAGGAAAAGTTTCAAGAGTAATACACAGAACTACCATATCTCCTTCATGCAGATATCCCAATTGTTAATATTTTAACACATTTGTTCTCTCTTTCTCTCTCCGTATGCCTGCAGAAATATCTAATATAAACACCCATTACCATTATTCTCTTTCTGAATAATTTGAAAGTAAGTTGTCAACAATGATGCTCCATCAGCTGCTAAATGCATCAGTGCACATTTTCAAAAGGAATAATGGTACATAACCACAATACAACATCCAAATCAGAAAGTAAGCATCAGTATAACAATACCACTCAATCCAGAGACCCTATTCAAATTTCACCAACTGTACCAACAATATCTTTTTTCCTTTCTAGGGCAAAGTTTGAGTCAGGATCATGGGGTACAGTTAGTTGTGCTAGCTCTTTAGTCTCCTTCAGTATGGAAAGCTCCCCCTGACATATCCTCAGCCCAGGGAAGCATTAGGGGAAGGGGCAGGAAGGGATAAAGGAAGCACAACTGCACCTTTTTTGACTGTTACTGGATTCAAAGTGTTTTACTAAATTTACTGAGC
The DNA here is from genome assembly GCF_000001405.40 of Homo sapiens. Taxonomy (NCBI): domain Eukaryota; kingdom Metazoa; phylum Chordata; class Mammalia; order Primates; family Hominidae; genus Homo; species Homo sapiens. Next base: position 90,305,798 of record NC_000006.12, read on the forward strand.
TGTTCACTTAAGGTTTTTGCAATCTGTGTTGATAAGTTATGTCTCCATTTTTAAAAACAGAAATAGTCAAGTGAAAATAAAGGTTTATACTTAGTTGATACCTAAGAAAGCATCCCATGTGCATGAAGATCACTCACCTCACAAGGATTTTGCATATATTGTTCTTTCTACCTCTTTTCTTCCCCCCAGCAAACTCCTACTCATTCTGCTCTCAGCTAAGTGGAGCTTTCTTCACCACTACCCAGGTCAGATCCTCTTTATAGGTACCTTGGACCTAAATCCTTTGCAGCAATTATTATAATTATATCCACCCCCTCTTTTTTAAAATTTACTTTTTAAATTATGGTGAAATCCACATAATATAAAATGTATCATCTTAATCATTTTTAAATGTACAGTTCAGGAGAGTTGAGTACATTCATATTGTGCAACCAATCTCCAGAATGCCTTTCATCTTGCAAAACATGAAACAACTCCCCAACCCCTGAAAACCACTTTTTAACTTTTTATATCTATGAATTTGACTACTCTAGGTATCAGTTTCTCCACATCATCACCAATACTTTTTATTTTATTTTTTTTCACGTTAGTTTTTTTTTAATAGTTGGCATCCTTATGGGTGTAAGGTGGTATCTCATTGTGGTTTTGATTTGCATTTCCCTAATGATTAGTGATATTGAGAATTTTGTGTGTGTGCTTGCTGGCCAGTTGTATATCTTCTTTGGAGAAATGTCCATTACATTCCTTTTCCTGTCTATCTATCTATCTATCTATCTATCTATCTATCTATCTATCTATCTATGAATGACAAGGTCTCACTCTGTTGCCCAGGCTGGAATGCAGTGGCACAATTATGGCTTACCACAGCCTCAAACTCTTGGCCTCGAGTGATTCTTCTGCCTCTTTCTCGCAAGTAGCTCGAACTACAGGTACACATCATACCTGTAGTTTTTAAACTGCTAATTTTTAAATCTTTTTGTAGAGACAGGGTCTTACTTGTTGCCAAGGCTGGTCTTGAATTCCTGGCTTCAAGCGATTCTCCCTCCTTGGCCTCTCAGTACTGGGATTACAGGCATGAGCCACTGTGTTCAGCTTGCCCATTTATTGATTGGGTTGTTGTGTTGTTACTGTTGAGTTGTAGGAGTTTTTCATATGTTCTGGATATGAACTCCTTATCAGATAGATAATTTGCAAATATTTTCTGTCATTTTTTAGATTTCCATTTCACTCTATTGATTGTGTCCTTTGATGGACAGTTTTAAATTTTGATGTAGTCTAATTTGATTATTTTTACTTTCGTTGCCTGTGTTTTCGGTGTCGTATCCAATAAATCATTGCCAAATTCAATGTCAAGGAGTTTTTTCCCTGTATTTTCTTCTAAGAGTTTGATAGTTTTAGCTCTTATGTTTAGGTCTTTGATCCATTTTCGAGTTAATTTTTGTATATGGTATTACGTAAAGGTCTGTCTTCATTCATTTGTATGTGGATATCTGATTTTTCCAGCATGGTTGAAAAGACTCTCCTTTCCCCATTAATGATCTTGACAACCTTATCAAAAATCATTTGACCATATATATGAGAGGTTTTTTTCTAGACTCTCTTGTATATATGTCTGTCTTTCTGCCAGTACAATGCTGTTTTGATTAACATAGTTTTGTAATAAGTTTTGAAATCAGTAAGTGTAAGACCTTCAAATTTGTCCCTTTTCAAGACTGAATTGGCTATTCAAGGTCCCTTGAGATTTCATATGAATTAGGATGGATTTTTCTATTTCTGCAAAAAACACCATTGGGATTTCCATAGGAAATGCATTAAGTCTGTAGATAATCTTGGATAGTATTGCTATTTTAACAATATTAAGTCTGAATTCATGAACATGAGATATCTTTCCATTTATTTTGTGTTTAATTTCTTTTAGTAATACTTTATAATTTTTAAGTATGCAAGTCTTTTGCTTCCTTGGTTAAGTTTATTCCCAAATATTTTATTCTTCTATTGCTATTATAAATGGAATTGTTTTCTTAAATTTCCTTTTTGAATTGTTCATTTATTCCTCTTTTTTCAAGTGGAGTCACCTGCTCATTTTTTATCTTTTTCTCTGGGCCATAAGCTTCAGGACAGTAGAAACGGCGTCTGGTTTTGCTCAGAGCTAGACCCCAAGTTCTTTGTATAGCACTTGTCAATGAGTATGTGCTCAATAAACACTTGTTAAAATTGTCTAATAGTGTTAGATTAGCTTAGTAGACCCACTGTCTATTCTTATATGTGAACAAATGGTATACTGATGCTGAACCACTTACCTTGACTATCTTTTCAGCCCTCCTCCTCCCTCTTAAAAAGTGATACCTCAAGGCGGGGAACATCACACACCCGGGCCTGCCGAGGGGTGGGGGCCAAAGGGAGGGAGAGCATTAGGACAGATACCTAATGCATCCCAGGGCTTAAAACCTAGATGACGGGTTGATAGGTGCAGCAAACCACCATGGCACATGTGTACCTGTGTAACAAACCTACGCATTCTGCACATGTATCCCAGAACTTAAAGTAAAATAAAAATTTTAAAAAGACACCTAATATTTATTGAGCATGTAGATGTACAAAGTGTCTATGCATGTGTTAATTTGTTTTTCACAATAACCCAGTGAGGCAGACATAGAGTTGAGAGTTTGAGTTCTGGAGTCAGACTGTCTGAGTTTGAGTTATTTAATCTCTCTGTGCCTCAGAGTCCTATAATAAGGGATTTCTAAAATGCATACCTTTTTGGCTTGTCTTGAAGTTTAATTAAGATATTGTATGTCAGATCCTTAGGACATAGTAAGTGCTTAGTGAATACTGATAATTATTATCTCAACTTTTCAAATGTGGAATCAAGGTTTAAAAAGGATAAGCTGCCTTCAATCACACTCAGGCAGTCTAGAACTTGTAAGTACTTAAGCCCTGCATTGAAGTGTACACCATTCGCTTCTATATCTGAGACCAGGTGAGGAAACTCACAAGGCCCTCAGAAATAAAATGTCTGGAGAGTCTGCAAGAAATGGAACCCCCAGGATGGCAGAACAGAGTGTGCAGGGTTGTCCTGATTTTGCCAGCCCCTTTCATTCTTCAGAAACTCCTTGAAACTCCTATCAGGGAAGTCAGGGGGTTCTGAGAGGCAATCTGACTCTACAAACTAGACGTTTTTGCTCAGTAGATCAAATTCTGTCTGTAGATCTGCCAGACAGCCAGCATGGCTCAGGTCTAGGGGAGGATGGTGAAGGAGGGTTGGCTTCTAGCATTATTCTGGGCCAGAAGAGGAGCCTGGGGTCTGACTCACTCTCCATCTTCTCATGGACTTCACTATCAGCACAGGCACACCCACCTTCATCTTGGTCCTATTCTCAGTACTAGGACTTTGTAGAAATGGAAGGGGTCCTGCTTTTGAGAAAAGTCCAGGACCTTGTCCCAGAGTCCCAAGTCTAGGGGAAAGCATGACCATTCCAGTAGTCACATTAGCTGCAGGTTCATGTAACATCAATGGCTAACATGTGTTGAACACTCATTATTCTTAGTGCTTTACTTGCAGTATCTTATTTTATCTCTGGATGACCAACTCATTCCAGTTTGCCTAGAACTTTCCCAGCTTTAGCACTGAAAGTCCCACATCTCAAGAAGCCCCTTAGTCTGGGGCAATTCAGGAGGTTTGGTCACCCCAAGCACCCTGGGAAGTAGGAAGCTTGGCAGAGAGGAGTGAAATGATTTTCTAATGACATACCCCTATCAAGTACCAGAGGCAGGATTTGAACTCACGAATTCTGGCTCCAGGGCCTCTTCTCATGACCAACATGCAAGGCTGCCCAAGCCAGTATAAGCTGCCTCTGCCAGCAAATGTTTGGGTTTGGTCCAGATACCAAGTAGATGGCAAATAGCACTGGTGGCTATGGGGAAAATAGTAAATTGTACAGTATGAAAGTTCCCAAAATTAAAAATGGAGACTTGTACTTTGTTGCTGACAAAATGCCAAAGATTGCTTTCTAGACTTGACTGGCTGTCAGATTTGGTGTCTCGTTTGATTCTAATATTGGTGGTGCCTTTAATTTTGGTAAGCATGAGATTGGGAAATATGGACCAGATTGGCATGGTGGATAGGTAGCTTCAAGGCGGAGTGGTGCAAGGTGGGATTCTGGCTCTCCTTGAAGGGCTTTCATATCCTGCACTTACTCTATCATCTCTATGGAACCACTTAGCGGCCACCATATCTAGTCTTGGTTTGCTTCTTTTCTTCTACTTCCTGTGCAGTTCCTCTCTGCTGCATTTATGTATCCTTTTCTACTCCTCTCTCCCACTCCCAGAAGCACTAACTTGGTAATGCTACTTCTACTCCACAGTCAGACCAGAGGTGAGCAGCCTGGCACATGCCAGCTCGAGAAGATTGTAAACCTGTCAGCTACCAGGACAGGCTCAGGGAAGGAAATGGGAGAAGCACAGAGCAGGAGGACAAGCGTGCTAGTCACACAGGCAAACACTAGCAACTTGGCGATTTGCTGGAGGTCAAAGAAATGATGGGGTTATTTGTACTTGGATATTTTAATTTTCTTATTTAATTAGATTGTTCTTCTGTTGCAAGAAGTAGAGACCTTTCCAAGGCACTATGAGAAAGAGGTCAGGGGAGTAATGGTAAGGAAACACATGGATTCAATCTGAAACTAGAATTTTAAAGCTGTCAGGTTCGTCTCTCAAGGGCTATGGGGTTCTGTTTTTCTCTGAGTATCTCTGCTCCATTCCTTGAACTTCTGACCAGCTTTCTCTGTTTACTTGGGAAGTCATGATGTGAATCTCAGCCCCATCCACTGAGCATCTGGGTAAGTCTCCTGGAGTAATTTGTCCATGCATCCATTGGATTACTAGTCTCCACTTGCCAAGTGGCAGAACGTCAGCTCTGCCTGGACTCAGTGGGGGATTGGGGAGATGGCTCTGTTAGCTTCTGTGGCTCTGCCATGGCTGTTCTGGCTGCCACTCCAGCCCTCGTTCATGTTGCTTGATAGCACGGCCCATGCTGCTCCACAGAGGTGCTGGCCAACCCTGACCTCTAATACACCCCAGGACCTCTGTTCGCTCACTTGCGGGCATCTCCCTCCTAAGGAAATGGCTGCTTCTGCTAGCCTCCTCTGGTCTAGGTGATGTGGGGGACGATGATTCCCATGGGAAGCATGGGAAGCACAATAGAGGCACACTCTATTGTGTCTATCCAAACCTTACTAATTTGGAGTTTTGTGGGGTGGTGTGCTGTGTGTATGTGTGTGTGAGTTCTTTTGGTTGGATGACACCACTCCTCCCTGGGAGTGGAGATTGTGAAGGAAAGTCTGGATTTCAGATGGCGCTTCAGACTGTATTCAAAGCCACTCTTCTCATCCCACACCCAAGCCCTTCTTCTAGTCCACCCTACTGGATTTCTTCATTGTTTTGGGGGTTTTCCTTCCAGGGGTTAGTTGCTCCCTGCAATTTAGCCCGTGTCACTTTCCTTCTCTCCTTCTCTGGCCTGTCAAACAGACATGCTGGTGTGTGCAAACCCAGGAAAACTGAGGAATGTGGCTGGATTCTTATTGCATGGCCCTTGCATGTTCTGTGAATGTACAGAGGATCTCTAGGGCTTCTTCCACCTCACAGACAAGCCAATTCGAGCATTGGCTTGGGGTCCAGCCAAGATATCCCTTTATGTTCATAATTTCTGTTTTCTAAAACTTTTAAAAACAAATGTGTCCCTTTTTAAAGATATGACTCTTCATGACCATTCTATATCTGTCCTTTTAGCTTCAACTCCTATTTTCTTATTTATTAGATCTTAGTTCAAATGCATGTGAGGAAAAATCTGATTGGCTCCACTTATGATTTAACACAGGCCGGGCATGGATTGGCTGCCTTGGCCCAACCCTGGTCCAATCAATTTACCAGCTTGAGGTGGGTGGCGAGAGGGGAGGGGTGTCCCAAGGAACAAATCATGGTCACCCAGGCCTTCACGTTCAGCATCTGCTGTGCATAGGATACTCTTTCTTTAGAGTCACTATTGATGGGTAAACACAATGACTGATACCTCAAATACATTCATACTTCAAGAATGAACTGTTTTCTGAAATATCAACATGGGGGCCTTCCCCCCATTAAAATTTCCAACCGTAGTGTGCTTTCTTATTTCATTTTAGGTATGAAAAATGATATAGAGTAGGAGTGTTTGGGAGTCTTCTATGTTTTTGTTGCTTAGATGATTCCCATGTAGATTTCTACACTATTCGATTTCACACAGATATGGAGTGATTCACAGCTTAGAAGAATATTGCTGTGTCCTTTTCTGCTGCCTTTCATAATAAGACTTCAATTGCTTTTAAAACACTAACTAAATCTCATTAACATTATCTCCCACATGTTAATAGGAAAAACAGGTCTGTAGAACAGTGACATTTCATGATTAAAAATACATTTATTTAATGGTTGAGTTGCCTCGATTTGAATATTGCCCACTGCTTCCATAATAACAGCAGAAGTTTTTCACAGATGCTTTTTAATGGGTAACCCCTGCTATATCTCCACTAGCAGTATAAAACCTTGAGTAATGTGCATTGATTTGATATGTGCTAATTGCTTATCAGAAATTACTCAGTTGTAGCCTATCACTGCTGAAATTACTTCCAAGGAGAAAACTGGGCACTTTTGAAAGGTGCATTAATGCCACTAGGTCACTAGTGTCACATTTAGTATTCTAAAACAGTAACTGTAATGGCCTGACAGAGCCCAGTGCTCATCCAAAGACATTCGATGTTCACTCAAAGAAGAAGGCACAAAGAGAATCTGGCCCCAAATGTGGAATCGAATGCAAATAAAAATTGCTTCAATCTATTATTTTATAAGTTTATTAAAAATCAGGAACAGCAAATAAAAATTGCTTCAATCTATTATAAGTTTATTAAAAATCAGGAACCTTAGTAAGGTTTGGATAGATGCAATAAAGTATGTCCACAGCTGAAAGGACATACTTTATTGCATGTATCCAAACCTTACTAATTCAGAGTTTTGTGCTGCGTGTATGTGTGTGTAGTAGGAGTATGTGTGTGTGTGTTTCAATGCTCCTGCTTCTGATCTCCAATAAATAAGGTTATGTTTTGTATCCAACTCTGTGGTATACTGGTGCCATATTTTGTCTTGAACAATTCTCAAAATGTTTAGATAATTAGTTCTGTTTAGGATTGAAGTAATCCACTGGGAACCCAGGGTGGGCGCAGTTTGGTGATTGAGGGGGCAGAGGTAGTGGAGTAGTCATGCATGCTTCTCAAAGCCCTAGTGTGGTAGGGATGCATGGAATGGCCAGAGAGAAACCAGGACTGCTGCCTACATGGATGCCTGCCTGTGAGGTGGGAGGTAAGGAAACCTCAGTGGCCCCTACCCTGGCTTGAGTGGAGGCCCAGGGCTGGGGTGGATAGCAGTGGACAAGGAGCACCACAAAGGCAAGGAGCAGGTTTAGGGGAAATGAAACATTGACTCCTTGTGATGAGGACAGTGGGCTGGAATGTTTCACATTTCCCTCCAAGCCACCATTCTTATAGTCACTATTTGCCTAGTGTGACTGCCAAATCTGGGGTCCCTGACACTCTCTCAGCTTCATTTTCCTCTTTGCTGGTCTCATACTCAAGCTGGTACTCGCCATGTGAAGGGCAAGGTGGTCACCAGCAGCTCCAGGCTCCTTACTGCAGGTCCTTATGCTCCACATCTCTGGGGAGGGGCAACAACACTTCCTCTCCCAGGGTCCATATGCACACCTCTGGCGGGCCTTTGTGTGGCCCTGCTGGGTCACATGCTTATGCCATGGAACTGCCATTAAGGAAAGAGAGACAGAAACTATGACTGGCACATTTCCATCTTAAGGGACAGAGGGGTGTTGGGCAGACAAAAGCAGCCAATTTCCACTAGACTTTCCTTCAGACACCTATTATAAACTGGGATGCGTCTGATTCTAAGATGAACAGTATTTTTGTGAAAAGCCTTCTTAAAGAGGAGCAGCTCTTCATTTCCTTGGATAATCCAGGCACAGCCCCATATTCAATGTGCTCATGTCCAACCCAAGCGGATGCTACCCATCCCCTTCTGCATATTCTTTCCCACAATGTCATGCCACTTCTGTGGACAGTGCTCCTAAAATGAGCTGGTGTCTATGTGGCAGAGGATTTTGAGTACCAGACATGGATCTTTGCTCTCAATTTCTTCATCAATTAGGAAGCATTCATAGTTTTTGAGCACGGGGGTGATGAAGAAGGGGATATTGCATTTGATGTGCAGCAGGCAGTTGGAAATATGGGTCTGAAACTCAGAAGGGAGGTTCGAGCTGGAGAATAGCTGTGAATAGAGTGACAGCTGGAGTAACAGAAATAATGATATTATATCCAAAAGACTATAGAGAAATAAGGGAAGAGTGAAGGGCACACAGTCACTCATTCTAGAAACCTAGGAGTCATCATTGGCTCCCTCCTCCCCTCACTGCCGCATATTCCATCTTTCAGCCATACCTGATAATTCTACCCTCAAATTCCATTTATAGAACCTGTCCACTGCTATCCATCTCCATCCAGGTTGTAGACTTTCCTGTCCTTACTACTGCAAGTGCACTGGCTCCTAAACAGTCTCTGCTTCCACTCTTTCCTATGTCCAACCCATACTCACCTAGCAGTAAAAAGATTTTTCTAACATGTGAATGGTGTCATGTCACCCCTCTGTTCAGAGCCCCTACAGGGTCTCACACTGAGGTTATGATAAAGGACAGCCATCATATCCTGGTCTATGAGGCTTTGTGTAACCTGGCCCTTACCTCTACCTCCAACCTTCAGTCACTCTCCATTCATCACATCTAAATCACATGCAACGATTTGTTTCTCAAACACATCAAGCACTCTACCAGTTCTGCTTTAAACTTCCTCATCAGCCCTAAGTCCGCCTATTCTTCTTACCTTCCATCTCCCCAGCGCTGGTTTCTACTGCCCATTCCCTTAATCCTCTCAGTAACACACAGTGTTTTTAATGCCTGAGGAATCATCCTGCAAGCACAGACCCTTCTTTGGCCACCTTACCTTCCCAACCCAGCACTGCGGCAAGGAGCTGAGCAGAGCAAGGTGGTTCCTGAGAAACCTTCCAAGAGGAGAGGGAAGCCCATGGCCATGAGGACCACAAAAATCACCATTCTTTCCCTTTTAAAATGTGTTCTAGTTTTAAAAAATATAATACTAAAATTGGGTTTATTTTTAAAAATAAGGTATAAAGAAGATTCTTCACTTGACAAAAGGATTCATCTTGAGGTTTCTTAAAATATTGATTTTTTCTAATATATTCAAAGCTTGTAATTTTATTTTCCACAATTCAATTCACACAAGTTTTCACAGGTACATTAACTGCAGAAAATAAAGCATGCTTGTATTATTCCTGTGTCATAGATGGTAAAATTGAGGCTCAAAAACTTGCTGAGAATGACAAGGACTATCAATAACAGAGTCAAGGTTCAAAACTAGAAAACTGTTGGCAATGAATCTTTGCTCAACTCAAGGATTAATTCTATTTTCCCAATAATTTTCTCTTTAAAATATAGTGTAAACCCCAGCTATTCTTTTCCAATACCTGAAATGGACTTGAGTATAAACATGTTAATGATTTTTTGTATAACACCACGTAGGGGATTCCCAGATACTGGTTATGTCATTCCTTAGAGTCCTCCTCAGCTAACTGTAATGGTTGTGCTGGGCTGCCTGCACCAAGGCTATTTTTGATAATACATTTGTGTTTTATCCAATGAGCAACCAGGCAGAGAGGCAACACTGGGACAGTTAACTTACATTTTAGCATAGTTGTGAAAAGTGAATAACAAGTTCTTTTTTTAAATAAAAAAGGAAATGAAATTAAAAACAAGACTTCAATTTAATCTAAGAGACTGGAAATGGCAAGCTTGCCCCTTGTGAATTTGGTTCCGGTTCACCGAGTCTCAACTATCAAAGCAGCAGGGCAAATGAAGGAGGGAGTATCGCTCAACCTCTAAACTTGCATTTGTGGGTTTCATCTGGGCTCCATGTTATTGTAAAGGGTTTTTATGTTACCAGACTTCTGCTTAAATTAACAAAGCTTTTTGTAGATGTGGACCTATTTGATGCTACTCAAACAGCGTATGATTACCACAGAGGTAATTTATAGGGGGAAATCCCAAATACTTAAGCATTTAGGTAAGTATATACAAGTAAAGTCAAGATCTAGATGCAAGCCCTGTGTAAACACAACTGCATCATATTTTGATTTGGGAGGGAAAATTAAAGCTAGTGCTTGCTCAAAGACACTTTCACATTAAGACAGTCTAACTAGCTAGGCTGTTCTTTTCACCTTGTCTATCCTCCCGAGTGCACCAGGACAAGGGTGATAAATCCTACTCAGGCAACTGTTGTAAAGGAAATTGAAGCCCATGTAAATCCAGGGTTTATATTAACTATGGAGAGCGTAAGCATCAACAGTCAGTACCCACTTAGAAGCCTTTTAGCTACGTGTACTGCATTATATTCAAAAACTAGAAGGGAAAAACACCAAATCACATTCTTTCAGCATGTAGAAATCATTTTTGGTACTAAAAATGTGTTTAGTGCTACCATGGAAAAATAAAATGATTTTTTTGACCAAAACATTCAATTTTGCCTTTAAACAAACTTAAATAATTCCAAGTAGAGGCATATTTTTTCTTCAAAGTATTTACACTTAATGGACAGAACAGGAACAATAATTATTGTTATTTAAACTAGACAGTGAATCAGCACTTCATATATATTATTTGCTTAATCTTCACAACTCCACATGGTAGGTTTTATTGTCTCCCTTTTATAGATGAACAGATTAGGGCTCAGATAGGTTAAATATGCCCAATATCATACAGCTAATAAGTGGCCAGTTCTATATCCAAGTCCTGGGTTCTGTGATTTCACACTATTTCTGGAAATAGAGTTCCAGTCTTCTTGTGAGAAAAATTACGTTGCTTCATGCCCCAGGTCGGATCTTTATCTGTTAGTCTTCTTTTATTTTATTTTTTTATTTTTTTAAAACAGAGTCTTGCTTTGTCACCCAGACTGCAGTGCAGTGGTTCAATCTCAGCTTACTACAACCTCCACCTCCTGGGTTCAAGCGCTTCTCCTGCCTCGGCTTCCCAAGCAGCTGGGATTCCAAGTGTGTGCCACCACGCCCAGCTCATTTTTGTATTTTTAGTAGAGACGGAGTTTCACCATGTTGGCCATGCTGGTCTCGAACTCCTGGCCTCAAGTGATCCAACCTCCTCGGCCTCCCAAAGTGCTGGGATTATAGGTGTGAGCCACCATGCCCGGCTTGTTAGTTTTCTTTTATTTCATTTTTATTATACTTTAAGTTCTGGGATATATGTGCAGAACTGCAGGTTTGTTACATAGGTATACACATGCCATGGTGGTTTGCTGCACCCATCAACCTGTCATCTACATTAGGTATTTCTCCTAATGCTATCCCTCCTCTAGCCCTCCACCCCCTGACAGGCCCCGGTGTGTGAAGTTCCTCTCCCTTAGTCTTCTTTTAAAAGGGGACTAATAATAATGGTCAACTCTGACATTTGACTTTACCCTAAAAATGGTCATATTGGATGGCTACACCATCTTATAGACATTGGGTTATGCTTTACTCCAACTTGGTCCTTTGCTCTCAGCTCACGTGGCCTCATTCATGTATTTCAGAAGCTGGTTCTATCCTGTTCCTTTTTTCCTTCCTTGTTTAGTTTTCTTACATACCACCTACAAAGATACAGCAATTTTTCATCCATGAAAAGTTGCATGCATATGGGATTATAAATCTAATGAATTTTTAGGTAAACTTTTTACTAAAATATAACATACTTATTATGAAGAGCACAAATTCACAGTTCAATACATCTTCTCAAAGTGAACACATCCATATAACCAGCACCTAGATCAATAAATAGAATATTACTGGCTGGCCATGGTGGCTCATGCCTGTAATCCCAGCACTTTGGGAGGCTGCAGTGGGTGGATCCCTTGAGGTCACGAGTTCAAGACCAGCCTGGCCAACATGGTGAAACCCCATCTCTACTAAAAATACAAAAAATAGCCAGGCCCTTTGGTGGGTAATCCCAGCTACTGAGGAGGCTGAGGCAGGAGAATCATTTGAACCACTGCACGCCAGCCTGGGTGACAGAGCAAGACTCGGTCTCAAAAAAAAGAAAGAAAAAAAAAGAATACTGCCAGTAAATCCAATGATATTTTCATTTTAATTCATTTTTGTTTTAGAGACAGGGTCTCGCTGTGTTGCTCAGGCTGAAGCACAGCGGCACAGTTATAGCTTATTGCAGCCTTCAACTCCTGGGCTCAAGCAATCCTCCCATTTCAGCCTCCCAAAATGGTGAGATAACAGGTATGAGCCAGAGTGCCTGGCCCCACTGATTTTTTACATGCTGAATGGGATATTCCTATTTCAAAGTTTATGTAAAGAATTTTTGTAAAGGTAAGAACAAATTTGAAATGTGTTTCACTATGTTTCATATATTCTGGTTTTCATAGCTTGTGTCTTTTTTTTTTTTCTTAGAGTTGGGGTCTTGTTCTGTCACCCAGGCTGGAGGCAGTGGTTTGATCATAGCTCACTGCAGTGTCGAACTCCTGGGCTCAAGTGACTCTCCCACCTCAGCCTTCTGAGTAGCTAGAACTATAGGTGTGCACCACCATACCCAGCTAATTTTTAATTTTTTTTGTAGAGACAGGGTCTGGCTATGTTGCCTAGTCTGGTCACAAACTCCTGACCTCAAGCAATCTTCCTGCTTCAGCCTCCCAAAGTGCTGGGATTACAGGCATGAGCCACCACGCTTGCTTTATAGCTTGTGTTTTCTTACATCCATGATGCATTTAAAGAGAACCTATTTTGAACAGTGTAAACACTAAGTTATAAAGGCATCTCCCACCCAAACTGCACATCAAAACAGCATTATACAATTTTTGGACCGCTTTTTCCTATTTATTAAATTTAAAACTAGCTTTTTTAAATGAATGTCTTGTAAAGACATTTCTGTTTTGAATTTTTAAAATTTGATTATCTTCAAGAAGAAACTCCTCTATGAGGACTTTTTTGTTTGCTCACCAGTGGGTTGGAGTTCATTTTCACAGGAGAAGAAAGGTCCTAGCCAAAGCCTGATTGTTTCATTTTCTGATTTGTCAACATATGGGACATTTACTCCTGAATATGGAGTATTAAACATAATTTGCAAACTCTTTTACTTTTGTCCCCATGCTTTGTTGTAGCTTTCATTCCACCAGTGGAAGATCTGCTGCTGTTGTATACAATAGAGAAAGCACTGCTGCTGTTAGAGAATGACGTGCAAGCCTCCAGTGCCATTGGAAGAGCATGCATTTTCTGAGAGTCAGGCTCTACATGTGAAGGGAGTCTGTTATGTTTCAGTGATGAGTCATATAGGATGCTACAGATGGTGCAGAGTGATGCTTCAAAGATGTGAAAAAATACTAATGGATCCAAGACTGAAAATTAACAGAACAAGGTGACTGGGGTGAGTAGATGAGTCTGAGTAAAATATTGTAGGACAAAAACTGCCCCAACTTCTAATTGTAGCACTTAGTGTTAGATGTGCCCAGTGGTTTATTTTATTAGGCAATGCTTAAGTCTTCAAGACTTGCACAGATGTCTGGTTAACAGTCTATAGTGGAGAATCAATGAAGTTGCAACCAAGGCATCTGTTTTTGAAACACTCCCCTAGTGATGTTCATGCTCTCCAAAGTCTGAGAACCATTGCAATATTGGGTCAATACTCCTATATAAAACTATTGTGGGAAAGTAAAATTATAAGTCTTTGAGTTTTAGAGTTCAAAAGAAACGTAGACTTAATTTTTTCATGGGAAGAGCCTGAGGCCCGTGAAGAAGTGATTTGGGCCCTGCCACCCAGTAACGTAGCCATGAAGTCAGAGCTAGAAGAAAAGTGCTCTGCTGGTCAGCTTAGCTTTTATTGCACGATTCAATACTCCCATCCTCCATCTCTAATTTAAAATCCAATTACACAGTGTCTAGTTATCTTTCTGTTTTCTACTATATTTTATACATGAAACAAAAATTTAGAAAATGTGCATGCAAAGAAAGTAAGTTACTATTTTAATATGCTTCTTTGAAGTCTTTTTGTGTTTTCTACACAGGTTACTTTTTACAGTTATTGTAATTTATATCTAATCTTGTATCTTGCTTCGATTTTTTTTTTTTACTTATACTATGGTAACCTTGGTTTTATAGTAACAATAAGCTCTTACTAAAGGTAGTTTCATGTGGAAACTAAGTTTTATCAATGTTGTAAACGCTCAGTGGTTGCTAAGAGAAACTGATACTTTGTTCCCATAGGAACCATTGTTTTAAAATGAGAAATATAGAATCTCTAGCTTCAAAGGATAAAAACTTAGGTTTGGGATGGGAAATATCTTACCTTTCCTGGAAAAATGTGAAAATTACTATCCCCTGATTGGAACAGTATTGTCATGGGGTTGCAATCTTCTGAATGGGTGAAAATGTTCTAGGTGGCTGTTTTCTCTTTCTGCTTCCCTCGTGTTGATGGTGATGCGTGGTGATGCATGGAAGGAGAGTGAGGGAAGATGACTCTAACTCCCCTTGGCCTCTTAGAGCAGAGACATCAGAAAAGGCAAGCCCACACTTTCCATTTGATATGGTAGTTTGGTTTTCTTATTACAGAAGGGAACAAAGGGAAGGGATTTTTATACTAAGCTGCTCTGGAGCACTTAAGTACCAGCATACATTTTCCGTCCAGTTATAGGCTGTTAACTTTAAGTTAATGATTCGGAGTGAGTGAAAAAAAATCTGCTTAGTTCTGATCAGAAACCAAGAATCAGAATGAGGTGGAATTGATAACAACTGTGGTTGTAAATGCAGTGGTTGTCAAACTGGCAAACAGTTGCTGGATGGGCACTATTCCCTGAACCCCATGTCGGGTAGCACGTTTCTCTATTGCCCACAGCCAGCAGGATCGACTGCTTTCCCTTCCCTATCTGACTTCTTCTTTCCTCCGCTGGTGTTCCCTGTGTTTTGCAAAAAACTACTTGAAACCTAGTCATTGTCTCAATCTGCTTTTGAGAGAACACAAACTCAGACACATACTGAGAAGTCCAAAGAAAGATTATGAAAATGAAATGTATTGAATGGTACTTCCAAAGGCATTGGAATTATCACCAGAGCAGGTGCGTACAAACATACTCACACAGTTGTGCGTTGATTCAGTTCATACTTGTGATGGATGCTATGTTGTGCTGCTGTCTCCCCAGGAATTAAGGACTTATTACCCCCAACTGTTGGGAGTGCTGCTGGCAGACAGCCCTCAGCAGGCAGCGCTGCTTCAGGAGGGGCTTTGGCTGAGGAAAGCTGCTTCCCCTAAGGTCACCCCTCTTTCCCAGTGTGGCCCCCATTCAAGGACAGATTCAAGCAGGACTACAAAGGCCCAGCCCTCAGCTCATTCAGATGGCTCTGAAGAGTCATCCATTTTCAGAACTTCCCATCAGGTTAGGTGAGGCATTCCATGGAGACTGCACCAAAGCTTGACTTCTCCCTCTGCCCAGGCCTGCTCCTTTGCCTTGCTCACGTGGTGATCTCAGAGTGTTCCTGAAGGGACTTCCGGCACGCTAATCTGCAGCTCAGTTCGTTTCCCCATGAACCCAACTTGAGACAGTATGGATTGAGAACCTACTATGTGCTAGACACTATTCCAGGTGGTGAGGGAGAGAGTGGAGACCAAATAAACTTTCTGTGCATACGTTTTACTAGGAAGAAATTAACATTCTAGAGCAAAGGTCAGCAAACTATTTTTCTGTAAGAGACAGATAGTACATTTTTAGGCTTTGTGGGCAATATGTTTTTCAGTCACAGCTGCTCACATCTGCCACTGTTACACAAAAATAGCCTCAGAAATATATAAATGAATGGACATGGATGTGTTTTAATAAAACTTTATTTACCAAAATAATAGGCAGGTTAGATTTGGCCCTTGGGTTATAATTTGCTGAATTCCATTCCAGAGGGGAGGAAACAAGGAAACAAATAATTAAACAAGAAAACATCAGATAGTGGTAAGTGCCATAAACAAATTAGTTAGGGTGATATGATAACAAAACACCATTATTGGTTTTTTTTTTTTTTTGAGACAGAGCCTCACTCTATCACCAGGTTAGGCTAGAGTGCAGTGGTGCAATCTCGGCTCACTGCAACCTCCACCTCCCAGGTTCAAGTGATTCTCATGCCTCAGCCTCCCAAGTAGCTGGGACTACAGGTGCACACCACCATACCAGGCTAATTTTTTGTATTTTTAGTAGAAATGGGGTTTTGCCATGTTGCCTAGGCTGGTCCCAAACTCCTGAGCTCAAAGTGATCCACCTGCCTTGGCCTCCCAAAATGCTGAGATTACAGGTGTGAGTCACCGCACCTGACCCTATTATTGATTTTTTAATTAAATTTTTTTCGTAATATAGTCACATGATTCAAAACCCAAAAGGATTGAAAAAGTATTCATTTAGAAGTGTATGTCCTGGTTCCTGTTGACCCCCAATAGGATAATTTTATTTTTATACTTTTGTGTTTCTTTTCAATGTTTCTTAATGCAAATATAAGCAATTATAAATGTATATTCTTATCTACCCACCCACCTCAATTTTCTGCAAAGGTTAGCATACAAGATATCCTGTTCCAGACCTTACAGTTACTCATTTAACATGTTCTGGTGATCTTTCAATGTCAATAGAGATCATCTCTACTTGTTTTTTTATAGCGGAGTACGTGTATACCTCTGAGATATTGCAGGTTTGGTTCCAGGTCATCTCAGTAAAATGAACATCACAATAAAGCCAGTCACGTAAATTTGTTTGTTTTCCAGTTCATATAAAAGTTATGTGTATACTAAACTATAGTTTATTAAGTGTGCCATAACATTGTATCTTTAAAAATGTACATACCTTAAATAAAAAATAGTTTATTGCTAAAAAATGCCAACAATCATCTGAGCCTTCAGTGAGTCGTAATTTTTTTTTGCTGGTGGAGGGCCTCGCCTCGATGTTGATGGCTGCTGACTCATCAGGGTGGTGGTTGCTGAAGGTTGGGATGGCTGTGGCAACTTCTTAAAATCAGAAAATAATTAATGGATCAATGGACTCTTTCTTTCATGAAAGATTTCACTGTAGCATGCAATGCTGTTTGACAGCATTATACCCATAGTAAAACTTCTTTCAAAATTGTAGTCAATCCTCTCCAACCCTGCTGCTGCTTTATCAAGTAAGTTTATATAGTATTCTAACTCCTTTGTTGTCATTTCAACAACATTCACAGCACCTTCATCAGGAGTAGATTCCATCTCAAGAAACCACCTTCTTTACTCATCCATAAAAAGCAACTCCTCATCTGTTCAAACTTTATCTTGAGATTGCAGCAATTCTCTGACGTCTTCAGGCTTCACTTCGAATTCTACTTATCTTGCTATTTCCATCACAACTGCAGTTACTTCTTCCACTTCAGTATTGAACCCCTCAAAGTCATTCATGAGGTTTGGAATCAACTTCTTCCATACTCCTGCTAACGTTGATATTTTGACCTGCTCCCATGAATCACAAATGTTCTTAATGGCATCTAGAATGATGAATTCTTTCCGGAAGGTTTTCAATTTACTTTGCCACGATCCATTAGAGGAATCACTATCTATGGCAGCTATAGCTTTATGAAATGTATTTCTTAAATAAGAAGTCTTGAAAGTTGAAATTACTCTTTGGTTCATGGGCTGCAGAATAGATGTTGTGTCCGCAGGCATGAAAACAACGTTAATCTCTTTGTACATCTTCATCAGAACTCTTGAGTGACTAGGTGCATTGTCAATAGGTAGTGATATTTTGAAAGAAATTTTATTTTGTTTTCTGAGTAGTATGTTTCAATATTAGGGTTAAAATATTCAGTAAGCCATGCTGTAAACAGATGTGCAGATGTGCTGTCATCCAGGCTTTGTTGTTCCATCTACAGAGGACAGGCAGAGTAGATTTAGCATCATTCTTAAGGGCCCTAGGGTTTTCGAAATGGTAAATGAGCATTGGCTTCAACTTCAAGTCACCAGCTGCATTAGACTCTAACCAGAGAGTCAGCCTGTCCTTTTTTTTTTTTTTTTTTTTTTTTTAAGACAGTCTCGCTCTGTTGCCAGGCCGGAGTGCAGAGGTGCGATCTCGGCTCACTGCAACCTCTGCCTCTCAGGTTCGAGTGATTCTTCTGCCTCAGCCTCCTGAGTAACTGGGACTACAGGTGTATGCTACCACACCCAGCTAATTTTTGTATTTTTAGTAGAGTCGGGGTTTCACCATGTTGGCCAGGATGGTCTCGATCTCTTGACCTCGTGATCCGTCCACCTCAGCCTCCCAAAGTTCTGGGATTACAGGCATGAGCCACCGCACCTGGCCCAGCCTGTCCTTTTAAGCTTTGAATCCAGGCATTGACTTATCCTTTCTGGCTATGAAAGTCCTAGATGACATCTTCTTCCAATAGAAGGCTGTTTTGTCTACATTGAAATTTTATTGTTTAGTGTAGCCACGTTCATCAATGATCTTAGTTAAATCTGGATAATTTGCTGCAGCTTCTACATCAGCACTTACTGCTTCACTTTGCATTTTAAAAAATGGACTTACAATAATTGTACATATTTATGGGGTACATAGTGATGTTATCATATAATGTATAGTGATCATGTCAGTACCTTGCACTTTTATGTTATGGAGATGGCTTCTTTCCTTAAACCTCATGAACCAACCTCTGCTAGCTTCAGACTTTTCTTTTGCAGCTTCTTCACCTCTCTCAGCCTTCACAGAATTGAAGAGAGTTAAGGCCTTGCTCTGCCTTAGGCTTTGGCTTAAAGGAACGTTGTGACTGGTTTGATCTTCTACCTAGACCACTAAAACTTTTTCCATATCAGCAATAAGGCTGTTTCATTTTCTTATAATTCATGTGTTCACTGGAGTAGCATTTTAATTTCTTTCAATAACTTTTACTTTCACCACTTCAATAACTTTTTGCATTCATCACTTGGCTAATTGTTGGCGCAAGAGGCCTAGCTTTTTGCCTGGCTTGGCTTTTGAGATGCAATTCTTCCTTTTACTTTAATGCTTCTTAATTAGGCTAATTTCAATATTGTTGTGTCTCAGGGAATAAGGAGGCCCAAGAAGAGGGTGAGAGACGAGAATGACCAGTGAGTAGAGTAGTCAGAACATAGACATTCATCGGTGAAATTTGCTACCTAAATGTGTGCAGTTTGTGGCACTTGAAAACAATTATAATAGTAACATCAAAGATCACTGATTGCAGATCACCATAACAGATGTAATAATAATGAAAAAGTTTGAAATATTGCAAAAATTACCAAAATGTGACACAGAGAAACAAAGTGAGCACATGCTGTTGGAAAAATGGTACCAATAGACTTGTTCACTTCAGGGTTGCCATGAACCTTCAATTTGTAAAAAGTACAATATTTGCGAAGTGAAGTGCAATAAAATGAGGAATGCCTATACTATTCCTAATATATGTATTATAGCTTATTTAATCAATTCTTTATTGTATTTGTCATAGTTTTCCAGAGAAATAGAACCAATTGGATAAATACATATATTATTCAATATATATTTGATCATCAGAAAACCCCAAATCTGAAATTCAAAATGCTCCAAAATCCAAAACTTTTTGAAAATGGACATGACACTCAAAGGAAATGCTCAATGGAGCATTCCAGATTTTGGATTTTTGGATTTCAGATGCTCAACCAGCATGTGCAATGCAAATATTCCAGAATCTGTAATAGTCAAAATTATGAAATATTTCTGGTCTCAAACATTTCAGATAACGGATACATAACCTGTACATAGAAAGAGATTTATTGTAAGGAATTGGTTCACATGATTATGGAGGCTGACCAGGCCCAAAGTCTGTTGAGCAAGTCTGCAACCTGGAGACCTACGAGAGCTGAGTGTAGTTCCAATCTGGAGGCTAACAGGTTCAAGATCCAGGAAGAGCCGATATTTTAGTTCAAATGTGAAGGCAGGAAAAAAGCCAAGGTCCCAATTTGAAGGTCATCAGGCAGGAGGATTTCTTTCTTACTTGGGGGACAGTCAACCTTTTTGTTCTATTTAAGCCTTCAATTGGTTGGATGAGGCTCGCCCACATCAGGGCAGGCCACATTAGGGCAGTCTGCTTTACTTAGCCTATCAATTTAAGTGTTAATCTCACCCCAAAACACTTTCACAGTAACACCCAGAACGGGTTTTGTGCAAATATCTGGACACCCTGTGGCCCAGTCAACACATAAAATTAACCTTTATACTTATTAATGGGCACTTGAGTAGTTTGCAAACTTTTGCTCTTACAAATACTGCAATGAATAACCTAACCTTGTTTTTTTGTTGTTGTTTGTTTGTTTTGTTTTTTGAGACAGGGTCTAACTCCCATCACCCAGGCTGGAGTGCAGTGGTGAGATCCTGGCTTACTGCAGCCTTGACATCTCAGGCTCAGGTGACTGAGTCTCCTACCTCAGCCTCCTGAGTAGTTGAGACTATAGGTGTATGTCACCGCACCTGGCTAATTTTTTGTATTTTTAGTACAGATGGGGTTTCACCATGTTGCCCAGACAGATCTCAAATTCCTGGGCCCAAGTGATCTGCCCACCTCAGCCTCCAAAAATGCTGGGATTACAGATGTGAGCCACCATGCCCATCCCTGCAATGAATAACCTAGTGCATACATCATATCATAAGTGTGTAGGTGTGTGTATCCATCTGGAGGATTAATTCCCAGACATGGGATTACTGGGTCATAGCAGATAAATTTGATAGAGATTGTCCTATTGCCATCCATGAGATTTATTCTAATTTGAAGTCCCACCAGCATATGTAAGTGGTTATTTCCCCATAGCCCTGTTAACAATTTGCATTAATCAAACTTTGGGGAATTTTTTGCCAACGTGATAGGTAAGAAATGGTGTCATCATGTAGCTTTCATTTGAATTGCTCTTTATATGAGTAAGTTTGCACACCTTTTCATGTGGTTGAGGACCATTTGCATTTCTTTGTGAATTTTCTTTTCTTTTCTTTTCTTTTCTTTTTTTTTTGAGACAGAGTTTTGCTCTTGTGCTCTCATTGCCCAGGCTAGAGTGCAGTGGCGTGATCTGAGCTCACTGCAAGCTCTGCCTCCCAGGTTCAAGCAATTCTCCTGCCTCAGCCTCCTGAGTAGCTGGGATTACAGGTGCCCGCCACCATGCCCAGCTAATTTTTTGTGTTTTTGGTAGAGATGGGGTTTCACCATGTTGGCCAGGCTGGTCTTGAACTCCTGACCTCAGGTGATCTGCCTACCTCGGCCTCCCAAAGTGCTGGGATTAGAGGCATGAGCCACTGAGCCCGGCCCGTGAATTTTCTATTCACATTCTTTGCTCGGTTTCTTTGGGTTATTGGACTTTTCTCAATTTCTAAGACTCTTAAGCATGAAGGACCTCAGCCCTTTGTGATATAGGTTGCAAACATTTTCTGAGTTTGTTGTTTGTATTCTGTGCTTATGTTGCTTTTTTATGATTTGTATCAACCTTTTCTGTCATGGTTATTGAACCTTGAGCTATGATCAGAAAGGCCTTTGAGCGGCACTGCAGACGGGTGCTCCAGGGAGATCAGCACACCCCAACTCCTTGCTTGTGCACTGGGGAAACATTTGTGGAAGAGAAGCTAACCCCATTGAGGCAGCACTGGTGGAAAACCAGATGTGCATAGCTGAACTCAAATGAGAAAGGAAACTAAAAACAGATTTTTGACCCAATGTAAGCATTAAAAGTGAGGTAAAACAAATAATATTAAAAAATCACATATAATGAAGGTAATTATATTGATTCTGGACTTGAGACATATAAACTCTTTGAGCAAAAAGTTATGATTTGTTGTAATTCCTCCATCTGAACAGGAATGCATAGATTTAATATAGGTTTTGATAAATACAACTTGACTAATTTAAAATTGATTTAAAAATCTTGCTGTTTCATCTTCATAAATTGAAAAGTAGGTTTGCTTATACTGGTAGCCCTTTATGGTACTTGAATAGTGGTCTGACTACTTTTAGAAATGAATAATGGATTAAAAGTACACTTTGCAGCTTACATTAGTTACTTTTGTAATGCAAAATAGAAACATGATAATGTACTATTCAGCATGCTTTAATATGATTTATATATACACTACACAGCATAAGTAATTCATTATGCCCTTCACAGTACATTTCCTGGGTACAGAAGCTCATGTTTACCAGTATTTCATCTCATAATCAGGATGTCTAATGGAGAGGGCCTGGGAGCATGACTGATGGATGATTCCACACTCCACTTGCCCCTGACTCATTCAGTGACCTCAGGGAAGTATTATTCTGGATCTGGGATTGGGTAAAAGTAAAAGTGAGTGTATAACACTTTATAGACCCAACCTAGAAGAAGGGGCTGTAGACTTTAGGATGTAAACAGCTTTGAAGTCTGGAGTTAAACGAACTTCACAGTTTATTATTATTATTCCAAGGAATTATCCTACTTTGGAAATAACTCTCTATGATGGTCATTCATAAAAGGCAGTAGTTCATTTCAGTGCATTTGGGAAGAAATCCTCTACTGTTTAATCAACAGCACCTTGTCACATACTGTATTTTTCTATTTGTAAAGTGTGGATTTACTGGAAAGCAGAGGTGATAGCCTTCGAAGTCAGCAACCGTTAAAGCCAATTTCATTCAATTTTTAGAATAAGCATGCATAGACTTCACTGAAGCTTTGAGTTGGAAGTAAGAAAGTAATTATAAGATGTAGACCTACCCCTAAGATTTGTGGAGCCCAGGGCAAGAGTACAAATGTAGGCCCACATACCAATATGTTTAAATATTTAAATGGTATAGATCAAGCTAACAGACTGTTAAATAAAATATGTTCTATCCTCTTACCTTGACAAATATATCTTCATAATGACCTGGAAGGCCAGATTTGAATTTTAGGTTTCTCTGAAGGTCCTGGAAAATTTTAAAATCACAATTCACTCTTCTGTTTGTCTGGTGTCAGTATGATAGTGACCAGTATTGGTCTCTAGACCAGAATTTGAACACACACACCCTTGAGGTATGTTTCAAACTTTGTACTTATTTATTATATGAAAATCACATTTCTTTTTTTATAATGTTGACTGTCTCTATGAAAATGAAATCATTAGAATAACTGAAACTTCTAAAATAGTGAGACTTGTACCTGTGATAAATGCTTTGACACAGTTTGATTCCCTTGACAATCTTATTTGACCTGGTCTATTTAAATTCTGCTGGAAACATAATTTTCACATCAAACTTCTATTATAAATTGTAGGATATGTAAAATGTGCAAGTTTTGTGCACAAACTTTTTTTTTTTTGCCTAACACACAAATTGTTAACTTGAATTCAAAGTAATCTTATTGGTCAGATAGATCTAATAATGGGGATGATATAATAGAAAAATTTGTATCTTAGAGAATGCACCTTAAGCAGTTTATTTTATAGCTGATATTTTTATTTTTGCTTGGGTATACGATTCTTATTTGTCAAGACTCCACTTTCTTTGTTAAAATGTAAAATGCATATTGGGCAAATGCTCCAGGGCAATTTGCATAAAAAGTGATGACAAAGAGCAATTAGTACTTCATTATTATGCAGTGAAATGCTACTTTGCTCAAAAGTGACTGTAGTTGTTCCCCCCAACCCCCTAGTAAATCTGGTACAGCATTGTTCTAAAAATAGTACTTAACAAACCTCTGTTTGTAAATCAGTCTTTGACTTTCCACTAGCAGTCCAGGGGGGAAGAAATCCAAGCACTAAATAAAGTTATTACCCCAGATCTTTGTAATGAAAAACAAGCACCGGAATTCTGTTAGATAAGACAAGTCAGAAGATTTTAGTGTCTCATCAAATTAGATCCATATCTTATTTTACCCCTTGGGATTAGCTTTGAAAGCAGACTCCATCACACACTGATAGCAACATCCCCCTCCTCCCAATACACATACTCTCTCAGACACACACTCAGAGGGTCATGCCACACACAGCTACACTGCAGAGAACAAACAGGCCCCAGGTATCTCTAGTTAGGAAGGCTTGGTTTTTGAGTACAGATTTCATTACCATGAAATTCCTTTAGGGCCAGAAAGAATTGAATCAAATAAACTATGTAAGGAGACAGACTTTGTGAATCTTTGTCCCATCACTTGTGTTATTAGGTGCTCCTCTCTCTTTAATTTGTCAGAAAATGCTCATTTTTGGATTCTCATTTTGTTTTTAAATATATTTTGTTGGCTGGGCACAGTGGTTCATGCCTATAATCCCAGAACTTTGGGAGGCCGAGGTGGGTGGATCAACTGAGATCAAGAGTTTGAGAAAAGCCTGACCAATATGGTGAAACCCCACCTCTACTAAAAATACAAAAATTAGCCGGGCATGTTGGCACATACCTGTAGTCCCACCTACTCAGGAGGCTGACACAGAAGAATTGCTTGAACCTGGGATGTGGAGGTTGCAGTGAGCCGAGATCGCGTACTGCACTCCAGGCTGGGTGACAGAGCCAGACTCCATCTATATATATATGTTTATATGTACATATATACACACACATATATACGCATATAAACATATATATGTTTTGTTTATGTGTGTATATATATACACATATATGTTTTGTTTATATGTATATATATACATATATTAAACATATATATGTTTTATATATTAAACATATATATGTTTTCTATATGTATATCTATGTATATATGTATATATACACATATGTTTACATGTATATATATAAACATATATAAACATATATATGTTTTGTTTCTATGTGTGTGTATATATATATACATATATACATATTATCTAAAATTTTGCAAGTCAAAATGTGCCAGCACTGTGTGTGAGTGTGTGTGTGAGAGAGAGAGAGAGACATAACCAAGTAATTGGATACTGGCAGGATGAAAAGGAAAACATGAGAAACTACCAAACCTTTGGAAATAACCCCATGAGGCTGGAGACAGACATGGATTTTACTATTTTTCTCCGGAAGTTGCAGAGCGGGCTTGGTGGGGAGGAGGAGGATGGGGTGAAGGTGGGCACTAGGTAAACACTGCCTTATTCTTGGTGCCCCTCCACCCAACCCTCTGTGGGCCAAGCCACATCAGTGCAATTCCTGCAGCCACATCTTTAGCTGGCATGGCTCCAAGATGGCTGACCTAAATCAGTTTTGCTGACATCCTGAGGGGTCTCTCATTTACAGGGGGCTGGGTCAGTTCAAGGGGTTTGTAGCATCTGCAGTTAAGTCACATCTCTGAAAAATAAGGAGCAGGGATAGACCCTTAGGCACATTGCTTTATAAGCACAAGTAGCTTGCACAGCTGAAAGTTCTTCAACCGGCCCAGGTTTTATTTACTTTCTCTTCTGTTCTTGTCCTCCTCAGGCCACCAGTGAAAAGAATGTAAGGTCACATAGCCTGTACCATTTCAGGGAGGCATTGTCTAACCTGGAGGTAATGTATGATCATTTTATACACCACCACAGATTCATTATTCATACAATTTTCCATTAATTTTTAATGCATCCAAGTTCCTACTTATTTAACATACAATGCAGTCGGCCAGATGTCTTCATAAAGCTATGAAAAGTGGTTCTGAAATACTCTTCCATAGCATCCCAATCTACTAACCAGCTGATGAGACAGTATTGCTCTTTAACAATGGGTCGGACTCCTGCTTTGGGCCCCCACACCTCAGGGACCCCCATGATTTAAATGGCTTTGCTTGAAGCCTGGCCTACAGTCTTATTGGGGTGGAGTGTCCAAGCCAGATCCCATTTCTCTCCTTCAGAGCACTATCCTACTCTCTAGCCATCTGGTAAGGTTGACCAGATGTCCAGAGAAGCTCTGAACCGCATACCTGTAAGATGATCTTAGGGCCAAGGTGGAGCCTCGTTCAAGAAAGCAGTCTGATGAAAATATGTTCCCACTGACACTGACCAACAGGTTATTTCTTTTGTTAGACTGCATGCCATTGGACCTCTAGAATGGTTTCCACAGGTTGATTTTGGGTAACTTATTTATGAGGGATGAAGAAGACAAGAATTTTTACATGCACTGATTGGGCAATAAACAAATACCCATTATTCTAAATTTTTACCAGTAAATCACTATACCTCACACAAACTCATTTTCTAATCAAATCATGTATATAGACGTGGCCTTGTAAAATATATTTGCCTAGGGATTGTACTTTCTGGGGCTAGCCTTGCCCTGGGGAACCACTATAGGCTCTGGAACTGGGGCTGATGTAGACTAACTAATTAGAGGGGGGACATTGGAAATGACAAAGAGCAAATAGAGAAATCTATGGCACTAACGGGGCTAAGGAGGAGTTAGTGTGGTAAAGTGAAATTACTCTAAGTTGAAAATCATGGGCTCTGAGGTCCTGGAACTACCACTACCCAGCTCTATGTTCTTAATCAAGTGTTTTTTTTTTTCTTTTTTTTTGAGAAAGGGCTCTTGTGCTTTTGCTGGGCTGCAGTGCAGTGGCACCAACACAGCTCACTGAAGCCTCGACCTCCTGGGCTCAAGCAATCCTTCCACCTTAGCCTCCTGAGTAGCCGAGATCACAGGTGCATGCCACCACACCCAACTAATTAAAAAAAAATTTTTTTTTTTGAGATGGGGGTCTCATCATGTTGCCTAGGCTGATCTCGAACTCCTGGGCTCAAGGAATCCTCCCACCTCGGCCTCTCAAAGTACTGGGATTACAGGCATGAGCCACCATGCCCAGCCTTGATCAAATCTCTTAATCTCTCCCTGTCTCAGTTTATTCATCTATAAAATGAGGGAGTTCAATATAGTTGTCTTAGTGGTTCTCAAACCTGACTTTGCAGCAGAAGACATAGAGAAGTTATTCAAAAATGATATTACTTCCTATATTATTCCATTGTCACACTGCTATAAAGAACTACCTAAGACTGAGTAAATTATAAAGGAAGGAGGTTTAATTGACTCACAGTTCTGCAGAGCTGGGGAGGCCTCAGGAAACTTAAAATCATGGTGGAAAGGGAAGCAAACACATCTTTCTTCACATGGCAGCAGGAAGGAGAAGAATGAGAGTTGAAAGAAGGCGGAAGCCCCTTATAAAACCATCAGATCTTGTGAGAACTCACTCACTATCATGAGGATAGCATGAGGGAAATTGCCTCCACGATTCAATTACCTCCTACTGGGTTCCTCCCACTACACATGGAGATTAAGAGAATTACAATTCAAGATGAGATTTGGGTGGAGACACAGCCAGACCATACAATTCTACCCCTGGCCCCTCCCAAATCTCATGTCCTCACATTTCAAAACACAATCATGCCTTTCCAACAGTCCCTCAAAGTCTTAGCTCATTCCAGCATTAAACCAAAAGTCCAAGTCCAAAGTCTCATCTGAGACAAGGCAAGTCTCTTCTGCCTATGAACCTGTAAAATCAAAAGCAAGTTAGTGACTTTCTAGATACAATGGAGGTATAGGTATTGGGTAAATATACCCATTTCAAATGGGAGAAATTGGCCCAAACAAAGGAGATACAGGCCCCATGCAAGTCCAAAATCCAATAGAGCAGTCATTAAAACTCAAAGTTCCAAAATGATCTCCTTTGACTCCATATCTCACATCCAGGGCATGCTGATGCAAGAGATAGACTTCCATGGCCTTGGACAGCTTCATCATTGTGGCTTTGCAGGGTACAGCACTCCCCTGGCTGCTTTTATGGCTAGTGTTAAGTGTCTGTGGCTTTTCCATGAGCATGGCACAAACTGTCAGTGGATCTACCATTCTGGGGTCTGGAGGATGGTGGCCCTCTTCTCACAACTCCACTAGGCAGTGCCCCAGTGGAGACTCTGTATGGGAGCTCCATCCCCACATTTCCCTTCCACACTGCCCTAGCAGAGGTTTTCCATGAGGGTTCCACCCCTGTAGCACACCTCTGCCTGGACATCCAGGCATTTCCATACATCCTCTGAAATTTAGGTGAAGGTTCCCAAACCTCAATTCTTGATTCTGGTGTGCCCTCAGGCTTGACACTATGTGGAAGCCACCAAGGCTTGGGGCTTACACCCTCTCAAGCCACGGCCCAAGCTGTGCCTTGGCCCCTTTTAGCCACAGCTGGAGCTGCTGGGACACAGGGGACAAAGTCCCCAAGCTGCACACAGCAGGGGGATCCTGGGCCCAGCTCATGAAATCATTTTTTCTTCCTAGGCCTCTGGGCCTGTGTTAGGAAGGGCTGCTGTGAAGGTCTCTGACATGCCCTGAAGACATTTTCCCCATTGTCTTGGTGATTAACATTTGGCTCCTCATTACTTATGCAAATTTCTGCATGGGTTGAATTTCTCCCCAGAAAATGGGTTTTTCTTTTCTATCACATCATCAGGTGGCACATTTTCCAAACTTTTATTCTCTGCTTCCTCTTGAATGCTTTGTCACTTAGAAATCTTCTGCCAGATATCCTAAATCATCTCTCTCAAGTTCAAAGTTCCACAGATCTCTAGGACAGGGCCAAAATGCTGCCAGTCTCTTTACTAATCCTTTGCTCCAGTTCCCAAGAAGTTCCTCATCTTCATCTGAGATCATCTCAGCCTGGACTTCATTGTCCATATCACTGTTAACATTTTGGTTGAAGTCATTCAAGAAGTCTCTAGGAAGTTCCAAACTTTCCCACGTCTTTCTGTCTTCTGAGCACTCCAAGTCTCTAGGATGTTCCAAACTTTCCCACATGTTTCTGTCTTCTTCTGAGCCCTCCAAACTGTTCCAACCTCTGCCTGTTACCCACTTCTAAAGTTGCTTCCACATTTTTGGGTATCCTTATACCAGCACCCCACTGTCTGTGGTACCAATTTACTGTATTAGTCCATTCTCACACTGCTATAAAGAACTGCCTAAGATTGGGTAAATTATAAAGGAAAGAGGTTTAATTGACTCACAGTTCTTCAGGGCTGGGGAGGACTCAGGAAGCTTACAATCATGGCAGAAGGGGAAGCAAACACATCCTTTTTACATGGCAGCAGGAAGAAGAATGTGAGCCAAGCAAAGAGGGCTCAGATGTCATAAGCGCTTACTATCAAGAGAATAGTAGCATGGGGGAAACTGCCCTCATGATTCAATTACCTTCCACTGGTCTCTCCCACTACACATGGGGATTATGGGAACTACCATTCAAGATGAGATTTGGGTGGGGACATAGACAAACCATTGTCACTTCCTAAGCAGCCCTTTCTCCAAGTTTCAAATTCAGTAAGTCTGGAGGTGGGACTTGGGGTTCCGTATTTTTTAGAAGCACCCAGCAGATTTTGGCATGTAGCAAGGACTGGTCCTCACTTCTCTTAAGAGTCTCCTGGCTCTAAAAGTTTGGTACTCTAATAGAGAGCGGAGGTGATGAAGGTGTCTATTTGATGCTGATATAGTCTGTAGAGGAAAGAAGTAATGAAAGATTTTAACATAATGCCAGTTTTGGTAAAAATGATGGCTTGTGTATAACTGTGAGCCAGATATCACTGTGAGTGCTTTACATGCATGGCCTTGTTCAATCCTCACTCAACTATTTGTTATTCACATTCTCCAGATGCGAAAACTGAATCAGAGAAAGACTAAATACCTAGCTGAGATTCAGTGCTAATATTTTTGGTAAATTGGGTAGAGGAACTGGAAAAGTGGGAAGAATCACAGGTATTTCCATGTTTTCGAGGCTGGAAGACAGAAAACCACAAGACCAATTTGGATGGTCTTGTGGTTTGTTTCTTTGCTTTGTTTTGTTTTTGTCATTATTTATGATGCTGAGGGCCTTGGGGATGATGAGTGTCTAATTAGCTATGATAGTGAGTCCCTTAAGTAGAAATGTCCTGGAAAGACTTGAAAATACTCTCCTGAAGATCAGATGAGAGGTTTGGCTGGGAATTTTGGATATGGGAACCATCAGGGAGATAAAAGATGCAATTATGAGAGTGCCAGAGCCTCCTAACCTCTAGGATAGAGTGTATAGAATTTCTTAAGAGAATCAGCTTGGGAGGGCGAGCTCCATGGGCAAAACTCCAGCATCAACTCAGCAACTAAAATTCCCAGCCACTTTTGAAGAGCTCTTCTATTATATAGTTTGGTCAGCAGCTCAGCTCCATATTTTCATCTACCAGAATGTTCAAATCAATACTCCCAGTCCTCATGATTTACTGAACCTGAATTTCTCTAACTGCTCCATTAACTCTTTGGAAAGATTTCTCCCTCTGTTAGCACTGGATCATGATTTTCCATAAAATTTGCCCTTGAGCAAGTAATTCTCTCATCATTCTCACTAAGGAAATTGTCTTACTGTTTTCTTCCCAACCTCTCCATCATTCCTTACTTCCTTATGAGCTCTATTTCATGAACCTGCATTTTACCTGCTAATTAGTGTTTTTGAATAAATACTTGCTACTGAGTTTGGAATCTATGAGGTTTTTGCTCAGGCCAGTTTGTGAGTTGCTAACTCTTTATGTCAGTTAATGTTTTTCCCAGCTTGGTTATTAAATTTAAGATCTTATTATTCCTCTGTTCGTGCAGTAGAGGCATCTTGGCACTGAAGTCTAGTGCTGTGGCCCTAGTGCCTGCATGCGCAGTCCTATGCTTATGTTCGGGATGATGATCCCGTACATGCTGGGTATAGAGGGGCCCGGTGGCCAGACAGCCAATTCTGAAAGGTGAATTCACTCACAATGCATCCTTTGTTTTAGGGAACGTTTTGTTCCTCTGATCTTCAGCTTCAGCATCATGAAAAAGCATTTGTCAAGCCCCTAATTGCCCAGAGTGCTGCATTAAGCACTCCATAAAGAGAGTTTCACAGCCACAGCACAGCTGAGCATGACAGAGACAGGCCTGGGTGTGGAGAAAACTGCTATTGCCATTACCCTCATCCACACAGTCCTGCAATTTAACAGAAAAATGATGTCTTCCAGGTATTCCCAGTGATGCTGAGATACTTGAGTTGGGGTGGGGCACATGAAAGCAGCAGGACATGCAGCAGTGGTGCTGGTCTAGACAGACACCCCCACCCCATCTCAGAGAAGAGGAAAGGGAGGTGTGGTGGTTCATTTTACGTGTCAACTTGACTGAGCCACAGGATGTCCAGAGAGCCAGTAAAACATTATTTTGGGGAGGGTCTGTAAGGGCGTACGAAGAAGAGATTAGCATTTGAATTTGTAAACTGAGTAAAGCAGATGACCTCGCCAGTGTTGGTGGGCATCATCCAATTTTGTGAGCCTCTGAATAGAACAAAAGGCAGAGGAGTGGTGGCAAATTTTTCTCTTTTTGAGCTGTGACACCCATCTCCTCCTGCCCTCAGTTATCAGTGCTCCTAGTTCTCAGGCCTTCAGATTCAGACCAGGACTGTGGCACTTCTCTGCCTCCATAATTATGTGAACCAATTCCCATAATAAAATCTCCATCTACACACACACACACGCAGGTACACACACACTATTGGTTCTGTTTCTCTGGAGAACCCTGACTAATACAAATTTTAGTACCAAGAATGTTTCTAAAGGGACAGACTTTTAAGGATGAATTTTCTAAGTTGGTTCTGTGGTTTCTGGAGTTGGCTATCTAATCTGATTACATTTAAAGATACAAATACTTTAATGTATCTATTTCCAGTAATATAGTGAGCACTGGCCAGGCATGGTGGCTCACGCCTGTAATCCCAGCACTTTGGGAGGCTGAAGCAGGTGGATCACCAGAGGTTAGGAGTTTGAGACCAGTCTGGCTAACATAGTAAACCCTGTCTTTACTAAAAATACAAAAATTAGCTGAGTGTGGTGGCGGGTGCCTGTAGTCCCAGCTACTCGGGAGGCTGAGGCATAAGAATTGTTTGAATCTGGGAGGTAGAGGTTGCAGTGAGCTGAGATGGCACCACTGCACTCCAGCCTGGGTGACAGAATAAGACTCCTTCTGAAAAAAAAAAAAAAAAAAAAAAGTGAGCACTGATAATCCATAGCATGTGAACTGTTTAGAGAGGTAAATAAAATATCTGCATCGGATACTCCTAATCAATCTTAAGAAGCCAGGAACTGAGTGACTCTGTATATGATATTTTTGAACATTTTTTTGAAAATTAGAGAATATAATGATGTTGGGTGGTTGCTCCCAGTGTCACTGTACAAAGTGGTGAAAGAAAAAAAAAATGAGCTTAGGGATTTGAATTTTCAGCTGAAGCACTGCATAAATGACCTAAGAGCTTCCAGGTGTGCCCTGAAGGAGACTTACCTCCTATAGCTGTAGGGCTGAAATGGCTGGAAATCAAATGCAGAAACTCATCCTGTGATTGGCTGAGCTACAATGCAAGCAGAACTCCCAGGCTCATAGGATGTCTACTATTAAAGTGAAGACATTGATTAGGGAAAAAAATAGGATCCTGTGGGTTGATTGGGGATGTGTGGGAAGACTCAGATGAAACTAAGGACATTGAACCCCTAAATTCTGATGAGTCTTTCCTAGTGGAAGAAGTCACCCCACCCCAAGTAAAATTGGTTCCTACCTTTAGCCAAAACTACTGACCGTGGACATACAGAATGCCTTATCCATCATCATGGTATTCTACACAGCAATGCTTCCTGTCAAGGAACTCTCTTTATGGTAAAAGAAGTGTGGCAATAGGCTCATGCTTATGGAATTTGCTGGCCTTACAACATTCCCTACCATTCTGAAACAGCTGGCTTGACAGAATGGTGAAATGGCATTTTGAAAATTCAATTACAGCACCAGATAGGTGGCAGTACCTTGCAGGGTGGGAGCAAGATTCTCCAGAAGGCTAATATGCTCTGAATCAGTGTCAATATGTGATGCTATTTCTCCAATAGTCAGGATTCATAGTTTCAGGAATCAAGGGGGTAGAAATGGGAATGACACCACTCATTATTACCCCCAGAAACCCAATAGCAAAAGTCTTGCTTCCTATTCCTGAGATGTTATGTTCCGCTAGCCTAGTGGTCTTAGTTCCAGAGGGAGGAATGCTTCTGGCAGGAGATTCAACAATAATTCTATTGAACTGGAAATTAAGACTCTACCTGGCCACTTTGGGGCTCCTCCATGCCTCTGAGTCAACAGGCAAAAAAAAAAAAAAAAAAAAGAGTTACAGTGTTGTTGGGGTGATCGATCCTGACTACCAAGGGGAGAAATTTTCCTACTGCTCCACCACAGAAGTATGAAAGAGTATGTCTGGAATACAGGAGATCTCTTAGGGTGTCTCTTGTTATTACCATGGCCCTGTGATTACATTCAGTGGAAAATGACAACAACCGAATCCAGGCAAGAACATTAATAGTCCAGATCTTTCAGAAATGAAGGTTTGGGTCATCCCACCAGTTAAAGAACCATGACCACCTATGGTTCTTGCTTATGGCAAAGGGAATACAGAATGCATACTAGAAGAAAGTAGTTATAAATACCAGCTGCAACCACATGACCAGTTATAGAAATGAGGAATATAATTGTCATGGATATTCCCTCCTTATTTTGTTATGAATACATTTGTGTGTATATATACATATAATAAGCAAATATCTTTGTTTTCTTTCCTCTTATTTCCTTATCTTGTAACATAAGATGACTTTATACCAATGAATATTTAAGTATTGTTAATTTTACATCATGGTATTTAAGTTATAGGATATCAAGAGAGGAGTAAACATCACTCAAGGATTTTACCTCCTCTTCTGGGGAAGGGATTAGTGCATTTTTGGTTGCATGCAGGACAGTTGTATCATGTTAGGTGGAGTTATTACCTTGTTATTGTCTTTATTTGGAGATTAAGTACAGTTTAAGGAGAAGCATATAGGTGTCAAGTTGACAGGGGTGGAGTTGTGATAATAAATTTTATGTGTCAACTTGCCTGTGCTAAGGGATGCCCAAATAGCTAGCACAACATCGTTTCTGCATGTGTCTATCAGTGTGTTTGCAGAAGAGATTAGCATTTGAATTTGTGCACTGGTAAAGCAGATGACCCTTCCCAGTGCGGATGGACATCATCTAATCTGCTGAGGACCTGAACAGAACAAGAAGGCAAAGGACTGGAAATTTGCCCTTTCTTTTTGAGCTGGGACACCAATCCCTTCCTGCCCTTAGACATCAACTCACTTGGTTCTCAGGCCTCCACAATTGGGTTGAATTATACTGTTGGCTTTCCTGGTTCTCCAGATTGCAGATGGTAGATTATGGAAATTAATAATAGGGCTCCATAATTGCGTGAGCAAATCCCCATAGTAAATCAATCTCTCTCTTTCTCTCTCTTTAATATATATCTGATATGGTTTGGATATTTATCCTCTTCAAATATTATGTTGAAATGTGATCCCAATGTTGGAGATGGGGCCTGATGGGAGGTATATGGGTCATGGGGGAGAATTTCTCATGAATGGCTTGGTGCCCTCTGCAGGGTAACGAGCGAGTTCTTGCTCTGTTAGTTCAAGTGAAAGCTGGGTATTTAAAGCTTGTCCAGCCATGCACCTCCTCCTCTCTCTTGCTGTCTCTCTTACCATGTGACATGTCAGCTCCTCTTCCCTTCCGCCATAACTAAAAGCTTCCTGAGGCCTCACCAGAAGCTGAGCAGATGCCAGTGCCATGCTTTTACGCCTGCAGAACCATGAGCCAAAATAAACCTCGTTTCTTTATCCAGCCTCAAGTATTCCTTTATTCCTTTACGCAAAACAGATGAACACAATATCCTATTGGTTCTGTTTCTCTGAAGAAGCCTGATTAATATAGGAAACAAGCTATTTGAGTCTCAGGAAGCCTGAGGGACATGTTCCTGAGAGGAAACAACACCAACAGCAAGTGGGACACCTCTTCAACAGTTTGCCAGAGAGGAAACAAATGTAGAAGTTCCTAGAAGTCACAGCATTCAGATTAATGTCAGCATCGAGTTCTTGCCTATAATTCAGGTTGGGATGATATAAACACATAAATAAGGGCATAACACATTATCATATGAAAAGCATAGACAAGAAGTAGACACACATGAGGGGCAAGGGAGGTTTTTCATGTGTGTGCATGTGTGATATGTGTGTGTAAAGGAAGGTACACAGTTGATAGGGTATTGAGATTAAATAGGCCAATTCTACAAAAGGCTTAGAACAGTGCCTGGAACATAGTGAACATGATATAAGAGCTTGTTAAACAAACAAACAAACAAATGAATAAATAAATGTAGACTCGAGTTCAAGTTAGGAAAGCTGGGGAAACACCAACATGAGTATATTTCTCCTTCTTCTCATACCAGATTGACTGGGGCAGCCCTGAAGAAACAGTTCAGGATTAGAGAAGGTTCAGGTGCTTAGAATATTCCTGAAAGTCTGTCCCAGAGCAGCCTGATACAGGCACATGATTGATTCATCTCCGGGTAGCTGCTCTGTGTTGTATGCCACAAAGAAATACAGGTAACTCTCTCAGAACAATTTTTTAAGGGTAGAGGGAGTGGAGAGATGCCCATTATGTTTGCTTTGCACCAAGCACTGGAAACTTAATTCAAAAGGTAGGGTCCATTGGGTCTAGGTATGTGCAGATAGTGATAACCTAAAATGGTTCTTTAACCTAGGATGTTTTTGAAGACCAAATAATTTGTTGAAAATGCTTCAACTTGCTCTCCATCCTAAGATTGCAAAAAGGCATAGATTTTGATGTCAGGCCACAGTCTCTCCTCTTGCAGGAGCTACTGGAAGCCTCAGTCATAGTCGGACCCACAGAAAGAGAGCTAGTCCTGTCTGATACTTGGGTGTGTTTGTGTTGTTCTTGTCCTCAGCTTGTCTTTCTGTGTAGACGTTTGCTTCTTGATGCCTCCTCATCACTGCCGGAGAGTTCTTGATCTTTGCGTGCTAATGGTGGGCACAGGAACAAGATGCTTTAGCTCTCTGAATTTCTAACCTGAGCCTTCTTAGTGTGTGGTTTCTCTGGTGTCTATTCTTTTCCATACTGTGGCCATGGGAGGAAAGTTTTAAAGCCCTTTAGGAGCTACTTGGAGACAGATTTCTGGGTTGGGCAGCCCTGAAATACTTGTATTGATGGGAAACATTCTCCAAGCAACAGTTTAGGAAATTAAATTTACTACTCAGTGTCCAATGATAGAGATCTTATAGGATCTGAAGCTTTCCTCTGATGGTTGAGAGCTCCCCTGGGGTTCACAGGGATTCCTGATGTAGAATTCCAGTGATCTGGGGAAAGTTTAAAAGGTCATGCCTCATCCAGGACCACAGAATCTGTGGTTCTTGTCCAGCCATGTGGCACATACTCCACAACATCTGTCAAGTTCATTGACTGGGCCAGGTGCAGTGGCTCACACCTGTAATCCCAGCACTTTGGGAAGCCGAGGTGGGTGGATCACATGAGGTCAGGAGTTTGAGACCAGCCTGGCCAACATGGTGAAACCCCATCTCTACTAAAAATACAAAAATTAGCGGAGTGTGGTGGTGCACGCCTGTAATCCCAGCTACTCAGGAGGCTGAGGGAGGAGAATCCCTTGAACCTGGGAGGTGGAGTTTGCAGTGAGCTAAGATTGTGCCATTGCACTCCATCCTGAATGAGAAAGTGAGACTCCTTCTCAAAACAAATGAACAACAACAAAAAATAAAAATAAAAAAAGTTCATTAACTGGTTTGTTTTTGCTCTCATGCAAACATGAGGTTTGGAAGGGCAGAGGGGTGTGTGTGTGTGAGAGAGAGAGCGAGAAAGAGAGAGAGAGAGAGAGAGAGAGAGAGAGAGATGTGTTACCATAGGAAGATTCTCCAATTTTCTTTCTTCTTTTTTTTTTTTTTTTGAGATGGAGTCTCGCTCTGTCGCCCAGGCTGGAGTGCAGTGGCACTATCTCAGCTCACTGCAAGCTCTACCTCCCGGGTTCATGCCATTCTCCTGCTCAGCCTCCTGAGTAGCTGGGACTACAGGCGCCCGCCACCATGCCTGGCTAATTTTTTATACTTTTAGTAGAGACAGGGTTTCACCGTGTTAGCCAGGATGGTCTTGATCTCCTGACCTCGTGATCCACCCGCCTCGGCCTCCCAAAGTGCTGTGATTACAGGCATAAGCCACCGCGCCCGGCCGATTCTCCAATTTTCTAATTCTTAATTCCTTCTTCTGTGCCCAGCTGGATACCAGAACCCTCTTTTCTGATATCACCAATCTATATATGTAACTTTTTCTGGCTTGAAATTTACATTCCTGAAGCTTTCCCTGATTAATATTTTTGAATTTAAAAATTTAGTCAACATCCTTTTTGGTATTTTAAAATTTCCTACGTATTGGATAGTATGATGTTTATCACACAACAAGCATTCAATGAGTACACATGACCCAAGTAATGATAGATATGCCCAATAAATACTATTGATAACACCAGTAAGCCATCAAATTAAACAAGCAATTTCGTGAGCAAAATTATGTTATCCAAGGAATTACAGGGAAAGGGAACTATTAGCTATATCAGTTCTTTTAAATTGCAGATATGTAGAAAGTAGTATCTTAATAAGGTACTTGCCTAGAAATAGATATTGGCAGGGATATCACAATGATTTTGTAGAAAAATACCATAGCTTCTGCTAAATCTTTTCATTGGAATCTGTTCTCATTCTCTAGTATGCAATGTGTATCTCTTTTAAGCTTTCAATTACCTGAAAGAAAGCTTCACATCCAGGGTATGAAAGCGTTTGCTAACAAAGATTGCTTGAGAATAAATGTGAGATAAGAAAATGTGCTGGGAAGTCCACGATTCACCTTCACAAAGGGCTAGTTTTAGTGGACCTCCAGGAGGAGCTGTGATGGTAATTGCTCTGAGGACATAACCCGTGGCTTAATCATATCTGGAGCACTGGCACCTAGCCCAAGGCCATGCTCAGAGAGAGCACTCTGATGGTTTGGAGTAAATGAAGGCATATTTTCATTAGCTTGGATATCATCTTTTTGGTGCCTTGAGTGTGGCATAGAATACGATCTTGTTTATAACAGAAAAGAATGATAAAGCCTCACGATAGATTTTGTGAAGTCATTTTTTAAAATGCCATAATTTAGCTGTGTAAGTGATAACAATTTTAAATTTGTGGGGGTTTTTTTTGGTAAAAATAGCATACCAATAATCGTACTAGTACATATATAGCACTTATGTGTCAGGTACTTCTTTTAACAAAATTAATTCTAAAAACTAGCATAGCAATAATAGTACTTGCTTTTAAAAAAATATATCAGACACTGCTTTTAAATTGACTGTTTCTAACAATAGCCCTATGACTAGATAGTCCCATTTTATAGTTGGGGAAGCTGAGACACAGAGGTGGTGATTTTTCCATAGCTAAGTGGCAGAGGTAGGATTTGAAGTTGGAAAATCTAGCTCAAGAATCCATGCTATTAGCGAGTAATTTCTATAGCCTCACATGCTGGTGAGACTCTATCTATACCATTGAGTGAAGACAGGAACTGGTTTCATACTCAGACATAAAATGAATGGTTACTGGTCTATCAATTAGGTACATCAACAGTATGACAATAACTTGGAATGGATCGGGGGCACCCAAAGGTCTTGTTAAAGTCATTTTTAAACATCTGAAGAGCATCAAAAAGAGAAAGGATGGGAGGGAGCAGGGATGGAGATACACTTTGAAGTAAGATTCATATGAACTTTCATAACTCTTCGGGTAAGGGTAATCTGCCAGACCATTAATGTAGGACAATGTACATTATTTTTTCTTGGCTGAAGATGAAAATCCTAGCAGATGGACAAAGAAGAATTGAGCATTCAGGAAAAGCTTAAATGGTGATCCTCTTGGGATATAAGAAGCTGGACACATTGCGCATTATAGATAGGTGTGATAAAAATCACAGCATACACCTGTGAACTTTGAATTAACCAGGAAGCTAATACACGTTCTTGCACTGATAAATTTCTGAGCTAAGATAATTAGCAAGAAGGGACAAAGAGACAACTAGAAATGCCACTCTAAGATTTCACTGAGTGAAAAAAGATTCCTTCCTTAAATCTTACAAGAAAAATACAGTTTTGATTAAAATTAAGGTAAGATTTTTTGTAACATATTTCAGTAAGTTTTATACAAGTCTTACAAGCAATGAGTATTTATAAAACTTTAAAGAAAACCTAGAAGGATTTTAATCCTGCAAAGCTGTGTATAGATAAATTTTAGCATATCTTATCATTTAATGGGGGGACTGCAATTATTCTAGATGTTATTTTTGATCTTTTAATTCCTCACATTGTTTCTGATACTACTTCTTTAATTTTCTGTTCAATAGCCATGAGCCTTTTTGAAATAATAATATTGTCGACCCCCAGTTGTATGTGCCCAAGGAGATGGCAAACTTGAGAAACAAGAATAATCCTTTCAGCTGGTTTAAAGCTGAGCCCTCACTCTTGGAATTAAGAAACTGACAAAGGATGCAAGTTCTTGGTTTAAGGAGCCAATGGTATGATGTGTTTCTTGTTGGGCTTGGAGTATAGGTGCAGGGTATTGTGTGGGGGTTTCTTGCTCTGGTCACAGATTCTACTGAATCTCAAATACCAGTTAGTTTGGGGTATGCTCCTGTCCCTGACAGTGTGCCAGTGGAATGACAAGAATATTATTGTGAAGAGCACATTTTCTTCATGGAGTTTCTTATTTCACTGATACACAAAACCCCACAATGGTAGCTCTGACCTGGTGTGGTCAATGCTGAATGTGCCCCAGCTCCTCATAGCCCCTGCTTCAGGATGGAGGTGCTCATTCCCTCAGCTGCTGGGAGTGATGGCTGACAGCTTGTAGTGGAGTAATCCCTCCTGGTAATTGCCCTTGGCTGAAGAGAGGCATTGGGCCCCTTTCTGGGGGTAGCCTGCACTCGATGACTGACATATGAGAACATAAAGACCCTGCCTCTTAATTTGGATTGGAACAACTCTGCAGGGTCATCTCAGCTTCAGAGCATCCCGTGGGGGTCAGTTGAGGCTTTTGTGATGCCTGAATGTAGTCCAGCTTCTCCTTCTGTCCAATCCTGTTTCCTCTACTCTCCCATAGGTGTGGTTCCCAGGGACCCTCCCAAATACACTTCCAATCTGTTTCTGGAGGACCTGACCTGTAACTCCTGACAATATGTTCTGAATGCTGAAGGATGGAGATACACTTTGGAGTAAGATTCATATGAACTTTCATAAATTCTTGGGGTAAGGGTAATATATTTTTTACTTACTTAAACTCTTTCCCCAGTCCCTTCCTTCCTCAAGTTCCCTAGTCTTAATTGATTCCTAAATTGTACACATAGGCTTTAAAAATTTGACATTCTTTTTTTCTGATGGAAGATATAATTCGTCTTTAATGTAAAAAATTCAAACGTGAAGTATATACATATACATGCTTGAGTGCACATCAAATAGCCATCATTTACTTGAAGGTCTAATGTAGCCTCTGCATCCTCACACAGCTCTGAACATTGAATAGCTCTGCTCTGAGCTATTCAAAGGTCTGTGTATGACCTTTACACCTGGAATAATACTTCTGAAGATAGATGGGCATTGACAATAAGAATAATAGTACTATATGGAATTAGTTTACAAAGCACTTTCAACCCATTATATTGATTTATTTCACCGCATCCTTGAGAAAGCCTGGCCATGTTAGCCCTATTTAATATATGGGGAGTAACTTGCTGAAGTGGGTTATAGGAAATTTCTTCTGACAAGCTCCAATTTCTGTTACCAGCCAATGGACTCAAGCCCCTCATTCAAAGAAAACACCAGAAGAGACTTGGTGTTTTGTGAAATGGCACATTCCAAAATCTCTGTCACTGAGAAAAGGATGTAAGCTCAGGATCAAAGCATCGTCTTCAAAGAAGGGTAAGGTACTTGTTAAATAACTCCTGGCAATTGCTTAAGCACCAGGCATTGTAATTTCAGATAGTAGGAACAGAACTAAAAATAGAGAAGTGGATAGGGACAGGACCAGAGACATCATTGTCACTCAAACTTGAATGTCATTTTTGACAGCATTCGAGCAATTGATTCTTGATTCTCCACATTAGGAATTTAGTAGTCACGTTTTGCTGTGACAGCCCTAGGAGAAGAGAAGGGGCAGGACCCTGGGAAGAGTATAAAGAATGGAGGGTGAGAATTATTATCAGCCTGTGGTGCCTCTTTCTAGTCACGGTTCCTTTGATGGAAAAAAAAGGGCGGCGGGGTGGGGGATGAGAAGGAGCAGAAAGCTATTCAAGCTAGCTCCAATTTCCTGAAATGTTAAAGAGAAATCTCATGGACAGGATATGCAATCAGTCCCTGTGAAAGATTGGACCTGAGAACCAGAAAGCCACCAGGAGCTAAGCCATTCTCTTTATCTTCAGGAGCTACAGAGATCTCTGTCTCTGAAAATCTTCATCCTTTCTCCTAAACCTGCTTCCTCTGCATACTCATCTTGCTCACTTCCTCCCACGCAGCTCCCAGTCCACCTTAGTCTCATGATTTCCAAGCTCCAGTAGTCATTGGCAATTGATGACAGTCTCTGTGTCTCCTGGGCAAATTGTTATAAGGAGAAGACTGATCAGTCCAGATCACGTGTTGCTTCACATTGGAGCAGCTGCTTTGGGGTTAGATGTCTAACCCTGGTACACTCAGCCATGGTTGGAGGAGATGGGGAGGGTGGTTATGGGGTAGGGAGTGATGCTCTTTCTAGGTAACCTGGCAGACTAGATTCTCCAGAAGGGGCCATGAGTAGGGCAGGCAAGGAGACCTGTTTATTATATCCTTGCTGACCCATGTTTCCATCCTGTTCTGAATCATGTTCCATGAGCTAGTCTAGTATATAGAAGTTGGGTAATCATAGCAGGGAGTCATTGTGTAGAGTGTGGCATCTGCTCTAAATGGGTTTATCATCTGGTTGATGCAATAAGGCACACGCCCAAGAAAAGGAAAACCTATCAGGCAGTGCCTACTGAGCATCAGATGACTGGCATGGGCATTATGGGTTTTAAACATTTAGAGGAGGAGAGATCATAGTGGCTAAGCGCAAGAAGTATTGCCCAAGAGAGGTGGGGATGGACATGGGTCTTGAGGGGTGGGAAGGATTTGGAGAGAAAGAGGGGAGGAGAGGAGAATAGGAATACATGACACATGCCCAGGGCACAGTGAATAGACCAAACTATTTTAAGCATAAGCTGTGTGTTGGAAAGTACAGAAAGGTATGTTAGGGAAAATAGGTAGAAATGAAATTGTGTAGGACTTTGAATACCAAACTAAATAGTTTGGATTTTATTCTGAACATTGTGTGAATGGTGCTTGCTAAGGGCATGGCATGGTCAGGGCCATGCTCTAGGATCACCCTCTGCAGTGGAGGAGGCCAGAGATTATGGGGAGACCATTACAATGTGACCAGTATCATGGGCAATAGGCTCGAATATGAGGAGATAAGGTCAAAAGGCTTTGGAAAGAAAAGGAAATCTCTGTTATTTAAAGTCTCGGTTGCCGGTTGACTGTGTCCAGGGAAGCAACTGCCAGAAGCTGTGGTCTTTAGCTACCTGCAACCCAAATGTCTCTGGCTGCTGCAGCCTGTGAGTGAAAATACCACCACATAAAAATTAGCACCCAGATATTAAGAACTCTGAGCTCCCATGTACACATAGTCTCCATAGAGTTCTTCTTTTGACCAGAGAGCTTGGATGAAAAATCTAGTAAATTGGCAGAAAAGGAGTCTATCAGAAGCATATCTAATTGCTCATACATGGATGGGAAGTGTGGGAAAACTGGCTGGGAAAATAACAGCCAAGTTCATGTCATCCATCCTTCCCAATGAACCCTTGACTCCACTGTCATAGCCATGAATAAACTCCTTCCAGAGCCAAAGTCTTACGTGGGCATCTGATTGACTGAGTCTAGGTCATCTTCGTAAGCCCTGGATTGTAGTGAATTACAGGAGGGAAATCAAGGTTGGGTGTCCTGGCTCATGCCTGTAATCCCAGCACTTTGGGAGGCTACAGAAGGAGGATCCGTTGAGCCCAGGAGTTCAAGACCAGCTTGGGCAATGTAGTGAGACCTCATCACCATTTTAAAAATTAGCCAAGTGAGGCAGTGTGCACCTGTACACCTAGCTACTTATAAGGCTGAGGTGGGAGAGGATTGCTTGAGCCCAGGAGTTTGAGGGTGCAGTGAGCTTTGATAGCACCACTGCATTCAAGACTGGGCAGCAGAGCAAGACACTGTCTCTAAAAGAAAATAAATAAATAAATGGGGGACATTTTAACTCTTTTATTGTTTAACTCAGCCCCTTTTAACTTTTACAGAGGGACAGATGGGGCTGTGTCTCCCACTAGGACCTACACTCTTGGTGATATTCTGAATAAGGAAGAGCGGCCAGATGCTGGACAGTGAAGGCAAACTTCCATCATGCTTCTTCCTCATCTTTCAAAGAGTCCAAGACAGGGACTCATATGCCTGCACTGTTATTCTGAGTTAGCCTCTTGCTCTCATTGCTGGTTAAGCTGGAGTCCTTAGTTCTGGCTTTGATAGTGAGCTCATCCTTCATATTCAACACATTACCAAGTTCAACCATCAACATTTACTTCCACCACAGTTCACTTCTGCCCTTCTCTATTTCCATACCCCTAGTCCAGAAGTTCTCAAGCTTTAGGGTACATGATAATCAACTGGAGGAGTTGTTAATATACCTATCTCTGGCTCTCATCCTCAGAGTTTCTTTCTTAAAACTTATTTTTAGAGACAAGGTCTGGCTCTGTCTCTAAAAATAAGGCTAGAGTGCATTTGCAAGATCACGGATCACTGCCACCTTGACCTCCCAGAGTAAAGCAATCCTCCTGTCTCAGCCTCCTGAGTAGCTGGGACTACAGGTGTGAACCATCACACTTATTTTTGTCTAGATGGGGTCTCAGTATGTTGCCCAGGCTGGTCTTGAACTCTTGGGCTCAAGTGATCCTCCTGCCTTGGCTTCCTAAAGTTTTGGGATTACAGGTGCCAGCCATTGTGCCTGGT
Organism: Homo sapiens; assembly: GCF_000001405.40. Lineage (NCBI taxonomy): Eukaryota > Metazoa > Chordata > Mammalia > Primates > Hominidae > Homo > Homo sapiens. Next base: position 90,349,929 of record NC_000006.12, read on the forward strand.
CTCTCTCAGAGTTTCTGATTCAGTGGGTCTGGGGTAGGGCCTGAGAATTTGCGTTTATAATAAGTTGCTGGATGCTGCTGCTGCTGGTCCAGGGGCCCCACTTTGAGAACCACTTTCTTGGTCTGAGCCATCATCATCACTTATTTGGACTATCACTTTGGCTTCCTAACTAATCTACTTCCACTTTTACCTGCATTCTCCTTACAGCAGCCAGAATGATCTTTCAGAAGTGTAAATCATATCATGTCTTTCCCTGATTAAAACTTTTCAGCGGCTTCTGATCCCCTCCTTAACATGGTCTGTGAGGCCCTGCAAGACTTAGCTTCTGCCAGCTCCACAAACCCACCTCACCAGCTTCAGCTACTCTGCCTTCTGTTCTCCCACCTCTGGAATGCTTGACCTTCTAGGGGAGACTGGCTGGCCCTTTCTCATCCTTGAAGATTAAGCTCAGATATTACCCTCTTCTAAGGCAATCCTTGAACACCCAGTCTGAAGTGGCCTCACCCTTGTTTTTTCCCTTCATTGTAGTTATCACAATATTAATTATCTTATGTATTTGTTATTCTATTTATTGCTGTCTCTTCCACTAAGATTGTAAGTTCCTTGAGGGCAGGGTCCTTGTCTTCTCAGTCTTCCTAGCACCTTCTATAGTGTCTGGCACAGCAGTAAGAACTCAATAAATATTTGGGGAATAAATGTATCTGTATTTGCTTGAAATGGACAAGTGATATGGTTTGGCTCTGTGTCTCCAACCAAATGTCATGTTGAATTGTGATTCCCAGTGTTGGAAGAGGGACCTGCTGGGAGGTGATTGGATCATGGGGGCAGATTTCCCCCTTGTTGTTCTTGTGATAGTGAGTGAGTTCTCATGAGATCTGTTGGTTTAAACACGTGTGGCACTTCCCTCTTTGTGCTCTCTCTCTCACTCTCTCTCTCTTCCTCCCTCCCTCCCTCTCCTCTGCCACCAGATGACGACATACTTGCTTCCTCTTCACCCTTCTGCCGTAATTGTAAGTTTTTTGAGGCCTCCCAACCATGCTTTATGCTTTCTGTACAGCCTGAGGAACTGTGAGTCAATTAAACCTCTTTCCTTCATAAATTACCCAGCTCAGGTAGTTCTTTATAGCAGTGTGAGAACAGACTAATACAACAAGGTTCACGTATTTTTCCTGTAAGGCCCCCAAAGTTCTGCATACATCAGTGGATGCAAATAGATGCTTTGAGGAGGAATATCACCATCTCCAGCTGTCAGGCTGATCGAGTCTGATTGGCACCCACTAGGATTTCCCTTACACATGTAACATGTGGGCTGCTGGAGGCAAAGGTAATGTTTAGTAGACCTCATTCCTCATATCAGATCCAACCTTCCTTGTCATCTCTTCTGACTGTCTTTCTGTTTCTGCTGGTTTGCTCAGAGCCTGTCACTGCAGCACCTAATCAGGCCGATCTCTTTAGCACTGACCTAGTCTGGTGTTGGACTTCTCTCCTTGTTATCAAAACATACCTCCCTCTTTCCTCAGTTCATGAAGTTGGAAGACACTTCTCTGCTACTGTGTGGTGATGGGGGCGTTAGTGGGGTAAACAGTTTAACTGTTTTAACTTCATTCGTGGTTAAGAGGTACCAGGGGCCCTCTGATAATAAAACACAGCTAAGATGTATCTAAGGCTTATAGAAAGCAACAATAAACCATTTTTGACTGTGCAGGAATTTAAGTTTTTATATAAGAATATACTTCATTTTGGATTTTGTACAAAGATTTAACATGTTGAAATTTTAAAATATTATTTGAATAGTAAGGTTGTGAAATCATACAAAGTGAAATTTAAAAGATCCTGAAAAACAAGTTGGAAAATAGCTTTATATTGATCAGCCGAGAGTTTGACATTTGCCTCTTTGACATGGCATATACTGATGCAATAGGAAACATTGCATTACCACACAAAAAAAGTTTATTTACAGACCTCAGAGTTGCATTCAGTAACATTCTTGGCCAAGATCAAAACGTGGAACGTTTTTTCCATTCAGAAAAGCAGAATCACTTAGCCTGAGTCATGACTGCCCACTTTTTCCCATATGGTTGAAATACTGTCTGTTGGCTGAGGTTGACAATTTAAAGACTTTGTGGCTGATTAGTTCTAACTATGGTAGCAATTGAGAAAGGTAACGTTAGGTACTATTAAGAAGGAGATATCTGGCTTGTTGAAAAATACAAATCAAACACTGTAGCAAATATTTGGTAAGGGAGAAAAAAGCTGAAATAATGAAAACTGGCTGGCATCCCCAGTACCTCTCTCCCCATCCAATAATCACAAATCCCCCTGATTCTTTCTTTGTCTGGCTCTTAGAGTTAACACATTCTATCTGTTTTAAAAGTTCACACCCTAGTCTGGTGCCTGGCATTGATTCAAGCTTCTCTGCCTCATGGCTATTGATCAGTCTTCTTAGAGCAACATTTTTATAGCCCTCCCTTCTGATCAAGATTTGTCTCTGGGGATAGTAGGCAAACTCCCACTCCCTGGTATGGCATCAATAACCCTACATCACATGTGGTTTTTAAAATTGTAGTAAAACATACATAACAGAAAAGTTAACATTTTAACAATTTCTAAGTCTATAATTCAGTGGCATTAAGTACATTCACAATATTGTGGAACCATCACCACTATTCATTTCCAGAACTTTTTCATCATGCCAAACAGAAACTCTGCACTCATTAAACAATAACTCCCCATTCCTCCTCCTCTATCCCCTGGTAACCTCTATTCTTTCTGTGTCTATGGATTTGCCTATCTAGGTACCTCATATAAATGAAATCATACAATATTTGTCATTTTGTGTCTGGCTTATTTTAACTTACGTACTGTTTTTAAGGTTCATTCATGTAGCACATATCAGAATTTCTTTTTTTCTTTTCTTTTTTTTTTTTTTCTTGCTCTGTTGCCCAGGCTGGAGTACAGTGGCATGATCATGACTCACTGCAACCTCTGCCTCCTGGGCTCAGGTGATCCTCCCACCTCAGCCTTCCGAGTAGCTGGGACCACAGGGACAACCACGTCCAGCTAATTTTTGTATTTTTTTTTTTTTTTACAGATGAGGTTTCACCATGATGCCCAGGCAGATCTTGAACTTCTGGGTTCAAGTGATCCACCCACCTTGGCCTCCCAAGGTGCTAGGATTACAGGTGTGAGCCATCGCACCTGGCCCCAGAATTTCATTACTTGTTTAAAGCTGAATAATATAATATTATATTAATAATATTCCATTGTATATACCACATTTTGATTATCCATTAATCTGTCAATGAACATCTGGGTTGTTTCCACCTTTTGGCTGTTGTGAATAGTGGTGCTATGAACGTTGGTGTGCAAGTATCTGTTTGAATCTATCCTTTCAAATCTTTTTGAAGGGGAATTGCTGGATCATACAGTAATTTTAACTTTTGGAGAGGCCTGTCACATGGTTTTGACATACCTCCACCTTTGTTCTCACTTTTCTTTTTTGACGCCTCTTCTCAAGGTAGGCAGTTTCCTAGCACAGTCCCTGTGTGGACCCAAGCTGTATCTCCCTGCAAGCTGAACACAAAATGCTTCTCCTCTTCCCCACCACCATGCCCTTCTCTAAGTATCAACTCAAGCTCTTCCCCCTACTGATAATAAATCCCAGCACCTGCAATCTGGAAGTGAAAAAGTAATTACAACGATGTGCCTCAAGTCTTTGCTTTTTTCTCTTAACAAAGCAAATGACATCACATTCTAAAAACGCTCTTTCCTTATCACTCTCAGCTTCTTCCATATGGATGGCACCAGCTCCCTAAGAATCAATCTTTCTCTCTTTTCTTGTTAAATTCCAACCTCTTCAGCCTCAACACTCAGACTTTCTGTCTCTCTGCCTTGTCCACCAGGTAAATCCTTCTTTATATGATCAACTTACCCTCTTAGGTTTTCAAAGTTTTTGCATTGTTTCCCCACTATATAAACTGTGCACAATTGAGGACATCTGGCTGCTGACACAAAGGAAAGTCACTCTAAAAGCTAGGGACAGGGGCTAAATTGTGAATGCTTATGTATTAATAATTTCCCCACTTCTATATTCACCTTGGAAAAGATCACGACTTCTTTACATTGTAAGAATATTTTCACCAGATAAATCTAAGCTATTTGAGGGTAGATTTGGGGTCTCTTACTGCTTTGCTTAGAACATCTCATTGTCAATAGCACAAATTCCTTGCCCTGGCATTCCAGACTCCTCATGCATTCATCTCGATCTTCCTTTCCAGTATTATTCCCCCTACCATCTCTCATGCCCTTTGTGCCCCAATGAATAGGAACACCAACTATTTCCCCAACTGTCCCCGAGTTTTCCTGTCATCATTTGCTCCTTCTTCCATTTATCCTGTTTACCCTCTTCTTGCACCTGTCCAGTTTCTGCCCATCTCTCAAGTTCAAAGTCAAATGCTGTTGTTTCCATAAAAATAGTTGTTGTGAAGATTAAACAATGTGTGCAAAAAGTTAGCATAGTGACTAGTATTGAGTAAGCACTAGATAAATAGCACATAATAAATGTTTTGCCCTGTATTATTATTCTTGTAAACGTCTTCTTTATAATGTATAAGATTTTAGCCTTATTTGTTTTTACATGTCCTCCATAGGCTAAATCAGTTTGGACTCTTTTGGCAACTGAAAACGCAACTCAAACTCACTTAAACAAAAGGTAGAATTCATTGAGTCACATAACTGAAAAGTCCAGGTGTTAGGCTGGCTTCTCCCTGTTTCTATAAACTCAGATCTGCTTTCCTCTGTGTATTTTCATTCTCAGGCTCTTGAGGAGGTGAGATGGCTCCACTAGCCCCTGCCTCCCAGGTTCAGGTCTAGGAGAAGAAAGGGCTGGCTCCCCAGTAAACTCCACCAAAACCACACTGACCAAGAGAGAGGGAGGGTGGGATGGACATCCACACACAAATTGGAGGCTTATCAAAAGGAGGGTGAATGGATACTGGGGAGCCAAGAAATACCAAATGTTCACACTAGTGCCTTACATAAAGTAGATGCTCAGTAAATCTTTAGAGAATGAAATTTAATTAGTATCCTCTTTAGTAGTCAGTGTGCAAGATTAATTATTTATCAAATGATAGTTGAAAGGGGGAGGAAGGTAAAATTTGCTGAGCACCTACAATGTCATTTGCTTTAATCCAACAAATACTTGTGATATTATGCCCATTTTACAGATGAAGAAACTAAGGGTAAAGGGGTTAAGTAATCTTTCTGAGATTGTGCAAAGCTACTGCCTAGATCTGCCTGACCCAGAGGCCTGTGCTGTTTCCCAGGAGTTTATAGACCCTGCATTCTGGTTCTGGATGGCTATTTCTCTCTCTTCAATAATCACTGGGGGGATGACAAGGGCAATGCTACTGTCTTTCCCTGTAGACCATTTCATGGTTTTTTTTTTTTTTTTTTTTTAGACAAAGTCTTGCTTTGTCACCCAGGCTGGAGTGTAGTGCTGTGACCTCAGCTCACTGCAACCTTGATCTCCTGGGATCAAGTGATCTTCCAGCCTCAGCCTTCCGAGTAACTAGGACCATAGGTGCACAACACCACACTGGGCTAATTTTTTTGACTTCTGACTTTTAGTAGAGATGAGGTCTCTCTATGTTGCCCCAGCTGATCTTGAACTCCTGGGCTCAAGCAGTCCTCCCACCTCAGCCTCCCAAAGTGCTGGGATTACAGACGTGAGCCACCGCACCTGGACGTTTCATGTTGTGTAAATCTGAGGGTTAAGAAACTCCTTGACATTTCCATTATGTTAAGTGATCACATTTAACCCTTTTTGTCTTCCAGAGAAAGTGGAAAACCATTGAGTACTCTGTTTAAGAACACCTTCATGGATTTGATGGTAGTAATTAAGTAGTCACTTAGTCTTTTCTTCGTTTATGTTAAAGGCAGTCAATCCTTTTCACCTTTCCTAGGGGAGCCTATTTGCAGATTCTTTGACATAGGAAACATTTTTGCTCAAGCTCCGGGCCTTACTTTTTTAAGCCAGAACATGACTTGGGGCAGTTCTCAGACCCCGGGTTTCTCCGCCCTCCGGAGAGGTCGGCAAGGAAATGGACTCAGGTGTGTTGACTATCTGCTTATCCTCGGCGGGACCTCTGGGCTTGCTGCCGAACTCTCTCTACTGCTATGACCTCTTGGCTCACCCCTCCGCATGCACACACACCACCACCAGCAATATATACTCACGCACACGCTCACACTCCCACCACAGCGACACACACCCCAGGCCCTTGCTGAAGCTGGGGTTTTGTTTCTTAGTGGCAGCCGCTAGACTCACCTTCTCTAAACTCCTGACACAAGGGAGCCGCCTGGGCTTCAGGTCTCTGGACCGCTGCAGATTTAAGTCATTCTTGCTTTGAATCCCTGGCAATCTAATCGCTTTGTTTCTATGCTCCCACAGGAGACAAGGGAGGAATGTGTTTTGCTGTTTTGGATTTCAAGAAATGAAACAGAAACAAGAGCTGGTTTCTTGATAACTTTGTTCTTCTACGCTATGGTCTGTAGAATGATACAGTTTCTAGTTTAATTGGTCTGTGACCTGCAGACCCCTGTGTAAGACTCTTCCAGCTTTGAACATACCAAAGAAAATTTTAAAAGAAGAGGGGAGAAAAAAGGAGAAAAGTCTGCATATTGGGTAAAGGATGATTTTGTATGTGTGTGCTTTTCTATAGTTGCTAGGATTTCTGCAATGAACATGAGTTCACTTCGAAATCAGGAAAAACACTAATAAATATTGGAGTTAATTCTAAGTAGTTAAAAGAATAAAATGATAACCAATTATTTTTCAAGCCAATGCAAATTAAAATAAAAGAAGAATGGCAGTAATAATAAGACAAAGTAGAATTCATCATAAAGCAACACTTGGAATAAAAGAGCCATTTGTGGGCATTTTATGTTGATAAAAGGTACAATGCAGGATGAAGATATTATAATGATCAAAGTCACACAATAAAAGCACAATATTAAATATAAAAAACAAAAATTTGACAGGAATGAAAGGGGAATTCAGCAGAAAAACAATTGTTATAAGAGACGTAAGCACCAGACTTTGACAATTAGCAGAGGAAAAAAAAAGACACCTAAGTTTGATACACCATAATTATCAAAGTTGATTAATAGACAAATATTGAATTTTGTTCCCTAGCAACAAAGAATATGCCTTTCTGATGTATTATTTGAAAACCAGAGCAAAACAAATACTATAAAGGCCACAAAGAGAACTTTTGTCCAAAATGCAACAAAACTAGACAAAAATTACCAAAGTAAATAAAATTTTAAAAACTCACCCTTCCACCACTTAGAAACTAAAAAAATATGTATTATGACTGCATTAAAAAGAAAATGAAAACTATAATCACCAGCTATTTAGAAAGTAATAAAAATCAGAAAGTTATATATAAGCATTCATAGAATGTGACTAGATCAGTACAAAAGAGGTACGTTGAGGCCCCCACATGCTATCATTATTAAGCCAGAGAGTAAACATATGACTAAAGCATATGGCTAAAAAATGAGAAATAGAAGAATAAAATCCAACTAAGCAGAAATAAAAGGAAAAGAAAGATAATATGGCAATTTATAATCAGAAAATAAAGTATAATTGATAAATCCAAGTGTTTTTAATTTTTGTAAGGCTAACAATATAGAAGTGCTTTTTATCTGTTGAATCCAGGAAAAGAGAAAATATGAACCAACAATATTCGAAGTGAGAAAAAGAATATGAACATACCACAGAGGATATTTAAATTTAATAAGATTACATTCTATGCTAATAACTTGAAGATATTGATGAAATAGATGTTTTTCTGGGGAAAATTGCTAAAGTTGATTAAGTAATATATAAACAAAGTAAGTTTTACACACACACTCTCACACACACACATGCCAATAACCTTGAGAAGGAAATTATGAAATCATCAAAATATCTCCTTTCAAAAGCTTTCTGGGTCCAGCTGGCTTGCTAAAAAATTCTTCAAAATTTCAGAAAATGTATGATTTAATATGTTATAGAAACCATTCAAGAAAATAAGTGAAATTTAAAATTTAACAAATTTTGTTTATCTATTCACAAGTTAGTTGATGGACATTTTAAAAACTAGATGAATCAGCAATTCCACCCCTGGGACTCTACCAAGAGAAATGCAAACATGTGAAAACACGAAGTCATAGTAGCAGGATGAATAATGGACCCAAACTGGAAACAATCCAAATGTCCATCACCTGTTGATAAGATAAAAATGCAATGCAGGCCAGGCGCAGTGGCTCACGCCTATAATCCCAGCACTTTGGGAGGCCAAGGTGGGTGGATCACCTGAGGTCAGGAGTTCGAGACCAGCCTGACCAACATGGTGAAACCCTGCCTCTACTGAAAATACAAAAATTAGCCGGGCATGGTGGCACATGCCTGTAATCCCAACTACTCGTGAGGCTGAGGCTGGAGAATTGCTTGAACCCAGGAGGTGGAGGTTGCAGTGAGCAGAGATCGCGTCATTGCACTCCAGCCTGGGCGACAAGAGGGAAACTCCATCTCAAAATAAAATAAAATAAAATAAAAACGCAATACGGCCATACTAAGGAATACTATTCAACCCTAAAAAATGACTTAAATATGGATACAAGCTTTTACAGCATGATAAAACATGAATAAACCTCAAAAATATTATGCTATGTGAAAAAGCCAGAAACAAAATACTACATTCTATTCCATTTCTATGAAATGTCCAGAAAAGACAAACTTACAGAGTCAGAAAGCAGATCAGTGGCTACACAGGGACAGGATTTGGAGTAGAGGTGGAGGGGGATACTAGGAACCTTTCTAAAATTAGAATTTCTGCAAATCATTCTAAAATTAGTGATGGTTATACAACTCTATAAATTTCCAAAAAATCTTAGAATCGTATACTTAAGCTGGGTGATTTTTATGGTATGTAAATTTTACCTCAATGAAACTGTTAAAAATAGCTAGTTATCACAGACATACAAATTAACGTCCGTAAGATATCATTTACTGATGTAAATATATATCCAATTAGCAAGATTTAAAAAAATTTACTGTGGTATAAAGATTCAGTTTGATGGATACTGTCAAATATAGTTATTGGGATATACATTGGTAGAATGCTTTTTGAAAACAGATACTAAGAGTTATTACAATGTTAGCAGGCTTTGACTCATTCATTCTATTTGAAAAATCTATTCCTCCAAAAATAGAGTTGTGGGCAAATATTGCTGTAAAGGGATGTGCATTACAGAATTCTTTATGATAACTAAAAAGTAGAACAACCTAAATACCCAACATTAGAGAGATGGGTACATAAATCATATCATATCATACTATGGAATTTAAGTTGGTAAAAATCATATTTTCAAAGACAATGACATGGGAGAATGCTCAAGAAGTAATGTGAAATGGAAAAGTAGGATCTGAACTGTATATACATACTAATCCTAAATGGAAAAAAGTGTCTTTTATGATGGGAAGGGTCTAAACCAAATGTTAACATTTATTTTCTGAGTGGGGTAATTATGGATAATGTAATTTTCTTCTCAATACTTTTTGTTCTGTTTTCTTTTGTTCTTGGCAATGAGCATATATTGCTTTATCATTTGCAAATCAGAAATTTTATCAGAAAACAGTAAATGTTATTGAAAATAACAAAAATAGGATGGAAATGAATTACAACTGTCCATCTGTGCCAAATGCAGTTTTCAAGTAGTAAGTAGAAAGTCTATATAACAGTCCTGACTTGCTGAGCTTCCATTACACAAGGCAGTCAATGATGATGCCTACTCTCTTCAGCCTTCTTCCCATTTCAGCAGAGACACAGGGACAACTAAGCCAACCTGGGGGAGGGTGGTGTGTGTGTGTGTGTGTGTGTGTGTGTGTGCGCGCGCGCACGCAATGCTGGATCTTTAGAACTGAGATGCACCTTCCCACCTTTGAGTGATGGAGCCTCCTAACAACATAGTCACACAATGGGCCACATTTTGGCCTTATGTATTCAATGCTGTTGACCTGTTGTAAATTACCAATGTATTTATGTTACATATAGTACCAGGATATACATGCGTATACAAAAACCCTGGGCTCTGAAGCATAAAACTTCTCCTTCTAGATTCCTTTTGATTTAAAATTCAGTCTTTCCTGTAAATAAGTGTGTGAGTTGAGTCGGGGAGGCAGGGAGAAGTCAGAGGGAAAAATAGCACAACTAAAAGGAAGGGAAATGAGGAGACAGCAACTAAACTGAGGAAAGTCCAACTTTAAGTGGCCTCTGGAGCTAATGAGTAGGATGTGCCCAAGCCATCCCTCTCTGAAGTCACATTATTAGCTGCTCCCCAAACATTTTCCAACCTAACTTTTTAAATAATTAAACAAATGAAAAAGAAACCTCCTTTCTTCAAGTGTAAAAGCTCCTAGGGCTTTGGTCTTTATTACTAATAAATTTCCACCAGCCCCCATCCTCTGCCTTGACAGAGTGTGGGAGAAGCTGGCTGGGAATGAGATTTTTGCCACCTTGATGAGTGTGCTCATTAGGGAAGCCACTTGGTTTGAAGACCTGCCCCAGCCAATCTGATTGTGGATTTTATTGAAATAATTTTATAAACAAGTCTTCAGACAAGGTTTAGTCCTTATGAATCCTCCAAGCTCATTACTACCCCCAGGAAGAAAATTGAAGAGATAAAAATAAAGTCTAGGATTAAAACACTTTCACCTTTAGGCAAAACAGTCTCCAGGGCCTTCAGATTTCTCCATCTGTAAAACAAGGGTAATGATATTTCCTTCTCCAGCTCATCAGAAGAGCTAACACGAAATTCTGGAGAGCATTCTTGGCAGCTGGGAAAGAAGGTAACTAATAAACCTGATTATTTTTAATAGCATAAGGACCTAACAATGACAAATAAATGTCTGGTCTCTCTTACGACAGGGTAAAAACAATGTAAAGGAGAGACATACGTATGGTGTAATAAATCAGCCAAATATCTTGGAAATTCACCTGTCTTGAATGGGAAAGCTGTTCTCTTTCCAATATTTTCTTTGACATTAAGGGGTTTTAGCCCAATGACATTCACTGTAAAGATAATTAAATGTATTTGTGGCAGCTGCTACTGCAGAATCAGAGTGACCTTAGAAAGACGTTTGCATAGGAAAGCCTTCTACAGCCGTCAGATATTCCCAGGTGGTGGGGAACATTTCAAAGCAGCCTGCCTCCTACACCCCTCACCCAGTAGTCAGTCAAAAGGCAGAAGACTAAAATTCCTATTGACCACGAGTGTCTCAAACTCAACAGGGAGGGTGTGCCTGAATTTTAAGATAATCCCACAAAGCCAAACTCAAGAGTGCACAGAAGCATCACATTTAGAAAGTGTGAAAGAGCTGGATGAAGCTCAAGAATGATCGACATATCCCTTTCTGAAGTAAGTGACAGCATCTTCTGGTTCTACCCGCTTTCTTATTTTTGCATCAAACATAAATAGTAAGTGAAGAAATGTAATTCAATAGCAGAGCTTCAGGTTCCTGAGATTAGATGAAAGGGATCCTTAGCACCAAGGCACAAAGACATGAAAAAAAGTCAGAGACGAAAGGAATGGTAAGAAGCAAACTTCAGTCGGAAAAATCTTGTGTATCAGAGTGGCTGTTTTGAGCTTCACAGAGTCGTCCTGAGCATACATTATACTGGGTTTCGCTGCTTCACGTAGTATCAGGTATTTCATATAAATAATTAAAAAGCCACTGGCTGCTGGGGCCAGGTTTAAATGGATTGAAAAGGAGCGTGGGTCACCTGTTTTCAGGCTGGGAGACTTAATGAGAGGGTGGACAAGGCATTGAGAGATGACGATGCTCTCGTGAAGGATTTAAGGACAGCATCCATCTCCAAGGCTGTATTTCCACCCCCACCTCCTCCAGGCTCACCTTTCTGGCTCAAGGTTTTTCATGTGCTCTTTTTATTATTCTTTTTTGATTCACAGCTACCATATGCACATGTTAAGAGGCTCAAACTTGGCCAGGCACAGTGGCTCACGCCTGTAATCCCAGCACTTTGGGAGGCCGAGGCGGGTGGATCACGACGTCGGGAGTTCAAGACCAGCCTGGCCAAGATGGTGAAACCCCATCTCTACTAAAAACCCCAAAAAATTAGCTGGGTGTGGTGGTGGGCACCTGCAATCCCAGCTACTCGGGAGGCTGAAGCAGAGAATTGCTTGAACTCAGGAGGCGGACGTTGCAGTGAGCTGAGATCGTGCCACTGCACTCCAGCCTGGGCGACAGAGCGAGACTACATCTCAAAAATAATAATAATAAAAAAAAAGAAAGAGGCTCAAACTTGTCTTTTAAAAAGTGAAGTGCCTTGCCTTGTCCTACACCGTGGCCTCTCCTTGGACACAAACAGGCAGGGAGTGTTTAAGATAACAGCATTGCAGAGTGCAAACGGCCCCCAAAGTGGAGCCAGAGGAACCTATGAGATCATTTGGAAAAGCTTGTGAATTCACTGCCATTTGCCTACTTGGCTTCGGATGAAAAGCAAATCTTAAAGCTGCTCAAAATGTGTCTGATTCATCTGTAACTGAGAATGAGACCAATCAGGGATAAGAAGTGAGTAAAATCCTTGTGATCACAGAGCCAAGAGAGCCTATTTTAAAGCACTTAATGTATTTTTTTTCTTAAAGATATATACACCAACTGTAATTAAGCTCTCCCTTTCCTTATGATCTTGGCAAGATGTTAAAAAAGAGATAGAGGGAGGGAGTCGACTTGCCAAGTGGATTTTTCTAAGCGTTCTCAGCCCTAATTAAAAGTCCTTTGTGCAAGGCCAACCAGCAATCAGATTCCTAATTAGAGTTGAGCAAACTGCCTTGGTGAACTGTGGGTTTCTCTGAACCCGGGAATCTGAGGAAAAAGTCTGTCTGTCTCAAAGGTGCCATTTTCTGAAGCACAAACACACCCAAATCCTAAAAGGCATGTCTCACAAGGGCAATGTCACAACCTTAATACTGTTGGTCGATTACTGTTTTTGCCTTGAAACGGCTCCGCAGCATCCTATATATTGCGTTGTTACGTCTGTTTTGCTGTTTGTTACGGTATTATGATGAAATGGCGCCTTATTAAAAACCTGTCTTCAGGATCTGGAATTCTGGGACTTGAGATTTAAGTGTATTAAATGCCAGGAATTCATGGTTTATGTCCAGAAAAAGAAGACCATTCTGCCATTAACTGGATTTCCCCTGGAGTCTTGGGAATCATAATAGTGTGTACACAAGTGCTTACCACATGCGAACACAGCTCTAAGAACTCTATAAATACGAATGCATTCACCTCTCACGAGGATGCCATGAGGCAGGCTCTATTATCTCCCCTGTTTCACAGGGAGGAAACTGAGGCAAAGAGAAGTTAAGGCGGTATCTCAAAGTCACATTAGAAAGTGATAAAGCCAAGATTGACCTGCAGTCAGTCACATTCCAGAGCCTCTGCTCTTACCTCCCAGCACTGGAGCCATGGCGTTGGACCCCCGGTCCCCGGGCCTCATGCCCCGGTCCCCAAGCCTCATGCCCCGGGTCAGAGCATCCACACAGCAGTGCAGCTGGGAGCATGGCTCCATCTCCTATGTAGCCCCTGGATTTCTTCCTGATTACTAGGTAGGGTTTTCCAAGATCCACATTTCAAATTGAGAACTTCTGAAATGTAGGCCTTCAATAAAGAGATTATACCAAGATGTAAAAATAAAGAACATTGCTATTCTTCATTCCCAGAACTGTGGTGAAAGCAACAATGGCATTCTTGTCTCACCCAGTGAGAGACAAAGCACCCCAAAGCCACAGCATCCAACGGAGATGCCACAAAAAAGGATGCCCACCCTTGGCTTAGCTCATCTCATACATAACTCTTCATTTCTCGATTTTTCCAGAAATGTACACATCCTGAGACAGGGAGGAAGTGCTCACAATTAGACAATTTTCTTTTCTCCAGGGCTTTCATTTGAATCAGATTCATGAAGGAAAAACTCTTTCTGGGTTTTTTTTTTTAGATCATTATTTAATAGTCTTAATAGAAGATGGATTTTATCTGTAGATTTTTGCTTTCAATTAAAAATGCTAAATGTAAATATTGTAGTGTCAAACCTTTTAAATGTTTAATATACAGCACACTGCAAAAGAAATACTTTTGTGTAGTCAGGACTTGGCAGTTTACATGGTGTCATTTAGGGGTGGGGGGCAGCATGATGAGAGGATGGTGGTGTCAGAACCGTGGAGGAGAAGGACATCAGAGACACCAACAGACATGAGAAAAAAGAAAAACGAGACTAGAAAGAGAATGAGGGGAAGAACGAGGGGCCCCAGAGAAAGGCTTTCCTTCCCAGAGACAAATGAAAATTCTATAGTTTTTATAAGAAAGAAAGAAAAACACCCCAAAGAGCTCTGTGGGAGTGTGGGAGGATGAGGGGCTCTAGTGCTTGGCTTATATTTCCATCGTGGCTGAGTGATGATGAACTGCTGCTGGAGGCCTGTGACCGGCTTCTCTGGGGGTGCTCTGGCATTGCCACCACATCTGTTCTCACATTTCAGTGGGAGGGGTCAGCAAAGGGGGGAACCTCACAAGTCTGTTGTTCTGCAGTTATCACATTGCATTGTAATTCCTACAACACAAGTATAGCCTACCTCCCTCACTCGTCTATAGTCTATAAATCGGAGCACAAGGGTTGGGCTTTATTCAAATGCACCTCTTTAGTGGTGGATATATAGTTGGTCCTCAATAGTGTTTGCGGATGAATGGGGGTTTACAGTATCCACCACACTGCCCTGTATGATGCCTTTGAAGCAGCAGGCACTTAATGGACGTTCATTGAATGAATCAGGTCCCCATTCAACAGCAAGTCACATGCTCAAATTTTTTAAATTCTGAAAAAACAAGGCAGACAGGGTAAGAAGTCCAGGATCTGAATAATAGATCCTTTAGGACCTCCCAGAGGAAATAATTAAGGAAAATAAAATGTTTGAGAAAGATTAACAGATTTGCTTCTGGAACGGTAAGGAAACAAGAGAACGCCAGCGTTTCAGGATGCATCCATCTGTGGTTACCATTCCAAGCTGACATTCCTCTCCTCTCTAAAAGTCACTGAGGCCTCTCAGGGTTTTAACATTATCTGAAAGCAATCCTGAGGAACTGGCCCGGATGCTGAAGCCATACCTTAAGACAGGTAAACAGTTTCCATTCATGTGTGTGTTGCTTTGTGTAATTCATCTCACCCTCCGGCAATACGAAAAGATGTATATTCAGATGATCTAAGTTACAGAAAAATGTAGTTACCTGATTAAATTAAGAGGTAGTGTACATAGCCAGAGACTGGTGAGATTTTAAGATTAGCTTGTGCTGGTGTTTATTCTCCTTTTCCTTTTAAAACATTCTTCAAAGCTATGATCAGACACAAATCCAATCAGAAATACTCCATGTTACTCTTCTCTTCCATCCCTGCTTGTCTTAAGTGCCAATGATATGTCAGGTATTTTGCTGGTTTTTACATTCCTTTATTCCCTGACAACTTGAGTTGGCTTTTCCTAGTTAGTACATAAGATGATTTAATCTTGCGTATGTTCATAAAACTTGGTTCTGTGACTGCCAAATATCTTTTGAAGTAGTATTGTCACTCTGTTCCTCTTTTAGGAGGAATATGGAGGTGTAGAGTAGGTCAGTTTTATTCCTTGGATATTGGTGTCAGGTTGGGTGTAAATATTTTCCAACCAAGCCCTGCAATCCAGTGCAGTAGAGCTAAACGGACAGTGACCCATGTTCAGTGGCTGAATGTTTGCTGTGGACCTGGGATGTTAACTTTGCAAAACAAGGTATAAGTGGAACTTTTCCAAAAATGTTTTTTGAGAGTATAGTGTTGAAACTGCCACTGGAGCAAAGAGCCTGGACAGATAGGATTGCAATATGGAGTCCCTCTGGGCTTCGTTCATCTGCTTTTACTTGTCTGAGCCGGTAAAGGGCTGGGATCAAATGTGGATGGCTTTCCTAATGATAGCCAAGATTTACTGAGGACTTGCGATGTCCATCCGCTAATCAGTGCTAAGTGCTAGGCATGGCTTATCTCCTTTACTCTTCAACAACAGTCTTATCGGCAAGGTTCTAGTATTATCCTCATTTTACTGATAAGGAAATGAAGCCTTAGAAATATTAAGAAATTTGCCTAAGGTCAAACACCAAATGAGTGCCGTTCTTCATTCTGTAATAGAGCTTCTTTTACATTGTATACATTTAAGGAATATAACATGATATTTTGAAATACATATACATAGTAAAATCATATCTACAGTCAAGCTAATTTACATATCTTTCACCTGACATTGTTACCTTTTTAATGGTAAGAGCATCTAAAATCTAAACTTTTAGCACATTTTTCATATTCAATGCAATATTACTAATTATAGTTCTCATGCCGCATATTAGATCTCTAGACTTATTCATCCTATGTAACAACAACTTTGCACCCTTTGGCCTACATTTTGGTCCACATTTCCCCAATTCCTCCTTCGCCCCTCTATGCACCCAGTGACCCCTATTCACTCTGTTTATACGTATTTCACTTTTTTTTAGATTCCACATGTAAGTGAGATCATGTAGTATTTTTCTCTTTGTGTTTGGCTTACTTCACTTAGCATAATGTCCTCCAGGTTCATCCATGTTGTCACAAATGGTAGAATATCCTACATTTCAGGGCTGAATAATATTCCATTCTCTCTCCCTCTCTCTCTCTCTCTCTCTCTCTCTCTCTATATATATATATATATATATATAGATATAGATATATACACACACACACTATATATATACACACACATATATATACACATATATATATACAACATATATATATATACACACACACAACCAGCCGATATAAGAACTCATTCCTTCAATAGGCACTCTCTCTCTCTCCCTCTCTCATATATATATATGAATGGATAAAGAAGAAATTGTGTTTTTATATATGTATAAGTTCCACTTATACCTATACATACCTCTCTCTATATATACACCTCTCTCTATATATATGTGTATCTATACCTCTCTCTCTATATATATTCATATATGTTCTCTATATGTACATATATATAGAGAGAGGTGTATATATATATACCTTCTTCTTAAAGAAGAAATTGTGAGAGAGATATATAATATATATATCGTATATGTATAAAGTATATATATATATATACACCTCTATATATATATCTATACCTCTCTATATATACATATATGTATGCATACATATATACGTATATATTCATATATACGTATATATGTATGCATACATATATGCATATATATTCATATATATTCAGCTCCTTTGCCCATTTTTAAATTTGGTTTTTTTTTTTTTTTTGCTATTGAGTCATGTGAGTTCCCTCTATATTTTAATTATCAATGCCTTATCAGATGTATGGTTGGCAAATATTTTCTCCTAAATCTGTAGGCTGTCTTTTCATTTTGCCAATTGTTCACTGTGCAGAAGCTTTTTAGTCTGATGTAGTCTCAGTTGTTCATTGTTGCTTTTGTTGCCTGAGCTTTTGTTATGATATCCAAAACTCATTGCCAAGGCCAATCTCAAGGAGCTTTCCTCCTACACTTTCTTCTAGGAGTTTTATGGTATCAGGGCTTATGTTTAGGTCTTTAATTTTGAATTGATTTTTTTGCATATGGTGTAAGATAAGGATCCAGTTGCATTCTTTGGCATGTGAAGATCCAGTTTTCCCAGCACCATTTATGGAAAAGACCAACATTTCCCCATTGCAACCTTTTGGTGGCCTTGTTGAAAATTGTTCTCACTATATATGGTTAGGCTTCCGTTCCATTGGTTTATGTGTCCACATGTTTTGATTACTATAGCTTTTTAACATAATTTGAAATCAGGAAGTGTGATGCCTCTCACTTTTTTTTTTTTCTTCAGATTGCTTTGGCTATTTGTGTTCTGTTGTGACATAACTTCTAAGAAGGGATTTGTATAAAATGTGTACAACACGTTATGGTTTATTAACTTTCTTTCACTGGCCTTGTTTAATTTTACTCTCACCTTATCTTTTTAGGGTTGGTGACATTATTCTGATTTTGCAGATGAGGAAACAGAAGCACAGAGACGTTTTGTGGCTTGCTTTGCTGTCCTTAGGCAGAGAGGAGTCTGATGGAGAGTTAACTATAGTATTCTCCGTGGCAGATGGCTGTGCCTCCTGTCCAGGGCAATTTGCCTTAGCAGGCTGGAGAACAAAGAGCACTGAGCCAAGAGTCCTTGGCCCCACCACCTTCCATATAACCTGAGGACTTCTGTTTCCTCAATATGGTTCTTGGGGTCGTTTTTAGGATGAATTGGGTTTTGTGAGAATTGTGTATTGCCATGCAAATATATGTTATGAATAATACCTTTGAACAGTCATTCTTCAGCTTATGGAAGCCTATCCATTTAAGGTAGAAACTTAAGATGTATCTTTCTCCTCCCTGTATTTGGTAAAGTTAGGAGCTAGGGCAGCATAGTTGAAATGAATTAAAAGAACTTTTTTTTCCATTTTTCTAATTTCTATTTCCATAATATAAGTACCCATTCATGGAAAAATAAAAATTAGGTAAGTGATAGAAATTACAAAGAAAGTTACAAATATTCAAAATGCTTCAGTCTACCAACCTTGAAGAATAAAATATTTTCCTATTCAAGAACAAAGAATCTTGTGGTTATGTTGATAGAGAAAATATCTTTAAGCCACACTTTTTAAAAGTCATGCAAAAATAAGCTCTGAGGTTTATTTGTTTTAGTGGGCTGTGCTCCACTGGCATCCTTCCTGGGAACATCATTCTTCTTTCCTTTTGTTTTCCCCTGAATTTTTGAGCATAGGTTTACAGTTTGAAGGGGGAAAAATATTTTCAGCTTACATTTACTGTTTTTTTTTTTTCAGTAATAAGACCACATAAGGTTGAGATCCAGGTATGAGAAAGCTTAATAAAACTTAATGTCTTGGTTCTTGATGACCAGCCAGTGCACATGCCACTAAGTAAGTGAGATTCATCCTCTAAGGATTCACAGTGAATCTTTAACCCTGCCCTTGAGAAAGTATTAAAGAAGATCCAGAGACGGGAGCAAAACAAAATACACAACCAGAGACACTGTGTGCTGTCAGCAGCAGGCATGTACTGGTCAAGGAATTAGATGACTCAAGGTGGTGACTCATTCAGCAACTATGTAGTGTTTGCGGTTGAAGAGAAACCTTGGCCAGAGAATGACTAAAATCTATTGGCAGCGTCTTTAAAAGAATCATGACTGGGCCTACACCAGCGAATACGCAAGTGTGCTTTTTTTCTTCGTCTTTTACTAATTCAAGACTGAGAGTAAGAAAACACCATCCTTGTTGACGCCCACTATTACAGCATGCTCTCCAGGGCATTCCCAGCAACTACGCTCAGTGAGACTGAGTCCAGATACTTATCTCTGTGTTTGGACGTGGTCATATGTGTGCATGTTTGTAGTTAGTAGGATGAACAAGTCAGACTTATACAAATTGTTAGAGGCACTTGTTCTTGATAATTAAAAAAAAAAAGCCAAGAGAAAGTTTCCAAATTTAGTTATTGTATTAGTTTCCTGGGGGCTGCCATAACAAAATACTACAAACTGAATGGCTTAAACAACAGAAATGTATTCCCTGGCAGTTCTGGAGGCTGGAAGTCTGAGATCCAGGCGTCAGCAGCGTTGGTTCCTTCTGAGGTCTGTGAGAAAGAATTCGTTCTGTGCCTCCCCCTGAGCTTCTTGGTGGTTTGCTGGAGGTCCTTGGCATTCCTTGGCTTGTAGAAGCACCGTTGTGTTCTTTATCTTCACCTCCACATGGCGTTCTCCCTGTGTGTCTCTGTCTCCAAATTTCCTCCTTTTAGAAGAAACCAGTCACATTGGATGAGGGGCCCACTCTGCTCCAGTATGGCCTCATGTTAACTAATTGTACCTGCAATGCTCCTATTTCCAAATAAGGTCACATTTCTGAGGTCCTGGCAGTTAGGACTCCAACATAAGAATGGACAGGAGGGGGACAGAATTCAACCCATCGCCTTCTCCATATCAGCCAGAGCTAATTTATTACAAAACTAGTGGATCCATTTGAAATTTTGTGCTAATCAATGTTAGTCTCTTTTTTAAGTCCAGAAGAAAATTTCAGTTTTAAAAAAGTTTGAATATATTTCATATTAGAAGGAGTAACTATTTAAAAATAATAGAGACTCACTAGCCTAAAACAAAGTAGTTAACCAAACAATTTATTAATCATCTGGGTATAATGCCATGTAAATACATTTGCATTTATGAATGCAAATGCCACACAAGCATGCCATCATTAACAGTGCAAAACATGAAATTTTAACAAAATTGTTGGACTAGAAGGTAAATTTGGTATCTAAAATTTTAAGACTCAGTTTAGCTTTTGAGGTTGCTCAAAGAGCTTGTTTTTCTTTTTGACATCAATCCTTGTAAAGGGAGCATGCACGTGGTTGAGCACAGCTATGTATACCCACACCCCTGTGAGTGCAGTGTACATATCTCTATCTGTGCTGTTTACAACATTTAAAAGTTCCTCGTGTGAATCAGAATGAACCTAGGCAATAAAGGTTCACTTGAGTCACTGAAGTCAAAGAATAAGATGAGCAGAAAGGATGGCTCCACAGGAAATGGAGTTCTGGGTTAGTTCTGGGTACTAGGGAGGTGTCAGCCTTGTGGACTGAAGCTCTTTATCTCTGACTCCAGCTACAAAAGAAGAGCATATTGGCCTTGAAGGTATAATTGATCAGCTGATGTAAGAACTCATTCCTTTAATAGGGACTCATTTCTATCCATCCATGAGCTTTGCACATCCATGTATGAAGTTATTGCCTTTCTCCTGGTTGGATTAGAGGCTTAGTAAGGGAGAGTCAGCATTCTTGGGACATTCACTGTGTGAGATCACTGGAGCAAGTGAGTTTAAGCACTAAAGGTAAGATTCTGATCTCTCTTTTTGGGGACTTCTTTTGCTAGGGCCTGGGTTCTAAAGTTTACTATAGCTATAAACCAATATTGTGCTAATGTTTCTTACAAGAAGATGAATTTTGAGCAAACTCATTCATTAACATCATGTTTATCCTTTTATTGTTAGTTATAATCATTTGTCACTTTAAGGTCTTTTTAGCTCATTAGAGTGTGAAGTATACTAAATTCATATAAGCACAGCCCATATATGCTTTTTCCAAGAGGGCCAGATACTTAGAATCATAAAATGTTATAGCAGAAAATGACCTTGGAAATCATCTAGTTCAATCCCTCATTTTACAGATAGGGAAATTAAGTTCTATAGAGGTTAAGTGACTTGTCAAAGGTTAGCGACCAATAAGTCGCAGAACCAGGGCTTAAACCCATTTCCTGATCCTTTTTCTCTACTGAAATCACCATTAATGATAGTGCCAGAGCAGGGCTGCAAATGAAGAAAGGACTGTCCTACAACAGGCACTTCAAATAGAATCCTGTCCAATGAATATGCTATTCCTTATATTTTCTCTGTGGGCATTAATCTCTGGTATATATATTCAAAGCAGATGCTAACGACTTCTTTTTTAATCCTTGGGCAATTCTAAATTTTCAAAGAATTAAAAGGGCTGCTTAAAGAACATAAAAAAAGCAAATGAGGGTTATTTATAAGAAGGAAAAAAGGTACATCTTCAGATCCACTTCACTTTTCCTTTTCTCCAAGCAGTAGTCACAAGGGACATTATCAGATATTAACATGATATAAACAATTGCTAATATCGACAAGCCACATTATACCATATTCCATTAAAATTTAATTTACCAATAGAAGAAATACGGAACTAATTTTAGATTTCTATCACCCACCCAAATATAATTTTATGTTCTCTTTAATTCTGAGATCCCCAAAGCTTATGTCCCAAACATTTTGTGTCATCTAAGAAGAAACTGTATTTCCTACTGCAGAGATTTAGTGCCGCTCCTGCCAGAAGTCAGTGAAGTGTTCTTTTGTTGGCAAGCATTATAGGGCTGGGGTCTAAAAGAAATTAATTTGAGCATTTTGGTTGATTTTAATAGCTTGACCTCTGAGTGTGCGAGCAGTGAGGCCAGGGGGCAATGGCAGGCCATCCACGCAGCTGAATTAAAATGAAGCCCTGGCCTTGCTCAGGGAAACCTTCTCTCACCTGCTTTTCATTTCCTTTAGCTATTTCTGGTAATGAAAACTGGAACCACTGCTATATATTTTGGAGTCTAGAAGTTCTATACATTTTTATTTCATACAATATGCCTATAATTAAATGTAGGTCTTTGTTTATAAAAGGACAAGACCTAAGTGTTCCTGGAAGAATATGGAAAAAAATCTTAAAAGGTATTCCTTTAAAAATAGTTTTTTTTTCATCCACAATTCCAGATGGAAGACTCTCCCGTGTTACAACCTTCCTACCTGCCCACTGACATTTTCATTTGCTATTCCTTATCTTTCTGCATGCTGGCTTTGCCCTTCAATAAGAACCAGAATGGTAAAGTGGAATAATACTATTGGCCCGTTTTAAAGAATCTGAGAGAGTTCTCAGGAAAGTTGAAAGCATTTGGATGGGAAACAGCTCTTCCTGAATTCGTTTCTTGTTTGGGCTTTTTCTCCAATCATCTCCCAGACAGTCCTGATGTCTGTATCAAAGGAATGGGACGTGTGGCTCAAAAATGCCAATTGGAACCTTCCCCCATGAGCTCGTAGCATAATTTGTGATGAGTTCAGACCTGAAATTTGGCCCAGCCCCTAATCAATCATTAGGTGTTCCTGTTATTTTTGTATTGCTGGGGGCAGCCTGCCTGTCTTCTTATCGCTGTCTTTAATTGACATTCTGAAGTACTGCTATATTGATTGTGACTTTTCTCTCCCCTCTGGTAGCTACTTGGAATCTCATTGATGAGTAGTAATAGCATGATATATATTCATGTGCACATATGCATGAACTACTATGTTCGGTATTTGCATTTGCCTACACGTCTGCTGTGCAAGGGTATGCCATGAGAGAATCAGCTTCATCCCCCCTCCCTGCCATATGATGTCTATATATTTATGAGTAGGAGAGAGAGGAGCACTTGGATATATGAATCTGCTTGCAATTTCCTAATGGAATCTGGCAGAAGAGCTTTGCAATAGGACAAGTTCCAGTAAAAAATGTGTTCATGTAAGCACTTTCCCCTTGTGCCTGCCACCTATTTGCCTTTCCAGAGCATTGAAAAGATTAATCATGGGATGATCTAGATTCTCCTTTTGGTCAGTAAAACATAATACTCATCTGGATTCTCCTTTTGGTCAGTAAAGTATAATACTCTCTTAAAGAAGTGGAGAATATTAGAATTGTATATTTTTAATGGTATATCCATGGAGGAAGAGTCCAGGTGAACAAGTTCTTGAAGGGGAAATATATCTTATCAATGGCCAAGCTTTCTGTAGCTGACTAGGTTTTGGTACTGTCATTTGGGAGGTGTATGCTCATAATGCTTTTTAAGGAGAAAACATGAAAATTGTCGACGAGATTAAAGTTGAAGGGTTTGAAATGTAGTAGGCACTTCTTTCTTGGGAGTGCTGCTGTGTTAGGAGGCCATCCTGAGACTAGAGCCCTCGCAATTCAGAAATGGCTTTTCTACCTCATTAATGCCATGATCTTTTGTTATCCCCATCTGTGCCTGAATGGACAAAAGGTATCCATTTAAATTATGGATCTTAAAGAGAACCTTTGCAAAGGCCCCTCTAATGGCCCACATTCATACCCCCTAGCTTTTGCCCTCCATTGTGGCCTCAGCCTGGTAACGGCTGCTGGGATGAGTGGAATTTCTGGAAAGGGGATTGATGGTGGTTAGAGATGCCAACATACAGAAGCCACAAAACTTGGAAATGTGAAATTCTCTGTGTGCATATCCTTTAACTGAAACTTTATGTGTCTCAAGTGAATGAAAAATAAGTTATTTGGGGAAGCCTTTGCCCAATTCACCTGGGATAAGAAGGCCATTGTATCACACATATAATTCCCCAGAGGCTCTAATACTGCAATGTAGCTACACAGCCCTTGGTAGAAAAGATTTCTAAAGAGAAACCTCATCTTTCACACTCTTCAAAAGGACGAACTTTTTGTCAATTATTTTTTTCCTTCAAAGACAAACTTCAATTAGATCAGAGTAGTTGGTAAAGGATATAAAGATAAATGAGGGCTATATTTGTTTAGAATTCACCTAAAAGACAGAGCCAAAATATAATAAATTCGTTTGCTATGGACACTTTCAAAGATTCTTAAATCCCACATGACCTCCAGCATTGTCCTCATATGGAAGACTTGCCCTAGGCAACATGTGTGGAATTTGATGGTTAAACATCTGTTGTGACGACACTCTAGACATCTTAGGGAAGGATCCTAAGTGTTCCGGCAACAGCTACCAAGCCTAGCAGATGGCAGGATGACTGTGGGGACAGACTGGTGATCCTAGAATCGATTCATATGAAACAGGTTCAGGAGGAAAAAAGATGCAGCCTTGCACCATTCAGCATTTTCTCCATAGACTAAGCTCTGAAAGTCTCCTGCAGCATGATGCCATCCATGTGTTTGTGTCTCCTGAAGGGACAGTGGCCTTAGTGGCTTCCTCACAGAGTCTAGAGGGCCAGAACTGGCAGCTTTGCAGATGTCTGAAGATGTGAATCAAACGAAAGAGAAAATTATAGCAGCTGATATTTATTAATAGTGTTATTCAGATCCTCTACATCTTTACAGATATTTTGTCTAGTTTTTCTGTCAATTGCTATGGGAGGGGAGTAAAATCTCTAACTGTGATTGTAAATTGTCTAGATTGTCAATTTTTACTTTGTGTATTTTGAAGCTGTTATTAGGTACATATACATCTGTAATTGTCATGTTTTTTGTGATTATGAGAAGCCCCTCTTTTCCTCTGGCAAAACTCTGTAATGAAGTCTGCTTTATCTGATATTATGAAAGCCACTCCAGCCTTCCTATATAGACTGTTTGCATAACGTATCTTTTTTCCATCCAATTGATTTCAACTGATTGGAATCTTTACATTTAAAGTGTATCTCTTATAGGAAATGTATTAGTTTTGAATTTTGCTCTGTGTCCACTCTGACAATTTCTTCCTTTTTGTTAAAAGTGTTTAGTCCACTTACATTTAACGTAATTGTTGATATGATTGAATTCAGGCCTACCACTTTCTTGTTCACTTTCTATTTGTCCCAAGTGACATTTATTATGTGCTGTTAAGAAAAGTTATCTAAAGCTTGGAAATAAGGAAAGATGATTGTGTGCCTCTCAAAGTCAGCCTAGAGCATTGTCTAACAAGCCCACCTAAGACTCAGCTGAAGGCCAGAGGAAGATAATTTTGACTTACTATTTACTATTAAGGAAACTAATGCACAGAAAGGCTAGTTAACTTGCTCAAGGTCACCCAGTAGTAAGCATTAGAGTTTGAATTGAGAAGCCAAAGCCGATATATTTGATCACTTTACCTTACTGCCTCCCACTGGTAATTGCCTTATCATTGAGCTTATTATGGATTAGTATGAGAGGAAGTTGGGAGAGCTATTGCTGCCTGTTGCTAGCTCTGGTCCTGCAGATGGCATTTTCCGTTAAAGGGAAAGGCAGCTGTGCAGAACCTCAAGGTGCACGTGAACTAAGCCCAGGGGTCCCGGGTCAGTGAGGCTCAGCCCAAATGCATTGGGAACCAAACTCACACATGGGTGTTTGCTCACTCTGTTGATCAGGATCCCCTCGTGTGTACCGCTGCTTAACACATGATTAAGCGCATGTAAAAGAAATGCTGTTTTCAGGAAATAATTGCTGAGCATTCTGGTGACGTATATTTGTTCTTCTATTTTGATAGGAGAGTGGGGCTGAGGTGGGGGGAAGGAGAAGTGTGACCAACCAGGGAAACACACTGATGTAGCAAATGTTAGTGATGTTTTAGTACTTCCTCATGAAGCAGTGTGACCTCCTGCCACCCAGACAGGCTCACTCTTCAGATTTTCCTTGCTCACTAGCCACAGCTGTTTGTTGTTTTCTTAAATGTTAAGCTTTTTATAGCTCTTCAGTTGCTTATAAAAAGTACCAGTTATTCAGGCCATACAAGAACTGGCTCTGTGCTGGTCTAATGAGCAGTGAGAACACTGGAGGCATATTTTTGTTGCTTCTATTTTCTCACTACTTCCCCTTCCCCCAGTCTCACAAATTTCCCCTTTGGACTTAAATGACTCCAGAATCTTGGAATTTACTAAAAAGGCGAACCACCAATTGGTCTTTGCTGTTCAAGAAAAATTCATCACTGACTCACCTCCCTCCCAGTTCTTGGCTCTCCACGGCTGTGTGAAGAGTAGATCAACGGGTGGGGCCTTGTGTCACAAATCACGGCTGCTCCTAGGGGTCCAGGGTTGGGGGAGCACTCCAACCTGTACAGATGCACCTGTGATCTCTACAGAAGAGAAGTCTCATCTTTGCCCCCGAGGAGAAAAGAGCCCAGGACTTGGAGTGCCTTCGCTGAATAGGTAGGAACTTTCCAGTTTGCATCCTCTGTGAAAAGCAATTAGGACCAGCTCCAGAAGGGATCTGATAGAATCAGAAGGAAGAAGTCAGAAGCCACAGTCAAGAACGCAAACAGAATTGGTATATTTGAAGGAATCAGTCTCCCTTGTGCTGGGAGGCCTTCACAGTGTCATCTGTGGGTTGTACACACATTCTACAATGACTTCCCATGATAAACATAAAACTCTCGGGGAAAACGTTGTGATCTTAGTGCAAGAGGATATCATTAAACACAACATGGAAAAAATCCTGTTAGGAGAGCCATGGCTGAGAAAATCTGTATGTGTGTTCTAGCATGGAGTTTCACCATGTATGAGCTCCAGACCTTGGGGGCACTTGGACTGATTACAAGGGTCCTAGCATTTGGAAATGATTTAATGAATAACCATCTGACACATATGTGTTCTATTTTCCACAAGAATGTAGATACTGAAATGATTATTAAAATATTAATTTAAATGCAATATTGAATTATTAGTGTTTTTTAAAAGTTTTTGATTTTTAAAATTTTTATTATTTTTTTAACCTTACTGTATAGCTGTAGAATAGGAGCTGCTGCTTCAAAAGCCATTGGCCTCATGTCCAGGATGTCATAAAGAAACTCCTTAGGAGCCACTGGCCAACTATTTGGGTTGAAGAGGGTCAAATTATGGGGTTTGTTTTCGGGAAACCTTATCCTCAGCCTTGTTTTCTTGGTGCTTGCTCTTGTTAGAAAGGAGGACAACTTACCTAGCATATTACATGGGATGATTTTGCAGAACGAATCCTCGTTAAACATGTTTTGAGATGGAAAATAGACATTTTCCAAGTGTCGGGCTTGTAAAAGGCCTATTTATCAGAGTGAATTGTGTATGTTTTTAGCTCAGAGGCTTTGATATGTACCTATTGCAATTCTGTGCTTTTAAGTGTCCATATAATAATAACAATGACTAATGTTTATTGAGCATTTATTACATGCCAGACACTATTCTAAACACTTAACATGTGTTATCTCAACAAATTTTCAAGTTTTCATGGTAGCTATTATTTTTTTCTTTTCTTTTCTCCTTCCTTCCTTCCTTCCTCCCTCCCTCCCCTCCTCCTCCTCCTTCTTCTTCTCTTCCTCCTCCTCCTCTTCTCCTTCTCCTTCCCCTTCCCCTTCTTCTTTTTTCTTTTTTTCTTTTCTTTTCTCTTCTCCTCTCTTCTCTTTTCTTTCTTTCTTTCTTTCTTTCTTTCTTTCTTTCTTTCTTTCTTTCTCCTTCCTTCCTTCCTTCCTTCCTTCCTTCCTTCCTTCCTTCCTTCTCACTTAACATGTGTTAAACTCAACAAGTTTTCCTGGTAGCTATTATTATTTTCTCTTGCTTGCTTGTTTGCTTGCTTTCTTCTTTCTTCTTCTTCTTCTTTTTTTTTTTTTTTTCCAGACTCTCCCCTCTGTCTCCCAGGCTGGAGTGCAGTGGTGTGATCTCAGCTCACTGCAACCTCTGCCTCCTAGGTTCAAGGGATTCGCCTGCCTCAGCCTCCCAGGTAGCTGGGATTACAGGCACCCCCTACGACACCCGGCTAATTTTTGTATTTGTAGTAGAGACAGGGCTTCACCACATTGGCCAGGCTGATATTGAACTCCTGAACTCAAGTGATCTGCCCACCTTGGCCTCCCAAAGTGTTGGGATTACAGGTGTGAACCACCGTGCCCAGCCTATTAATTTCATTTTATACACCAAGATATTGAGACTCAGAGAACTCAATATGTCACCCTGGCTTACATGCCCACATGTAACAGAGCCAGGATTTGAATCTACACTGTCCAACTTTGGAGCCAGCACTTTTAACCACTGTGCTATATTCTCTTTATGTTCAATGTCTGACCCAAACTAGAATTTTTTGTATTATGAATTAGCATTAAGGGGTTATCCTTCCCATCATTTAATTTAGGATTTAGATGTCTATTCTCATTTGAAAATTATTCCATTATGTTGACTATATATATATATACACACACACACACACACACACACACACACACACACACACACACACATATATAGACTATCAAATATATAACATTGTGGAAATTCACATGTACCAGTTTTAATTTTAGCCATTAATTAAATGAATTCTATTTAATAAAACCTTTCACTTCTTCCCCAAGGACATTGTCTCAGGGGCTCTGTGGAATAAATGTGAGAGTTTATACTTTCTTTTCTTGGCCTCAGTTCACCAATCTTTGAAGCGGGGCCACCTTTACTCTAAAACCATTAATTTTTCTTAATTAAAGAAGATATACAAATGGCCAATAGGTACATTAAAAATACTTACATCACTAGTTATTAGGAAAATGAAAACAACAAAACACCACTACACATACACTAGATGGCTAAAATTAAAGTCACTGACAACACCATGTGTTGGTGAAAATGTAAAGCAACTAAAACTCTCATCTGCTGCTGATGGAAATGCAAAATGACACAGCCACTTTCAGAAAAACAGTTTGGCAATTTCTTATAAAGTTAAATATACAGTTACCATATGACTTGCCAATCCTATTTACCCATGAGAAATGAAAAGCTATGTCTACACAAAGACCTATACCTGAATGTTTATAGAAATTTTATTTGAAATAGTCCCAAACTGAATGCAACCCAAATGTCCATCAGCTAGTAAATGGATAAGCTAATTATGATATATCCATACAATAAAGTATTATTTAACAATAAAAAGGAACTGATAGGAACCAATGAACGAATCTCAAAGGCAAGGTGCTAAGTGAAAGAAGCTGAAGAAAAAATCATATACCTACTATATGATTTCATTTATATGAAATCTAGACAAGGCAAAATTATAGTGACATAAAGCAGATCTGTGGTTGTCAGGGAGGTGGTCTTGGGATGCAATGGAGACTGGCCATAAAAGAGCATGAGGAAAGATTTGGAAATGATGGAAATGTTCTATAACTTGGTTATGGTATACACTTGTCAAAGCTTAACGAGCAGCACACTTTAAATTACACCTCAGTAAAGCTGATTAGAAAAAATATATGTGATTCAGCTGTATATGAGACAATTCAATTTTTATAACTCTAGGTTTGGCTTCCATTGAGGTCGGCCTAACTTATTTCCCCAAATATTTAACACAGTTTGTGATTTAAAATGTTTTTTTATCTGTTATCTTAAAACTGAAGTTACTTCTTCAACTGGAAAAAAATAAGTTTTTTGAATTTGTTGTATAACAAATATTTGATGCAAAAAGAAAAATTGAAATAAATTTATTCATAATCAAGATAACCCCATAACCATTTATTCGATGGTTGTACAGCTCTCTGTGTCAGTTCAGTTCGTCTTTATACTTGTTGATCCACTGTCATACTGGATCAACTGTCTTGTGAAGACTTTATATTTAGAGTATTGGAATTTTTGTGGTCCTGTGTGACATACTGGTTGTCATATGAGTCCCCTAACACCAGAAGAAATTCTCCATGTAGAACAGAGGCTGAAGCTGAACTCCTCCTGAGTATGGCTTAAGGCTCAGTTTAATTATATGGAATCAGTTGATGGTTTGAGGAAAAAAATAGTTATCCAGTTTATTCTGTAATTTTGCTTTGAAAACCAATTAAATAGTATTTTTTCCAATCACCATATTTCCTCAGAGATATGAATAGATATCTACTCACCATCTCCTTCAGTCAAATATATTTATTAGGAGTTTATTTTAAGCCAGGCATTACGCTAGGTACTCTAGGAGATACAGAGCTGCTTAAGCTATCATGATCCTTGTCCTAGTTGGT
Organism: Homo sapiens; assembly: GCF_000001405.40. NCBI lineage: Eukaryota > Metazoa > Chordata > Mammalia > Primates > Hominidae > Homo > Homo sapiens. Next base: position 90,380,336 of record NC_000006.12, read on the forward strand.
TAAAATTCTACACTTGGAAATTTGCTCAAGTGCCTATACAACACATACAGTTGTCCTTCGGCATCTGTGGGGGATTCGTTCCAGGACCCCTCTGGATACCAAAATCCAGGGATGCTCAAGTCCATTATATAAAGTGGTATTGTATTTGCATGTAACCCATGCACATTCTCCCATAGGCTTTAAATAATCTCTAGATTACTTATAATACCGAGTACAATATAAATTCTATATACTTATATAGAATATATGTAATACATTATTATATATACAATATTATAATACCTAATGCAATATAAATTCTATATAAATAGTTATATAGTTTTTATTTGTATTATTTTGCCTTATTATATTGTTTTAAAAACATTTTTGATCCACAGTTGGTTGAAACCATGAATGTGAAACCCGTGGATACAGAGAGCTGTACACAAATCTGCTTTGGCTATTTCAGGTGTAGGACTCAGAGACATATTCTGAAGTTGGAATATTTAAAAGTGACTGTGGGATGCTAGAAAGGGCATGACCCTTAAGATAGGACTCTCACCAGCACTTCCTTCATACCTGAAATGGCACCTCTGGAGGAATATTGTGTTAAGCTGTCTCCTCTCCTGCCAGCTGTTAGTCAAAGGCAAGTATCCCTGGAGAGAGTGACATATTAAATTCCAAATTCCTCAATATTATTTAGGACTTTCAGATTTTATGTTTGGTGATAGAGGTAATACTTGTTACTCCTCTATTGAGGGGCAACCTTTATCAACTTACATTTTTTGCTTAATGCTAGCCCCAGAAAGGCTTGCAGACTGTCCAGTGATAGCTAAGGATGGATACATACAGAATGAAGTTGCTACTCAAAGTGGTGTCACTAACCCAGTATTAGATCATCTGGGAGCTTGTGAGAAATGCCAGATTTCAATACCTACCCCCATATCAATGGAATCTGCATTTGAACAAGAGCTCCAAGCATCTAGTCCAACATCAGAATGTTTCTTCCAGTCAGTGCTGAGGCTTTTCTGTTTCCCCTTGCCTACTAGTAGTATGAACATTTGAAGGTCCAATTCCTTCTGCTGGAGTCTTTTGCGATATATTGAAGGTCAGGTATCTGATTCCTTCTGCCAGGAAGAGCCCTTGAACTATTTAACAGATTTCTTCCAAGATCTCTTCTAATGTTTACTTACCTCTTGCAGTTCAATAATCATCTTTCTAAGTAAGAGGAAGAAATTGCAGGTATCTGAAAAGCTTATGCACACAGTCAAAGGGGGCTCAGATTATAAGAGCCTGCTCTGCAACACACTTTATTCAATAAATGTTAAATGAAAATAATAAATGCCCTTCCTCTTGGCTTGGAAATGGCTTTTACATGGCCCTGGTACAAATACATTTTGTAAACCCTTCAAAGTACCTGTTGTTTCCTTCCTACCCAGCTCCTTTATGGATGACTGTATTAACTTACCGAGGTGTGCATGGATTACTTTAATGATTGAGTCTACTTCTTCCAAGCTCTGGCTGATGTCTAAGAATAGACCTTTCTCCTTTGCACAGAGAACACAATTGAGGTGCAAACTGACTAGTGTCCTAAAATAGTACCCACTCCCCCTCCATTCTTTCAGGAGCTCCTTGTCCACAGAGGTAGCCTGTGCCCCCTGCTGTAAGAAACCACTCAGAAGTTGGAGAAAATAGAGAAGGTGTGAGGAGTCAACCCTGGAGAAGTCATCTGACCTCTCTGAGCCTTAGTTTTCCGACCTGTAAAAGGAAAGAATTGGACCAGATAATGTTTGAGCTCTCTTGGAATAGTATGAACATTTTAAACCAGGGAAAAGGAGACTGGGAGTTAGCCTGTGGAACCATGGCATTTTAGAAATGTCAGATTTCAATACCTGCCCCCAGATCAATGGAATCTACATTTGAACAAGAGCCCCAAGCATCTATGCTAACATCAAAATGTTTCTTCCAGTCCTGAGGCTTTTCTGCTTCTCCTTGCCTACTGGTAGTATGAACATTGGAAGGTTTATGACATTTTATAAAGCCATTTCATATTCATTCCCCTGTGCAATCATCAGAACTCCAAAGTAGTGCTCCTATTGTACAGATGAAGAAACTGAGACCCAGAGAGGGTAAGTGACTTCCTCAGTGGCATCCAACTCAGATGCTAGAACCTGGACTCAGGACTTGAACCCAGACACCCTGACTTCACCTGGGAGTCCTCCCACTACATCTCAGCTGTCACTGAGAGGCCATTTGCTTTGTTTAATAATGTTCTTTAAGGCTGTGCAAAGGTCAACATTCAAAATCTATCTGTTGCTATAAGTAGGCTAAAAGAAACGAACTTAAAAATAGTCTCATGCAGGTATACAGCAGCAGAAAATAATACAACAAATGTGATTTCTATTTGGATTATACACCCTGGGGGGCAAAGTGCTATTCTAAACATTGCCTCTTGAGGGTCAAATGTCCCTGCATAAGGTAGACAGAGGCAAGTACTGTTAACACCATTTCAAAGAGAGGAAAACGGGGGCAGAACAATTAAATGGGCTTCCTAAGATTTCTCAGTCAGACACGAACTATAATTCCAGATGCCCAACATTTCTGTGGTCTTTTCCGCTAACTCACTGCTGATTGTGTGCGCAGCCACTATGCTCCACGTTCTCCTGCCCAGGAGGTGCTGTCCCTATCTGGTGGCCCCAGAAACTAGGGGTAGGGGTGAGGGTGGGGAGTTTGTAAGGAAACAACTGAAGTGCAGAATGGAATGAACCTATGGATGCCTTTAGGTTTTGATAACAAAGGAAAGAATCCTTACATTCTATTCAGGACGTTATTGGATTTAAATATTTTACCAGCTTCAGCTAAACATTTTCAGATTTTGACTCTGCTAAAGAACAGGTACTTATTTATCTGGAGTTCGATTACAAATATAGCTTTGTTCTGCATGGATAAAATGCAAAGAAGTCAAGAACGGTTAGCTAGAGTCAGGGCAAGTGAGAAAAACAGCTACTTCCTTTTTTTTTTTTTTTTTTTTTTTTTTTTTTTTTAGTAGTAGTAGTAGTAACACCCAAGTTGCAAAGAGGCTAAGAGAGTAATTCAGTGTTGTGGTTAAGCGTGTGGGCATCAAACTGCTTTTGCATTTTAGCTCTGACACTTACTGACACTTGCTCACCCTGTGACCCTGAGAAAGTTATTTCTCAGGTCAATTTCCTTATCTATGAAATGTAGATAATAACGGAAACTACCTCCTAGGGTAGTAGTGAGGGTTAAATGACTTAATACCTGCAAAGTGCAATAAGAGGAACTCAACAGATGCCAGCTATTATTGTTATTGTTATTAGTGAGGAGGGAACAGTTAAACATTTTGCTTTTATTTGGCTTAAGCCTAGTACTATATACTTGAATTCTAACCAAGTAAAGAACAAAAATTATCAACTGAGAAAGCGTGTGATGGTCCAAATCAAGAGGTGAGTTACACATGGGCTGGGAAATAGCCCATTTAAGGTGACCAAACACAGATAATAATGCAAGGAAATGGATAATGCAGATAACCTAATGCAGAATTAGTAACCTAATCCATTGTAATATCTACTGTCTTAAGTGATGATGCGGTAACCAATGATTAAAGGCCTTGAAATCCAGAAAGACAGAAATAAGTTTTAACATACTGGATAAATACACTGTACTTGATCACAACAGGTTGTATAGTTATGAGAAGGACAATTCCCCCCAAACAAACAAATAAATGTCTACTCCAGTTTATACATCAGTTTTTAATGTGTATAGTGTGAGTCAGTTCTCCTGATTCTAATTAATTAATGCTGCATGAACTAATAAGTCTTGGAGCAAGCAACACTGATGCCCCTGCATCAGAATTGAGAATTCCCCGAGCACTATGGCCTGTGGAGTCTGCCTATTGAAGTTGTTTTATCTCCTGGTATATCTCTCATTAGATATCAGAGTTTAAAAGATCAGGATTCCTATTTCAGTCCTACCAATGTCATTATACCTAATACTTTCTCTGCTTATCAGGAAAGACAAGAATGCTCTAGAAGCCCTTGTAGGAAAGCTGAGGGTACAAAAGACTATACTAAAGATAAATATTACAGCTTAGTGGAAAGTCTCCTCGGACACAGTGAGTAGCAGAGTCTGGAAATGACTGGAAAGTGGTCAAAACAAGCAGACTTCCAGAAGATCTAGATGATCCTTACATGCAAATTTTAGTCGTATACAATTGCCAATACAATTGGAGATTAAGATGCTTTTGTTACTAGCAAAGCTAATTCCTGGGCCACAAAGGAAACTACTTTATTACCTTTAACATCATTCTGTTTTTAATCTAAAAATAATCGTAATCTAAAAATAATTTTAATCTAAAAATAATTTTAGAAAATAATCTAAAAATTATTTTCCAGAGCTCACTCTGTTCTCTATGCATGCCTCTGATTCTCGGCAGTTCCAAAAAGTCGTATCCACTCTCAAGAGGTTTAAAACTTGCCACCACTAAAGAGCAAAGGAATGTGGTACAGGTCTCAGGACAGTTTCAAAGGAAGTGACCCAGAGGCTGAGCAGGGGCACAGTCTTTAGAATGGAGGCAGATCCTCTCAGGCGGCTGGTCTGATGGAGCAACAGTAACTCGGCTGGGTAAATTCCAGCACATTTGGGATGGAGTACAGCATGGTGCTGAGTGCATGGACTCTTGGAGTCTGTCTCCCGGGTTCTAATCCTGGCTCTGCCATTTACTGGCTGTATGACCTTGGGCAAGGTACTTAACCTCCTTGTATCTTAATGTCTTCATCCAAAAATGGATTTAAACCTCATAAGGTTGTTATGAGGATTAAAGCAATTCATGCATTTAGGGTATCTGGCACATAGAAAGCATTGTTTTAGGGCTGATTACTATCACGTACCTTTTGCCCCCTCTTGTGAGATCCCATTGCTGCTTCTGCCCTCCTGGGATGTAGCGGGGGCAGTGCCTCCTCCTCAGTGAGTGCCACCCTGGTGCCCCTGCAAAGTTTTACTTTCTTTTTTCTCTCTCCTTGCCTTCTCTTTCTCCCTCTCACCTTCTCTTTTCTGTATATCACTCTTCGTCTCATCTCTCTCTCAAATATAGGTGAAAATTAATGATGAACCTGACACTATCTTTTTACTTTTGTGGGTTCAATGATTGATATATGTGCTTATATGTCTATTTGGTTTTATAATTTAGGAGAATTATAAAGAATCAGGGAACATATGTTCTATTTGTTTTAGTGTTATAGTGGTAGAAAGCATTGTACTTTATGCTGTGTCAATATTCGCATCTCAGAAGTATTAGTATTTGCAATTTGTAAAAGATGATGTTTGAAATAAACTATTTTCAATGAAATTTACCATTTGAAAATATCTACTTGCAAATTTTGAGGAAGAAAACAACTTTTGAAACTGAGCACCATTTAGAAGTTTTATTCATGTTATACCTAGAACAAAAGGAATTTTTCAAATAAAATGTTAATGACAAAAGCCACATTTCTACGTATTCATTATAGAGGTTATCATAAGGACTGGGATAGGTATAATTTCTAAGAGCTAAAATTAAAATTGGTCTGTTCTCTGTTAGCCAGATGTTGGTGTTGGAACAATGTAATGCATTGCTTAACAGTAGGAGGCACCCACCAGGCTAATTTATGGGATGAGGAATGTTAAGGCCAATCAAGTGATCTAATTGTTTCAACAGTGCTAAAGGATTTATAATAATCTTCAAGATCAAGGCTGTGCTAATCTGAACTTCCCCTTTCCCACCTCCACCCCCTGCTTTCTTCTCCCCCTCCAAGCAGTTATATGGTATTGTGCTTGCCAAGTTTAAGTTGCATAGGAAGCAGTTGAAGTGGGGGCTTGGGTTCCAGTCCCAAGGTAAGATTACATATGAAAATCAGTGGGGGTGGTCTTTCTGTAATTACCCTTTGTGCATTTTGTAAAACTACTGCTGGGCTGGGAATGACTGACAGCCTTGACTCAAGGGAGGTTTGGCCAGGAAAGTGTGTGTTTGTAACGCTGGGGTAGAATTGTGCAGAGAGAGAGCCCCAGGGGATCAAGGAATCAGGGCACTGAGGTAGCCAGTCCTCCCTCAACTGACACACCTTCATTAGCTCCTCAGACTGGCTTACTGACATGAATGTGGATGACATATTAAAAATCCACTTTAACCAATGTGCTGTGAAATGAACTTAGACAACAAGAACATATATGGCTTCCCAGATTTGTTTATTCCAAGCCCTGAAATGCACAGAGGGCAGTGTGATGGATGAGGGATGTCAAGCTCTAGATGACGATCACTTACACAGAGAAGGCATCTGTGTCCCCATAACATTGCACTGTTTGGTTAGATAAAAAGTGAAGTACAGGTATGTGCAATTTGGTTTTTTTCCCCAGTGCATCCAACTTGCTGATTTTTACAGTTATCATAAAGAAAATATCAGCTTTCTAATGCACAAGAAGATTTTTAGCTTTAGTTAAAAAAAAAAAAAGAACAGAAAGGGAAGACAGAGTTTTATCTCAGCCTTTATGGTGGGGCTAATGTTTGCCAAACCATTAACAAGTTAATGTGCAAAATCCTGAGGTGTGAGGGTGAGTGTTATTGTCCTGGCTTTATAGACTGCAGTGGAGAGTACTTAAAAGTTGTATGCCAGGCAAGCAAATCAGCTGGGGACTGGATTTCATGAGGCGAGGGACCCTTTATCTATAACACTGTGATTAAGAAGGGAAAAGACACAGGATAAGAAGACCACGAGGAGAGAAGTTGTGAGGAAGAAGCAGGACTGGTGAGAGCCACGCCACGTGGAATATAAGAGTCATAGGTTCCCTTTAGCATTGGAGTCGACTGGACACAGGACAGGGAGGAGATCTTGGGATGCTGCCATAGGCTTCTGTTTGCCAGCCTCGAGGCTTCGCTGGCACCACTAGGAAAACACAGTACTTTTGTTCTGGTGTGAGTTGCCTGGATGTCGGCATTCGTTTTTGGGGGGCAGTAGGGGTGGGAGTGTTGGGGGAGGGGAGGGTGAGGGAGAGGGGAGCTTCCTTTCTCTATATCCTAATCCATATTTTCTAATTGATCTTGCTTCTCCGTGAGTATTGGTTTCCTCACCTGGAAAATAATTTAACTTTGGGGAAGATTAAATGAGGCACTGCCCACTATAGAACAGGCATTCATTCCACATCCATTTCCCTTTCTCTCTTTTCAAAAACCTTCAGGGATTTTTAAATGACATACTGCCTGAGTCATCAGCAAAGGATGTCAAGGCACACAATTCCTCTGCTGGGGTTTGGTTCTCAGGGGAGCCCTTCTGCTGGGGACCTCAGCTGCCGCAGAAGAAAGGGGTAGACGCAGCAATCGCTCCAGCTCTTCACTCCCAACTCCCCAGGTCAGCGAGTGGGCCACCTCACTCAGCCCCACAAAAGGCTTGGTGGAGACCAGCTAATTAGGGCTCACACGAAGTCCGGCAAAACAAAGCCCAGATAAGGGCATGAGGAAACCATAACTTTGTCCTGTTTTTTCACACAAGACTGCCCATTTTCCAGAAGACAACTAAACCTGTTTCTGGAGACCATAAATATCAACACTTGCAATCACCAGAAGGTTCTGGACCAGGCTATTTTCAGACCTGGGTTTAGGCACCTGCCTTGAGCTGTGTTCTCCTCCCTCTCTCCCCTCCTCCTTCCCAGGGAGTGGCAGTAAGGTAGAGATGATTGACAGGTAGCTCTAACAAACTGCAAATTTGAAGGGGAGGTCCACACCAAAGTCACTGTTCCCACCCCCAACTGCCGAGAGGGGAGCAGTGATATTCTTAATAAACCTGCCCCATAGACAGACTTCTGTCACAAGAGAGAAATAGGAAGAATTTGCTTCTCTTTCCTTTCTCTGGTTAAAGGGCTGCTTGACTCTTAAGATCCTCATCTTGGCAATTTTCTACATAGAGTTTCCATTAAATGACAAGCTTGGACAACGGCTTCAAATAATATGACTTGAGGAACTTAGTTTAAGAAAGCATAATAACTGCCTGGAATGAAAAGTATTTAGGTGAAGAGAGATGTGAAATAATGATAGCTTTAGTTTACCACATCAGATTTGGTGACAGCTTGTGTGTTCTCATGTGTTGATATTTGATATCAGCATGAAAGTGAGTGTGGGCTATTTTGTGCATGACGCAGGGTCCACGTGGGAAGTGTGGGAGCTGCGGATGGGATGGGTGGGTGAACCATGTCGTATGAAAGAAATTGTACCCTGACTGACTTAATTATTTGCAAGGGTGGTTTAGAAAAGTCATTTCCTTCAATCATTCAGATCCAAAGTACTTATCTTGCAAACACCCACCCTCCCATTCATGAAAGCATGACTTCTCTTTCACTCAAAAGCCTACCTGCTCCTGGCAAGAGAGGTGAAAAATCAGTGGCTTCTAGGCCTGTAGCAAATAGAAAAGCACCGGTTTTACCATTTACCCATCCATCAATGATTGTTTATTTTTGCAACTGGCTTGATAGTAGCTAGAGAACATGCAGTTTAAACATCCACAAAACAAATGCTTTGAAATTTGATTTGAATATATAAGAGGATACCCTCACTGCAAAAACAACCCTACATTCAATTAAAATGGAAAATCTACTGTCTGCTCACTTCAGCTAAAATCTAAGATCTTGTCCTCAAAATAAGGTAGATTCTGGCACACCCTCTTATGTTGGGGTTGCTTTCTTTGCCTTTCAACAATTAGTCAAAACTGCCAAGTGTTGAAAGGAGTTCCCATTCTCATGCCCCAGTGGAAAAGAAGCAAATTCCTACCCTCCTTTCTAACCTGAGCCAAGGTCTACCATCAGCCTTTGTGTTTCACTAAGTCACTTGTTTACACCTGGGGCATGAGGACTGGTAAATTCAGGCTGCTGTTTAGCCAGTACACACAAGTATAGCCATAGCCATAGTAGAATATCCTAACATTTTCCCATTGGCTGATAAATAGCTGTTCTCTGAGCCCCTTGGGCACCCCTCCCCACCCTCTCTTCTGACCACCTGGAGCACCCCCATGATATGGCAACTGAAGGGTCAACATGTGGCACAGCTGGGGCCTTCAGGGAAACTGGGTTGATTGTTCAACCCCCTTTCCCTCCCAGTTGTTAATTTGAATATCACTCCTGGCTTGCATTCATCATGCTGAAAATGACTGATTACACATCTACCTTCCTCACTATTTCATGCAAACTCTTAAATGTTATGGTGACATCAATAGTCCTTTACTACTCGGGTAAAGAAGGAGCCAGTAATTAGACATTACACCTAGGAATTTGTCTCAGTCTATGCACTTAGCTTCTTTCCTCTTATTCAATGGGGGTTTGATCCCTAGGGACACAGGCATTTATTCAACAGTTTAGACCAGTTAATTAAAACTTCAAGGCTTCTGTAAATACAATTCTTCCTCTGCAAGCGCCAGAACACTTGGTATGCAGGCATGGTAAGAGAAGTAAAAGCACAAAAAATAAAAAATGGAGGTGGCCCCATTCCTTTCTATGTTCAGGGGCTTTCCAAGCATGGGCCCAAACTGTGATGCATGAGGAGGGACCCAGGGCGGCCATGACCTGGCTCATGTCACCTCAGCCACACTCCAATTGAACGCTCATGTCTTATTGAGGTATGGTTTCTTCAGGGGGCTTCCTAGCAGCTGAATTCTTCTCGTGAAAAACACAGGGGCTGCTGGGTGTATAGATTATTTTTTATTTCTTCAGAAAGAAGAAATAAAAAGAGCTCAAAAGTCCTGTTCTTTGCTGTTTTGTTTTTTAAGTTTGCACATTTGAATGAATATATAGTGTGTAAGACAAACTAAGTGATAAGAACATTTTCAAATGTTAAAATTTAAGTGCCTTCAAAGTTAAATCAGTAAATAATGACAATATGCAAGTGGCCACTGCATATGAGCAGGGATTTATAGAATTCGAATTTCACATGAGCAGAGCAAAACTGGACTTAACTTTTTAAAAAGTCAACTTCAAACCAGAGGGAAAAGCTGTAGCAATCAGTGCGGTGTTTTTAAACCTGAGTAACTTAAGGGTCATTTCAAAGGAAGAAGTCCATTGGAGTCCCAGTCTTAATCTGAGATAATGCTACTTAGATATCTAAAGCAAAAATGAGACACAAACATTTCATGCTTTAAACTGTTATACAATTCCAAAGAAATTTTCAAATGAAGTAAAAACAAAACTAAACATAAATGAAATTTAAAATAATAAATTATTTCTTTATATTATTTTAAAAATTAAAATGATTTATTATTTTAAAATAATAAATTATTATGTGATTTTAATATTGACAGATGAGGTTTTATTGAGAATAAATTGCCTCTTGCAATGGGAATATGGTGTTGCCTACTATGATATGCATTCTGTTCAGTTCAATATTTATCACTGTAGGCTTTTGGAGTGACTCAGTTCTCCCACCCATTTTCTCCATTTAAACTCCTGAAGATCCATCCTTGCATAGCACATTGTTATAGCATTTGGACTTTACTTGGTGTAAGCACATCATTTATGTATCCGAACTTCTTCTTTTCTCTTTTAGCTCTGAAGTTCAAGTAGTGTTATTTGACAATGATTTGATTATAAATACTCAGGCAAACACAAACCCTGAAATCATATGGCATTTCTTGCTCATAATAAAAATGACTAATAGCTATAAGCTGCTTAATATAAGCCAGACACTGTTCCAAGTGCTTTATGTGTTTTAATCCATGTAACCCTCATTGCCGCCTCATTGCATTGGGGTGCAAATGAAGTCACTCCATATGCACATGAGAAAACTGAGGTACTGAGAATTTCCAAGGTCACAGAGCGAGTAAGGGGCAAAGCCAGGATGTAAACTTAGGCAGCCTGTTTCAGAACCAAGCTCTTAACCACTGCGCTCTACTTCGACAGGTAATTGTAATCCAGAATATGCTTACTTTTTTTATGAAATATAATAAAACTCAAAATTAAACATTCCCCTAGAACAGAGTTAGGGCCTCTTAGAAATCATCCGTCAACCCCAATTTGAAGAACAAACATTCAATTATCTACTCTTAAACCCATTACTATTTCCAGGAGTCACTACAGCATGGTGTTCTTTAATTCTTTTTTTTTTTTTTTTTGAGACAGAGTCTTGGTCTGTCACCCAGGCTGGAGTGCAGTGGCGCGATCTCGGCTCACTGCAACCTCCGCCTCCCAGGTTCAAGCCAGTCTCCTGCCTTAGCCTCCCGAGTAACTGGGACTACAGGCACGTGCCACCACACCTGGCTAATTTTTTTATTTTTGGTAGAGACGGGGTTTCACCATGTTGGCCAGGCTGGTCTCAAACTCCTTGTGATCCACCTGCCTTGGCTTCCCAAAGTGCTAGGATCACAAGCGTGAGCCACTGCGCCTGGCCTAATTCTTTAAATTATAAAAATATATCCTAATTTTATCCACAATGACCTCAGTTAACCATAAGGTATTTTCTAAGGCCATAGAACTATATTAGATAATTGATATGAACCCTTGTTAGTAATCAAGATGATAAAAGATATGACACGTAGACACATTGAAATGTAAATATTTATACTGTCTTAACAAGCAAGGGTAATCAACTACAGATAAGGCAGGAGTCAGTGTCATTGCCTCTGATAGGAATCAGGATGAGGCTGAGTATTCTGGGGTGAGTGGGGTAAGCTCTGAGAGACAGTAGGAGACTAGTGGTTGGCTGGAAACTTCAGAGGAAAGGCTGGGTGCAGAAACCCACCCAAGTTCCCCCTCCCTGGGAGTGGCCACTGGCAGAAACTCCTGGAGACAATGATCAGAAGTTGTAACTAACCAGGACTTGAATGAAAGGTTTCAAGAAATCTGGGAGTAGCAGACTGGGAAGATTCAAGAAGCAGGCATAGAAAAACATCTGAGCCTTTTGCCCTTGATATATATATATATATGAATACTTACTTCCTCCATTTACATATATAAAATTATATATATATGAATACTTAGTTCCTCCATTTACATGTATAAAATTATATATATATATATATATATATATATATATATATATATGAAGATTTCCTCCATTTAGGTATTTGTTCAAGTTTCTTTCTCATTTGTCTATGTCTTCAACAGGTTCATCTTTATCATTGCTATTTACTTGTCTTAGATTGCAAATGAAGACAAAGTAGGGAGCACGTAGAGTTTACTCTATACATCACAGTACAGTAAAAGACATCTAAAGGGCTTTTGAATGATGAATTATTCAAATTTATTTACTTATTGTGCACTTATATAAAATTCTTTTTTTTTCTTTGAGACGGAGTCTCGCTCTGTCACCCAGGCTGGAGCGCAGCGGTGCAATCTCGGCTCACTGTAACCTCCACCTCCCGGGTTCAAGCAATTCTCTTGCCTCAGCCTCCTGAGTAGCTGGGATTACAGGCTCGTCTCACCATGCCCAACTAATTTTTGTGTTTTTAGTAGAGACAGGGTTTCACCAGGCTGGTCTCGAACTCCTAAGCTCAGGTGATCCACCCGCCTCAGCCCCCCAGAGTGCTGGGATTACAGGCATGAGCCACTGCATCCAGCCAAATATATAAAATTATTTGTGAGCTATGAATGGGTGGAAGTATGAGTAACCTAGGGTCTGACTGTTTGGAAATTTCACACAGTAAGATAATGAAGGGTACACATGAATGGAACAGATAGTAAGGCCTGCCACTGAATAGTAGCAGTAGTAGCAGTAGTAGCAGTACTAGTAGTAGTAGTAGTAGTAGCAGCAGCAGTAGCTAGGCTCTTGGGTTGTGGGGTAGAGCCAATTCCAATCTCAGCTCTATGAACCACTGTTTGGGTGTTCTTGGGCAAGATAACCTCTTCTTATCTATAAATGGGGATGATGATGTTGATAGTAATACCTGTATCATAAGGTTGTTATGAAGACTAAATGAGACGATACATGTACCATGTTTAGCATGTCTGCTGTGTAGAATCTAGCTCATCAAATGTGAACCTGCAGCTGCTGAGGCTCTGCTAACAATAACCGTGTCTGAACAAGGGTGCGCTTTCCAATTCGATTGTGCCAGACTCACTACAGGATGTAGAAGGTGAGGAGAGAAACCCCGCAAGAGACAACATTAATTTGGTAGTGCCTGGGGTCAGCGTGTGTGTGCACCACTGCCCTCTACTGGAAGCAGTTCCCACAGATTTCTAAGAAATAACCAAGTGATTTCAGCACTCCCTTGTTTCAACATCCTGTAGTCTCCTTTGCAGAGAGCTTCACAGCCCATCTGAGATAATCTCCCCCCCTTTTCTGATACTTAGAGGCAGAAAAAATCCTATTGTCTGCTAGCCTCAGCTTCTCACCTGCTTTTAACTAATATGCAGTCTGGACAGGTATTGATTTTTCTGCTTTTCTCTGATTGCACTCATCAGTCATTTTATATTACTGGAGAGTCCATTAGCAATAAAAATAAAGGATGGATGTTACAAAGCCCATTAGAGAAACTTGCTCTCTGGATCTTTGGGACCAGGAAAACAATTAAAAGCACGTCATCTTATAAACATTCTAATAGAATTATTAGAAGGGTGAATAAACCCAGGATGTGATTACCAAGGGATGAAATGAAATCCTCCTTACTAGTCAATTAGAAGGGATTGCCCCGATGTTCCATAACACTGTGGTATGTAGGTGAGATGAAAAGATTAAATACTAGAATAAAGGACCATTACACAACAGAGATTCAGCTGTAGGCTCCCGCATAAGTGAATTTCAGGGCTATGATGAAGAATCTGAGATGAGAGAAAGGAAGTGTTTAAATATAAAAGAAAGAAGTGACTATCCAATTCTGACTTGGAAATGTAGGTAAGTTGATGAAACAAAGCCATCACTTCACTAGGTTGGGTCTAACTTGCTTCCCTTGTGCAGACGGTCACTGAAATTCTTCATGAGAAACGGAGAATAAAGCAGGACCAGACTCCAAGACTCTGATGCTTGTTGCCTGGAGAATGTTACTGATGCTGCTGCAGGTCCTCATGCTTCCTGGGTTGGCATGAGCTATGGATGTGAGTGACTAGCATCATTCTTAGCACAGGTTGGTACTCAAATATGTTAGTTCTCTTTCTCCTTTCCCCACTGGTGGGAGGGTGCATAGAATCAATGATTTTGAGAAGCCCATATTTCCAGTGACTATTATGCTGCATTTAACTTAATTTCCTTTTATTTTCATTAGCTTCTAAGTGTAAACAGTTTTCACATTAAGGGCTATTTGGACGTTTATTCTCTTTAGATGATCACTGAGTATATGTTAAGTTGGTTGAGGCTCTTTGGTCCAGAAAGCAGTAGATACTTGCAAAAAAATCATGTTATAGGTGGCAAATTTTTTTTCAACTTTTATTTTGGGTTCAGGGGGTATACGTGCAGGTTTTTTACTGGGTAAATTGTGTGTTTCTGAGGTTTGATGTACGAATGATCCCATCACCCATGTAGTGAGTATAGTACCTGATATGTTGTTTTTCAACCGGGGTCTCCCTCCCTACCTCCCACCTCTGGTAGTCCTGAGTGTCCAGTGTTCCCATTTTTATGTATAGGAGGCAAATTTTATGGTTTTTTTTCTCTCATCATAACAAGACATCAAGTTGTTTGGCATTGTACTAGGTTTTTCTACTGATTATAAAGTTGCTACACTGTGTTCTTTTCTCTAGATTGTAATTTATTATCTGTAAGTAGTATAACAGTAAATACTGAGAATAATTTTTAAAATTAACAATTCCACCTCTCTTATATATGAAGTATTTACATTTTCCATGTTCTTCCAATCTTTATCCATGTGGATGTTTACTCTTTATGTAGATTCTTGCATTTTTTAATTTGATGTTATTTTACATGCATTTTAATGTTACTTCATGGTAGCCATAATTACAATTTTAATGGTTGCAAAATATTTCATTAGATATATGTCTTAATTTACTTAGTAAATTATCTATAGAGGCATTAAAAGTTTTTACCATCAAGTTTTTAAAAACCACTATAAATAATGTCATCATGGTTATAAAAACAGATCTCTTTCTCCACTTAAATCTCAGTATTTCCTCTGAATAAATTTCCAGGAGTTGGATTATGATTCCTGATGTGCATGGCTAATTGTTTTCCCAAAAGATTGTGTTATTTTGCTCTGCCAAGAGCAGTGGATGAGACTTCTCTTGCTTATCCTCTCAACAGCATTTGATACTGCTGACCATGCCTGCCTTCTACAAATACTCTCTTCCCCAGGGCTCCCTAGGTGCCTTTCTATTCTAGTTTTTCATCTACCTCTCTGGCTATTCTTCTTTGATCTTCTTTGTCATCCCCTCTGCCTCTATCTTTTTCTTCAATGTTTGTGTCCATCAGGGCTCAGGCCTGGGCTGTTTTTAAGGCTTCCCTTTGGAATATCTCATTCCCTCTACAGTGGGTTTAATTACTGTATCACTGGTCATGTGATATCCTCTGCACATCAGACATATATCTCCAAATGCTAAGTGGGCATGCTGGTCTCCCTGTCTCCAGTCTTGTTCCCTCAAAACCATTCTTCATAATCCAGGCACAGTGATCTCCCAACACATAAGTTGGAGCATAAAATTGAGATTCCGAGACAAGAATCCCAAGACCCTTTATGGGATCTGCCTGTCCCTCTTGCTGCTCTGTGTCCCACTCCACTCTCCTGCCCTTTCCTTGTGTGTGCCATGACTTCATCTTACCTGTCTTCCTATTCACACTCTTCTTCCAGCTCTTTGTCTGACTGACTCCTACTCATCCTTCAGGTCTCAGAGAGGCCTTTCCCGAGCACTAGGCAACTTAGCTTTCCCTGTTAATGCTCTCCAGGTCCCTTATCCAGTTATACCATTTGCTACACTTGAGGCCTGTTCCTGGGTGCATCAATTTCCCAGCACCTCTGGCTTCCCTGTGCATAGGCCAAGCATTATCCTAAGTCCAGCTGACGTACTTAGCAGCAGGTGTTTGCAGAGGCTGTGGTTGTGCACAGAAGCAGTGAGCGCTGAGGGCATATGGACAAGGCACTGATAGCCTCTGCTGCAGTCTACTCCTTCCACTGCCTAAATGCACTCATGTGCCCTGTTAGATTCACGCTGACCCATCCCTGATTCTGCAAGAAGGTGATGGTGGCTCACCCCACTCTCACTTAGTTTTCCTCTCAGTTTCTTAAAAGGAAAACTTTACAGGAGGGGTGCTTGTGGGCTGGTGGCACAAGCTGCCATCCTTGATGTTGCCCTGAGGCCATGGCTAATATTCATCTTTGCAGAAGGCAGCTTTCTGGTCTAGGTTGCTTGCCTGGTGGAATAACCCTGAAATTTACCTCTGAGGATCTGAACTTCTGGTGGCCATGTTTTTGTCAGGCTCCGATTGCCTCTGGTGATTGTGCCTAAAGTTTCAGGAATAGGAAGCATGAATTCCCTAACTCAGTCAGTGGAAGTAATGATGAAATGACCCACTCTTCCCATCTGTTCAAAGTATCTAAAGTATACTGTGTATCTGGAAAGATGACTGGGCCTTTTTGGGGGTTTTTGGATACTCTCAAGCTGGCAGCCTCCAGCTTGTGCAGCATATAAAAAGTACAATGGGTCCTGCAGGTATAGCCACTGTTGCACTCCCTTGCCATAGAGTGGGTCCCTGGGTCTGAAGCAATGTTATGAGTGATGTGAACAAGTCAGAAGCTCTGAGAGCACTCAGATGGTGGGCCTGGCCCAGGCATGGTGGGCAGGGGAGGTAAAATCCAGGCCCAGAACGTATATCAATCTTAATAAGGACAAATTACTGCCCCAGCTCTTGTCCTAGGTGGACGGGATCTGATATAATCAACTTGCACCAAGTGTTTGTTTGGTCTCCTCCAGGCATGGTATCTTATCCAGCCCTGGGGTTTGTTTCTGCTGCTGAGAGATCAGACAGCAACAGCAGTAGCAGTTGGATCAACCTCAGTGTTTGATCTTTCCTCCTCCCTCCTGCTAATTGCTCTGTCTACCTGATTTTAGATACCTGACCCTAAACAGGCAGAGACATATTTGTTAATGAGACGTTGCTAATGATCTTTTCGCTCAAACTAGGTGCTCTTATCTCCTGCTGTTTCTTCAAAGAGTAATTTTCCCAGATGTGTTTGTGATCCAAGCTCAACAGATCACATTGTACTTCAAATAGGCAGCAACAGAAAACTTGGATCAAAGTAAAACTAAAACTACAACTTTGGAAGGAAGAGGTGGGAGATTCTGCTCTGGAAGAATCAGCTGACAGGAGCCTAGGAAGGAGAGGAAGCTGACCCAGGGACCTAATTCTATTTAGTTACTAATCTGCTGTAAGCAATTACATTTGAAGATCCAATTTTGCAAAAGATCAATGAGAACCTCTGGATTTCTCTCTTGTAGTAGTTGTGTAATGATCTGAAGCTCATAAGCCCAGGGACATATCTTATTTTCCCCCATATTCCCAATGCCTGAGCCAGTGCCCTGCTCAAAGTCCCGAATAAATATGTATTTGTTGAGTGGACAAATAAACAAACAAATGGATGAAGTCTCGTAGATAGAGGGTGCTTTGTAGGAAATCATTTGAGTAGCAAGATTCTCCAACCCACGTAACACAGGACCTGATTTGCAGAACTTTGTTTAGACATAGCATTTCAAGAGCACGTTTTCTGAACCATAAAGGAAAGTAGGGTTCTAGATGAATAATGCCTTTTCACAGTGTCTGAGTCACCTCACACCCCTCACCCTCATCTGATAACGGCCCTTGGCAGATCTGCCCTTTTGCAGGGGATTCCCCAAGGCTCTCACCTCTTGCCTGCCCCTGTGTGTGTGACTGCAGCAGGCACAGGGTTGCCAGGCACCAGAATATAAGCACAGAGCTGGAGGAAATGGGAGGAATGATAGGGCAAGTTTATGGCAGTGAAACTTCCTGACAGTATGCATTTATGGGAATATCATACACATTTCACCTTATGATGGTATTTTTTATGCTGACAGGAAGATAAAGCTGGGCAACAACGGAAAAGTTGACTACCAAGGTAGTGTTGAAAAGGAAAGAGTTTGTTTCAATGAGACATTCTCATTATAGATGTTGGCTTAGTCCAAGCTTCTGCCTCCTCTCCCATCACAGAGGTTCTCTTCTTCTAATATATTGTGGAGGAGGGGGGTTTGTATCAGTGCAAACTGTACTGCCTCTCTCATGCTCTTGCTTCTACAAACACCCCTCTCCAAACAAGGACACCACAAGGGCGTGACAAGCGGTGCTCATCACAGCCTCTAAGCTTCAACATAACAGGATTGTCTTTCTCTTCAGTTAGATAGGGACATTTAGATAGAGCTTTGTCCCTCAACAATCTATTGAAGAGAGCAAAAGCAGTAGAGGCCCAACAGAAGTTCATTTTGGAACTTGCTAAATTAAAAGTAAATAACACTCAGCATATTAAATGCCCTCTAAAAATATGTGAAAGTACTCAAAGGCCTTGGCATCCAGGAAGTTCCCTGCAGGATGTCCACCTGCACTCCAGTGCTAGCTCTGGGAAGCTGTATGAGCCTGGTAAGTCTTGTGCCTTCCTGGGCCTTGGTCTCCTCCTCTGTTAAATATGTGATTTGGACCTTCCTTCTTTCCTTCCTGCCTTCCTGCCTTCCTACCTTCCTTCTTTCTCTCCTCTCTAGCTCTCAGTATAGAAACCCTTTCTTTAGATGCGATCTCTTAAGAAAGGAAAACTAATATATATAAGAATATTAAGCATGAACCTTCTCTGGTTAAGCGAAGCAGGAGAGAGGTCGGAAGTATATGTTTCCAGAAGCCCCTGAACCTCAGGAACCTCTAGGCTCCAGTTGGAAAAGCCCTGTAGCTGTGTTATTTCATGATCTGCAAACTCTCTACGAGAGCTGCTTTCCTAGTCTTACCAGCCAAAGAAGACGTAGACTTTTCTAGCAAGGAGGACAAAGAGTTCGGGAATATCCATTTCAGTCAGTTTTCAAAACAATCTTGTATCATTAGGAGAAACACAAACTTGGGTCTGAATCCCTATCCTTTAAAGGACTCCTACAGACTTGGCTTGGGGTTCCTAACTGCAGGGAAAATAAATCCTCAATCATTTACCTTCATGACATAGGAGACCCAATGATCAACAGTATTTCTCTGTATAATCTTCTTTCTGACAAGCTCTCCAAACAAAAGAAAAGAGAAAGAGAAATGGCCATAGGAGGGAAGACTTTCTTCTAGGGCATTTGAGAAGATTGTCAGACCCAGATGCGAGGCACCACCTTTCCACCTTATGCCTCATTAATGGAAATAACGCAAAAGCCCAGATCTAAGGCAGAGCTTCCCACCTATGAACCTGCATCTCAATCTTCACCTTCCAGGAACCAGACAGTGTCTTCTAGGCTGATTACTTCCAGTTTATCTCATTATGATGTCCACATATTATAGCTCCCCTCTCCCTTGTGATGAGCATGGAAAATATCAGTGACTCCAAATCCCAATTCTTTCACCTTAGAAAACAAATCTGAGAATCCCTCTACCACCAAGCACAGTACCTGGATACAACAGGCACTCATTAAATGTTTGCTTAGCCAATGCAAGGATAAATGAATGAAATTCCTCATCCCTGTATTCATTTCTGAAGACCTGCTGGTGAAAATTTAGCTCTAAACATCTTTCAGATTTATTCCACTGAGGTATGAAAAAGGGAAAATAAATGACGATGCAAGTGAAGTCAGGAGCTGGCACAGAAAGTGCAATTGGATTCTGCTTCCCCCGTAATTAAGTGTGCCCAATGCTGCTGACTTAGGCGATGACAGCGTGCAGCTTGCCTGCCCACCATGGGTGCGTGGGAGGACGGGCAGCCCTCAGGATACCGCTGCACAACACGCTTGCCACCTTATCAAGATTTCCACAGCCACAGGAAGATTTCTCAGCCCGCCATGCCCCTGCGGACTGCCCTGTGCTATCATCCCCCTTCCTGGCTGAAGACACGCTGGCTGTCACCTCTTCTCCTCCCCGGAGATGAGCATCTTTCCTGGGCCTGCCTTGGTGTTTTGACAGCCACTCCATGTCCCCGCTGCTCAGAGAGGGAAAGCCACTAGGGAGGCCCTCGATGGAAATATTACCCCCTGTCCAGGGTAGCATGGGCTTGATCGCGCCTGATTATTTCTGATCACTGTCACTGGGCCAAGAGCACAGTGAAGTCAAGAAAGAAATGGCTTCATTAGTGTGAGTGCAGAGGTCTGGGAAGGCAGCAGTGGCGTGGAGGACCTGCTTTTGTGAGGGCAGTGAAGAGAGAGGAAGGAGTGGTGTCTTTAGATTGAGGTATCTTGAGATTCCTGCTTTCTCCACTCACTTCAACTGCCCATATAGGTTCTGCAGGTTCCAGAAGGTTCTAGAACTTGCACAGGATCGAACCTATAGCTTCTTATGGAACAAACACAGAATCAAGAAAATCTGGTGGCAGTCACCTGGTTTAACTCCTTTGAGCTCTAGACCAGAAATTAAATAGTGCTTAATCTGTTACTTTAAAGAAGCCTAGTTCTAACTTTTCCTCAGCTTGCTCCCTCTTTTGACTAGGATCGGAAGGGTGGGTGCAAATGGCCAGCTCCCCGTAGGTTTGCCTCTTTGAGCCCTAAGTTTCCCACCACTTCTCTGCACTACAGGCTTTGCCCAGGGTGGGATCCTCAGCCCAGGAACCTTGTTTGTCCTCCTCTTGATGCGGGTGCCTGCTGCCCAGCCACACACCCTCAGATTCATTTTTAAAGAAACATCAACAGCTGTTACATAGCAAATGAGCCGTTCAAAGAGCTGGGATGACTTTGAAAAAGGGCTTGAGGACAGCAGTTGACCTCTGATCGTCTCCACTCAGATGCCCTCTCCCTCCTACCCTTTCTCCCCGTCCCTGTCCTCTGCTCTCCCAGCGAGCCTGTCTGCTCTTCAACCCTCCTCCCTGCCCGATTGTGCTGTCTCTTCAACACCTCCCATGTTGCTTGATTCCTAAAATAACATAGGGGAAAACATTTGTTTGTTTGTTTTGAGACGGAGTCTCCCTCTGTCACCCGGCTGGAGTGCAGTGGCACAATCTAGGCTCACTGCAATCTCCGTCTCCTGGGTTCAAGCGATTCTCCTGCCTCAGCCTCCTGAGTAGCTGGGACTACAGGCACATGTCAGCATGCCTGGCTAATTTTTGTATTTTTGGTAGAGATGGGGTTTCACCATGTTGGCCAGGATGGTCTTGATCTCTTGACCTCGTGATCCACCCGCCTCGGCCTCCCAAAGTCCTGGGATTACAGACGTGAGCCATCGCGCCCAGCTGAAAATATTTTTTTAAATAAAGAAAATGAATCCTCAAGCCAACTGCATTGTTTCGGTTGTTGATTTCAATGCTATCCTCGCTGGACTTTTGGTGGGAGTCAGCGGTCCGTTGCGAGGAAGCTAACCTCCCCGGGCTGGAGTCTTCGGGGAGGCCCGCCGGACTGCCCCGACACTCACCATCCTCATTGAGGACTGTCCCTCTCAGGAGAGCTGCGACTGAAGGACAAGTGGAAATCCTCTGATCAGAAAGTATAAAACAGGACACCTTTTCAGCATCAGATTTGACTAGTAAGTAACCCCGCTTCTCTGGGCTAGGCCACCAGCCAATTCCTCAATGGAGGGCAACCAGTGCGTGAGGAGCAGGGCTTAGGAATAATTGGGTCACAGCTCTAAGGCTCCTTTCCTGACTGGGGTCGTTATTTCTAGCTCTTTGCCTTCCCTACCCATGGTAGGATTGTACTACTGAACCTTTTGTGACTGTGTGGGACCACGTGTTGATTCCAGCCAATGACAGTGCACAGATGTGATGTATGTTATGTCCAGACTGGAGTATTTGAATATCAGCCTGAGAACCTCCACACCTGTTTTTCCTTCTACCATAGGAACGTGGTGGTTGCTCTATTAGCCTGGGTGCCAGAGAAAGAGCAATGCAGAATTGAGTCTTCAGCCAAACTGTGATGAATAGGGAGTGAGACTGAGAAATAAACCTTGTTTTTCAGTCACTGAGGTTTTGGGGTTGATACTGTTGCGCAGACTAGCCTATCCTGCCTGATAAACAAGGTACCACTCTCTGCCCCACCCTCTTCCTCTTGACCATAATACCAGGAGTGTTTCAACCTGGGGAGAAAGGGCAGTATTTCTTAGAAGAGAGGGAAGCCCCATCAAGCTCCTGGCACGGCGTTGGCTTCATTGAGCAGTTGAGAACCTATGGGGAGGTGTTAAACCAGCTCACTTGGGTTGAATTTTGAAGACCGCCCAGGACCAGAAGCTAACTCCGAAGCAGCTGTAGAGACTGACCTAGCACCCTGCTGGCATGCCCTGGGAGCCCAGGAGCTGGGGTGTGGGCTACCAGAGCTTTCTGAGAGCTTTGCCATTCACGCCCTGGGTTGTTTGGCCCTGTGTGTGTGAGCTGGTGGGACTGCTGCCTGTGTGTTGAGACAGGAGGTGGAGAGGCAGGAAGAGGGAGGAGATGATTTGTGATGTAGCCCTCCTAAAGTCAGCTAGGCTGACTAAGTATAGCATGCCATCCTGGGTCACAGCCCTCCCTCCCTCCCTCCTTCCCTCCCTTCTTTCCTTCCTTCCTTCTCCCTCCCTCCATCCCTTTCTTCCTTTTTTCCTTCCTTCCCCTTTTCCTCTCTCCCTCCCTCCCTTCCTTCCTTTCTTCCTTTTTTTCCTTCCCTCTTTCCACCTTTCTTTCCTCCCTCCCTCCCTCCCTTCCTCTCTTCGTTCTTTCTTTTATTCAAGAACTATTATTGAGCATGGACCACATCCCAGGCACTGTGCTATGTCCCGGAAACACAGTGGTGAGTAAACCTATCATAGCTGTGGCCATCCTGTAGCTTAAGTTCCTACAGAGATGAGGCCAGTGATGTTGGACGCAGAGGCACCCAGCCACATTTTCAATGGTGGCTAAAGAATGCTCCCAATGACTGTGTAAATGTGTCCTGTCAGAACCATGGGGAATCTTTTCTGTCCCAATGCCCCTCCATGTCCAGGTAATAAATATTTTCTCCCCTCAAGGGAATCACCTCTTGTCATCTTTGCTCCTCTGCTTGGAGTTTTCTTCATGATCCTTCCTGGTAGTTACTTGCGGCTTTTTGCTATTCTGCCCTTTCCTTTAGTTCGTCTTAGTAGGTGGCCCATTTCTGACATTTCCCCACAGTCTCTTGGCTTCTGCCACATCCCATGTCCTCAGCCTCATAGCCCCCTTGGACTTCCTTCCTCATTACAACTAACAGAATTCACAGTTCTTTCCCCTGGCGGCGGCTGTCTTCCGCTCACCTAGCATCGTGGATAGCTCTGCTCCACATGTGTTCAGCAGCGGAGCTGGGCCGCGGCAAGCCTCCCTTCAAAGCTGACATCCTGCTTGTGTTACTAGTCTGCATTATTAAGAAGACCTCTTTGACAGTCAGTGTCCAGTAGGAGCCTGCTAGAGGAGAGAGCAGCAGCGTCTGGGTCTGGCCCAAGTCTCACAGCTGGAAACAAGGGAGGATCTTATCTCTGCTCTTTCAGCATGGCCTAGAGTTTGATGCAATGTGTAACGTGAGCCTCCCAGTCTCCTACCAGCTCCCCGGAGGCTGCAGACACCATGCTCATTTGGCTTCCTCTCATTCTTCTCTGCCACTGCCACGCCACTACCGCTAACAGGCATTACCACGTAGAGGCAAGGACAGATGTCCTTGGCATGAATTCTTGTTCCAGCCCTTCCTAGCTGTGTGATCTTCACTGTAGTATTTAACTCCTCTGTGCCTAAATTTTTCTTCTGTGAAACGCACATGAACTAGTACCTAGTTCACAAGGTGTTGATGATAAGAAGACCCACATAAAGTGCTTATCCCCGGGTCTGTATCTGGATTCTGGCAGCGGGTCAACCATAGCCCCTGCAGGGCACTTCCCACCCCCAAGCTCTCACTCATGAGCATGTACACATTCCAAGCATTGTGCTGGGTCACCTTACATAATCAACCACTCCACCACAATGCGTTCATTGTGCATTGCAAAAGCATTTCAAGACTTCACTCTTGAATGTTTTGTTTTAACGTGACATTAGGTGACACTTTGCTTCATTTTGCAAAGAAATGTAAAATCTGCCTAGTCAATTGGAAGTGGAACTCTGTTCATTGATAATATCAATCAATTTCATGAATTTGTTATTATCAACCAAAGAATAATTACGTATAAATAACAAGCCATTGTCTAGAACTTCAAATGTAGAAATAATTTTTAAAAATCAGGTTTCTAACATGCTTACTGATCCTAATATCAGAGAAAAAATAAAGGTCCATTAATTTGTAATATCTTTTACTTGTTGGTAGTTGTTGTTTTTCCTGATTTAGGAAAGATAAGAGCCTAAGTTATTGATGCTTTCAAACTTTGAGAAAAATATTTTCTGGAAAGGACTTGTGGCATCTGACATTGATGGGGTTCAACATGCTACACCCAAATATGGTACTTTTGCGTATTGAATATTTTAAGCTGAAGGAATTTGAAAAAAATTGCGGAAGCAGAAAGATCTCCCTGGCCTTCCCTGCCCTTCCTCCCTGAAGGATTTTCTGACCTTTCCTAGGAGCAGGTCATAAGACGCTCATGTAAGAGATGTGCTCCCTATACCAGAGGAAAGGAACAACCTCATCTCTGAAGACACAGGGACACAGAGAAGAATCTGAACAAACAGGCCTTGCTAAGTCCCCTCCGTCCCCTAGTTTATTACATTAAATTCTGCCCTTTTTGCCCTATCATATTTCTCCACAAGTGTCCTCTCTTTATCTATCAAACCTAGCATAAAAATACACAGATTTAACCATTTCTTTGGATCCTCATTTCCTTATGAAGACTTCTGTGTCATGTAAAACTTAAACAAATGTGCATGCATTTCTCTCTCTCTTTTTTTTTTTTTTGACAGGGTCTCGCCTTGTCACCTAGGCTGAGGTGCAGTGGCATGAACACAGCTCACTGCAGCCTCGACCTCCCTGGCTCAAGTGTCAAGTGACCCTCCCGCCTCAGCCTCTGGAGTAGCCGGGAGCACAGGCATGCATCACGCCTGGCTAATTTTTTTTTTTTTTTGAGATGGAGTCTCACTCTATTGCCCAGGCTGGAGTGCAGTGATGCGATCTTGGCTCACTGCAACCTCCGCCTTCCAGGTTCAAGGGATTCCCCTGCCTCAGTCTCCTGAGTAGCTGGGATTACAGGCACCTGCCACCATGCCCAGCTAATTTTTGTATTTTTAGTAGACACGGGGTTTCACCCTGTTGGCCAGGCTGGTCTTGACTCCTGACTTCAACTGATCTGCCTGCCTCAGCCTCCCCAAGTGCTGGGATTACAGCCATAAGGCACCATGATGCTTGGCTAATTTTTAAATTTTTTGTAGAAATAGGGTCTTCCCGTGTTGCCCAGGCTGGTCTTAAACTCTGGGGCTCAAGCAATACCTCCTACCTCAGCCTCCCAAAATGCTGGGATTATAGGCATGAGCCACCACATCCAGCTGCATTTCTCTTTTTAATCTCTTTATTGTTTAGGGATCTAAGGCACTTTTCCTCCCCTACATCTTTGAGAACTTCTGTAACACTAGATTTATAACCTGATTTTCTGGTAAAAGGCATCTCAACAAGTATCAGAGAACTATCCAAAGCTGATGCATATTTATCTGAACTCCTTTATGTCAAATCTCTTATCATCATTGAAATCTTTAGTTTTTTATATATATATATATAAAGTATATATGTTATATAAATATATGTTTTATATATGTGTTGTATATGTTATATAAATATATACTTTATTTATACACATATAAAGTATAATACATTATATATATTTTATATATATTATACATATATACGCACACATATATAAAACTTGGGTGTGTTTACTTATAAACAACACTAAGCAGAGTTTCTGCTGACAGACCTGTCAAAGGCTGGCTTCCTGAACATTACCACCAGAGCCCTTTAATAAGCAAAGCAGAGAGTATTACTCACCATAGTACAGAAGAGCAAACACCATCTAGGCAGAGCTTTGGCAATGACTCAGAGGAGAAAGGTGACATCAGAATTTCTTGAAAATTGGAAGTTTGTTAGCAGTAAGATCAGTGGAAAGAGGAAGGTGGGGATTCCGGGAGGAGGGATACAAAAAAACTTAGGGTGAAATGATCTGCTGATGCTTTCCTTTGAAGGGTTGAGGAATTTTTTGTGAAGTTTGGGCAGCGGTCCTGCAAAAGCAAAGTCGCGTTAATGTAGACAGTGAGAAGTGCTTTCAGCTCTTGGTGCCCAGGCTGAGTGTGGAGTAGATTGTCTTGATTCTCACACCTAGGAGAAGATCTGCTTCCCTGGGGCTGGAGTCCTGGGGACTTCTTTTGTCACAGGCTTCAAGTTGCAGGCGTGTTTTGATTGGGTTGGACTAATGCTGTTTTGCTTTGGGCTGGTCTATTGCCACCATGAACAAAATCAAGCTTCTACTGCAAGGAAGAAAGAGGGAATGAATGGCCATTGATCAGGCAACTAGTGGTGTCTGTTATTGTGAATAGGTGGGGAGATAATTGACCCACAGAGAGGTCCTGCCTGCTACAGGCCATGTATCCTCTGGGGCCTGGCTGTGGTAAGGCTCTGCCTCGGCACTGCTGCTGTCTTTTCCCTAAGCCCAGTGCGCTGACTTCCAGGGTCACATTCTGCGGAGTTGTAGCCTCTTATCAGCAGGCATGCCCTGTCAAGATGATAACTGTGGCAGGATACATTGGCTTGCTCTCAGGTCAGTCCAGCCTGGTGCTGGTGGGTTTCTTCATCTCATTGCATTACCTCATCTCATACCAACTTCTGCTCTCCCCACACTCCAGCCACACTGCATTCTTGTGCCTCTAACACTTTGACTCAGTTCTGCCTCAGGGCCTTTGCACTCGTTGTGCATCTGGCTGGGAACACCCTGGCTAGGGTTGTCTGCAGGACTCCCATCACTCAGGTCCCAGCCCCACTGCCTCCCCTGCAGAGGGGCCTTTCCTAACTGCCCTTTTAAAAGTGGCCTCTGCCCCCAGAACATTCCGCTTATCACCCTTCTTTGCATCAATCTTTCTCTGAGATTATATTGTTTACCACTTACTAATTTGTCTCCACATTAACTGGAATAGAAGCTTCGTGGGAGTCAGATCTTGTCTGTTGGCTTCACAACTGTAGCCTCAGCTCCTAGAAAGGGCCTGTGGGGGTCTGTCCCACAGACCCTGACCCAACAATGGATGAATAACGTACACTGACACAGATATTATGCTTGTCAGTCCAGCTGAGGGTCTGGGCCACTTACAGACTCCAAGGAGAGTGCTGTAAAGAGTGGCAGCTGTGGCACCCCTGCCTCCGCGACTAGCTGGCCCTGCTGGCATTTATTCAGCACATGTTAAATGACAAAGGCTTTGTGTCAACACCATTAGAGGGTAATCAACCTGGTTGCCTTCCCCACCAAGAGAGCCATCCTGCCCCGGAATGATCAAAAGTTAGTTTTAGGACCACATGAGTAAACAAGTTATTTAGATAAACTCCTCTACATTCCTATACATCTACTCGAAGTTATTTATTCAAGGTAAGGATTAGGCTGCTTTCAGCCATAACCCTATCCTGAGACTTTTGCAAAAACCTTCTGGCATTCCAAGAAGATTTGTGTCTATATCGTACAACTTCATCTTAAAATTTTTCCCACTAGCCTGACTGAACTCCCACAAGGGCCCAGGATGTAGGCATGATGAAATATTTAAAAATAATATCAGCTAACTTTTTGATTGTTTATATTGTACCAGGCACTGTTCCTAAGACCCTAAATGTATTATTAGCTCGTTTAATCCTCCTAACACACTTTATTATCCCAGTTTTACTGAGACACAAAGAAGTTAAATGGGATCATAGACTTAGGAAGAAGCAAAAGCAAAAGTAGCATAAATTAAGTGTACAATAAATATTTATTTAAAAAATTTTAAATTCCTTTATTTTTGTTCCTGACACCCCTGTCCAGGCAGCTTCTATTGTTTGATAGCACATAACAATCTCCTGGCACAGGTAGCTTGCAAAGCCTAATGCTTTCTCTGTCCCTACCTTCTTAATTTTCCAAGAGTACTAGTTCACATTTCCTTCTAAAGTTTTAACACACAACAATAGCATGAATATCAAACATCTGAAGGTTATTTGACAGAATTATCCACAACAAGCCCATTAACACTGCATCTTATTTTATTTTATTTTATTTTTTTGAGATGGAGTCTCACTCTGTCACCCAGGCTGAAGTGTAGTGGTGCAATCTCAGCTCACTGCAAACTCCGCTTCCTGAGTTCAAGCAATTCTCCTGCCTCAGCCTCCGGAGTCGCTAGGATTACAGGTGCCTGCCACCACCTCTGGCTAATTTTTGTAGTTTTAGTAGAGACGGGGTTTCACCATGTTGGCCAGGCTGGTCTCAGACTCCTGACCTCAATGATCTGCCTGCCTCAGCCTCCCAAAGTGCCGAGATTACAGGCATGAGCCCCCATGCCTGGTCTTGCATCTTACTTTAATTTGATATATGATACACATCACACACACATTACAAGATCTTCAATTAGATTATAAATGCTTATCCTCAAAATTCATCTGTATTAGAAGACATTACCTGGGACTTTCCACTCCATTCTCAACATCCCAGCCAAGTCAATATCTATCTACAAACACACCATTCTGTGATCATGTCTCATCCTACTTCCCCTTATCAGTGTGACCTTAATTCAGGCATAGTCCTACCATGCTGCTGCTCTCCCAGGCCTCTGTCTGCCCATGGGAGTGCTATTTCCCTTGGAAGTTCCCTTTGCCATTCTCTGGCCTTTTTCATGGCAGTCCCACTGCTTGGAGGCCGCCCTTCCTGCACGCCCACCTGCTTCCACATGTTTGGAAGCGCTTATTCACTTAGCAGGAGACATTAAGTATTCATCATTTTATTCTGCAATTATTCACTGATGCCCGGTGCCCATTATACAGCAGGCCTAAGTGCTAAGAAAACATAAATGAGAAAAACAGACATGGTGTTTGCCTCCTGAAGCAAAGTCTCCTGAGAGACAAATCTATTAATCAAAGAATCAACTGAATAGTGAGTATGATGAAGGAGTTACTGGATGTTATGAGAGTATGTAATGGTGGCCTGATCTAGTCTAGAAGAGTAAGGCAAGGCTTCTTGGGCCTTCTAGCTGAGATCTGAGGATGATTTGCGGTGAACTAGGTGAAGATGGCAGAGGGAGTTCCAGGCAAAGAGAAGAATGAGTGCAAAGGCCCTCAGGTGGAAGAGAGCACACGACCTTCCAAGAAGTAATAAGAGGCCAGAGTGACTGAGCTCAGGGAGCAAGGAGAAGAGCCCTGAGAGGTGAAGTGGGCAGGAACTACATTGAGCAGGGCCTTGGGGTCTGTGCTGCTACTACCACTGGGAAAGTTTTGGAAGGATATGGGCAGAAAAGAAATGATCTAATTTACATTAATGGCTAAAGTTTGGAGAACAGGTTAGATGACTCCAGGTTTTTTGCTATGCTAGGAACACAGGAGAGCTGTTTGGGGAGCCATTCAAGTATACATGCTGAGTCGGCAGATGCATGTACATATTTAGAGAGACCTGGGTTAAATTAGCTGTGAATTTTGAGATGGTGATTGAAATCATGGGTGGTTGGAATTGCCAAGGGAGATATAAAGAGCAGGAAAACAAGGGAGACTAGGACCAGTCTTTGATGGATTATGACCTTTAAAGTCTGAGGAGAGGGGGATTTGTCTGCAGAGGAGATTGAGGAGGAACAGCTAGGTAGGTGGAAAGGCAGAAGAGTGTAGTATACTAGAGGCTGAATTAGGAATCTTTCAAATGCATATTACTGAAATCCATCTTCAATTGATGTAACCAAAAAAAGAATAATTTATTGGCTCCTATAGCCTGAAATCAGGACTGGTCAGATATGCCTGGGTTCAAGAGCTCAAACATCCAGCTCCTTGGGAAACAGCCTCTCCCCCCATCTCTCAGTTCTGTCTCCTTCTGGATGGGCTTCTTTGCCAGGTGGATATTCCCATGTGGTGGCCTGATAGGGTCACCAGCAGAGGCTTCAGGTTTACATCCTACCCAAAGTAAAGAAATGTCCTTCTTCGATTGGTTCCAGCAACCACACCAGGTGTGACTATTGTTAGCCTAGCTTAGGCTAGATGCCCATCTCTGAGCTAGAGGTTGACATCAGCTCTACCCACACTTCACATAGACTGAAAGTTGGGAAAGGAATGGTTCCTCAAAAGAAAATCAGGGTGCTGTTACCTGAAGAAACTGAGAAGAAGCCAGGCAGGCAAGATCCCAGATGTCTATACAGATGCCGAAGTGATAAGAATTTTAAGAGGGAAAGTATATTTAAGAGTATGAAATACCGTTAAGGCTGGGTGCAGTGGCTCATGCCTGTAATCCCAGCACTTTGGGAGGCTGAGGTGGTGGATCATGAGGTCAGGAGTTCAAGGCCAGCCTGGCCAAGATGGTGAAACCCCATCTCTACTAAAAATACAAAAATTAGCTGTGGCGGCAGGCGCCTGTAATCCCTGCTGCTCGGGAGGCTGAGGCAGGAGAATCACTTGAATCTGGGTGGCAGAGGTTGCAGTGAGCCAAGATCACACCACTGCACTCCAGCCTGGGTGACAGAGTGAGGCTCCGTCTCAAAAAAAAAAAAAAAAAAAAAAAAGAAAGAAAGAAAGAAAAAAAAGAAAGAAATACCTTTAAGACACCAAGAAAGATAAGGACAGGGATTAGCCACTTGGAAGTCACTGGTGCCCTCAGACCCACACAAATAGCTCCATCACAAAGTAGGATGTGGTGGAAAACAAAATGAACAAAATGCAAGTTGAAAGGGCCACGTGAACCCAGGAGAGGAAAATCATTTAGGACGAAACAATCACGGAAAGCTTCATGTCCAAAGTAGCATTTCACTTGGGTCCTGAAGGATGGGTGATATTTTTAAAATGAAGGCCAGAGAAGTGGAGGAAGGGAGGGCACCCAGCTGACTATAGCATGAGCAAAAGTGCAATGGCAGAGATGTTTAGGGTGTGTTCACCAAGAGGTGAACAGTTCATGCTTGGTCTGATGGCTAGGGGCCAAATGTGAGTGCTGGCTAAGGAGAAGGGACTTTCTCTGTTCAATTTACAAATGAGTCAGCTGTAATTTACCTTCCCTTAGGTTATCGGCCTGAATATGTAAATGAGGGATAGCTGTCACTAGAATGAAACTGACATCTAGAAAAGCGCCTCCCTATAATCTTGCCTTTCCATATAAGGGCTCCCTGGCGTGCTTCACAGGTGAACTCTACAGCAAACGCATTCTTCTCTCTCCTTTCAGCCTTGGTCTTTCCTCTGACTCAGGGGCCTGGCTTGTGGTGCTGAGGCACCTTCCGGCTGCTGAGAATTGGACTACTCTGTCTTCTTGCTGACTGCGGCAAAGGAACGCCCGGGGTCTGACAATCACCTCTACGAGAGCAGCTTGGATGTTTCTCATCTTTCACTTGACTTTCTTATCCCTTTACTTAAATATATATATATATATATATACTTTAGAGACAGGGTCTCACTCACTATGTTGCCTAGGTTGGACTCAAACTTCTGGGCTCAAGTGATCCTCCCACCTCAGCCTCCCAAGTGGCTGGATTACAAGCATGTGCCACCACACCCTGCTCATCCCTTCAGTTTTTAGCCCAGAAAGCTGGCACTAAAAGGGATGGTAGGTTTGAGGGATTTTAGATGGAAGACAATTTAGGTGACTCTGCACTATATTATAGTCAAATATCCTGCAACCTTTGTTCCTAGAAGAAACCTGTGCATCCTGAATCTCTGACCCCTGGGAATACATTCTTTTCCCCCAGCACCTCACCTAGGAATGGTCACTTGGGTTAAGGGTTCTCAGGCTTGGTGGCCAAAAGCCAACACCTGTTCATTTATCTCCTATCTTGTACTCAGTCTCTTAAGACTTTTCTGCAACTTGGACCCTGGTGGGCCAAGTGCATTTGCCCAGAGAGAAAAATTGCACAAATTAGAACTCTGGATTGATATTTCACTTACATACCTCCACTTGGGGATCCTCAACACAGCTTAAATAGTAATGTCTTTAATGGGGGTCATCAAGGGCATTTAAGTAGGGACATGCAATGAGCAGAACCACTTTTGGAGAAGACTGCACTTGGCAGTCGTTCCCTAACAGATTTGAGAGAGCAGAGGTGGGAAATGGCAAATTGTTAGGAAACTGATAATGGGCCCAGGGAGAAAAACCTTGAACCAAGGAACTGAGCTAGATGTGGAAGGGTGGGCGTGGGTTTTAGAAACACTTCTTTAGAGGAAAACCATGATTAAAAAAGGAGAAAGAAAGAAGGAAAGGAAAGGAAAGGAAAGGAAAAAAGGAAGGTGGGATTGGGGGAAGAAGGAAAGGAAGAAAGGAAAGAAGGAAAGAAAGAGGACATGGAAATCTCTGTAGGCCAGGAACAGAGTGAGGAGGCTCAGTATCATGGGGAGGGCCTGGGAAACCTGTGGCCCCTCAGGACACAGAGATTCTGAGCTGGCAGCAGGAGCTGAGCTGAGAACAGAACTGAGCTCACTCCAGGAGCCCAGGACAAGGAGCCAAGTGTGAATGTGGGGCCAGGCCTCTGCTCTTCATTGGTGACTAGAGCTGTAAGAGCTGTGCCTGACTGTCTGGGATGGCAGTGGAAAGAGGCTCCTTCTCCACAGGTCAGGGAGGAAGCAGACTATGGCATGAAGGGGGACCCAGTTCTGTGCTGGGCAGCTTCTTAACTGAAGACTCCAGCTACCCACTGCAGTGCATGGGCATCCATCTGCGGGGGAGGGGCACTGATACACCTGTTCCACCAAGAATGCCCCATCACAGTGCCCTTGACCCAGGCTCCTCAGGAAGCCTCTTGTCTGAGACTTCTCATCTCTTCACCCCACACTGAGGGGCTCCTTGTCCTGCCATTCAGTCTCATTCGCCTCCATGGAACTAGGAACAGCTTTGCTGAAGTCCCTGGAGTGTGGAGGGTCACCTCATTTATCCCATCTCAGAGCCAGACAGTTGACATCATCAGAGTGACCGGGCGTCTTTGGTTGTGCCGACTCCTCTTTGCCATGCGTGGCACCCCCCCGCCCCCCACTCCTCCTGTTATTGTGCCAACCCCAGCAGGGCAATGCCTTGCCCCAGGAAAGGGGAAGCTTTTTCCATAGAGCTGCTTTCCAGCAAAACTGGAACCCTCCTGAGTGAAAGCCCAGTGACCACGCAGCCCACGAGGGCTGGGACCCAGAGTGCGGGACGGGGATTCGTGGTGTATGCCCAGGGCCTTTGGTGCCAGAGGGAAGGATGATGAGGCTGTAGAATTCCTGTTCCCGCTCCTGGGAGAGGGACTGGAGAGGATTCCCTGCGATGGGTTTCTGAATGGCTACCAGAAACAAACAAGCACATCCATCGACAAGCCGTGGTAATTAGAAGGGAAACAACGATAGTGAAGTTACCTTTCTCCATTCATTCCGCAAGCATTTTTGAGTGTTTATTTCTGGCGCAGAGCTATTTTAGGGGCGGGGGGAGAGCATGTGAGGAAGAGGAAAGGGAATTGGTCCAACTCGCCAGCTTGAGAGGGGAGAGGCTGGCGGGGGATGGGCAGTATTAGTGTTTGGTCTGTGGAAGATGAAACGCAGCTCTGCTCTGTGGGCGGGCCTTT
The DNA here is from genome assembly GCF_000001405.40 of Homo sapiens. NCBI lineage: Eukaryota > Metazoa > Chordata > Mammalia > Primates > Hominidae > Homo > Homo sapiens. Next base: position 90,414,031 of record NC_000006.12, read on the forward strand.
GATCTTCCAGTAACTGCTAGAGTAGCAATTAGCATCCTTAATGCTGAGGGGAGTCTCTGAGAAGCCCTTTAGCCTGCTGATCTAGGTTAGTAGATCCGGAAGTGTGGGTGCCTGTGAGCGAGTGTGTGTGTGTGTGTGTGTGTGTGTGTGTGGGAGACAGAGAGAGAGAGAGGGAGACAGAGAGAGAAAGAGAGAGAGACAGAGAGAGAAAGAGAGAGAGACAGAGAGAGAGAGACAGAGAGAGAGAGAGAGACTGAAATGGGTTTATTAGATGTTTGATGTTTCTTCCACAATACAGTTTTTCATATTTGAGAATGATGTGACACCTTCCAAATAAAATTCAGTTTTGTGTAGAAAATTGAATCATCTAAGCACTTACACTGAAAAGTCACAAAGTCCTAAATTTACAGGAAAACAGGACTCGTAAAACTTATAACACTGAGTAAAATATTATGCTCCAGAGCCCCTTTCAGACTTCTGGTCTGGGACAACCCTTCCCTTGTAGCCCCATGGTTCCATCAGCCCCGCGGTTGAGCTCTAGAAGCTGGCTGAATTTAAGTTTCCACTGGGCGATTTTGTGGACCCTATTTCAGTGACTTCACCTTTTTGAACCTCAGTTTCACATCTATAGATGGAGATAACCCGTAGCACAGGGCTAAACTCTCTCATCAGGTTATTTCTTTTTCTTTACTGTTTAAAAATGAGAATTAAATGAAATCATTTCTGTAAAGTACTGAGCCCACTAGAAAAGACCTGAAATAAAGTCTTAGAAGGGAAGTATTAAAAGGGAAGACTTTTTTTCCTTCAACAGCTGCTGAATAGGATGGGGGAATTGGAAGCCAAAAAATTTTAAAACTTAATTTAACTTAAAAATTTAAATAAAATAATTAGCTAGGTGTGGTGATGTGCACCTGTAGTCTCAGCTACTCAGGAGGCTGAGGCAGAAGGATAAATAAATTAATGTTGACACAGATACTATAATATAGACAAAAGAGGGGTGCCCATGATGGATAGCTGGAGAAAGGGAAAGACGATTTCTGTGTAGGGAAGGGGGCTGGAAAAAGAGGAGGCAGGAGAGCAACACAGGGGCTGGGGGGAGACGGGGGAAGGGAGGCATCCCCATGGGTGCCCCAACATCTAATGCTGGGCAATTCTGACCCTCAGCCCACATGCCCTCCCCTTTACCTGCCCTGACTTGGCTGGACCCGGACAGCCCAAGCCCTTCCTCCTCCACCCTGGCCGTATCCAACCCAGGCCAGGTGACTTTCCCTACAGCTCACCTGCTTCCTGTGCCATTCTCATTTCCACAGCCACAGCTCTCAACCCACACTGAGCTGGGGGCCCCATTGGCTCTCCTGAGTCCCTCCACCCATCTGCCCTAGCCCACAATGAATAGCTGCCCTGCTGCAGGCCTGGTGTTCCCTCTGCTTTATTGCATCATATGTTTTAATTTAATGAATTGATTATTTTTTTAAAATGACAAAACATTTCAAACATAAAACTACCCACTGTCAATATTTAACAAATGTTAGCTTTCTGCCATATTTACTTCAGATTTTTTTTAATTTTTATTTTTATTTTAGACAGGATCTTCCTCTGTCTCCCAGGCTGGAATGCAGTGGTGTAATCATAACTCACTGTAACCTCCAACTCCTGGGCTCGACTGATGCTCCTGCCTCAGCCTCCCGAGTAACTGGGACTGCAGGTGCATGCCATCATGCCCTGTAGGATTTTTTAAAGGTATGAAAAAATTACAGATAGAATTGGAATCTTCTCTTTGTTCCACCCCAGAGCTAACTATTCTCTTGAAGTTGGTTCTTATTTCTTTTTCATGCTTTTGAATTTTATGGTATATGTATGGATCCACAAACAATATTGCCTGTAGTGCTGTTTGGGGTAGTTACAATGTTTAAATAAATAGTATTTTGCTGTTTTTATTCAATATTGTGTTTCCAAGACTTATCCTATTTTGATGCTTGTAGAACTAGCTCATTCACATGTAAACCACTACATAGTTTCCATCTAGGAATGTATCATAATTATGTTTCAATCCCCAGTTGATGAATATTTAGGTTGCTTCACTATTTTTCTATGACAATATGTCTAAAATATTATTGTGTAGTTATTCTTGTGCACTTGTATCTTAGTATTTCTAATCTGTGTATGGTGTACAAACTTCAACTTTCTGGGTGCTACTAAATTGCTCTCCAAAATGGTTACCCTTCTATCAGGACTGAATGAGAATTCTAATTCCCTCACAACCTTCCCAATACTTAGTAATGTATGATGAACATTTTGCCACTGTTTTACTTTGCATTTCTGTGATTAGTATTGAAGGTGAGCATCTCTTTAAATGTTTTTTAGCCATTCAGGTTTTCATCTTCTGTGAATTATTTGCTTGGTTTCTCTTTGGGGTTTACTTTATCCTATTTATTTGTAGGAGCTCTTCAAGCACTCTGGGCAGTGATGCTTTGCTGGTTACATGTCTATCTTAGGAACACTTGGCAAGAGCAGGGATAGTGTTCTTCTCAATGGCATACCTGAATTCACTAGTTGGTTCTTTTATATAACAGTGAGAAATAAATTAAAACAGGGTATGAAAATTAACTTAAAGATTTTTCAAGCAAGTCTTTTTTGTTTTCCAACCAAGATAATATTAGATCTAAATAACTATTAACTATGCTATTTTTTCAGCTTCTGCTGCTGAAGTTCCTACTTGTATTTCAAAAGTCTGCATAGTTAAGAGCCAGTCCTCCGTTCTGCCCCATCTTGAGAAAGGTGGACTCAAAGGCTGTCATTCAGCGGACATAACCTTGCAACTGTTTCCTAGTTAGGGAAGGTGTCCTAACTCCCTTTTTATAAACTAGAATAATTGGCAAAGATGGAATGCAACTGTAACTTGTTCTTTTCTTATTCGGGACACCGAGAAATGGGCTTTTCTCTTCTCTAATGATATAAACATTATAAAGAAGCCAGCATACACCATTTTTCTGAATCAAGAGTAAACATGAAAATTATATGCTTTGTAATTTTCCTTCAGCCATCTGCCACTGCTCATGAGTCCTCATATAGCTTTATCTTGGGTCACTTCTCTTTCCACACAAAACGGATGCTGATGTGCATTATCTGAATCTATTCATCAGAGAGATTTCCCCTCACCACTCTTTCTGAGACACCTTGAATTGGGCTGTTGTATGGAAACATTCCATTTTCAGCTTGTAACAGTTTACAAAGCCACTCCACCCACGAACCAAGCTCTTGTACCCTCTGGATTCTCTTGAGCCTGATCCCAAATATACCATTTTCATTTTGCAATAGCTTGTTCAAGACCCATGCAGTTTAGGCCTTGTTGAGCCTGGCATTGTCTGGCTTCCACCAGGGCCTAGAAGCATGTCAGGAACTGATTTTCAAATGGTCTATGGTTCTCTGCTGTAGACTGCAGGGTCTTGCACCAGAACCCTAAATGTTTTCTGTTAGCACTTGCCAGAGGCTCCACAGATTGTCTTTCTCCATCACAGACACTTCTAAGTGCTGAGAGATCTTTTTGGTCATGTGGCCCAAGTGGCAAGGCTGCTAGTGCTGAAGTCTGGGCCTGCTACCGAGCTCTGTCTTGTTATTAAAGCTAGCAGCCTTTCATGTCACCTAACAGTACCTTCAGACTCTGTTGTGACAGAGAGCAGGAAAATTAACATAGCCCTGGACAAAACTATAAATCTATATTGTTGTCTGTCCCATGTGAATGCAAACTGCCTCTGATCCTCCTTCAGGCCAGACCAGTGACCTCACACCACGTCCTGAAGCTGTGTTCATCTGCTCTAGCAAAGACACCACATCTGGCACAGAAGCTGCAACTGGGGCTCCTACTTGGTTAAGTTAGAGCAGTTAACCATCAAGTGCCTTCATCCATTCAATTTATATGAGAGAGAATCTATTGAATTAAAAGGGGATATATAACAAAGACCAACACTCTTGAGTCCCCCAAGTCTTGAAGGGTGACAATAATCCCGCCACCCCCTCCAGGGCTGATATTGTTTAGATTTTCTGTCCTGGTCAGAGGAGAGTTTCAGGGGCATCTGCTTGGCTTTTCCTACCTCAAGTTCTTATTTTATAGGTCAAAAAATAAACAAATGTGAGCTTTCTGCCAACTCCTAAGTATGCCTACTCCAAATATGCATTTAGGAACCAAGGAAACGACCATGAGATGGGTCTGTGCATGAGTGAAACCTGCTGTGAGATGGCACTAGGTGAGAACTCCATCGACTATCTAACCTCCCCATTTACTACTACTCCAATGGGAGGGCCATGGTGGTACTTTGAGTAGTCCCCTTCTCCTAATATATGTTTATCTGAGCAAGTGGCCATAGGATGTCTTGGGAAAGACTGGGAGAATCAATACAGTATATTCTTGCCATGGTGGTACAGAGCCCAACCTCATGGAGACTCAGTCTGTCCTTTTGTCAGTGGGTTCTGGTTAGAAAACTGGTTCTGGCCTGGGCACTGAGCAGGAGGAGATCATGTTTCTCTACTGGGCTGGCTGACTCCAGGCTTCTGCTCCTCTATTCTTGATCTCTGTATCTTTTTTTTTTTTTTTTTTTGAGATGGAGTCCTTCTCCTTGCTCTGTCGCTCAGGCTAGAGTGCAGTGGCATGACCTTGGCTAACTGCAACCTCTGCCTCCCGGGTTCAAGTGATTCTCATGCCTCAGTTTCCCGAGTAGCTGGGACTACAGGCACGCCACCATGCCCGGCCAAATTTTTTTTTTTTTTTTTTGTATTTTTGGTAGAGATGGGGTTTTACCATGTTTCCCAGGGTGGTCTCAAACTCCTGGGCTCAAGTGATCCTCCTGCCTCGGCCTTCCATATTCTTGATCTCTTTTAAATATGCCTTTGTTAGTTGCCCATCTGTGTTGCCCTAAGAACACCATGTTCCTTGAGCTACCTTCATAGATCCCTGTAGATCTATGCTGCCATTGCATCCTTGCTGCCTGTTATTGAAGTCACACCCATCTTATGTTTGATGGTTAGATATTGCCATTTGGCCTTTGCTCCTCTGGGATACCATTGCTTCCATTGCTTTCAGGGAGCTGAGATATGAATTGGCATCTTCTGTTTTCCACTCTCATTTACAAAGAACATGCATCTTGAGCTTTGTTGGCATTCCCTCACCAGTGCACTCTTTCTCACCTTGGAAAATAGACTGTTCTCCAGGAAGGACTGACCCCATAGTGGTCAGCCAGCAGGATTAGATCCATTCTAGCATGTCTTCTTCTCTGAGCCTTTTGATCCGTTTCTCTACAGTTTGCCACTACAATAATCACATCTCGACTTTACTGAATGTGAACTATCACTTTTTCTAAGATTTTAAGAGGAATCTAAGCAGAGTATTAGAAACGTCACCTAGGGCCCTTGGGAGGATGTTAAATTTTGTTAAAGGTTATGGCAGAGTGCCCCCATATCAGTAAACTCCCCCTTATTTAACTTTAGGTTTCACTCACCTTGATCTGGTACCCAGAGAATCCTCTCCTTGCATGTCCTCCTCACTCTTGCCAAATCACCCCCATTCCTGTTTTCTTGTTAGCCAGGTCCTGCAGCAACCTTGACATCATCTCTCTCCACCCTTAGCAGGCCCTCCTCCCCATTTTGGTTCTGCTGAGATTTGATCCTAAGTATGAAGCTGGTGGCCATGGAAAGAGCAGATCCCGGAGGTCAAGCTCCTTCTTCATTTGATGCCTCTAAATAGTTTTCAGGAAAGTAGTAAGGGGGGACTTTTTTTTTTAAGTTCCAGAAGTTTCCGAAGAAACTGGAGATCTAAGGCTCTCATTTGAATCTACCCAGATATCACATCCCAGCTCTCAGGATCCCTCTCATTCCCCATGGGGACCCTGACTTTGACATAGGAGACTGGCCTAGGCTGAGAATTCAGTCTTCTCTGAAGTTCTGCCATTCATCTGATTAAGCTTTGTGCCCATCTTTTGGTTGTCCTCTGCCCTCTGGCTGCAGAAGATTAGTCTCTTTAAAGCCTGTTAAGAGGCCCCCACCCCCTAATTCTCACACTTTGCTTTCAGTGGTTAATAAATCTGAGTCTGTCATTTTCTTTCACCCTTCAATCAGTGGTACTTAGCAACAGCGGCTAAATTCCACAGTCCTTATAATGTTCATTTCCCTCATCTCTCCCAATGCCTGGGACATTGTACCAGCTAGTGTATCTGTGACCACCCATATTCATCCCATCCTAGTTCATTGCGGGGGAAAGTCTTAGCTGATTGCTTTCCATATTACCCTTAAAATCTGTTTAAGTATTATAATCATATTTACTGTATAGACTTTTTCTGATTGTTCTGTTACCTTAGTTCCTGGGTCTGCATGCCCCGCTCTTCCTCATAGCAGTTTATTTCCTTCCGTAAGTGTAATACTTTACTGCGAACTCAGCTGCAATCAAGTTTTCTGTGGAAGTCTCATTTGAGCTGTTTCCTTTATGTCTTCCTCTGCAGAGACTCTAGGACTCTTGTCGGTTCCGGACCAGTTTTTTAAAATCCTATATCGTGCTGGTATCACAAATTTGGATACCACAGACAAAGGCTCAAGCTTAGCTTTCTGATTATTCATAGGTGATTCTCTTTGCCTAGTGCCCAGGAGATAGATGCTCCCTTGGGCTTGCAGGAGGAGCTGGCCAGGGTCCTATTTCACAGATGGTGAAAAATAATGCTGTTGCCATGCCTTGCCTCTGAATAGCTGAAGCCTCAATTCTTCTGTTCCTCTAAAGACATTAAAATATTAGCCTCAAGCCCCGAAGGCCCACGCCTGGGTCTGTTGGCTGTGTGGTCCCCAACACTTCTATTCTTACCATTTTAGGTTTTGGTGCCGGCTTCTTTCCCAGCTCCTGGAAAATTTCCTTTCTTTAGTTTGAGCTCAACTATATAGTAAGTAAATCATTTTGCTTTATTTTATCCCACAATTTTAGGTGTTTCTAGTGGGAAAGTGGCCTGAACTTGTCAGTTCCATCTACCACATTTACTGGAAATTATACCAATTTATTTTCAGAAAGCATGCTGGTTAGTCCACTGCAGTCAGAGAGGATTTTATGGAAAAATCCAACAGATGGTAACTTCAGGTATTATAGCCATAAATGCAGGGAAGTTTTTCTCTAAGCTTGGAATGGGATTTCCATTACTCTGTACTCAATATGTGAACATTATATTTTTCTTTACGGTGGAAGGAACCACTGTTTCTAATGGAAGCAGTTGGTGTTTATATATTTCTTATTCCTAAAGGTCACAGGATCATTAATGTGACAACATCATCCTGCTAGAAGTGACATTCAAGCAGCAGTAATATGTTGAGCCATTCCCTGGTGATTAGGGGAAACTTCAAAGTGATAAAATACAGAAAATGAATATATAAATAGAAGTAGTCGAGAATTTCCAGATAATCTTGATAAATGGAGCAAGGAAAAAATAGGTGCATTTCACTTAGATTTCAGAGAGATGATTTCGGGTTGCATTTGAGTACTCAACTTAAATCTGCCTCCAGGCACTAGAAAATGGTGGAGCTGACACCTACACAACAGATCACAATGGATTTCGCTACCCTGACAGCAAGACAGAGGTCATATATATATGTAGATATATATTTTTTCTTTTCTGTCAGAGATATTCCCAGCGCATAAGGCAAGTGAAGGCACATTTTCACTCATCTGTTGGCAGATATGTCTACAGTTGCCATCCTTTCCAACCTGCTTCCTGCACATGGCATAATTAAAGGGCCTATGAGCTAAAGGCTGGACCACAATATGCCTAGAGGGGTCCAGAGAGACAGTGGAAGTCAGTAATGCTTAAAAACAGGAAGAAAAAAACTGTCATGCAAAGACACACTGAGAGCAGAGCTGTGGCCAAAATGATCACATGTGAGGCAGGAGCTGAGGGCAGGCATCCAAGAGAACTGTATTTGATCTTCATTTTTAAATATCAGATGTGTAGTTTTAGGGTTGAGGAGCTAAAAATAGGCAGCACTCCATATAACCCACTCCCTCCAATTTTTTATAATTAATTCTCAAACAGCTTGTATTTCTCTACCATCATGTATTAAGAGGTATATTGAGGACAGTACTTGAAAATGTCCTAGAAATAAAATACAAATTTTAAGTCATAGGCTTATATGAGTAATGAGTAATATACTGATATCTATTCTTTTTTTTTTTTTTGAGACAGAGTTTCGCTCTTGTTGTCCAGGCTGGGGTGCAACGGTGCTATCTCAGCTCACCGCAACCTCTGCCTCCCCGGTTCAAACAATTCTCCTGCCTCAGCCTCCTCAGTAGCTGGGATTATAGGCATGTGCCACCACGTCCGGCTGATTTTGTATTTTTCAGTAGAGATGGGGTTTCTCCATGTTTGTCAGGCTGGTCTCGAACTCCCGACCTCAGGTGATCCACCCGCCTCAGCTTCCCAAACTGCTGGGATTACATATATCAAAGAATATTTGTCATGTCATGCTTTCAAAAAGTATTTATGTTTTTAATTTTTTCTATATTTTCATCTTTTTAAATTTATGCTTTCTCAGGTTGAATAAAAAAGTATTTAGACGTGATATTCCAGGTGCCTCTATCATGGGACATCACTGATTTTAAGTAAAATACAATGAACATTTATTTGAAGGCTGTGTATATTTTGTTTGGTTTTATACACAGCATGTAAATCATGATTGCATGTGTTTAATATTTTGGCAGGAAAACTGCATATAGAGGAAAGCAATAAAAACTATGCATCACATCATTTGTATATATATATTTTTTAGTACTTTACTGTGTTTCCCCCTTGTCACATTGGTTTGGTTTTAGTGGTTTGGTCTATTTTCTCTCATTCCTTTGTTTTTCCTTTTCAAGTTTTCCTATATATGTTTATTTTATATATTCCCTGGGTTTCCCATGTCTATTATTTCCACTTCTTTTTGAGCAATTTACTTACTTTGTTTCCTCCCAATTAAGCATGTATTCCCATCCAAGACCTATTAATATTAAGAGTTGCTTTTTCCAAATGGTGATCCAAACAATGTGCACACTAGGATGAAAGCAACTTTAGTACAGTTTTCCACTAAGAGCAGTGCCTTCTGTATATGAACTTGGCTTCTCAAAATCTCAACTCCCTTATTCCTCCTGGTGACCTGGCAGCACACAGGACACGTTTCTATCTCTAAAGGGTCACAGGAAGCTCAGGCTTATTGGATCATCATCCCAAGCTTTTACTCAGGAAAAGTTTTCAAGTGTAGGGGATAGGGCTGCTAAGAGAAAAACGTACTCTTCACTGTTAACCTTTCTACCTATGGTTTTATCGTCTTAAAACCCATATATTCTGGATTCTGGGAGTTTCTCTGAAACATGCTTTAGGGTGAGCAGAGTTTTTTTTACAACTCTGTATGAAAATAGCTCAGGTGAATAGGACGTAAGCACTGAATGGGAGGGTGAGTGTCAAAGAGAGGAGTTGGATGACTTCAAGGTTCTGACTTGGGTGGTTGAGAAGAGGGTACAGCCATTCACCGAAGGAATAGCAAAGGATGAGCAAGTTTTAAGGGAAGGATAAATAATTTAAGTTTTATTTATAGCTTCATGACACCTAATTGACATATAATGAGCAGCTCACATTTAAAATGTAAAATCTAATGGGTTTTAACATGTTTGTACCCCATGAAAGCATTACCATGGTCAACATAATAAACATTTCCATCATCTTCAAAAGCTTCCTGGTGTTCCTTTATAATCCATCACTCCATCTGTGCCCTGTCATCCCAGGGAACCACTGATCTGCTTTCTGTCACTGTATATTAGTTTGGATTTTCTAGAATTTGACATGAATTGAATACTATATGAATTACTCCTTTTTGTTTGGCTTCTCCCATTCAGCATAATTATTTTGAATCTATCCACGTTGTGTGTATCAATAGTTCACTTCCTTTTATTGCTGAGTAATATTCCATTGTATAGATACACCAAAATTTTTTATTCATTCACCTGTCGATGGACATTTGGGTTGTTTTTAATTTAGACTGTTACAAATAAAGCTGCTAGGAACATGAGTGTACAAGTCTTTGTGTGTACAGATGATGTTTTTCTTTCTCTTGGGCATGCTTTCATTTATAGCTTGGGTAAGTATCTATGAGTGGGATAGCTAAATTATATGGTTAAGTATATGTTTAACTTTTAAAGAAACTGACAAACCATTTTCCAAAGTGATGATATCATTTTACATTCCCACCAGCAGTATATGGGAGAGCTTCAGTTGCTCTACATCCTTGCCAACACATGATATGGTCTAGCTTTTTAATTTTAGCCATTCTAGTGGGTATGCAGTGCTATCTTGTTGTGGTTTGATTTGCATTTCCATAATGACTAATAATGTCGAGCATCTTCTAACGTGTTTATTTGCCATCTGTATATCTTTTTGTTAAAGTATCTATTTAAATCTTTTGCTCATTTAAAAAATTGAGCTGTTTGTCTTATTATTGAATCACAGTAGCTCAATAATAAGGTCTTTGTTGGATATATGTTTTTTGTTGAAGCTATGATTTGCAAATATTTTTTATACCAGTCTGTGGCTTGCCTTTTCATTTCCAATAATTTATTTTTAAACATAGTGAATCTGACATTTCTATGAGACATACAAGTAGAGCTCTCCAGCAGGGAGTCAGATATGGAGGTCTAGAGTCTAGAAGAGCTAGATGAAGACTCAGGATCTGTGAGTGAAAGGAGAAGATGACTACAAAGGGGCAGGAAGCACCATTTGGGGGTGATTGAACTGTTCTATGTCTTGATTTTAGTGGTGGTTATATATGGCTGTATACAATTATACACACTCAGAACTGTACACCCAAAACAGTGAATTTTACTTTTGTAAATTTACCTTAATAAAACAATTTTAATGGGGCAATAGTTGAAACAAACAAAAAAGTTGATCATTATTGAAGCTGGGTGATGGGTACATGAGGGTACTTTATATTATTCTCTGGTTGTTTGTAGGTTAAATTTCCAAAGTAAAAAGGAATAAAAACAACAACAATGACAGAGCAAACCCCTTGACCTCACATTCCCCTCTCACAATCATACCACTTCTGGGCCTCCTGTCTAAAAAAATTTCTTGAAAGAGTTGACTACAGACACAATTTTCGCATCTTCACCTTCCATTCAAGCTTTTCTCCCCACAACTCCGTGGACTCATGTCAAGGTTCTTGAGGTCATTGAAGACCTATTGACCTTCATGTAGCCCAAACAAGAGGTCATTTTCTTTCCTCACTTGACTCATCTCTCAGCGACATTCGTTAGTTTCTTTTCTTGGTCTCTGTCTCATCTTTCATACTCTTGGTGTTCCTCCTCTCTATTCACATCTTTTTAGTTTCATTTTCTGTCTTCTCTTTCCAAAACCTCTAAACTGTGACATGTATGAGGGTTAGCTTCTTAGCCCCAGTTCGCTCTCTCTTTTTTTTTTTTACACTCTTACTTCATCAGGGACTATGGCTTTAAATACTGTCTCTATGCCTATGACCACCAAATCAACACCTATGGCCCTGACCTCACCCCAAAGCCCCAAAGTCATATATCTAATGTCTTATTTGACATCTTCATCTGGAAGTCTACTAGGCTTCTCAAAAGTAAAATGTCTACAAAATTGAAAGGGTTATTTTCTCATACCTGTACTCTAGCCTACATATCCCAGTAAATGGCACTGTGTCCCCCAAGTCACTTGAGCTAAAAACTTAGAAATCATCCTTGCCTCCTCTCTTGCCATCTGTCATCTCCCACCATCCCCATTATTATCCATCTACTTCTGAAACGCTTACTGAATGCTTTCAATTTTCATTTCCACTACCATGATCCTAATTCAAGCTACCATATCCTTAGCTGTATGCATTTCTTGCCCCTACTCCTCTCTTTGATAAATATTTATGCTTAATTTAAGTTCTAAATTTCCATATGTAGTTTTATGAATGGTGCCTATAATATATGAAACTTTAAATTTAAATTTCTATAAAACTACAACACTCTACTCTTTCGTTTCTTAGAGACAGAGCCTGAATTTTTTAAAGTAGTACTGAAGAAAATTGAGGCATTTTATTAAAATGAAGATGGGGAAAATATGGAAATCCCCTGTCTAGTTCAAAGTCAAGACTGCATAGCTAAATTTGAAGACGGAGTTTAGTGCCAAGTCACTGTTAAGAAAGTACATGCTCTTTGTGCAGGGAAATCGAATGCTTGAAAACCAATAATATTTGGACTGGTTGGTACAGATTAAATCTTGGAAGTAACCTTCTGGTTTTGGTCTGTCTTTAGAAACATGGAGATAATCCTAGGAGAGAGAAACACTGGTTCCTTTTAGATCTGTTTGATTTCATTAGGACTAATTTATCAGTAAGCCATTGGGAACCTGGAAATTAGTAGATGAACAAGGCAGCACAAGTTAATTAATTAAAAATTAATTAGTCACCACAAATTTCATGTCAGCTGCTCACAGGTCTATGTTTTTTGTTGTTGTTATTGGTCTGGATACAAACAAGAAAAAGTCCTTATGTTCCTTATCTCACTTCTGACTTAATAGATCAAGCTCTTTTGGTTTTTCTCTTAAGAATTATTTACCAAAGTGTCAATATCTTGGAACCTTTCCCCAAATTTTCTACAATCTCCTTAAATCAAGTACTGCAATAGAATATTTTTATAGAAAAGAGGCTGATTACATGCCTGTAATTGCAGCACTTTGGGAAGCTGAAGTGGGAGGATTGCTTGAGCCCAGGAGTTCAAGACCAGACAGGGCAACATAGTGGGACCCCATCTTTGCAAAAATTTGTAAAAAAATTAAACAGGTGACATGCACCTGTAGTCCCAGCTACTGAGGAGGCTGAAGTGGGAGGATTGCTTGAGCCTGGGAGGTGGAGGCTGCAGTGAGCCTCCACATTCCAACTTGGGTGATAGAGTGAGACCTTGTCTCAAAAAAACAAAAGGAAAAAGAAAAGAGAGAGGAAAAAAAAAGAAGTACTATAGAAAAGAATGGCAGTGAGGTTTTGGAGACAGAAGAATCAGAAAAATAGTAGTAGGTACTAGCAATAAAAATAGAAAAACTTTGCCAGGCACAGTGGTTCACGCCTGTAAATCCCAGCATTTTGGAGGCTGAGGCAGGTGGATCACAAGGTCAGGAGTTTGAGACCAGCCTGGCCAACGTGGTGAAACCCCGTCTCTACTAAAAATACAAAAATTAGCTGGGTGTGGTGGTATGCACCTGTAATTCAAGCTACTCGGGAGGCTGAGGCAGGAGAATCCTTGATAATCGGGAGGCAGAGGTTGCAGTGAGCCAAGATCATGCCACTGCACTCCAGCCTGGGCAACAGAGCAAGACTTCATCTCAAAAGAAAGAAAAACTTACAGGTATTTTCCTGGTATTGGCTAAGAGAACAGTTTAGAGCAGGTAGCACATCAGTGTAAGAATCTGATGCATATCAAGCCTTACATAATTGTCACATATACCATGAGCAATTTCCCCAATCATGTTATGATTTTTGAATATAATTTGTTAAAAAAAAAAAGGTTAAGTTCAATTTTGATTTTAGTCTATTTTGGTCATTTCTAAGTAATCCAGAATCTTTACTAGTCAGTCTGAATATTTTGCCAGTTCTTTATCTCATATAAGTATAGTTTTATTATTCCTATCTATATTTTTCAAACCTTTCTCTGTAATCATTGAATTTAATTCTATGGATAGTTGGTGATTTTAACTAGTTAAGAATTCTTTGAGCATGGGTCTTTGTGAACATACCATTTTCTTTTTTTGGTAATCCAAATAGTGAGCAAACATGTGCTTTATGACTCTACAGATTTTCCCAACTAATTTAAAACTATGATTATTGGCTGCAAACCATTTCTTTATTTATTTATGACAGGGTCTTTCTATGTTGCCCAGGCTGGTTGCAAACTCCTGGCCTTAAGCAACTGTCCTACCTCAGACTCTGAAAGTGCTGGAATTACAAGTGCGAGCCACCATGCCCAGCCTAATATTATTTATTGAATGGACAGTATGTCCGCTGAAATTTTAGGATATAAAATTTGAAGGAAAGATTAGTTTCTATGATGATTTCTAGGCTGTGAATAAATTTAAACATATATGATGCATTTGTCATATCTCCCTCTATCCCTGGTTTGGTGAATGGTAGCTTTGTAGTGTGTTTTTTTTTTTTTTTTTTTAACAAAGTGACACGTGTGTAGTTTAAAAAGTCAAATAATTCTAAAAACGTTTATAACAAAATACTGCCACACACACACAAAGATCCACTCCACTCTTCAGCAGCAACTACATAAAATAGCAGTTTCTTTTGGTGTTTACCAGTATATTTTCTTTAAATAACATGTATATTGCTGCCTTTTAATACTTTACAATTGTATTTTGATTTACTATGATAGGTGATAATCTCAGCTTTAATATAGCCCCCCCTTCTCTCTCCCCCAACATATTTGTAACTTCATGAAAGTAGAAACCTTGCTTGAATTGTTCATTGCTGTATCCTCAGCACTTAGAACAATATAGCACATGTACATTCTCCATCAAATACATTTTTTTTCAATGAATGAATAAACCTAGAGAGATCCAGGACTGGGACTACCTGTCATAACAAGCATGTTAATTAACAGGAATTTGTTTTGGCTGCCACTTGCGTGGCTTCAAATCTGGAAGGAAGCTCTAAAAGCACTGTTGCCTTCTTTGGTTTGGCATTAAGCAAGCATTTTTTGAGTGTCTGCCATGTGTCATCACCAGAAAATATGTTAAGAGCACAGCCTTTGTAGTCAAACATATGGGGTATCAATCTTGTTTTGCCACATTCCAGCTATATCACCTTGGAAAAATTAATGTCTCTGAGTCTCAGTTTCGCCATCTATGAAATAGGATGATAATAATCCTGATGTCCTGAGTTTTGTGGAGGTTAAATAAAATAATGCATGTAAATTATTCAAGATTGTATTTTGGCACTAAATAAATATCCAGAACATAGTCAGTGTTATCATTAAGTATTATTAGTTTCTATGATGGCCACAGCTATTCTGTGGGATTAATAGGAGTATTAGTGGGGGATGGTAATGAGTGAGGGATAAAGTATTGTGCCTAAAAGTCACCTTTTCCAGGAAGATTCCCTGATAAACTACTCTTGCTGACTGCTTCTTGGCTTCATATATTCATCGCTTATATATTGTATGTTGTTGCTTGGATCTTCTTGTAAGTTATTTTTTCTTTTCCTTAAACCTCATCATTGGGGCTGCAAGGCTCTTCTCTCTTTTCAAGAGTTTCCTAATGTTTAATTTAATTATATATTCCTTTCTATTCCCCTTTTCTGCTAACAACCTTTGAAAAGTATTTAATGTGTATCACTTAGCTTTAAGTGTTTTTGAAAAATGTCTACCAGTGTCTTCTGTGCAAGTTCTTCTAATTTCCTCAAATGCTATTGTGTTACTATCTGTCACTCTGTTTCTCACCAAGCACTGTTTTTGTGCTGTGCACATGTTGCTATGGACATGTCTACTCTGTTCTTCTTAAGGACACAAAGTACTCCATGGTGTGCATTTACCACATTATATCTATTCACTCCTCCATCAATTCCCAGATTACCTTCAATTCCCTACCACCATAAACAAATAAACAAAAATCTTGCAAAGAAAATCCTGTACATGTCACTTTAAAGCTTGTGCTGAGCAAGTCTTAAGAATATATTCTAAGTGTGGAATTGTTGAGACAGTATGAAGCTATATACTCCTTGACAGTTGTTCTCAAGTATCTCTTTCTGGATGCATGTTATATATCCCTAATTAGCTTGTGAGCAGTGAGGTCACTTTCAGCTCTTCAAACAAAAAACAGTGAAGAGAAAGCTGGTCCAACACTGGGATAAGTGGTGCCTTAAAGTGGCAAGTGGAACATAAGTAGACTCATTCTACTTCTAAGTGTCTATAGAAATGTAAGTAGGGAAAGTGTGCTACTCATTTGTTATTTTTATAGCCCATCAACAAGAGAACTTGCTGGCATTATCTGTATAGCATGTGGAGAACCCCAAACACAATAATCCAAAAGTAATTTTAAAAAAAACACCAAAAGGAATCCAGGAACTAATTGGTTGTGATTGGTTTTAATAGTTTTGTGCCTTTACAGGGCAGAGAGGGCATGATCTTGTCCCTGACTTGAACATTTTATGCTAATCTGCAATCATAAGAAGTCATAAAATCACCAGGGCTCAAGAAGGTGCAGAGTAGAACAGAAAGGAATTGGGTTCTAAAGGTAGATTTATTTGTTTTTTTTTCTCCTATTTTTATTTTGACAAACTTCAAATTTTAGAAAAGTTGCAAGAAGAATATGTAAACACCTTTCTACTCTTCATGAAGATCCACTAAGTGTTACCATTTTACCACATTTGCTCTGTCTCTTTCTCTCTCCATTCACCCACCCGTCTACCTACCATTTGAATGTTCTCCCATAAATATTCAGCACTCCTTTCCTAAGAACAAAAGAATTCTCACCAATAACCAAAATACAGTCTCACACTAGGCAAATTTAACATTGGTACAAGGCTTTTATCTAATGCAAAGTTTATATTCAAATGTTTAGGACAGGGTTCAGCAAACTTCTTCAGTATCGGGCCAGACAGTAACTATTTTAATCTTTTCAGGTCAGACATTCTCTGTTGCAACTAGTCAACTTTGTAACGGTAGAGTGGAAGCAGCTACAGACAATGCATAACACAAATGAGTGTGGTTAGGTCCCAATAAAACTTTATTTACAGAAACAGATGGTGGTATGGTCTAGAATTTTTATTATTTTAAAAAATTGGTGCTAGATTTTATTTTAGCCTTATAAATCTCATAATTCAAGATGTATTACAGAATTCAGTCTTGGTTTTGAAAAGCTTTTGCTATGGATTGCCATGGATTGGATTATTCAACCATATATCATTTTACCTCTTACATTTCTTCATTTCTGTGAATCTAGTTTCAGCAGATCTACCTCTTTTTTATTTGACAAGACCAATATTTACCATAACTAATACATGGCTTTGTCTCTTTTTTTAAAAAAAAATGTGTTAAAATATATATTTTAACACAAAATTTACCACTGTACCCATTTTTAAGTGTATAGTTCAGTGGCATTAAGAACATTCACATTGTTGTGCAACCATCATCACTGTACATCACCAGAAATTTTCATCTTCTCCAACTGGAAATATGTATCTATTAAAAAGTTAGCTCACCATTCTTCCCTCTCCTGAGCCCTGGCAACCATAATTCTACTTTTTGTCCCTGTGAATTTGACTGCTCTAGCTACCTCATATAAGTGGAATAATATAGTATTTGTCTTTCTGTGACTGGCTTGTTCACTTAGCATATCCTCAAAGTTCATCTATTTTGCAGCATGTGTAGAATTTTATTCCTTTTTAAGGCTGAATATTTTCCATTGTACGTATATGCCATATTTTGTTTATCAATTCACCCCTCAATGGACAACTAGGTTGCTTTTACCTTTTGACTTTTGTGAATAATGCTGCTATAAACATGTGTTCCAGACTCATTTTTAAAGCATGAGTTTTCTTTCTGTCTAGTTCTAGCATCAGCCATGAACCTGAAGTGCCACATTTAACATAATAGTGTCATTTAGAAATTAGCTCAATAGAAGATATCTAGGCAAACAAGTCATAGATGAAGTAATCTCCTCCCTCCACCCCCTCCTTCAAGAATTCAGCATTTCTTGCCTGAATATTGCTATAGCCAAGTCTCCTTGCCCCCAGATTTGTCCTGTTTCCCACTGCACTGGAATGACATATCTAAAATGCAGAATTGATTACATCACTCCCCTGACTGAGACATTTCCATAGCTCTCCATTTCCTCCAAGACTCAATCTAATGATCTCAGCCTGGTGTATCAGAACCTCAAATATTCTAGCTCTTACCTGTCTCCCCATTCTTACCTCCTGCCATCTCCAGCCTTTCATTTCATATTTCAGCAGTACTGAGCTGCTTCTTATCATGTCCTCCTTCAAAATAAAGGAAAACAATAAATGATGTCTTTGTTCTTTGTTCTATCTGCCTGGAAAGCTTTTTCTCCCTTTTCTTTGCTGGAAGATTATCCTTCAAGATTAAACTTTGGTAGTAATGCTTCCAGGAAACCTGGTCCAGACAAGCCCCACCCCTTCTCCCCTCAGGTTGGGTGCCCCAGGGCATCCTGTATTTAGCCCTGTCCTAACATCAAATTGAAATGATCTGCATAACTTTTTCTTTTCAGATGACTTAACCCCCTCAAAGATAGGGGCCATGCTTTAGTAATCTTTTCACCCCTAGTGCCCAAAGAACGGAATGCCAGAAACCTAGTAGGTGTTTAATAAATGTTTTTGAAATCGAACAAAATTACGTTCTTACAAGGGAAGGCTCTTTGTGAGCTGTTCCAGTGCAACTAACCAGCTTCATTCATGCTATTCCAGTCTCTCCTCAGCCATGTGCTCCAGCCACATCTAATTCTAGTGCTTCTCTAAGTTAGCAAGGAACTTCCATGCCCCAGGGCCAATGCTCATTCCTGACTCTCTGAAATTCCTTACACTTCTCTTCCTAAGGTAGTCCTATTCATTCCTTAATACCAAGCCTCAATATCATTGACTTTGAGAAGTTTACTTTGACTCTGCCAGACAGAAGGAATCCTCTGCTCTTCTGTTCCTCACAGCCCTAAAGATAACATTACATTGTAAGTAATTTATACAGATGTCTTTCACATAGACTGTTTGTCGAGTTAAAGAACCTTGTTTTACTCATCTTTGTGTTTCCAAAGCCTAGCACAGTGCCTGGCACATGGTCAGATGGTAGGTGTTCAATAGGTGCTAGATAAATAAATGAATAAGTGAATTGTAATAGACACTTGATAACCATTGTCTGAATGGGCACAAGAAGAATCTGATACAATTTGTTTTCATAACAGAATAATATGGCCTAATTCAGGGTCTGGGGCTCAGATGCCAAAAAAGTCTCTCTCCTCCAACCTAGCCATGTGTTTTTGTGGCTTTATGTAACCTTGTCCCTCCACAAATGTACATGGGAATGGAGGGGTACAACCCTGGTCCCAAAAAGGAGAAGTGAAAACATAAAATCATGACTGATGGCCTTCAGTGTCCCAGATCAAAGTTTGAGGGAGAGGGTAATAGGGCTTTGGGTAAGAACTTCACCATAGAGAGGATGAGCTTGAAGAGGTAAGCTGAACTCAATACCAGGGTTTGCATCTTTGCTGTGAGGTGCTGATCTTCAGAAAGATACTAGCAACACTGCTGCAGCAGCCACCTGTTGCCATGAGAGAGCTTTGGGGTAAATGGTTGCAAACATGACAATTGAAAGAGCTGTGCTATTCAACTGAAACACTGTAATGCCTGGGCTCAGGCAGTGTTGCTGTAGGTCATACCTGAAGACAATCACAAGAAGGAACACCTACACTCCTACCACAAGAAGCCACACCAGCCTGGGCAAATTGTCAGAGATCTCTCCTGGTCATAGTGGCAGGAGGCAGACAAATCCTAGGCAGACAGGGGTGGGTCCCTGGTGAAACCCCATCTCCAAACCAAAGACACTTTAAAGCCTAAAAGCCTAGCTACAAGCTAAATCCATGGACCAGATTGAGAACCTGTCTTCTGGTTTTGCATGTTTTCCTCTGATTGATCCCCATCCTTCACCTATTTTACATATGCCTACCCTTCCCTAATTGGTTTTTTCCGCTGTTGTGCCCACCTTTGAGTGGTGCCTTTGTTTTAACCATTTTTGCATATTCACAAACCAATCAGCACTCACTCCCCTATTCTGAGCCCATAAAAGCCCTGGACTCAGCCACACTAACAGAGAAAAACCACCCGTGGTTGACCACCCTAGTGTCCCCTCTCCTCTGAGGGCTGTTTCATTGCTCAATAAAATTATTGTCTGCCTTCCTCACCCTTCAGTTGTCAGCCTATTTTCATTCTTCTTGGATGAGGGACAAGAGCTTAGAAACCACCCAGTGTGGGTATGAGTTACAACAAAGTGGGCTGAGGTATGCAGGCTGAGCTGGTGTGTAAGCCCAGCATGGCCTGGTGGGCTGAATGGGTAGGGTGTCTCCTGCATCACTGGGGTATATGAGGGGGATGGCTCTGTGTTGGTGGAGGTGGTGACAGTGCTGACAGCAAGGCAGAGGGTCAGCAGATGGATGGCTTGGTCATAGCCACATGGCTGGAGTGTGGGAATTTTCAGCCTGGCACTCAGCAATAGTGGGCTTCTAGCTCCACCTGCCATAGAATGTTGGCAGAGCAGGCTGATGATTGGGGTATCAGGTAGACAGGGCCTTGTCTGGATTTCTGCAGCCACTGCAAGGGACTGCAGTAAAGATTAGTTCACTGATACACGCAAGACACTCTGAGGAAGTTCTTAAATATTTGGAGTGAATTATTCTGGAAAAGACTGAAATTCTTACCAGAAGTAGTGGAGGCTTGAGGCCCTTATAAGTTAGGCCTAATTGTAAACATGGCTTATTTTGCATTCACAGGTTGGTGAAACCAGGGACAAAGTGATGACATAGATGAAAGCAAGCTTTTGACTATTTAAGTGAAAAGATGTAATGATGGGAGGCATTATAGCCCATAATGGACAGGGCCAGAATTTTACTCATCAGCCTGGACCTCTTCACACAGGGCACTATACTCAACTCAGTTTTCTTGCAATTGGTTGGTTATGCTCGCTCCTGCAAATGCAATTTGTAAAGCGCCTTGTGTCCACAGCTCCTCAGTCTGATGGATGCCTGACAGGTGCATCTCAAAGGCTGCCCTGAGGGACCTGATTGCCCCTTCCTGACCCAGGAAACCTTGGACCCTTACCCAGGACCCCAGCTTGGCTCAGTGATGGGCCATTCCCTCCACCGTCCTCTCCTCTCATGAGTAGTTTTGCTTGGAGATCACCTTCCTGACAGCCATTTCCCTCACACTCTGAGCCCTGTGAACTTGAACTGCAATAAACTTGAACTGCAGACCAAAAATCTAAGTGTCCTGACCACAGAATCTCATAAATTGTGCACTAAGTTCTTCGGGAAGTGGTGGGCATATTTAAGATGGGATTAATATATTCCTTCAACATATATAAGATGAGATTAATCTCTGAGAAATGTGTTGAAGGAGAAAGACATGAAATGGACCAGAGACCTAATAAGCTGTTTTCCTCTCCAATTTTCAGGATTTTTGCAATGAATCATGTTGACATATTAAAAAAGAAAAGAAACAAAAGGACATTTCCCTTTGCCCCTATCATGGGGGCTACTTCATTTGTAGAGAAGTGAGTTATTTTAAACCATGAAGCATGCACTTGGGAATTTGCACTTCTGGGAAGCTTTTGGCTCTTCCCATAAAGTGCTGAAAGGAACTTTGACTAGAAACAACCTCTCCACCCAGTGAATGCTGGGACTGAATGAGTTGAAAGAGATGTCTTTTTGCTTTCATTTTTTTCCACCCCCAACCCTGCATTTAAGGGGGAAAAAAGTGTCTTTTTTTTTTTTTTCCTTTGAGCCTATACCAGACTAGTTAATAGAACAGGGTAATTCTGGATACACGTCTGTGCAAAATAGGTGAGTATAAAGAGCTGGTGAGAGGCATTTGAATGGATGTCATTGTCTTTCACAAAGCATCGTTTTGTCTCATTGTTTTCACCTAAGACTTCTTGCAAAACAACCGGCTTTGAAAGTGCAAGATCTGCTGCTTAACTCTTGAAGAGCTGACAGACATCACACCTTTTCCAGTAAAATTGTGACTGGAACTTCAATCATTTTTTTTCAGTTTCTATGCAGTAGGTGCAACAATTAGAGAGAACTGTTAGCTGACTGTCCTACACCCAGTTCTAATACTGTCAGAAGAAACTAAAAATATTCTGTGGCCAAACTATAGAGCGTCCTGCTTCTAATAAGGCAGGGTTGAAACTAGTGAGGGGGAGGTCATATTATCCACAGAAATGGTGAGATGACACAAAACCATTGCATGAAATTTCCTTCATCTAAAAAAGGCCTTTTTATGATACTATAATTTGGGTGAAACATACAAACCAAAGACCATTTTTAAGTAGGGCCAGCTTTTGTAGGCTATATCTAGTCACGTTTCCACTTAGTAAAAATATCAGGATGCATTTTGGCAGAAATTTTCATTATGATGTTGTTATTCATTTGAAAATTTATTAAGGACTTCACTCGGAGGTTGTTCCAAGCCTCTGATTCTAATCAGTCTTCATTATAGAGTCTTTTGTACTGAAAGCCCTCAAGGAGATCCCCAAATAGTACAAAAACAAGGTGAAGGCACTCTAACATGTACAGTCAGCCCTCTGTAGCTGCGGATTCCACATCCATGGATTCAACCAACTGTGCATTGGAAATATTCAAGAAAAAAAATGGATGGTTGTGTCTATACTGAACTTGTACACATGTTTTTCCTGCCATTATTCCCTGAACAATACGAGGTAGCAATGACCTACATAGGAATATGGTTTGGGTGTGTCCCCTTTAAATCTCATATTGAAATGTGATCCCCAATGTTGGAGGTGGGGCCTGGGGGGTGGATTCTTCATGAATGGCTTAGTGCCATCCCTTTGGTGATGACTGAGTTCTCACTGTTAGTTCATGTGAGAGCTGGTTGTTTAAAACAGCCTGGCACCTCCCCCTTTCTCTCTCACTCCCTCTCCCACTGTGTGATATACCAGCTCCCCTTTTCCTTCTACCATGATTGGAAGCTTCCAGAAGCCCTCGCCAGGAGCAGATCCTGGTACCATGTTTCCCATAGAGCCTGCAGACCCGTAAGCCAAAATATACCTCTTTTCTCTATAAATTACCCAGCTTCAAGTATTCCTATATAGCAATGCAAACAGACTAACACATATAATATTTACTTTGTATTGGTTATACAAAGTAATTTAGAGATGATTTAAAGTATATGGGAGAATGTGCATACAATATATGTAAATACTGTCCCATTTTACATTAGGGACTTAAACATCTGCTGATTTTGGTATCCACAGGAGTTCTGGAACCAATCGCCCTCAGATACCAAGGGATGATCGTATGTATATCCGTTATAGGGGAGTGGGTATGAAACAAAACAGAGATAATCAAAATACCTGTTTTATAGTGCTACTGTGAACATTGAGTGCATTACTACATATACAATATTTAAATCAGAGTTTGGCACAAGGTGAGTGCTCAATAAATGTTAGCTATCCTTATTATTATTACTTATATATAATACATGCAAATATATTTGCACATATATGTGCATTTTATGACACAAAGATACAGACTTGAAATAATAGTCCTCATCTTTTAGCATTGAAGTATCCAACAATGCTTATGATTAACTCAAGTCTGAACTGAAGCAAGGGCTGCCTCTTTTTGTAGTGAAATATTCATGGCATGCTATTTACCATTTTACCCACTTTAAAGTGTACAGTTCAGTGGCATTAAATATATTCACATTGTTGTGCAGCCATCATCACCGTCCATCTCTAGAAGTTTTGTCTTCCCCAGATGAAACTCTGTACTCATTAAACACTAATCTTTCCATTCCCTCCTCCCACCAGCTTCTGGCCATGACCACTCTGTTTGCCATCTGTATGAATTGGACTATTCTAGGTCCCTCATCTAAGTGGAATCCTACACTGTTTGTCCTTTTTTTTGTCTGGCTTATTACACTAAGAATGATGAGTTTAAGGTTCATCCATGTTGTAGCCTATGTCGGAATTTTATTCCTTTTTAAGGCTGAATTAGGAGATTTCATTTTAAAATTGAGGTATTTTGGGATGACCATATGGCCATAGTTCATAGAGACAATTATTTCCAATCCTCTCTTCTCTCTCCCAGGACTCATTGTATGAATATTCTAATGAGGATTAATGGCATGGCTTCCCCGTGGTGCCCTTCCTCCAGGAAGAGCTTTGCCCTTGAACTTGAGCTCTGGGGTCAGATAGATGGACGTGCATTTGCATCTGCATTCTGCCACTTAAGAAGTTCATTATCTTGGGCATACAGTTACGTTGAACCATATAGTATTGCTGACTTTGATAATTTTTTATGTACATTTTCATAGGACACAACCTATTTTTTTTTACTTCTCTGCTCCTCAATGATGTAAAATATAAGGGGTAAAAATCGTGCTTGCCTCATAGAGTTGCTGGGAGAATTGAATGGCGTGATGTGGTGTTTAGCCTGAGCATGGCCAAGAGCACACTGAGTGTGGCTTATGCTTGCTGTGTGTAGCCACCTCTCCTCAGGGACAGGAGCCTCTCCTCGCAAATTCAAGGTCTCAGGAGTCCTCAACTCTTTCCCCATCTCTCCTGAATCTGCTTAACTGTAGCTTCACCATCAATTCAAGGGTGTCAGAGGCAGCGTGGAATGAGAGCAATTTTCCTGACACTCAATTTTAGAGGGCATAGAACAGTGGGCACAGCAAATACCATCCCCTATCTTCATGGAGTTAATGCTCTAGATGGGGAGTGAAAAAACAAGATAAGTAAGAAAAATAGATGGTATGTTAGAAAAACTAAAGCAGGGGAGGGAGACACGAGGTGTTGGAGAGGGGATGAGGCGCCCTTACTCTGCTACAGAAGCAGGTTTGGGTGCTGATGTCCTTCCAGGCCTTCACCGGGTCACTTCTCCATGCTTTACATGTGTTCTCCCTTCACAGCCAGTTCTCCCCAGTGCATCCTACCCCACCTCAAGTTCCGTGAACTCTGCTGCCTTAGTTTAATTTATTCACACTCTCTCTACTCACTATGTTGCCCAGGCTGGACTTGAACTCCTGGGATCCAGTGATCCTCCCACCTTACCACCCAAAGTGCTAGGATTACAGGTGTAAGCCAGGGTGCCCGGCTTACCCTGCGCTGTTTTCCTCATTCCCCTCATCCTGCTTCTTTTTTTTTTCTTTTTTCGAGACAGAGTCTCACTCTGTCATCCAGGCTGGAGTGCAGTGGTGCGATCTCGGCTCACTGAAAGCTCCGCCTCCTGGGTTCACGTCATTCTCTTGCCTCAGCCTCCCGAGTAGCTGGGACTACAGGCGTCTGCCACCACGTCCAGCTAATTTTTTCTATTTTTTTCTATTTTTTTTTTTTTTTAGTAGAGATGGGGTTTCACCATGTTAGCCAGGATGGTCTCGATCTCCTGACCTTGTGATCCGCCTGCCTCAGCCTCCCAAAGTGCTGGGATTACAGGCGTGAGCCACCGCGCCTGGCCTCCTGCTTAATTTTTAAAGTAGTTCTCCCTGACTTTTTGTTATACACTTATTTATCTGTTCATTATCTGTCCCTCTAGAGCACACTCTCTCAAACTTTACTGTGCACACGAACCCAACTGCAGAGCTTGTTACAGTGCAGATTCTGTTTCTTTAGGTCTGGGGACCCCAGAAATGCTGCATTTCTAATAAGGAGGTGAGTGGTGCTGATGCAGCTGGTTTGAGGACCCATTTTGAATGTCAGGTCTTGAAGGTAAGCAGTATAAAAACCAGAATTTCATATATCTTATCCTACACTTAACCCCCTAATGCAGTGCCTGACACAGTGTCTGCACATAGGCAACAATCAATAAATGTCTCAGGAATGAATGAATGAATTCTCCAGGGATCAAAAATCCCTCTTGTTAAAGAGAAAAGACATTTGCACAAATCACTCTCATACAAATCATGGAAAAGAGGAAAAAAGCCAGATGGAGTGATGGGGGAGCTGAGAGGAGAGAGATTAATTCTGACCAAAGATATCTACAGAAGAGGTGGGGCGTGATCTGGGCGCTGAAGGATGGGCAAGATTTGGAGAGGCAGAGGCAGGAGAGAGCCTCTGGGAGAAGGCTGGGGACAAATGAATGCAGTGGAAAAGTGCTTGTCAGGGAAGGATGGCTGGTTTGCAGCAGTGAAGGAGGTGGCAGGAAAGTTACAGCACCTTGAGTGCTAACTTGCTGCTTCTTCCCTTCCTTCCTCTTTCTTTTTCTTTTTCTAGTCTGGATCCTGGTCAGCTCTCTTAGCTTAGTTGAAACTGCCTTTCGAGGTGAACTGCATGTTGACTTTGCAGCGTCCCCTGAATTAGGAATCCCATGAGAAGGCTCCCTCGCCCCAGGCCTGTTACAGGATGTGGCATTTGGCCACCCTGGCTCAGCCTCCATTATTAATCCGGCTGCCTTGGGTTTTACCAGAATTCTCCCTGCATCCTACCCTTTCATAACCCTAAGGTCTCCAAATACCTCATTTTCCCCTACCTGAGACCCTCAATCTCCTTGCCAACTAATTCCCCTTCCTGAATCCCAGGGAATTACAGGACCACATCATCAGCAAAATTGTAACATTTCCTCACCTGAACTCTGTTTCCCTGGGGCCCAGCCAGGCCTGATGTAGTCCAATTCAGGGTAATTGATGGGAAAGGTATTCCTTCTTTCTCCCCACAAGGTACAGGAGACTGTCCAGGGCCTAAAAATGACTTTGTGAAAAACACAGATAAGATCACAAAAATTAATCTATTGAAGAATGTATATTTCAGCACTGCTTTTTGCATAATGTGTGTGGTCTGTTCTTTTCTTTATTTTGAAGCTCATACTCCAGCAGTGAAAGGTACCTGCTCTCCCAACCTACTATGGACTTTTAGATTGTTGTTGGGTTTGAAATGAGCCATGGTGAGGGGGTGGCAGCTGTCCCTGTGACACCGCCTCTCAGGTTCACCACTGACTCAATCTTTTGCTCAGAAAACGCTGCCTCATCCCTAATGGCTGCCCAATCAGGAAAATATTATTTTCAGATGTTTTAAATTTCTGCCGCGAGAAACATATGTCCTGCCATATGGAGCACAATAGGAGCTAGTTAAGGCCAAAGTGGAAACCAGGATTGGGAATTCTCTTTATTTCTGTGTTTGAAGTCAGACCCTGTAGGCCAGATTTCCCCAACCGGCAGACTAAGCTGTGCTCTAAATTAGAGTTTGTGTGCATCACAGAGATGCCATGTACACAAAACAGGCAACTGCAAGCCCCTCTCTCTCATTAGCAACACATCCAATTAGGAGAGCTACCACGGTGCTGCTGTAGCCCCATCTGGAGATCAAATCACAGACAACCTTGCAAATGCTCCAAAGTCATCTGCGGCATGATGTAAAACATCAAAATAGATCTACCTTCACACCAAGAGAGTTGCTCTAAAGCTACACATTTGATTGGTGCAATTTTTTTGTTTTTATCAAGATCATTTACGCTTTTTAAATAGTTAGAAGGGGCTTGTGCGATTAAAATTTGGGAGGGTATCTTCTCATTCTAAAGCATATAAGAGATAAAGGGATTTGTGTGAATAATGATTACGCATTACAATACACCATTGTAGTACACAGGCTCATTCTCTTGGAGTAAAGAAAGAGTTGTGATTTGATCAGGATCAAGTTTGCAGTATTTATGCATGTGGTTAAATTACTTGCTAATCTTAATTCAGCTGCTTTAAAAGTTTTATTACTGAATGATGGCTCCCTCTCACTCTTTACCTAGTAAACTCAGCCATCTGGACAAGGATAACTACTTAATTTTTAAAAGCTCACCTGGCAAGCCTATAAAAGCTACTAAATGACCATGATTATTTATCTTTTCAAGAAAAGACCACTGTGCAGGCGGTAGAACAATCAATACAATATCACCACTTTTTGCTTCTAATAAACTACTCTGGCACAAAAATTAAAATTATTGAAAAAATATTAAAGAAATGTTTATTAAAAATAGTTTTTGGAAATTTTTTCTTTTTATCTTTTTTTTTTTTTTTTTTTTTGACACAGAGTCTCATTCTGTTGCCCAGACTGGAGTGCAGGATGCATATGGCTCACTGCATTCTAAACCTCCTAGGGTCAGGTGATCCTCCCACCTCAGCCTCTGTGGTAGTTGGGACTAAAGGTGCATGCCACCATGCCTGGCTAGGTTTTTGTAGAGATGGGGTCTTGCCATGTTGCCCAGGCTGGTCTTCAACTGCTTCACTCAAGCAATCTACCCACCTCGGCCTCCCAAAATGCTGGGATTACACGTGTCAGCCACTGCATCTGGCCTTTTTTCTTTTAAATAAGGAGTAATAGGCATTATAAAAGGCAATATTTTCAAATTTCCCATTCTTGAAAAATAAAGATTAAAACAAAATATATGAATTTGAATACTTTTTAACATAGAAGTTTTAAAAATCAAAGCCCCAATGAGTGGTGTATTTTTAACCATTAGTTTTAAATATAAGGCTTTTAGAATTACAGTAGTAATAGTATTCGACTTTTGCATTTAATCTAAGAAAAATGCAAGGGACACCAGAATATAAAAAATGGCATTAGCTTATCAGTGACTGACTCACTAAGCAAGTTCTTCTGTGCACAGTCCTGAGCTGGGTTATGAGGAGGAAAGAAGTATCAGAGTCCTGCTCACAAGGAAAGCTTCCAATCCATCCTACTCTTACCCTGGCTTTTCCTTTCAGAACAGCTTGGTTTCATTTACTGAGCTGCTCTACATACCAGGCATTGTGCAACAAGCTTTCAGTAGTGGAGACAGGCAGGAGAATAACTTCCTACATGAGCTAAGATCTATGATTTACATCACTGTGGGATGCTAAGGAAGCCCAGTGGAGATCACAGAGAAAGGGCATAAGGTCAGAGAAGGCTTCCCAGAGGTCATGGTATCCACCTTGCATCTGAAGTGTCTTCACTCGGTTTGTTAAGTTGATGCCTAGCTTCCGTTTCCATGATTCTAGGTTGGCAGCCAGGCTGCGTCTTTCTTGAACTGTGTGAGCATGGAGCCATCGACCTCAAGCCTACTCCCCACTTAGTCAACAGAAGGCTTGGTTTTCAACCTCTGCCCAAAGGGAACACCCCACCGAATTCCTGTTTCCAGTCTGAGAAGTAGGTATCTCTACTTTCAGCTCATGTGCAGAACAAAGATGTCTGGTGGATTAAGCCCAAGGAACGGCTGGTCTTTCCCAGCCCCAGGTCAGCTCAGCCCCTTTCAGGTGATTTGGGTGTCCTCTTCCCCTCCCTCCCACTAGAGGTGAACACTCAGAGTCTTAACTTGAAATACTTTTAATAGAAAAGCATCTTCATGGATATCAGAGGGTGGCTGTTCCCTCAAAGAGAGTGGCAGGGAAGGATGCTGTAAATGAAAACAGAACCAGTGGGTGAACGAACACTGAAGTGTGTGGACCATAGGAAGGCATTGCTGGTTCTTTACCAGGAAGCTATTTCGATGAAATAATGGAGTTGTAGCAAAATAGCTCAGTGATGGTATCCAGCATGCATTAGATAAGAAACTAGAGGCAAGGAGACAAATGAGGGCAATAGTGCAATAATTCAAGTTTAGTGAAATCATAGTGTTGGTCTTGAAATAGGAACAAAGAATGAAGCCAAAGAAGAAGTAGAAAGACTTGGAGGGGATGAGGGAGTGTGTAATACAGAAGAACAGCAATCAGTGATGACTTCTGAAGGCATTTGGTGTGATTTTGTGTGGGTAGAGGGATTGCTGTTATCTGCCTGCAGTAATTGAGGCTTAATTATTATTTTAAAGCCCTGTGCTAAAAATAAGGATTGTATATTGAATATGACTGCATGTTTAAGATTGGGCATTTGCCTTTCCCAGTTTTTCTTTTCTTCATGTCTTATATTTCCCTAGCCTTGGGTTGTGATCCCTGTCCTCCTTGCACAAAGGTAAGAATACCTATTCTCCACCTGTGTTTTGGTGACAGGGACTAAGGGCTTTGGCTCAGAAATAGCTAGACAAGCACAAGTAGATAGTACCCCTAACCCATATACAAAGCTTGAGCTTTGAACGGTCTTGATTATATGCATTTTAGTAAAATGTGCGGCTTTGTTTTTGTGTAGAGCTTTAAGGGTAACATTTTAAAATCCTAGACTTCCCTTCTTTGAAAAGTAGAATCGAATGAAAAATAATTTCAGGTTGAATTATGGAAAAAGCAGGGCTCAAGTCTGAATTCAACAAAAGCTTAATTTGAATGGTCGGATTATTTTGTAAATGTGTTAGTGTCCACAGTCAGGGCTTTCTGAACTCCAAATAATATGACATTGGGGCTTCTAACATTTCCTTATTCTGAAACAGCGAGAAGGGTTCTTGATGTTCTCTAGGCCATTTTAAGTTTCTCTCCTGACATACCTCAGACAAGATCCTTTCAGCAAAGCCATGGACCCTCACAGACCTCTAGCCCCAGCTTTGTTTCGAAACGTAAAGCTCCCAGAGGCCAGTCTTCTTTAAGAACATAGGCCACTGCGTGGAATGCTTTGAGGTGTTGCATCGCATTCTGTGTGCTTAAAAGCCCTCAAGTGGAAAACTCAGATCAGTCGCAAAGAACCAGCCCTTTGTTGACAGCCAACTTCTCCATGCAATTTCTATCTGTTCTTTACTGCTAGAGCAGCATGAAGTCAGTGCTGAAAAAAAAGTAAGCTTTATGTCTTTGTTGCTTTTTCAGTTTCTGTTTGGGGCCTTGGTGCTGTGTTAATGAAAGACTCATGGGAAATATAACAGCTGGTGCTGGTACCCAGAGCAGAAGAGCTACAATTGATTGGAACATGGAGGGCTCCTTGTAGGTGCTATAAATTGCATTGTCGGGTTAGTGTAAAGTTACTAAAATAATACCTAAGTCTGTTTCCTCAACCATTCGAAGCTAATATCCAGTCCGTGGAGATGAAAACACTGAAGAGGAGGGGGCGGGAGGCAATGAATGTTCAGTTGGAACAAGAAATGGAATAAATGACTCTGAATGAACTAGTGCTTTTTTTCTCCCCATAAAACTTATTTGGTTTAGTCTTATGTTTTTCATGCTTTGAATATTAAAATACAGAAAAATGGTCATTTGAAGACATGTGTTAGATAGGACTTTCATTCAAGATGGAAGAATGAAACTATTTGAACACATATTCTTACTGCTGGATATTAAGATGACAAATTTGAGATGTTCAGTCAACTCTTTTGAAAGACAGAATAGAAAGAGAGACAAAGGTGATGTTCCAAAAGGCAAAATTAAAACAGAGAACTACTTTCACTTGGTCAATTATTTCAGGGCAAGAGATAAGGATCCTCATTAAGAACCAGCACCATAAAAAGTACTTTCAGTGAGGAAATTAAACAAGAAAGGAGGTAGGGAAAGCAGGAAGTAAAGGCTGTGGAAAATGTTTCTAAATTTTTTAATTATTCATTTCATTTCCTGGAAAGAAATGGCTACCCAGTGGTGGGTTGGTTTAGTTTAATGTTTACTTCAAAATACATTTTTATTGCCTGAACTTTATTAACAGGATCAAAACTACCAAGGAAACATGAATGAACATTAAAAAATTTGGACTTTCTGAGTATTAGTGGCTGTGTTAAAGGGAGAAGATATTGTCTAATTTTTCTCTTCACTTTTTCTAAGTGATAAGAGTTTGGCTTGAGTAGGTAAAGTGAACAAAAAAATCAAATAGGCCAGAGGTAATTCAAGTAACACCTTTTTTTTTCTCTCTATTATAGAGAGTTTGCTTGACTTTACAAGGGAAGTAAATTGAATTATCTATACCTGACCTCAGATGGTGGAAAATCATCTAACTCCCACCTCCCTGAATCCTTACACTCATTTTCATGTTTCTTTTTAAGACAGTTTCTATATATATCAGACAAGAGGGGTGATCACTCTTGCCCACAGCCACCTTCTTAAAGAGCCTAGCCTCAATAACAGAGGTGTTGGCACTTAGGGGTGGGAAAGGGGAAATTTCCATGTGACCTTTCAGTATATCCCTTTTCTGAAAGTGACTTTTTCAGTGTGAAATCTCTGATGTGGTTGCACTTGACTGAAGCTGTTCTTATTTTTAGTCCATTTTACAGTGAAGCCAAATTTAATATCAATGTGCCTGTATGTAGTGGGAGGGATAGCAGTTTGACTGGCTGAACTGTTACTGAAGTTCAATCATAATCACCATGTCTTTGGTCTGGACCTTGGTTTTCTGGGAGGTGAAGATGGAGATAATATCTGACTTAATACTTGGCAGTAATATTTATAAAGCAACGATATCACTTCAATCATTGTTATCGCTACTACTTCTAGACTGTGTACAGATTCAGAATTAAGAAACTTATGAACTCTTACTGCAGTCTGGAACAATACACTTAGCCTTTCTGGAAGTGCCTTTATGCAACAAATGCAAGTCATTTTAACTTTGTTTTAAGACACATTATTCTACCAGCCATTGACCTTGAAGGGCTGGCCAAAAATAGCATAACTAACAAGAAAACATCAGAATCAGGCAGGAGAAGCCTATGATCTAATTCCCTGCTTGCTGTGTTTATTTCCTAAATGGAAGTCACCACATTCCCCTATCCTCGGACAGTGTGCTGAACTCATATGTATTTATGACGTATTATTCAACAGTAACAATAATATGCTGGCTGGGACTCATGCCAATTGGCATGGAATGACACCTATAAGTGTTATAAGGGATGGTCTCCCATCTCTATTTTGCTCTTGTTCATAAAATCCAACTAATTGCCTCTGGGTTTATGAAAGAAGCAGCAGAAGCCAGGTGGAGCTGCTAAAAAAATGCTGATTGGAACTTTTGGGGGCAGATGTCTTGATTGCACAGAGGCTGAGGAATCAGACAGAGAGATACAATGGAGTTAATTTATAACCCTTGGAATTGGTGGAGGCTTTGCCAAGTTATGGGCAAGACAAGTGCTTCTCAAGCCTTAATGGGCTTATGGATTATCCAAGGATCTTGTTAAGATTCAGATTTAGATTGAGCAGGTCTGGGAGAGGACTTCAGACTCTGCATTTTTAACAAGCTCCTGGGTGATGCTGAGAACTGTCCTTTAAGTAGCAAGAGATACAGTGGCTACTGGGAGTTTCTTGGTAAAGGAAGAAAATGTGGGCCAAGGGGTATGGAGAGAAAAGACTGGGGAAGGGATCCTGGGTGGAAAGTTGAGGCATGGTCCCTGAGGCTGGCTGAAGGGCAGGGGGACTGGGTTTTCAGAAAGCAGATCTAGTGCCAGGTGAGCCAAGACCTGTGGGGCAGAGTAGGCCAGGCTGGCCCTCTTAAGAAATTCTTCTGGTGAGGCAATTTGTATCAGACCAACGTGTGCAGGATCAGTACAGATATCAGAATGGCCCCTCCTAGTTTGAGTGCTCTTTCCACGGGTGGAATGGGACCCAGTAGCCTTTAAAACTGATGGGAGAACCCATGTTGAACCCATGTTGTCAGTAGAGGGTAATAATTACAGAGAAGAGTTCTTGGAGTCAGGCCTGGGTTCAAGACCCAGGTCCATTAGTTACGTGCTGTTTCTGGCAAGGTTAACCTCTCTAAACCTCAGTTTTCTCACTGGCAAAATAATGCTTACCAGCTGGTTATTCAAATATAGTTCTCTTTATATGCAAGAGATCCTAAGCATAATCTTGTTCTGTCCATTTTTTAGAACTGATTTCTCACTTACAGCCCTGGCCTCTTAAGGTAGGTTACACAAAGAATATTTATTTCCTTTCATGAATATATTATTTTGGATCCTGCACTTGGAATTCAAACTTCATTATATTTATTACAAAGTCCCTGGCTGAGCAGATGAATATGGCTTTCAAGTCTGTTTCTAATCTATAGAAATGTCCTAAAATGAGAATAAGCTTGATATGTTTCAGGGACAGAAAGACATCTAGCCTGGTTCAAGCAGTGTAAATAAGAAAGAGTGATATGGGATGAGGTCTGAGAGACAGGTAGGAATGAGACAGTATAGGGCTGTGTAAGCCATGAAAAAGGTTTGAATTTTATTAAAGCAGCAAGGGTACAATTGAGATCATTTAGGCACCTAATGATTAAAAGGAAGTAATGGTGATACCTAACATCCTTATTACCTTATTGAAGGGTTACCCTGTGCCAGGCATGGTGCTAAGTGTTTATATATATTAACATTTAACCCTACATTAACCACAGGAGGTGGGTACTATTTTTATGTTATTATTTTTGATTAGGGCCTCACTCTGTGGCCCAGGCTGGATCATGGCTCACTGCAGCCTCATCTCTGGGGTGCAAGTGATCTTCCCATCTCAGCCTCCCAGGTAGTTGGGACTACAGGCATACACCATCATTCCCAGCTAAGTTTTAATTTTTTTTTTTTTTTGTAGAGATAAGATCTCACTATGTTGCCCATGCTGGTCTCTAATTCATGGGCTCAAGTGGTCCACCCTCCTTGGGATTAAAAGTGTGAGCCACTGTGCCTGGCTGTGGATACTATTATTACAGGTTGAGTATCACTTATCCAAATTGCTGGAGGACACATAAGTGTTTCCAAGTTTGCATTGTTTTAGATTTTGGAATATTTGCATATACATAATGAGATATCTGGGGGATGGGACCCAAGTCTAAACATGATATTCGTTTATATTTTATATCCACCTTATACACAGAGCTCAAAGGTAATATTACATAATATTTTAAATAACGTTTTGTGCATGAAACAAAGTGTCAACTGTTCTTTTACTGTGACCCATCACATGAAGTCAGGTGTGGAATTTTCCACTGTGGTGTCACGTCGGCACTCAAAAAGTTTTGAATTCTAGAGCATTTTGGATTTTGGATTTTGGATTTTTGGATTGGGGATGCTTAAACTGTACCTCCTTTTTGTAGACGAGTCATTTGAGGTTTAGGAGGTTAATTAAATGCCCAAGGTCACTCAGCTGGTAATTAAAAGGAAGCAAGATACCATCACACTGTAGTCCTTCTAAATCCTCTCCAGCCGGTTTCCAGCCATTGTTTCAACGTGGGCTTGTTTAATTTGCAGTTAGTACTGCTGGTTATGGTAACTTGAGGCTGCCAGTCACACAAGCTCCCATGCAGCAGTGGATGTGAACATAAACTGGATGCAGTTGGGGCCTTCTTGGCAGTTCTGGGAGAAGCACGAGCATCTTCTCACCTGGACCATCATGGCATTTTCTCCGTCTGCACATCTCTGTGTGTGAAAGTGTCCAAGTGTGTATATCTTCTTTATGCCTCTAAAATTCCTTCCCCTGGGCCACGGTAAATCACTGCTTTTCATTAGATGGTGTAATTAATCCATCTGCCCATTGGTGCCTCTGAGCAATATTCCCTCACCGGGCACATCTGTTCCTATGAATCTGCAGCAAGCAGGACCAATCTTTTAGGGATCACAGGCACTAGGAGAGACTTGTTTTTTTTTTATGTCCACGCATTTCTCTCTTACTCCCTGGGGTAGTTAGCTGCCTTTATGTGGGTTAACAGGGAGATGCAATATTCCTGAGTATTTGGAGGCGATTTTGAAGGGCAGTGCCATTGAAAGGCCTCCTGGAGTGGATGAAAGATGATGACAGGCATAAATTTTATGGATCAGATCAAGGGTCTCTTTTACAACACACAGTCCTTAGAGTTTCACCGCCGCTCATGAATGCAACTAATACAGGAGATTGTGAAGATAGGTTACCAGTGGGAAGGAGGCCTAGGTTTCTGATTCTGCAGGCCCCATGCTTCATTCACAAAGTTGAAAGAGCCACTCTCTAAATTCAAAGGGAAGCAGCTGTCACAGAGAACTCAAAGGGCAAATCTGAGACCCCACTCAGAGTTGGCAGAAGACAGCAGGATCAAACTTCTCTCCCGGGCCCCAACTTATGAAAACTATCGCTATTGTATGGCTTGTAGGAATTGGCATATGAGGGTATTTCATCAGCAGTATCAAAACAATGAGGATAAAAATCATCACTGCATACTGAAGCCCTGGCATTTATGAGATGCAGCCATCGTTTCTGGGAAGGGTGGGAGCACATAATGCCCATTATCCTCTTAGTAATTGCCTTGGTCCCCAAGGATCCTAATGGGGAAGGGGCTTAATGAGCTTTGGCTCCCTAGAAAAAAAGAACTGAAAGAAAATAGCTATTGTTCTGAATATAACCATAATGATGCCCAGAACTGAAAACTCTGGAGTTACATAGGAAAGGGTATCCATGACTGGTGAGAGGGAGATTCTATTACCAGAAGACTTATTTCAATATGAAAATAATACATAGTGTAAGCCAAAAAGTATCTGAGACAGATCTCCATCAACTTAGAAGTTTATTTTGCCAGTTAAGGATCATAACCCATGACATAGTCTCAGGAGCTCCTGAGAACATGTGCTGAAGGCAGTTGGGTTATAGCTTGGTTTTATATGTTTTAGGGAGACATAAGACATCAATCAAGGTATGTGAGATATACAGTAGTTAGGTCCGGAGAGGCCAAACAACTTGAAGAGGGGAGGGGTTGCTTATAGGTCATAGGTGAATTCAAAGATTTTCAAATTGGTGATTAGTTGAAAGGGTTAAACTCTGCCTGAAAAGTTGAAGTCGGCTTGAGGTAAGGGTTGGGGGGTGGTGGTTGTGGAAGCCAAGGTTTTTATCATGTAGACAAGCCTCCAGGCTTCAGAGAGAATAGATGTGAATGTCTCTTACCAAAGGTATCAGACTGTTTGGAGAGACCTGGTAAAGGAAGCAGATTCTCTACAGAATGCTAACTTCCCCCCACAAGAAACAGCTTTGCAGGGCCATTTCAAAACGTGTCAAGTAAGCATATTTTAGGGTCAAAAAACTTCAGTTTCTTTCAGGGCCCTGCTATCTGTCATGTGATGGTATAATAGTGAGGTTGAAATTTGGTGTCTTATGGCTACAGAGAGTCTGTTCAGTCAGACAGACTCCAGCCCCATCTCTGCCCCCCACCTTTCCATCATGACCTGAACTAGATTCTCAGGTTTCATTGTGTCCCCTTGGCTGAGAGGAAGACCCATTCAATCAGTGGGAGGGGCTTAGAATTTTATTGTCATTTATTAGCATTACCAAAATGCATAGAAAACACGAGCTGCATTCAGCACTTATTTATTGAGCATGTAGTAGGGACTAGCACTATTCTAGGCACGAAAGGTGCAGCCATGAATATGACAAAATGCTTGTTATCGTGGTTTTATGGTCCACGGTGGGGAAGATAATAAGCGAATCAGTAAATAAAGAAAACATAGAGTGATAAGTGCTCTACATGGAAGCCACTTTAAGGTAGGATGAGAGAGAGTGAGGGGGTGTGGCTAAGGAAGGCCTCTTTAAGGAGGTGACCTTGAAGCTGATGTCTGAATGTCAAGGAAGAACCAAATCTACAAAGTTGAGGGGAAGAGCATTCCAGGCAGAGAAACAGCTCTCAGGCACTAAGGTGAGAGAGGTTGGTATATTTCAGGGACAGAAAGACACTGGCTTGTGTAAACCAAAAATAAAATTCTAAGGTCCCCCAGCCATCTGAATGGACCCCTCCTCTTGGCCAGGACACTACAAAATTAACCTGAAAAACTGGTTCAGGCCACGACAAGAAGAGGGGGTGGGACATGCCTCATTATACCCTCCCCACTTTTGAAATTTAGAAAAAGCTGACCAGCATTCAACATCAACACAGACCTTAAGTCTAATTAGAAACATTTACAACCTGTGCTCTCTGAGGCCTGCTACTTGGAGTCTTCATCTGCATGATAAAACTTTGATCTCCACAACCCCTTATCATAACACAGACATTACTTTCTATTGATAGTAACGCTTTTGACCAATTGCCAATCAGAAAATTTTCAGATCTTCCTATAATCTGGAAGCCCTCCTTCTCCTTACAGGCCTTTCCAGACCAAACCAATGTATATCTTACATGTATTTGATTGATGTCTCATGTCTCCCTGTAGTGTATAAAACTAGGCTGTGCCCTGACCACCTTGGGTACATGTTCTCAGGATCTCTTGAGGGCTGTGCCATGGGCCATGGTCTCTCATATTTGACTCAAAATAAATCTCTTCAAATATTTTACAGAGTTTGACTCTTTTTGTCGACACCTGGTTTAGGAGGCTGAGAAAGAATGATACAGCATGACATGAGCAGCGGGCAGGGGCCAGATCACAGAGGGCTATGTAAGCCATGGCAAGGCATTGAGTTTTACTATAAAGAAGTTAGGAAGCTACTGAGGGGCAGAAAGCAGAAAAATCACATGGCCAGATGAGTATAGTGTTTTGGAAACTTTTCATTTTGATATGATTTCAAACTTACAAGAAATTTGCAAGAACAGTGAAATGGTTTGGCTCTGTGTCCCTACCCAAATCTCACCCTGAATTGTAATAATTCCCACATGTGAAGGGTGGGACCAGGTGGAGGTAATTGAATCATGGGGGTTATTTCCCCCATGCCGTTCTCGTGATAGTGAGTGAGTTCTCACGAGATCGATGGTTTTATAAGCATCTTGCATTTCCCCTGCTGGCTCTCATTCTCTCCCCTGCCACCCTGTGAAGAGGTGCCTTCTGCCATGATTGTAAGTTTCTGAGGCCTCCCCAGCCATGTGGACCTGTGAGTATTGTTTGTCCCAATACTGGTGATGTTAGCTTTGATCACTTGCTTAAGGCCATGTTCCCCAAGTCTGTCCTCTTTAAAGTGACTAATTTTCCCTTTGTAATTAATAAGTCATTCCTGAGGAGTTTCTTTGAGACTATGTAAATATCCTATTGCTCATCAAACTTTTACTAGTTTTAGCACCCATTGATGAATTTCTAAATACATCACTTCTATGTTTATTATTTGGAATTCAACTATAAGGAAGAGCTTTCCTTTCTTCCATTTATTATGTTAAAAAGAGATCATAGGAAAGTAAAAATGAAGCAAGGAAATCAGTTAGTAGGTTGTTGAAGTATGCCACAGGAGAGGTAATAATGGCTTCTACCAATGTGTGTTGGCAGAGGATGGAGATAAATGGATAGATTCAGCCTATGTTTTAAGGTGAACTTGAGAGTTTTGTCAATGGTTTGGATGTGAGGGTGATGCAAAGAAAGTTATCAAGGATAATTTCTAGATTTTTTGTCATAAGCAAATGGTACCATTTAATGGCTCCAGTTGGTGGTACCATGATGGTGCCATATATCGAGATAGAGAAGACTGGTGGAGGAACTTTGGGAGGGAAAATCAAAAATTTTGATTGGGCACAAGTTTCAGATACTTGCTTAACATCCATGTGGCAGTGCCAAGGAGTTCAAATAGCTGGTGCGAGGGAGAGGGAGTGATGGGTATATACATAATATTTAAAGCCACGACACTGAGTGAGACTAATGAGTGCAGACGAAGAAGAGGTCAGAGCACAAATCCTGAGCTACTTGAAGAATCAGAAGTCAGGAAAATGAAGCAAATTTGGCAAAAGTGCTGGACAAGAGGCAATTAGCAAGGGGGAAGCAGAACCAGGAGAGTGTGTTGCTGGGTAGGAGAAAAAAGGATTTTAAAAGGAGGGAGTGGCAAAGGCTGCCGACTTCTGCTGAGAGCTCAAGTGTGATGAGGACAGGGCTTGCAGGTTGGACTCTGCAGCATAAAGAGCGAAGGGGCTGGAACTCAGCAGAAGTGGGTTGAGGGGAGAATGCGAGGTGAGGAAGTGGAGGCAGTGATAATAATCAAGGACTTTAGGAAGGTTTGCTGTGAAGGAGAACAAAGTAAAATGGTGGGAGCTGGGCAGGAATACATGGTCAAGAGAGTTAATCTTTTTTCTTTCTATTATTTAATATGAGAGGTAAAGGATCATACTATCTGTTAGAGAAAGTAAAATGGGTGATGCTGAAGAGAAGAAAGAGAGAAACAAAGTCCCTGGGAAGGATGATGGGAGCTGAAAGCTGGTTGGTTTCTGTGGGACACTTGATCCTTAGTAATAAGAAAAGGTCATCAGGTCCGTAGGGTGGTGGTGGGGATGCAACATGATGAGGGAGGTCTTTTTGGTTGTTTCAGTTTTGTTGATGAAGTGTGAGGCAAGGTCGCCAGCTAGAATTGGAGTGGGGACAATGTGAAGAGAGATGTGAAATAGTTAGTTTGAAGAATGAAAGAGTTAAGAGATGTGGAGAGTGTATAGGACTATGAGGCATCACTGAAGGCCAATCTGAGATTTGTGGCCATGAATTAGTGAAACTTGTCAGGAAGTTGGGTTAAAAGAAAGTTAAAAATAACATGTGTGTCTCACACCACTGCTCTCAAAGCACTTTATTTATTTATTTATTTATTTATTTATTTATTTATTTATTTATCTGAGATGGAGTCTCACTCTGTAGCCCAGGCTGAAGTGCAATGTTGCAATCTTGGCTCACTGCAACCTCTGCCTCCCAGGTTCAAGAGATTCTCCTGCCTCAGCCTCCTGAGTAGCTGGGATTACAGGCAGCTGCCACCAGGCCCGGCTAACTCTTTTTTGTATTTTTAGTAGAGGCGGGGTTTCACCATGTTGGCCAGGCTGTTCTTGAACTCCTGACTTCAAGTGATCTGCCGCCTCAGCCTCCCAAAGTGCTGGGATTACAGGCGTGAGCCACCGTGCCCGGCCTCAGAGCACTTCTGACATGCGCTAGCTTGTCTAGTCATCATATAAACTCCCCGGGTGTGGGAAGGTACCTCCCCTTCATAGATGTGCAAACTATAGCTTAAAGAGATTATGTTTCCAGCCTGAGCCACATAAAACATCTGACTCCAAAACCTGTGCTCCTTCCATCACACCAGCAGCTATGGAAGTGACTTTACAACAAATACAGTCACAGAAACAAGTAAAGTGTAATTCAGATCCACTGCTGGTTTTAAATGATTTGATAGGCTGGGAGTGGGGTGGCTCATGCCTGTAATCCCAGGACTTTGGGGTGCCTAGGAGGGTGGATCACTTGAGGTCAGGAGTTCGAGACCAGCCTGGCCAACATGGTGAAACCCCATCTCTACTAAAAATACAAAAAATTAGCCGGGCGTGATGGCAGGTGCCTGTAATTCCAGCTACTTGGGAGACCAAAGCAGGAGAATCACTTGAATCCGGGAGGCGGAGGTTGCAGTGAGCCGAGATCATGCCATTGTACTCTAGCCTGGGTGACAAGGGTGAAACTCTGTCTCAAACAAACAAAAAAAGAAATGAAAAGAAAAGGATTTGATAGACCGACAGATGAGGCTGAAACAGAATGTGACTGGAGGGTTTATTGCTGGTGATTCATGATAGGATAATTGTTACAAAGATTCTTACAACATGTCTCAGAGAAAAATATGGTTGACAAATATGGATAATAAATGGTGCTAACAGAGCACAGTGGTTAAGAGGGTGGACTTTAGCATCGGCCACATGTAGGTTCAAAGCCTGGCTCTACCACTTACTGGCTTTGGGACTTCGGGCAAGTAATTTAACTTCTCAAACTCAGTTTACTCATCTGTAAAATGGTCATAATAACAGTACCTTCTCCCACTGAGTTGTAGTGGGGATTACATAAAATAATTCATATAAAGAATAGAGCATAGTCATTGGTATACAGTTAGAACTCTTCGAAGCTATACCATTATTACTACTAGTGAAAACTAAAAATGCAATGTAAAGATGGGTTGCCATAAATTGCACCAACAGATATTATATTGTGAATCCTACTAATTATTTTTCAAAGGTGGGCTGATGAAGGAATTAACACAGTACTCCACAGTTTTTTTTTTTTTTTTTTTTTTGGAGACAGGGTCTCACTGTGTCACCTAGACTAAAGTGCAGTGGTGTGACCACAGCTCACTGTAACCTTGAACTCCTGGGCTCAAGCGATCCTCCTGACTCAGCCTCCTGAACAGCTAGAACTGCAAACGTGTGTTACCACTCCTGGCTTTTTTTTTTTTTGGTAGAGACAAGGTTTTGCTATATTTGCCCTGGC
Organism: Homo sapiens; assembly: GCF_000001405.40. Lineage (NCBI taxonomy): Eukaryota > Metazoa > Chordata > Mammalia > Primates > Hominidae > Homo > Homo sapiens. The sequence goes on from NC_000006.12 coordinate 90,455,721, forward strand.
TGTTCTTGAACTCCCGGTCTCAAGTGATCTTTCTGCCTCAGCTTCCCAAAGCTCTAGAATTACAGGCATGAGCCACCATGTCTGGTCTCCATGTATTATTATACTGGCATTAATAAGTCACTCCTAAGATTTTTTAGCAATAACTTCTACTGATTATATTAGAATTGAAGCTTAATTGACAAGCCAACAGATTTGTCCCATTAAACAAACATTTTGCTACTGGATAAAACAAAAAACAAAAATCCTCCAGATATTTATACATATTTATTTTATGCACATAAATGTCTCATTTAAAATCTATTCAGGAAATATAAGCAAGGGGGTAACTCTGACAGAGAAGCTACAGATAGTGTAAAAAAATTTAAAATTCAGAGGAAAACATGCAGTGGGTCAGCAATGTGAGGGATTCTCATCTTACCATATGGATACTTTACATTGTGAGGGATGCAACACACTATAGCAACCTTTCAAAAGGCGAAGAGTCAGCCGCCTGCCTATCATCAAGATAGCTCTGCTCTGCCATATGTGATTATGTTGGGCTTAGCTCATGGGACGTATACTAGCATATGAATTTCTATCATGGTTAACTGAGTTAGTAAAATAAGATAATAATGCAGCAATTCTGGTATTTCTGGTCCCTGCACAGAAATATCAGAATTCAACACAGGTTGAATGAGGTTAATCTAGACCATGTGCTGTGTAAAATTAAAGTAGAAACCTGTATAATTTACAGTAGAGGGTTGCATATAAATTCTGTGTTTTATGAAGCTTGATAACTTTTTGTAATTATGTACAATAATTCTGTGTTTTATGAAGCTTGATAACTTTTTGTAATTATGTACAATAATTCTGTTGAGTTAAAATAGTAGAGCTATGCCAGGCTGCCCATAAAGCTATTGTACCTTTCCAACCTGACTCTTGGAGGAGTTAGTTATGTAGGAGACAGAGTCTGCTGAGCTTGGGTCCCTGTTAGGGAGGGCTCCATTGTAGTTCTCCTTTGGTACACAGGTAACTGGGGAGCTTTAAAATTTTGTAATGCCCTGCCCTCACTAGAGGTGTGTGAAGCTGGAAGCTCTGGGGTTAGAGCCCAGGCATGGGTGTGTTTAAAAGATTCCACTGTGATTATGATGCACATGTGCACACTAAAGGTCAAGAATTGCATCTAAAGCAAATCTCTCAGATTTAATAAACTGCTATATAAATATATGTGTATATACACACATTCATAGATACATATTCATTTTCACTAAAATAGTTAGGATTATCTAATGTCTACAAAACTAATGCTCTTGAGAGTGTGATTAGGAAGTCAAAGTGACTGAGTTTTTCTGGTACGTCAGCAAGGTATTTTAGAAGCTTATCACAAAACTCTTTATCAGATAAGAACGTTTTCAGCAGTAAGCAACAGAAAGCCCATCTGAGTCACTGAAATAGATAGAAAGGTATTTTTTCTTACAAAACTAAAAAGTCTGGGCCGGGCACGGTGGCTCACACCTGTAATCCCAGCACTTGGGAGGCCACGGCGGGCGGATCACGTGAGGTCACGAGTTCGAGACCAGCCTGGCCAACATGGTGAAATCCCATCTCTACCAAAAATACAAAAATTAGCTGGGCGTGGTGGTGGGTGCCTGTAATCCTAGCTACTCGGGTGGCTGAGGCAGGAGAATCGCTTGAACCTGGGAGGCAGAGGTTGTAGTGAGCCGAGATCACGCCATTGCACTCCAGCCTGGGTGACAGAGCAAGACTCCATCTCAAAAAACAAAACAAAACAAAACACAAAAGTCTGAAAGTAGGCAGCTCAAGGCTGATGCAACAGCTCAACGATGTTGGTAAGAACTTAAGGCCTTTTTTCGTTCTCTTCTGACACCCTAACCACGTTGGCTCATGACTTCATGGGTACAACGTGGCCATGTTAGCTCCATGCCTCATGCCTCCATTCATGGCAGGAGGAAGGAAAGTAAAAGTTGCACTAGCCATGTTTTTATCAAGAAAGAAGCTCTTTGCCCACATCTTTTTGGCCAGAACTATATCTTATGGCAATCTTTTGCTGGAAAAGTGGCTATTTAGCTTTTCTTGTCCCCACAGTGGAAAAGAAAGAAAAAGGAATGAGGGTTAGGAAAGGCCAGCCCACACTGATGACCACATTTTGTAGGTCTTTCTGCATAATCTATTAACTTGCTTCTCTGGCATTGGGGAAAGTGTCTGAATATACCTTCCCAGATCATTCCATTTTTTCTTACTACTTTCATTACTGCCACTATTTTTATTTAAAATGGCAACAGAAGCTGCAACTGCCATTTATTGACTACCTACTGTGTACCCGGCATTGTGCTAGCTGACTTTTCTACCTTGCTTCCAATCCAGTTACAATAATCCCCACTGCAAGATGATCACTGTCCTTATTTCACAGATAGGAAACTGAGGCTTAGAGATGGTAAATGATTTGCCCACGACTATATATGAGGAAATTACAGAGTTAGGATTTGAACTTGAGTTTACATGGCTCTAAAGCCTATGCTCTTCCCAACAGAGTCACTGCCTCTATACCTCCTACAAAAATAGGCTGGAGTAATCTACACAGGAAAGAATATACATTTTTCATAATCCCTACACGTTCTTTTTATAGAGGCTTCAAGTATTACTCACTTGCTGCTCCCTTACAACTCCCTGATGTCATTTAAGAGAAAAAGTGTCATCCTGATGTTGAAGATATCACCCGAGTGCTGTCTGGAACTGAGTGGGGGCAGCCAGTTCACCCTGGGACTCTCCACCGGCCCCTGAGTACAGCAGTCCCCTGTGTTCTTGTGCATCTACAGGATGACGCATTGCTTGGCAGGTTCTTATTCATCTTTCCAGGAACTCAGAGAGGTCTCTGGGAAATATGGGAGGCAAACAGTTTGAAAAGCGAAAGTGCTATGGTCATATTACTTCTACAGAAAGCAGCTTTACAGTGGCAAGGTGAAGCCCAGGTTCCTGGGAGGGGCCCAAACTGGACAATGGTAAAATGAGCAGTGAGCAGCATGTGGCAAATTGGCAGCCCTGGGTTCCACGCTTCTGCACGGCACAGGGAGTGGACCTACTTGAGGCAGAGGGTACCGGCTTGTTGAAGTCTGATCTTTGGGCTTTGTGCCAAGGTGCAGCAGACAGAACTTCCGGTGGCTCCTCAGATGGAACTTTCTGTAGAGAGAGAGCCAGCTGCACTTGGGAATCTTTCCTTCTGCTCCAGAAAACCTATGGGGATATTTTTCTACTGGGTTTATAAAGCCAAGGTCCCCTAGCTTTACAGACCAATCTCTCAGGGCCTTGGGATTCTCCAAAATGCTTCTGAAGTCTTTGCTATATGGTCCCTTGTGGTCAGAGGTCACACGTGGGTGGAGGCAGCCTCTGAGGGATCTGCTTCAAACCGTGGAAGGGAAGCCCAGGTAAATATAACAAGATCTGCAGGCTAGTCAATGCTTAGTATTCTCTTGAGACTCAAAGGCAAATCAGAAGACATTTTCCTAATTTTGACTCATGCAAATCTTCAGTGTTGCTTGTGATTGTATGCATTAATTGTTTACTGTCAGGAGGCAGACAATCATGGGTGACCCAGGGACAATGCATCTTCTGTTTACCAACAAGCTCCCAGGAGGCTCTAGCTCCCTTAGGCTGGTGTGAGCCAGAATGGGACTTTCTTTCAGGTTTGGATGGCTTTGGGCAGGCGGCCCCCATAAAAACGCCCTGGGGACTTGGAGCCATAAACATGCACACACTCTTCCTTTGGCCATGGCAAACAAAGAACATCCTTTAGTTTCACTCTGTCTCCACCTTGCCTGCAGCATCTTTCTCCACCAGCAAGGAGTTCCACATGTCAAGACTTTAGTGTCGGCTGCCTGCAAATCCTGTAAAACGGGAAGTGCAGGGGAGAGATTTCTGTACTCAGAGGTCAGCCTAGAGCTCTGCCATGACCTCACAGCCATAGTAAGCTACATGAAACTCCAGAAGAGTCTCACATTACTTGCTTCTAATAATGGGGCCCTGACATTTCTAAGTTCATCAATTTATAACTATCACTTCTCTCCTTTTCAAAGGGTAACAATTCAGATAAGGTTGTAAATATATGAGGGTCCTCTGAGCTCGTCCTCCAGACTCAAAATTCTTTCAGGCTTTTCTTGCAAAGCAGTGGAGGACTTGGGGTTTATCAAATTTTCCATTCCTATTTTTGTTTTTCCCTTACAAGGAAATAACCCAAATCGCATAGCTTTTGCCATTATGTCCTCCAATATGTCTCATCCCTTATTCCCTCTCAAGCCCTTAATTCTCTGTGACTTTTTGCTCTTTCAAGGAGAAAATCCTTAGGGTAGGGATGAGAAAGGAGTTCACTTGTCCTGCAAATGGGCCACCCTGCCCCAGAGGCAGGAACAGCCTGTCAGTTGGGGATGTGGTGCATAATTTTCAGTCATTCTGAGTCAATATGCATTCAGCAAGTTTCCTTACAATATCACCATTTCTATCCTCTTGTCTTCAGCAATTCAGCAGGAAATTAGCAGCATACCGCCTTCCCACAAATGCGGCAGGACTGCGGGGTGAGGGTGGGGGGCGAGGTGTCTGGTTTACCACAGACCTCCAACAGGCGAGTCACCTGAACAGCTTAATTTGAGTACAACTTAAAAAAAAAAAAGCAAGCTATAAAGTCATTGCAGGCACTCTATGTGCAGTAAGAACAGAGGGTCCCTAAATCCCCTAGTGGAAGATACATTTGGAGATGTCTTTCCAGCTCAGGATAACTCCCTCTTCTCTGGGAATGGCTTTCACCTTTCCACCCCATCCAGAAACCATGCTTGCTTCGTGGGACCCTGCCTTCCCTAGTGACAGTTGATTGAACCTGAGGTGGACACCTGGGGGTTTCCAAGTCAGTCTCTGTGGTGACCAGAAGTCTTTCCTCAAGTCTTACCTTCTCCCTGGGGTTTACTCTGCCCATGTTTAAAAGTGCATCCTGCCCACAGCACCCCTACCTCCTGCTCCGGATCCCCTCTTACTCCACCCCATCCTTCTTTCTCTACAACCCTTATAATCTAACAAGCTATAAGTGCTCATTGGTTACACTCGTGGTCTACCTCTCCTACTAGAATGTAGCTTTGTTCCTGATGCAGCCCAAGCACCCACGCCAGTGCCTGCCACTACGATACACAAAAATTAGTAGTATCCCAGCACTTTGGGAGGCTGAGGTGGGCGGATCACTTGAGGTCAGGAGTTTGAGACCAGCCTGGCCAACATGGTGAAACCCTGTCTCTACTAAAAATACAAAATTATCTAGGCATGGTGGCTCATGCCTGTAATCCCAGCTACTCGGGAGGCTGAGGCAGGAGAATCACTTGAACCTGTGAGGTGGAGGTTGCGGTGAGCCGAGATCGCACCTAGCCGAGATCGTGCCATTGCACTCCAGCCTTGGCAACAAGAATGAAACCTCGTCTGAAAAAAAAAAAGTTAATAGTTAAATAAATGAATTGGAGTTAGGGTGGTCATATCCTATTCTATGGTTCAGAGGCCAACAGGAGAGCAGAGCCTTTTCCCAGAGCTCCAATCCTTTCTTGAGTCCAGGCTTCCCTCCTGCCCTTAGATTTCATGAGTTCTTGTAGTAAATTGTCTCCTTTTCCCCCTTAAGCTAGCTGTAGTTAGTTTCTATGACTAGCAACAAGGGGCTTGCCTAAGTAAACAGACAGACAGAAATCCCAGGCTTCCTAGAACTTACATTCTAGTGGAGATGAGTTTGGGAAACACTAAGGGGACCAACATGGCAGGGGCCCAGTAAACAGGAGAGAAAAGTAGTGGGAGGACCAGGAAGCAAATGAGCAGGGTGGAGCCCTGTGGATACTTGTAGGACTTTGCCTTTTGGCCTGAGTAAGATAGAAAGCCACTGCAGGTTTCGAGCAGTTTTGTATTTTAAAAGGGTCCGGCTGGCTCTTGTAAGAGCTCAGCCTAAGGATTGTGGTCGGCAGAGTGGAAGCAGGAATTCCAGTAAGGAGCCCCTGCAATAATCCAGGAGACAGAAGGTGGCCCTGAACAGGGTGGCAGCTGAGGAGAGGGCTGAGAAGTGGCCCAGTTCTTCACAAAGAAGGCAGAGCTAACACCTCCAACACCTGAGGCCCCATTCTCTGGAATAGTAGAGTGTGTATTTTGCTGTGTTGGAGCAGCTGGGCTTTTGATCCACTGTATCCTGCCGAATCCCCAGCCCACGCCCTCCCCGTCCCCCAGCCGTGGCCTCTCCTTCCCCTTGGTGGGGCTGAGCACACACCACTAAGTAAAATCCTGTACAAGGCTGCACATCCCTTTCCACCTCGAGTCCTCTTGTGGGCTGTTTGCTGAAAGGGAAGACTTTTCCTTCTTTGGATGTGCATGTGTGAAATAGACCTTGAGTGGCAGATTTGGATCTAGTCCTGTGCTTGGCTCTGATTCAGTCCTCAGTTTTCTCATCTGTGAAATGAGAGGCCTGATCTCCAGGATCACTCATGAGCTCTCATAGGCTATAATTCTGAGGCTCTGAGGACTGAGTGAGTCCATCACTGAACCCAGGTAAACCAAAGGTTGCATCCTCCGTCATAAAATAAGCAATAAATCACTGCAGTGGTTCCTGGAATGATTCAAGGAGCTCAGCCTTGCCTGGGGCCCACAGCTACTAGCCATGAAAATGGTCTGTGATATATTAATAGCTGGAAAGAAGACAGGTTACAGAAATGGACGCTTATGTTACATTTATGTAAACAAACAAAATAAGGTCCATGAAATAATCCTAGTTTTAGCAAGGGTCCTCTCTGCAAAGCAAAGTTATAGACTTAATTTTTTTCCTTGAACTTTTCTACATTTTCCAAATCTTTTAATATGATTTAATAGATGCATGTATATATGCATAAGTTACATACATTCATACGGTGGTCTTTATTTTTTTTTCCTCTTTTGATTGTTCCTTCCTGCCCCTTTTCATTCTACACCTTCAATATCCATACCCCAACCCAGTCCCCACTGTGATAGCCCAGAAAGCCATTGTCTACAATGAACATCAGTACTACTTTGGCAGTCACACAGCAGTCAATCATTAATTCATTTATTTTAAAAAGTGACAGCAAGTCACAGCCTCAAAGCCTCCACCTAACATGGGAATCATTCTGGCTCTGACCCATTTTTGATGGGGAAAGGAGTAGATGACCAAACCTGAGACAAGAGCATGGGGAGATTTTTGTTTCTTGTTTCCTGAATGAAAGTGAAAAACCCTAGGAATAGGCCAGGCACAGTGGCTCATGCCTGTAATCCCAACACTTAGGGAGGCTGAGGCGGGAGGATCACTTGAGGTCAGGAGTTTGAGACCAGCCTGGCCAACGTGGTGAAATCCTGTTTCTAAAAAATACAAAAATTAGCCAGGCCTAGTGGTGCACGCCTGAATCCCAGCTACTAGGGAGGCTGAGTCAAGAGAATCACTTGAACCTGAGAGGCAGAGGTTGCAGTGAGCTGAGATGGCACCACTGCACTTCAGCATGGGCAACAGAGTGAGACCCTGCCCCAAAAACAAACCAAAATAAAACCCCTAGGAATAATAGTTGGCTCCTGTTTGTTACATAAGCAGACAACAGAAAGTGAGTAGCTTTAGGCTTTCCTATCAGCCTTTGACTCAGGGCAAACGACCATGGGACATGCAGCTCCTTAACATATAGTTTTGCTAAGGAACTAGGAAGGCCACATGTGTGAGATTGGGACTGAGGGGTTGGGTGGTAGCATGCCACTTCCTGAGCCATGCTGCCCTACAACTTTATTATAGAAACTGCGAAATGGTTAGGAGATACCCAATCGGTCAGTCACTCTAGCCTAAAAAGCCAGGCTGGGTGGCAGGTAAGCCTTCCCCAGTGAGGAACAGGATGTGTGGGAGGCCCCATGTAACTGGGCAGGATGTTCACTGGGTCACTTCCTGCCAAGGAGAGTTACCTTGATGAGACTCAGAGCACTAAACTCAGGGCTATCCCAGTCCTCTGAATCTGCTCTAGAACACATATTTTTATATGTGCATATATTCACATGTATGTGTCTGTGTCTATTTTTTTCCTTCTTCCCTTTCACATCTCTGACTGGGACTTTGCTGGTGGTGGGAAGAAATGCTTGTGTCAACTGAAAGGCAGGAACATCGCATGTGGCAGCTGCTGGGTGCCCAGAAACAGGGCTCCAGGAAAAGGTGCGGACAGTGGGGACAGACGAGCTGAAGGCCTTGAAATTCCACAGTCCACCAGGAGGAAGTAGATAGAAACACAGATCGTAGCCATGAGGGACCCCAGAGGACATTCATTCTAGCCCCTGTCTTTGCAGGTGAGGGAATACACCCAGAGATGTTAGGAAAGCCCCACTCTTCAGTAGCTCAATGACCACAGATTAGACCCACACACGTCTGCCTGCTTCAGTGAGAAGTGATGGTTTTTATTAAGAAGAGAGGAATTAAGAAGACATATATTCTTCTTCTGTCATAAGAAAACAATTTTTTTTTTTTTTTTTTTGAGAGGGAGTCTTGTTCTGTCATCCAGGCTGGAGTGCAGTAGTGTGATCTCGGCTCACTATAGCCTCTGCTTCCCAAGTTCAAGTGATTCTCCTGCCTCAGCCTCCCGAGTACCTGGGATTACAGGCACACACCACCATGCCTAGCTAATTTTTGTATTTTTATTAGAGATGGGGTTTCACCATGTTGGCCAGGCTGGTCTCAAACTCCTGACCTCAGGTGATCCGCCCGCCTTGGCCTCCTAAAGTGCTGGGATTACAGGCATGAGCCACTGCACCCGGTCACAAATTGTATTGATTTCCTGAAGGCAAACTCGAATTGTTATGAATCCCTTTTCCTTTTCTGAACTGAAAAGTAAATCGTTCTTCGTCTTTCTGTGGGTGGGGAATGGTTGAATGTGTTTATGCATAGGCTCTGCAAGATAAATCGCCCGTGGATCTTATCTTCAGAGCCTTCTGAGTGGAGTCAGAACTTTATCTTGTGGTTTGGGTTTTTCATTCTTGGTAACTTAGTATTATTTTGGGAAAACCTAAGGAAGTGGATAGGCCTGAAAAGCAATCTTTCCAAACATCTTGATTTGGAGACATGCATACCCCAAAGCTGGGATTCTTGGCAACACCGCAGCAGGGGCACACTGTTACCAGCCAGGAGTCTCCTGCAGGTTATAAAATACAGCAGAGGATTTCCTCCCTTTTCTGAAAGCCCACTGGGTCAATAGATACTGGGTTAACAGTTTTGAAATATTTATATATAGGGAAATCTCCTTAATTTGCACTTCTCAAAGAAGACCTGACATAACTGATTTAAAAGAAAAGTAGAAGTACAAGTTGTAAAAAATAAAAATAAGGCAGGTACCAGAATCTTGTAATTAATCTACCCAATTCCTAGTACTTAAGAATTAATATTTAGCAGAGTTTCATTAAAGAGATTTGGTATCAATTGTTTGAAGTACAGGTACCCTTAAATAGTGCTAAAATACCTCTCTATTCTTACTAATTAAAAAAAAAAAACTATCAAGTTGTTAGTAAGATATTTTATTCCTAGAGATGGGCCTGTGAAATAGAATTATCACAGACTCCACATCCTGTTCAAAGTGTTTGAGAAATATTTTCTGGAGAACCTTCACATGATCTCTGTATTCTGAGATGTCCTTGCTTTTCAAATAGTGGTAAACAGATAATATTTGTTTTTTGTTTTTTAATTACAGGACAGGTATTAGTCAGGGTTCTCTAGAGGGGCAGAACTAATAGGATAGATGTATATATGAAAGGGAGTTTATTAAGGAGTATTGACTCCCACGGTCACAAGGTGAAGTCTCACAATAGGCCATCTACAAGTTGAGGAGCAAGGAAGCCAGTGGTGGATCAGTCCAAGTCCCAAAACCTCAAAAGTAGGGAAGTTGACAGTGCAGCCTTCAGTCTGTGGCCAAAGGCCCGAGAGCCCCTGGCAAAGCACTGGTGTAAGTCCAAGAGTCCAAAAGCTGAAGAACCTGGAGTCCGATGTTTCAGGGCAGGAAACATCCAGCATGAGAGAAAGGTGAAGGATGGAAGACTCAGCAAGTCTGCCCTTCCATCTTCTCTTGCCAACTTTATTCTAGCTGAGCTGGCAGCTGATTAGATGGTGCCCACCAGATTGAGGGTGGGTCTGCCTCTTCCAGTCACTGACTCACATGTTAATCTCCTCTGGCAGCACGCTCACAGACACACCCAGGAACAATGCTTTGCATCCTTCAATCAAGTTGACACTCAGTATTAACCATCACAAGGTCCTCTTGGAAAATAAATCATGGATGGAATAATAAAGGAAACCACACTTTTGAGCTATCCCTTGTTCTTAGTTGTCACCTGGCTGTAGAAATATAGGAGGGGCAGTATATTCCCATGAGTCAGATAAGAAAATGGTAAATTTGGATGCTTCATACGCAAAAGCAGTGTCTCCATCGATCCCTCCATGGGCAGGAAAGTCACTGCATTGCTTCTGCCCAGAGTCATTCTCCCTCCACTCCACTCTTGAGTTCCCTGTGACCCATCACATCCACCGGCAGGGATGGGAGCAGGGAGTCTGTGACTGCACACACCCCTTATCTCAGTGGAAGCCAAATGACCCTAAGAAGTATCATCTCCTCAGCGTTGTCCCCATTATCACCCTTGTCTAAAAATGGTATGCTGTGTTTGAACATTGTTTTAAAAAGGATTTTCTCTAGAAGACATACTGGCCTTTTTAGAAAACAGCTTCTGGCATGCACCAAGATATTTTGTGACTCTCAGCTCTTTGAGAAGGCAGTGTGTCTCAGAAAGCCAGCGGTAAAAGCGATGGTTGCTAAGGGAACAATTGAATTGCTGACACTGAGACATGTAATGTGACTGAAAACTCTTTTTTTCTTCTCCTGCCACATGGAAAAGAAAGCAGATGAGTCAGAGGTAATGGTGGACTGTCCTTTCTGGCTGTTACAGAAGCTGAAAGGACCTAATAGCCTCTTAGTTAGCCTAAAGGGGAAGAGCCTCCTGGTAATTAAAATTGACAAAAGCTGCTTGCAAGTTGTGGATAAGTTAGTGAAGGCTGGGGCTGAAACTGTGACTCAGAGTGAGTTGAAAAGAAAAAGAGCCACCTACGAACGAGACTGACATTCGACCATAGCTGATAACAAAATGCAGAAAGCACTACCTAGTCATATAGAGATATATGTATCTTTGAACACTGTCTCCTAAATACTTTGAAATATTTTTTAATTGTGTGATTCACTCACTCATCTACCACTCAATTGCCATTCGGGGGAGTCCTCTTTTTTCAAACCCCTTTTTTGAGGTGTAATTTACATACCTTAAAATTCATCCCTGTAGCTGTATAGTTTAATGATTTTGGGGGGTAACTTTTTAGAGTTCTACATTCCCCCAATCCAGTTTTAGAACATCTCATCTCGCCAAAATGTTCCCTTTTGCCATTCACAGTCGATCCTTCCTCTTAGCCCCAAGCAACTACTGATGTGCTTTCTAGTTCTATAGATTTGTATTTTCTAGAAATTTTATCTAAATGGAATCATATGATCTACAGTCTTTTGTGTCAGGCTTATTTCATTTTGCATAATGTTTTTGCGGTTCATCCATGTTGTACCATGTATTGGTAGTTCATTCTTTCAATGCTGAATAATATTTCATTGTGTGGATATATCCCATTTTGTACATCCATTCACCAGTAGATGGACATTTGGGTTGTTTTCAGTTTAGAGCGATTATGAATAATGCTCATATGAACATTTATGTACAAGTTTTTGTGTAGACATGTTTTCATTTCTTGTGGGTACACAGCTAGGAGTACAATTACTGGGTAATATGTAAGTGTATGCTTAACTTTCTAAGAAACTGCCAAACTGCTTTCCAAAGTGGTTTTATCATTTACATTCCCATCAGTAATATGTGAGAGTTCCTGTTCCTCCACATCCTCTATGTTTGGTATTGTCAGTCTTTTTGATTACAGCCATTCTAATGAGTGTGTAGTAGTATTTTATTGCTGTTTTCTATTGCATAATTCAATTCAATTTCATAACTGTAATGACTAATGGTGTTGGTTATCTTTTCATGTCCTAAATGTTTCTTATTAAGAAAAATATTTGAAATAATACAATTTTGAAGGGAAAATCTGAAAACCATAAAGCACATGTCTAAATATTCTCCATCAGAATTTGCAGAACAGTGTTTCTCATTGCAAACTATGTGCATTAGAATTACCCAGAGTGTTTGTTAAACATTCAAATCTCCCCCAGCCTACAGAACCAATACCTGGGGTAGGGGCTCTAGGGCCCACATTTTAATTTTTTTAATTTTTTGTAGAGATGGGGTCTTACTTGTTGTCCAGGCTGGTCTTGAAATCGTGGGCTCAAGTGATCTTCCCACCTTGGCCTCCCAATGTTCTGGGATTACAGGCATGAGTCACCACCCCCATCCAGAGCCCACACTCTTACTACTTCTATCACTGATGGGTGATTCTTATGCACACTGGAGTTTGTGAGTCATCTCCCTAGAACCAAGGCGCTTTTGCTAGCTTGGTGACCATTGCACTGACTGCAGGTTCAAGAATCACTGTCTCAGAGATAAGTAACCCTGTACGACAGGGGTCCCCAACCCCGGGCCGTAATGGCGGTGAGTGGCGGGTGAGCATTACCTCCTGAGCACTGCCTCCTGCCAGATCAGCACCAGCATTCATTTCTCATAGGAGTGAGAACACTACTGTGAACTGTGCATACAAGGGCTCTAGGCTGTACACTCCTTATGAGAATCTAATGCCTGATGATTTGAAGTTGATGATTTTCATCTGGGAACCATCTCCTTCCCCATACCCCATATGTGGAAAAATCATCTTCCATGAAACTGGTCCCTGGTGCCAAAAAGGTTGGGGTCCAATGCTATAAAGGATACCTTTGCCCCAAGCGTAATGAACTCAGTGTGTAAACCTTCAGAGAAAACCATTTTTCTGACTCTAGGACAAAATGGAATTCATCAGACACAATGTATGTAATCCTTGTGTCCTGGAAGTATAGAAAGAAATGCAACAACTTTGTTCTTCCCTCCCTTATAAGTGGACTAGAGGAACACAGACCAGAGAATGTATGTAGGCTAAGTGCCCTGAGTTCAAATATGAAAACACAGTCTCAACCAAAATCATGAAAACACTAGTAATTTTTGACAAGATAACACTGTTTCCAGTGTATTCCCAGAAGCAAGGTTTTAACTTTATCATCAGATCCACTAAAAGCTTATCAGTAAATGGCTTCAGTCCTTTCTCTGCAGGACTATGGGTCTAGTGGCCCAAGCTGGATGAAGGCATCTTAATCATGTCACCAGGTCCACAGATATTTATCTGTTAAGGTTGGCTGACCTAAATGATTTAAAAACTGCTCTTAGACCCAGAGTTCATTATGATCAGTAGGTCGTGCATTATGCATAAGTTTGTAAGTGCTTTTGCTGTAACACACATAATAAGAACAAAAATCCAAAATGCCATGACCACTACAGGCTTTGGGAGGAGATTTTACTTTGAAAAGAAGGGTTGGTGGCTTAAAGGGAAACTCTTTGTACCTCATGATGATGGCTCCAAGCAGAAAGTGTTAATAAAACCAGAAGAAAAGGGTTCAAAAGAGCTTGAAGTGGGTTTGGGGCTGGTGGCCTGGAATCTTAACAAGACACCGCTTTTCTTTCCATAAGAAGTCAGGCTAAAAAGAAATCTTCCCATTTGTACTTCAAACCAGTTTTAAATACATCAGGAAAAAATACATATACACACAACAAACCTCCCGCCCAGACACCCTTCCCCTGGCTGGTCATTCTATTTGGAGGGTCTGTGGGTGGCATCCTGTGCAGCCGATACATCATTGTGCTACTTGCCGTATCTCCAGGGACACACAGAATACTCACACGTGATGACAGGACAGGATGCGGACGCTACCTGTGCTCTTTGGGGGACCATTTCCCTACAAATGGCTACTTGGAGGCATTGTGAAGTAGGATTGCTTTGTAGGAACCCAGAAATGCCAACGTTTATGGAATTACCAGGCACAAATTACTTGGCACTGCAAATTGGAACAATTAGCAAACCTTTGTGATGAAGGAATGCTGAACGTGAAACAACTTGGGAGTAGAATAAAAATGGACCTATTGTTCTTTGACTCAACTAAGTGCACATAATATATTCAGTCTGCTTTTGCCAAACCATATATTTATCTCTGCTGTTTGAGAGTGAGAGTGGGACTACTCCCAAGGCCCATTAGCCCCAGCCCTGGCCCTTACCAACTTGGAATGAAAGGAACAAGCAGTTCCTTCAAATGGATGAGAACTAGCTCCATTGCACAATATCTTGTACACAAGTCAAATGATGCCAATAACATTAGGTTAGTTTTTGTAATGGCCACAGATTTTTATAGAAATCCGTGATAGAGAAATGGGCCATCTGAAATAATGCCATTTAGTAATGTGACTTTTTCCCCTTTTAGATAAGTCCAAATTATGGACATACTGTTCCCTGTATTTGCCCAGATGGTAAACGAGACATGTTGGTTGGAAGTGAGCTTTAAAATTGGCACATAATTAGAATCTCTGTCCTACTAAAATAAAAATATCGAGTAGCTTGTTAATACTTTAACATTTTCTAACGACCACAAAACCTTCTTCTGGCTTGTCTCTATCTATATTATTTTTAAATGTCACCTGTAGAATTATTGATGACCACCCTCTGGGGGGATGAGTAACCAGTGACTTAAAGCTGCTGTCAGAGTTTGAAAACACTGTAAAGATCATCTTGGCCTCTCTTCCCTTCCTGCAGGTCAGGCGAACCCTCATCTTCTGACTTCTTGTCCAGGCCTCACCCTATGTTATAGGGTCTTAAGTATGTGCAAAGAATGATATTTGAGAGCTGAGCGAGGCTGCACAGCCTTTTGTGTCATTCAACAGCGAGGGACTTCGTTTGGGCATTGTTTTGTTCTGTTACCTCTTTCCTTGTCTCTCTCTTATGCTCTGCATTTTTTTTTCCTTTGAAAGTTATTTTTGCTATAACACAAATATTCTCTTTTGTCCCTCAAACTTTTCTAATTCTTGGCAGTCCTCTTGGTATTTATGTTTATAAAGTCATTTCTGTTTCAATTGTGGACTCCTTTCATGTTAAGACTCTCAAAATTAAAAAAAAAAATTTGGTAACTTTAAAATTTTGAACTCATTTCAGAATTCCTGAAAAGCTGCAAAAATAATACAAAGAATTCCCACATGCTCTGTACCCAGGTTCTCCAACAGTTGATTTCCCCATTTGCTCTATCATTTTCTCTCCATGTGTATCTACATTATTAGTTTTGTGTCTGAATGATTTCAAAGTAAGTTATAGCACGATGCTGCTTTACTCGTACATACTTCAGTGTATCTCACGATAAAAAGTATTGCACTTCAGTGCTGAAAAAAGAAAAAGGAGATAAGCAAAAGAAGGTAATTAAAATCCATCTGGAATCTCACCACCCAGAAATAAACATTTTGCTGTCTATTCTTCCACTTCTTTTCCATGCATATATTCACATTTCTTATACAAATGTGATATTGTACATGCAATCTTGAGCCCTGCTGTTAGAGGCAGCATAGTGGGGTGGAAGAGCTCTGGTTCTGGAGTCACTCTGGGTTCAGATCCTGAGTGTACCACTCACTAGCTGTGTTCGTTTCCTGTGGCTCCCCTAACAAGTTACCACAAACCAGGTGGCTTAAAACAACAGAAATTTAATCTCATAGTTCAGGAGGCCAGAAGTGTAAGATCCAAGTGCTGGCAGAGTTGGTTCTTATTGGAGCGTCTGAGAGTGAGTCTGTCCCCTGCCTGTCTCCTGGCTTCCGATGACTGCTGGCAACCTTTTACATTCCTTGGCTTGGAAGCACGTGACTCCAATTTCTCTTCCATCTTCACATGGACTTCTACCCTGTGTCTCTGTGTTTCTCTAGTCGCTCTTTCCTTTGTCACATAAGGACACCAGTCATTGAGTTTAGGGCCCACCCTAAATCTAGGGCGATTTCATCTCAAGATCTTTAACAAGTTATATCTGGAAAGACCCCCATTTCCAAATAAGGTCACATTCTGGGTTGTGGGTGGATATGGATTTGGGGGAGGGGAGCCGTTGTTTATCTTGCTACCCTGGCTTTGTGTCCATGGACAAGGAACTTTACTTCTCTGAGTACTTTACACTCTAAGTGTAATTTCCCCAGGGTATTTTAAGGATTAAATGTGATAATAATACACATAAAGCAATTAATAACACCTAGCACATAGTAAGCATTCAATAAATGCTAGTTATTGACTATGGCAATAATACAGTTAACATCATTTATTTGACCAATAGCCTATTGATTATTTAGGAGTTTTTTTTTTTCCATTTTTGTTATTATAGACAAGCTCCTAGTGGGCACTCTTGTGACTATACAATGTTTTTTACATATTTATGATCATTTCCTTAGCATAAATCTCTAGGAGTGGTTTGCAAAATGTTAAGCCTTTTAATTTAACAATTCTTGGCAAGGCACGGTGGCTCGTGCTTATAATCCCAGTACTGTAGGAGGCTGAGGCAGGAGGATCAGTTGAGCCCAGGAGTTTGAGACCAGCCTGGGCAACATAAGGAGACCCCTATTTCTACAAAAAATACAAAAATTAGCTGGGTGTGTTGGCTCACCCCTGTAGTCCCAGTTAGTTGAGAGGTGGAGGTGGGAGGATCACCTGAGCCTGGGAGGCTGGGGCTGCACTTCAGCCTGGGTGACAAAGTGAGACCTTGTCTCCAAACAAGCAAACAAAAAATTCCTTTTTGCACTGCATGGTTTGATGATTGGCTTTTGTTGCCCAATTTGTGAAATTATCTTTTGCACAGCAGTCTGGAGATCCAGCTTAGATTTCCCCAAATTGTCATTCCTGGAAACACACATTATGCTGAAGGTCTGAGAATGCCAGTGCTTGTTCACCAGCTGATTCTCCTGATGGTAACTCACAGAGGCCCGAGAGATGGGACAATGGCGTATCACGGGGAACCAAGGCCGGGCAGGCACAGGAGAGGTGCCTGATCTGAAACAAAGTCACTGGATTTTGCAAAGCAGTTTTGAACACTCAGGTAGACGGTAAACCACAACAACCGTGGCAGGAAAACAGCCCACCACAAATAAAAGCCTAAAACCCCAGCTGACTCTGTTCATGCCTTAATAAGAAATTGCTCAGCAGTTCAAATGCCCTGGTTCAAAGCCCTCCCTACAAGGCGAGGAACCTGAGGCCATTGTTCCGGGTAACCCTCAGGCCATGGGTGATTCTGAACAGATTGCACAAGGGCACAGGGTGTTTTAGAGACGCCTTCATCTTTGTCAGTCCTGAACCCTCCCTCTTCCTTCTGCTCAGCCCAGAGGTGCTGTGGGATGAGTAGAAAAAGGAAAGGGCCCTAGTGTTCCCAGCTGAAGTCAGAGGACTTCGGTTTCCTTTTTATTTTATTTTATTTTAGAGATGGAGTCTTCCTCTGTCACCTAGGCTGGAGTGCAGTGGTGTGATCTCGGCTCACTGCAACCATCACCTCCTAGGTTCAAGCAGTTCTCCTGCCTCAGCCTCCCGAGTAAGTAGCTGGGATTACAGGCACCTGATACCACACTGAGCTTCTTTGTGTGTGTGTGTGTGTGTGTGTGTGTGTGTGTGTGTGTGTACTTTTAGTAGAGACAGGGTTTCACCATATTGGCCAGACTGGACTCGAACTCCTGACCTCAGGTGATCTGCCCGTCTCAGCCTCCCAAAGTGCTGGGATTACAGGTGTGAGCCACCGCGCACAGCCTGGTTTCCAATTTTAATTTTGCTTTTTATCATATCAGAATGAAGAGAGTTCCATCCAAATGCACCAGCAAACCAGGTCATAAAGGAGATGACAGAAGGCACCTGTGCACTAAGGCAGTGGCACATGACAGTAACATTTCCTTCTGCAGCAAATACATGAACCTTTAGTCAGCTTGTTTTGACCACAGTTAGAAAATATTACCAGTGTAGTGACCACAAATGGTATTTGAAAACATCACGACGGTTTGGAGATCCACCTCCCACATATTTATACAGCCTGTCCTCCACCTCCTACATAAAACTACTTTTCTTTTGTTTGACATTCTTTTTTGAAATAACGTTTGAAATCGTTCAAAGTCATGAACTTGGAGGTGAGTAGGTCTAGCTGAAAATCTATATTTAGCTTTGCAGCAGGCTTGTAAAAACTTGTTTTTATTTTGATTGTTGTGGGTTTGCACCCCTGGAGTTTCATTTTGACTTTTAGGGTTAAGTAAGTTTCAAAATGAAATGCATCCAGTTGTCAAATTTTCCCCCAGGTTTTAAGTTTTAAAACGGAGGTCTCTCTTATTTCGTATTAGTTTTTTTCCCCTAAATTCCTCTCCTCTCCCTCTGGTACCCTGATAATCTCCTTCCTCCTATAAGTGTAATCCTTTTCTCTTGCCTCCTTATTACCTTGGGAAACAATAAGTAGAGGCCAGAGGAACACCCTTGTTTTAGGTGTCAAAGAGCTGAGCTCATATTCTTGCTACTGGGTGGTGAAGGAAACTTGAGATTGCTGCCTCAGTTTCCCCTTTGGAAAAAGGGGATGCAAATAAGAGCTCCCCTCTATTTCTTAAAGGTGCCATGACTGGAAAACCAAGTTGAACTTGACTGAAAATTAAGGAACAACATTCCTCCTAAGTACAAACTGTCACGATGGTGAAGGATTCATTACCCAATGACTTCCATAAGTATTTGCAGCCTCAGGCCCTGGCACTGGAAGCTACAAATAGGATTCCTGCTACCCAAGGAAGGTATAGCCTCAGATAGGTAGGTACTCTGATTGGCAAAGAGAAGAATAAATTATTAAGCCAGTCTGCGAAGCCATAATAAGGTGAATGAGCTAATGGCACTCTATATTTCTTCCATTATCACATTGTATAGGGACTTTTTAAATGTCTGTTAAACATGAGGCAAGATGTTTCATAAACTAAAGCTACATTCAGCTTGTATTCATTTCGTATTGCTGTCGTAACAAGTTACCATAAACACAGTGACTTTAAGTACACACAAATTCACTATCTTATGGTTCACACAAATTCACTATCTTACGGTTCTGGAAGTTGGAATTCCAAGATCAGTTTTACTGGGTCAAAATCAAGGTGTTAGCAGGGCTGTGTTCCTTCTGGAGGCTCCAGAGGAGAATCTGTGTCCTGGCCTTTCCCAGGGGCTACAGGCTGCCTGTATTCCTTGGATCGTGGTCCTCAGCTCTCTAACCCATATTCCTGCCTCCCTCTCAGAAGAATCTTTGTGATTACATCAGGCCTGCCTGGATAATCCAGGATAATTGTCTCATCTCAAGATCCTTAACCCAATCACACTTGCAAAATCCCTTTTGCCATGTAAGCTAACATATTCAGAGGTTCTGGGGATTGAGATATAAACATCTTTGGAGGACTCAATATTCAGCCTAGACAAGCTATGAAAGCATGGACTTGATCTGCCTTGCTCACTGTTGATCCTAGTACTTGGCACAAACCTTCTTCATAGTAGGCACTTGATTAATGTAAATAGAATGAATGAAAGGAATAGATTATGTCTGGTTTTGGCAGTTCGGTACATTAGATGCTTATTGTGTACCTACTATGAGCCACACCCATAGGGGTGCAGAGCTGTCCTGGAGCATACAGTCTGACTGGCAGACAGTCAAGGAGAAAACTGAAACAAGTAAAAGTAAATCCTGGTGTCCAGAAGCCCAGGAGAGCCAGGGCGTCATAACAATTCTGTTTGCACTCTTGGAATTTCTTTCTGTACCGGTTGGCTGCTGCCTTCTCTAAGAATTCTTTGAACACATCCCCTTGGCAAATGTGATTAATGATATTTAGATTTATTTACTTCTGTTTTTTTTTTTTTTTCTGATGTGCTAAGGGTCTGTACTGGAGAATCATTAAAAGAATTAACAATTAAGTTTCTGCAGAACCTCCTCATCCCCACCCTCTGCCCAGCATAGGGAAAGCTCAGGTGGCTGGAAGGAGGTCAGAACCAAAGTTCAGAAATACAGAAAAGCTTAAAGGGATTTCCTGAGCTAGCCTGGGAACCTAAGCACTGTCATTCACTGGTTTTAAGTGTGAATGTGTTTCAAATTTCAAATAGTAGCAATACACTTGGCATTTCAGAACATAACTGCTAGCAAGTTATATGCTGCCTGCTTGTGCACCAAGGTCCAAAAACTGCTTCTCTGTGTTTCAATTGAAGATGACTCAGGTGAATTACAGAACACCACATGGTTGAAATTCCTTTTATATGTGGTCTTCTGGGTTTCAGAAGGGCTGTCCACATGCAGGCCTTCTAAAGAGCCAACCACCAGTTTCCTGTATACCCCAGCCTTGGGGCTTTTTGCCATCTCTCTGCTTTGTTATTAAACAGTCAGAAGTGGGCTGGGGGTGGTGGCTCACGCCTGTAATCCCAGCACTTTGGGAGGCTGAGGTGGTTGGATCACTTGAGGCCAGGAGTTCAAGACAAGCCTGGCCAACGGGGCAAAACCCTATCTTTACTAAAAATACAAAAATTAGCTGGGTGTGGTGGCAGGTGCCTGTAATCCCAGCTACTCAGGAGGCTGAGGCAGGAGAATTGCTTGAAGCTGGGAGGCAGAGGTTGCAGTGAGCTGAGATCACGCCACTGCACACCAGCCTGGGCGACAGAACGAGACTCCACCTAAAAAAAAAAAGTTAACAGTGAGAAATGGAGTCCCCTTTGTCTGGACGGGGAGCGGCTGGCTGGGAGGAGGATGTCAATGGGAGACCGAGGGGAGACAGCTGCAGAGACTGCAGCAGCCTTGGAGGGCAGGACAGAGGTGGACGTGGGAGCACTAGTGGACAGGCCATGTGTACATGGAGGATACTCAAAAGGCAAGGACTGCCTGACACTTGCAAACCCGCACCACCCCCCTCCTGCCTCTAGGGTGCCAGGCTCTTGAAGAAATATATACTTACCCATTTTTGAAAGGTTGACGGGTCTTCTGAGCGTTTGAAGGGGTATTTTCTGTTGTTCAATTGTGAACATATTTGGTTGCAGTTTTGAAGGCTTTTCCTCTAGAACTTTTCATGTCCTATTAGCTGATAACACTCCTGAGCATGAATGTCTCTGTGCTACTGCCCTCTAGGTGTGTTGGAAAAAATAGAGTGCTAATCCCACGCACCTGCTTTCAATTCGGCCCACATGAGTCTGGTGCCAGAGGTTTGTTCACTCTGAATATTTCTACGCAATCTTCAAAACCTGCATTTTTTTACGCTAACACATCTCTGCTGTCAGCATCTTAATGTACACACACACACACACACACACACACACACACACACACACACACGTCGGGGCTCCATAGTCCTACCATTTGTGTTCTCAAAGGGAAGAGTTGGCGAGGGTGAGCTAGGATGACCACTAGATGACAGTATATAAAACACCTCTTAGGTGCTCAGGTGAACGAAGTTTGAATACTGCCCAGAGCTGCGATTCCCAGATTCTGATCTGTAAAATTTTTTAAAAAGGAAAAGAAGGCCCAGTGCCTGTAATACCAGCACTTTGGGAGGTTAAAGTGGAATAATTGCTTGAGTACAATTCGAGACCAGTCATAGTGAGACCCCATCTCTACAAAAAAGAAAAAATTAGCCAGGTGTGGTGGCACACACCTGTAGGCCCAGCTTCTTGGGAGGCTGAGGTGGGAGGATTGATTGAGCCTGGAGGTTGTGGCTGCAGTGAGCCGTGATCACACTGCGTGGGCAACAAAACAAGACTCTGGGCATTCCAGCTTGGGCAACGAAATGACACCCTGCCTTAAAAAAAGAAAAAGAAAACGAAAACAGGAGAGAGCCATTGGCTTGCCAAGTTTTTATCTTGCCAGGGGACATCATTAGATATAAATCAACTTCCATTCCTCCCTAAGAGAAACATTTTAGTCATGAAGAAATAGGAAGGACAGAATCTCAAAACAAGAAATTATCTTGTAAATCTCAAAGTAGCTTTATGAAAAACTTACCACATTGTTCTTTTGTGCTCATTTTGATGCAGACCAGTGAAAGAATCATCATGAACAAGCATTTGGGAAATAAACCTAGAGGAAGATTTATAATTCCAGGTTGTGTTTCCATGAGTGGAATTAAGATAATCGATCTTGCACTATGTTATCTTCAAAATGAATCTAAGAGCTAAGTAAAGTTTCAATCCAGAGACACAAAGAAGAAACAGGGGTTGACATTTGATAAAACTCATGCTATAGTCTGAATGTCCCCCAAATTCATGTGTTGAAACTTAATCTGCACTGCATTGTCTTAAGAGGTGGGGCCTTTGGGAAGTGTTTAAGTAGTGAGGGCTCCACCCTCATGAAGGGTTTAGTGCCTTGTAAGAGGGTTGGAAGGAGCCAGCTTAGACTCCTCTGTTGCTCTTCCACCAGGTGACAACACCTAGATGGCCTCATCTATGAGGAAGGAATGAGCCTTCATCAGACACTGAACCTGCCAGCACCTTGATCTTGGACTTCCTAACCTCCAGAACTGGGAGAAATAAATTCCTTTTCTTTATAAATTACCCAGTCTCAGGTATTTTGTTATAGCAGCCGAAATGGACTAGGACACTCACTAAGATGAGGCAAGCACACAGGAATCGCTGCATATGTACTGGGTGTGTTGCTGAGCCACCCCTCCCCCCGCTTCATCTGGGCCATCTCAGCCTTCTGTTTGTCAGGAACAAAACTGATGATTGCTAAGCCTCCTTGGCCCTAGGGATGGGGCTGTTGAGCTGAACCTCCGCTGAACCAGGCCTGTAGGAACTGCATTCAGGTCCCAGGCTGGTAGGGAGGGTCAGCTCAGGCTCTCCCTCCTGCCATCTTGCTTGACCTCACCAAAGAATTCTGAACCAGAACATGGGTGTGCAACCTTCTGTGGCAGAGATGGGAGAAGTGAGATGCTATGCCCTGTTAAACAATGTGCTAAACACTAATATCACGAGTCAAATTCTAACTTTCAATTAGAGAGCCCTGATTTCAAATTCTGGGGCTTGGGCAAGTCACTTCACCTTTCTAATATTCAGCCTTCTTGTTTGAAAATAGGGCCATTCGTAACACCTACCTCTCATAGCCATTGTGAGATTAAATGAGGTAATCTACATAAAGTATATAATGTAGCACTTACTGTGTGTTCAATGTGCATTAACTAATATTAATAACATTGGTGCAGGGTGCTCCTTTCTAGAGGCAAGCAGGCTGGATGATCCTAAAAGATGCTTTGAGATGCGTGCTAAACATCATGTTTTGGAAGAAATTTGCTGCCAGTAAATCCCTACCTCTGAGTCTCTGGTTTCGTTTTAACAGCTCGTACTCTACAGGTGGTCACAACGCGGAAGGGATTGGAGTGTTTGCAGCCTGGGGAGTTGCTTCTGTAGTTGAGGAGATCTGGAGTGTCGCCTTCTGGATCCGAGTGGCCCTGCTTATTCATAAGGATGGAAATGACTTGGTATTTAAACAGTGGGGAGTCCAGTTAAGCTCTTCTCTCATTGACTATATTCAAGATCCCATAGTAGGTATCTCCCCAGCAAAACTACACAGCCTCTGGTGAGGCTGGAGAGCACAGAGAAAACTCCAGATTACCAAACACACTGACAGTGACACCACACCCTGGAGCTGTGCGGTGACTCACCCTGCCTGGGTAGGAAAACTCTCCCGTCACTGCTGTGAGCAGGCAACGTTAAGGGGTCCTTGGAAGGCTGTGCTTGTACTGCCATCTAGTGGTTTAAAAAAGTACGGCTCGCTTTGGGAAGGGTCCTGGATCCCGTAGTCCGAGCTGTGCAGTCAATCACTAAGCACTAGCATCTTCCTCATGAAAATTTAGTAAGATGAATATTTTATTGAAAACTTGGCATGCTAATTTCCTAATTTAATTTCATCATTCCCCCCACAAAGCACTGAAAAGTTTGTGAGAGTCAAAATAGAGTGAAGAGCACCAGCCTAGGAGTTCGAAGGCTCCTTTGAGTGACAACTCCCAATATAACTTGGAGGAAGTGGCTTAAACCTTCTGTTTTCTCTAGGAAAAAAAATGGAAGTTAATTCCCCAAGTGTACCTCTCAGTAAATGGCTGGGAGGTTGAAATGTGGAGCCACTTGTTCTCCTCTTTCTAACATGCTGCTTCCCTGGCCCCATGTTCTCTGGCTTCTAAGCACACGTTCTTTGCATTTCTTTTTAATTTCTGAATTTCAGGGAAGTAGTCTTTATCTATGGAGACCCTTTGGTTTCGGAATGTGGGTTTTTCCCTTGAATCAACTGCCCCAAGAATATCAAACAACGCTTACATGGGCCTGTTCTCTGTGGGTGCTTTTCTCCTTGACATAGCAACAGTTACACCAGCTCTACCCCAAAATGTGCCAAGGTCTTGATACACAAAATTTGGGTGTTGTGTTGAAGTGATAGGTTCAAGATCCTAAGGGTCAATAGTCTGTAAACCTACTGTTAGGGAATTTTAAACTTCTCCAGTGTGGTGTGTGAGCGCAAAGGAGCATAGGACAGGAACTCCAAAGACCTTGGTCTACTCTCCAGTGCCCTTTGATTCTGGGCTCCTCACTTAACATCAGCACCTTCATCTGTAAAATGGGACTATATAATAAGAACTTGTCAGGATTGCTAAGGCGATCCAGTGAGGTAATGTTTGAGACAGTTATGTGTAAAGCAGAGAGGCCTGTACTGGTGTTAGTTACTGTCTTTATGATTGTTCCCTCATTTGGCACCTCTTCTATAGCAATTATGGTACTGGATTTGGGGTAACCACCACTACCTCAGGTTTACTAGGTGTATGTGTTTTTCCCTCCAAGATTTACTGTATTTAAACAATTGATGGATCCACCTACTGTCCTTATTTGAAGATGATGTAGTCACAGCCTATGTGGTTTTGTGAGCCAGCAAAGAATAGTTTAATGGTTCAATTAGCTCCTTGAGGAGATACATGGTGGTTGAGATATGCCAAATAAGCAGCATGCAACCTCTGTGGGGAGAAAAGAAGTCAGCCGACTTCTTGTGAAGACACAGCTTCCTGCAGAGCCAGATGTAGCTCGCGTTTTCCTCTTGCTTGTTCCCAATAGCAGTGCTCAGGGGGGATAAACTTTACTTAACCTAATTAATTTTAATCACAGCTTTCAAATCTCATACTGTGAAAAGAATTACAAATTGGAATACATTAATAGAAGCCATAGTTTATGCTGCAAGCTAATCATGAAATGTGCATTTACATTTTCTGCATGAGTTTGCAATTACCATTGAAATAAAATGCCGTTATGTCCTTTTAAATTACCAAAATGTGAAGAGCAGATTGAGCCAGGCCCATTTTTGTGCTACGTTACTACAGGAGTGTCTAAATTCCCAAGAATTAGATGGCTTCCTCCATCTGAGTTGCAGTGAGGAATGATTTCCTGTTGTCTGCTTTGGGCAATTTCCGTTTTTAAATAAAAATCTTTTAAACTGATTGTACAAATGTCTCACCCGCTTTAACGAGTAGTCCTTTAAATTTAGTACAGAGAAGAAATTTTATGTGTATGTAAAAATTATGTGTGTGTATACATACGTATATCTACATATGAATGATATATGCATGTAATTTTTCATTTAAGTTCCATGTAAGCTTTCATGGAGGTACACATGGAAGTAAATGCCAGCTGGTTCCTCAGAGGATCTGAGGCATTTAGAGGAAACACGGAGGGTATAAAAATAAAATTTTAATAAAGAATTAGCTCCCAAATTAGAATAGAATGGCGAGACGTCTGCAGAGTCCGCATGACTTCTATGTGTGGAGGACTTGGCAGTTTTGCCCCTCTTTCACACGCGTCATCTTGCTCGGTCCTCGCAGCAATGATCCTGAGGTGGGCAGCACAGGTGTGATTTGATTGTCTCCATTTTACAGATGAGGAGACTGAGAGCACATCAGTGAGGAGCAGAGTGGGTCTTTCAATTCCAGGCGGAGACTCTTTCGGCAGGGAGGCTCCCTCCATCTAGAAACACAATTTTTAAACTATCAGAACTCAGTAAGGAGGGACAAGTAGGGATAAGCAGTGACTGACCACCTGTTAACATCATCCTGATACCTAAATAAAAGTGATGTAAAACACCATGGGGTGAATGTGCCTTCATAATAAGTTATGCGGCTTTGGCTGGTTTGTTTGGCCACCTCGCTGGACTTACTCAGACTTTGGATTTTCAGAAATATTTTATATACAATTATGCCTGAGAATGTTCCTAGCATACTGCTGACTGGTTGTTAAGCATGTGCAGAAATAGCATCCCACAACAACAATGTGAGGAAGGGAAGGTAATATCTTTTCCTCACTCATGGAATGAGGGCCTTCGGACCTACTTCAGAGGAAGGTCAGAGAATTCTTTCATGGCCTGCTTCAGGGGAGAATGGCAGGAAAAGGTCAAAGAGACCTTCCTGCTTCTGTTTTCTTAAATGCTGAGGTGCTATGTATTGCGGTAGCATGTCTTGAGCCTCATCATCATCAACAACAACCACCACAACAACAATAATAGTAAATAGCAGCTACCAAGTGTTGATTGCTTACTATGTTCTAGACACCTTGTCATGTGATGGTCTTTCCCATTTAGTTCTCTGTTGATATGGTTTGGCTCTGTGTCCCCACCCAAATCTCACCTTGAATTGTAATCCCCATAGGATCACCACATGTTTAGGGAGAAACCTGGTGGGGAGTGATTGGATTATGGGGACAGTTTCCCCATGGGCCTCGCTGGTGATAGTGAGTGAGTTCTCACGAGATCTGATGATTTCATAAGAGGCTCTTCCCCTTTCACTCATTTGCTGTCTCTCTTGCCTGCCACCATGTAAGATGTGACTTTGCTTCTCTCTCACCTTCCACTATGATTGTAAGTTTCCTGAGGCCTCCCCAGCCATGCGGAACTATGAGTCAATTAAACCTTTTTCCTTTATAAATTACCCAGTCTTGGGTATGTCTTTATAGCAGTGTGATAATGAACTAATACATCTATCTTCTTTTATCTCAGGTAAATATTCCATTTCTGCCAAGATGCCCACCAACCAGTGCATGCCAAGACTATGAGGCACCATGAATCCCTGGCTGGCTCACATGAAGGCAAATCCCCTTCAGGACCAGGAAGGCCCAGGCCACTTTGTCCAAAGGTGGTCCAGTTCCAGATACTCAGGTCTTCTTTAGATGTCACCTTCTCTTGACCTGCTTTCTCTTGGCCTAGCACCTCTTTCAGTCACCACCGATATCACTTGCTTTCAGATTCAGATATCTAAAGACCCTCCCCTAGGGCATAACGTCCCGTCTCATCCATCTTTATGAAGATAGTGCACAGTGGGGGTGGGGGGTACTTGAAAGACCTGGGCTTTCAGATTGTGCAGACCTGGGTGTGAGCTGGGCTCCACTGTGTGCCAGCTGAGATTGAGTGATTTGCTGAACTGCTCTGCACTTCAAGTTTCTCATCTGTTAGCAGGGATTTAAAATCTGTTTTGCAAGGATGTTGTGTGGAGATGAAATGTGACATCTATGTGATGCATGCAAACAGTCCCTGGCACATAATCATTGCTTGATGCCATGACTCAGAGGCTCTGCCTGGGCCCTTGCCCAAGCTCTTCCATCCTTTTTATGTCCCTTAGTATCTTTCTTAGCTCCTATCATAGGAGATATCTGGGCAAGCACCAGCCCCATCCCACAATTTCTACCTCCTTCCTCCCCACTTTCACCCTCCAATTCTGGGTCCGTGGACTTAGTTACATACTAGTCAGCTCTCTGCCAGCCCTGAGGGCCTGGCTGGACTCCTGCTGGATGGGACCCTGTGCCTCGGGTGCAGGGAGGATTTGGACAGTCTTCTAGCAGCCTCTGCACCATTGGCCACGGAGTTGAGGGCAGTGGATCCCTATGGTTCATCTCAGTTGCTGTGCCATCACGACTGGGGGGCAGGGCGGGGAGCGAGTGGATTAGATCTCAATGTTCAAGTGTGGTCTGTAGACCGGCAGCACTGGCGTCACCTTGGAGCTTGTTAGAAATGATAAATCTTGGCCCACTGAATCAGAATCTTCATCTTAACAAGATTTCCAGTCATTCCTTCTGAGCCCTGGGTTAGCCCCCAGTAGGCAAGTGCCCCTCAAGTCACTACACAGGAGAACTGTGGACAAGGTAATTCTTCCCTCCAGGGTCAGCAAAGGTATCTGCAAATCCTTTAGTAGGGGTGTATGTGTTTAAAACACTCACAAAGTCTAATTTATTTATGCAGGAATCATTTTTAAATTTCTTTCCGGATTGTTAAGGTAAACCTTTGAATCCTCAGACCGATATATGATGTAGGATGTGGCTGGCCTTGCTTCACGTATAGAAGTCACACCCCACAATAACAATGTAGGGGAGGGAAGGTCATATCTTTTCCTCACCCATGGAACGAGGGCCTTATGACCTACTTCAGAGGAAGCTCAGAGAATTCTTTTACGGCCTGCTTAGGTTAGCGGGCCTGTGCCCATGCCATTCAGTAAAGTCTCCCGGAACCATACCCACTCTGACGCTTTCTCATTACGGAGACAGAATCACACACACAGACACACACACACACACACACACACACACACAGGCCATGACATGATGTTTTCCACCCCAGAACCTGTGCTTATATGTTATCTCTTCTGCCTGGAATGTCCTTGCTGTCCTTTGGGTGAATTTTAGTCATCCTTTAAGTTTCATTTAAAGAGACAGCTCAGCCACAGTGCCCTATGTAAGATGGCTGTGTGATGGTGTTTCTGCTGTTACCACGTTGCATTCCAGTGTTCTGTTGATGGTGTGATCACCTCCTGGAAACACTGAACTCAGTGAGGGCAAGGTCTGTGTTGTATTTATTCATCTTTGTATCTCCTACACCCAGCACAATGACAGGCACGCTGGAGATGCCCCATAAATGCTTATTGCATACACAGAAAAAAAGCTTAGCTTGCTATGATGGCTTTTCATTTCGTCCTTTGAAGTTTAATCAGAATAAAAGAAAATAACTGCAGACTCTAAACGTTTGTAAAGTTTCTGTAAAACCTTACAACCCAAATGGAAAAAAAAAAAGATCAAAGGGAAATTAGACAGCAATTTGTTTTAAAAAAAATGTAGTGGCATTTTAATTAGAGAATATTCTTCTCATTGAAATGAGAAACTCCCAGGGAAATACTTGATATGTTAGAGTCTCCCTCCTCACATTTTTTTCTCCAGCTATTATGGGACCTGCTGAGCAGGCTTTGTGAAGGAAAGCTCCTAGGATGCTGCACAATGAAGACACTCAGCACTTACACAGCGCTCTGCTCTTGCCACAATTAAGCCTTTCACTTCTCCCGGCCCTGCAGCGGGGGAAACCCGAGTTATTTACTGAATTTGCTGGCTAGAAGGCCCTGAGGATAAATGACTTGTTCGAGCCTAGGCAACTGGACTGTCACAGGCAGAATTCAGAGTTTTGGACCTGTTTCTTATGTCAAGCAGTTTGTTCTGACCTCAGAAGGGAATCCCTTTTTAATAAGCAATGCACATGGACCCCAAAGAGTCCCCAGAAGGTGGTCGTTTGGAGGGGATCACTGGATATCACAAATCGGTAACATTTTTGAAACTCAATATGGGGATGACTGTAGGATTGCCATCTTTTAATCTTGCTAATTAGGAATATGAAGAAAATATATGGCCGGAATTATGCCTTAAAGAAAATAAATGTCTTATACTAAAAAATAAGGAATTGTTTCAGAATAAAGCCCAGGTTTTTTTTATTGAATATATTTAGTTTTATTAAAAACACAGCACATTGTAGTTATTTTTATCGTTTTACAGGAGACCAATGAAAACTGGCAGTTTAGTGTTTGGGAACCACTGTTTTTAACTAAATATGCTAGATCCATATTTTCTGTAGAAACCCCAAAGCCAACCTTCTCTAGCAGAAAAGTGAGTTAAGATTCACCTGCTGGCATTCCACGCCCAGGGCAGTCACCCACTTCCTCTTTCCACAACTGTGGAAGTAGGCGTTACTTGACATTCTGAAAGTACGTCAGAAAGTAATCCTGACAGCACTTTCTGTAATTGGTGTGTTGTTGCTGTGCTTCATGCTCACTAGAGAGAGAAGATGGAAGACTAAGGAAGCCTCGATGCAATCTTTCCTACTGAGTTTTAGGTAGGAGTAGGTGATACAGTTTGTCTGTGTCCCCACACAAATCTCATCTTGAATTGTAACTTCCACAATTCCCAAGTGTTGTGGGAGGGACCTGGTGGGAGGTGGTTGAATCATGGGGACAGGTCTTTCTTGCACTGTTCTCATGATGGTGAATAAGTCTCACAAGATCTGATCATTTTATAAAGAGGAGTTTGCCTGCACAAGCTCTCTCTCTTTGCCTGCTGCCATCCATGTAAGATGTGACTTGCTCCTCCTTGCCTTCTGCCATGATTGTGAGGCCTCCCCAGCCATGTGGAATTGTAAGTCCAAAAAACCCCCTTTTCCTGTATAAATTGTCCAGTCTTGAGTATGTCTTTATCAGCAGTGTGAAAGCAAAGCAAAACTTTTGAGCTGAGGATTTTATCCTTTGGTGTACTATACTCCACAGGGGAAACAGAAAGAGGTTGAGGCTGCAGTGAGCTATGATAGGGTCACTGCCCTCCAGCCTGGGTGACAGAGTGAGACTCTGTCTCTTCAAAAAAAGGTAAAAAAAAAAAATTAAAAATCTCCCTAAACTCTATGTACAAGCTATCCTTCTACCCTCCAATCTGTCCTAGGTGTGGGCCAAACTGACTTTGGGAGAAATTTACAGTTTGAATGATAATAACACTTCCCAAAAACAAAACCACCCTTGTAAAACTAATAAAAGGCCACCAGGTTAAGAGGATGGGCGAGGTCACAAGGTTTGCAACATCCCCAATTACTCGTGTAATTAATGTCACTATTGTAGAACCTAAGACTGGCCTTTTGAGATCTTTTCAGGCTTTTGCATTTCTGATGACTGGATGGCCCCACCTGGACCTGTGACTCAACCAGTTCTGTGGCCCCAACCCAGAAGGGGACTCAGCACATGAGGACCATTTTCCACACCCCTATGATTGCATCCCCCACCAATCAGCAGCACCCTTTCCCTAGGCGCCTGCCCACCAAACTACCTGAAAACCCCCCAACCTTCCAGCTTCTGGAGAGATTGATTCGAGTAATAACTCCAGCCCCTGCTTGGTGTGGCCAGTCTCACCTCAATTAAACTCTTTCTTTATTGCAATGCCATGGTGTCAGTGGATTGATTTTGTCTGTACAGCAGGCAGGAAGAACCTGTGGGGCGATTACATGAAGGAGGACAATTATGGATTTTTCTTTTATGTTTTCTAACTTTTGTTACTGTATTTATATTACTTTTAGAATTTTAAGTAATTTTGTAATGATGAAGAAATGAGAAAAATTGAGGAATTACACCTTACTGATTGAGTTTTCCAAAGATGGTCACAAGGTTGCTCCTGCTGCACGCTCCTCTTCCCATGGGACCTTAACACTCCTCCTTTGAGCTCCTCCCCCAAACCTAGACAGACCCTTGTAACTGCCTCAACTGAACATAGTAGAAGTGATGTTACTGGAAAGGGGTCCTGATCCAGACCCCAAGAAGAGAGGGTTCTTGGACTTCACACAAGAAAGAATTTGGGGCGAGTTCATAGAGGGAAGTGAAAGCAAATTTATTAAGAAAGTAAAGGAGCAAAAGAATGGCTACTTGCAGGAAAAGGATGGGCAATTTCCAGAACTGAGGGTTCCTCTCATTTTTAGACGATATAAGGTAACTTCTTGACATTGCCCTGGCATTTGTAAATGGTCATGGTGCTGGTGGGAGTGCCTTTTAGCATGCAAATGCATTATAATTAATGTATAATGAGCAGTGAGGAGGACCAGAGGTCATTTTCATCACCATCTTGGTTTTGGCAGGTTTTGGCTGGCTTCTTTGCTGCATGCTGTTTTATTAACAAGGTCTTTGTGACTTGTATCTTGTGCTGACCTCCTATCTCATCCTATGACTAAAAATGCCTAACCTCCTGAGAATGCAGCCCAGTGGGTCTCAGCCTTATTTTACCCAGATCCTATTCAAGAGGAAGTCACTCTGGTTCCAAGGCCTCTGGCAGTGACACAATGTAACTTGTGAGGCTAGTGTTCAATACAGTTTATAGGAGCTCACTATTTTGGACTGAGCTCCTGTAGACTCAACAGACCAAACCAAAACAGCATCATTCGTGCCAAAGTTTCATATCACCACACCAATATTTGTCTGACCTCCCCAGGAATCAGGAAAGAGAGAGAAATAATAGCCAAATTCTGAAACAGATCACTTTTGGCCAGCAGGATAAGAAAATCCACTCTGCTTTACAAGGAAAGTAGCTTTGAAATGACCAATCTGCTTTTTGTTCCTTGTTTCCGCCTTCTGTGGCCTTTTTCTCTCTGTAAATACTCACTGCCCATGTTGCAGAGTGGAGTTCTTGGAACCTTTTCTTGTTCTGAGGGTTACTCAATTCTCAAGTCATTCTTTGCTCTAATATACTCTGTTAAATTTATTTTGGGTAAAGTTTTTCTTCTATCATTAGATTGTAAAAATTCTATATACTTCTGCTTGGCACCTTGGGATGTGGCCCTTTGATGTGGCTGCCATATTATGAGGAAGTGCAAAGCAGCTGCCCACATGGAGGGTCCACAGGTAGGTGTTCCGATGGACCGCCCAGGTGAGGACCCAGAATCAAGTGCTGGACACATAAGTGAAGAAATCTCCAGATGATTCCAGCTCCCAGCTGTTGAGTCTTTGAGTCTTTCCAGAGGGGGCCTCAGATGCCATGGAGCAGACACGGCTGTCCCTTCTGTACCAAAGTCAAATTGCTGCTGCATGGAATCCCTCATTCTAAGCATCATTAACTGGCTGTTTTGTACCATTAAGGATTGTGGTTTGTTTCACAGAAGTATATGTATATTATAACTCTCTTTTAGTAAGAGCAAGCAAGCAAAGCAAAAACAAAACCCAACACTCCTGAACATCTGCATATATATTTTTTAATGTAAAAAAGTTATGTTAAAATATACATAAGGTTTAACTTTTTAACCCCTTTTAAGTACACAGATTTAGAGCATTAAGTATGTTCACACTGTTACACAACCATTACCACAGTCTGTCTCTGGAATTTTTTCCAACTTCCCAAACTGCAACTCTATACTCATGAAACAATAACTGTCTAATCCCCTTCCCAGAACTCTTGGTGAGCACCATTTAACTTTCTGTTTCTATAAATTTGACTACTCTAGAAACCTCTTGTAAGTGGAGTCATATGGTGTTTGTCCTCTTGTGACTGGCTTATTTCACTTAGCCTAATATAGGTTCATCCCTGTTGAAGCATGTGTCAGAACTTCCTTCATTTTTAAAGCTGAATAATATTCCACTGTATGTATATACAAACTCCTGGGCTCAAGTGATCCTTCCCCTCAACCTCCCAACATGCAGGGATTATAGGCGTGAGCCCATGCACCCGGCCCCATTTTCTTTATATCTATTCGTCCATCAATGGACACTTGGTTTGCTTCCACCTTTCGGCTACTGTGAATAATGCTGCTATAAATATGGGTATATAAATGGGGTTTGAAGTCTCTTTAGTTCTTTTGGTTATATATCCAGAAGTACAGTTGCTGGATTACATGGTAATTCCGTTTTTAATTTTTTGAAGAACTGTCATACTGTTTCCTATTGTAGTTGCCCCATTTTATATTCCCACCAGCAGTGCCACAAGGCTTCCAATTTCTTCTCGTCATCACCAATAGTTGTTATAATTTTTTTTTTATAAAAGCCATCCTAAAGTATGTGAAGTGATATCTTGGTGTGAGAGCTCATTTTGATTCACATTTTCCTAATAACTAGTGATGTTGATCATGTTCTCATGTGTTTATTGGCCATTTGTATATCTTCTTTGGATAAATGCTTATTCAAGCCCTTTGCCCATTTTTAAATTAAGTTGTTTGGTTTTTGTTTGGAAATATTCCTTTAAATGTATATATAGACAAGGCAGAGGTATAGAAACAACAGGCTGTTACCTCAGAGGTTGTGTGTTGAGGTGGAAGAGGAGCAAACATGATTCCTTTCTGCCTCTTGTGAAATTGTACTGAAGGGCTCCACGTATTACCAGCATGTGTCACTAACTGAATAAAGAAAAACAATTTAAAGAAATTATCAGTAAAAAGTCACCTTGCTTAAGTATCTCAAAATATCTAACTTGAAGTTTTTTTTAATGGTACAGCCAAGAAAATGAAATAATCTTGAGTTGAACCTTCACACAGATTTCATTGGTAAAATTTTAATAATGAGAAGAAAACTTCCCTTCATTGTTCTAGTCACAGATCCTTGGCCTGCCTTTTCCACCTCCTCCCTCCTCCCTTCTGGAAAGAGCTCAGACTAAGAGAAGAGCCTGTCTCTCTTTAAAGAGACTATTTGTTTCCATGGTAACTTGCCTTCTTCATCTTCAGAGCTGTAAACTAGGAAATTCCATTAGAGGCTTATCCGGGCAGTTGCTTTTGAAATGGTGTCTGATATTAGCTGTCTGCTTCATTCACCTTTGCTGCTTAGTAATCTTTTGAATTTGGTGATTTTGTTTCTATCAAATGAAGAGAGTAAAATAAAACAACACGAAGCTGATTATAATCGGTCTTGTTGGGCCAGCTGTGCATTCTTGTTAGGTCCTGTGGTGGGGCTGTCATGGTGTGGCCTCCTAGGTGACTGTGACCTGTGCAGCCTAGGCGCCATGGAGCCCTGCACACAGAGCTGGCCTGATTCAAGATGCACCATTTCATCTGGAGAAGAAATAGGAACCAACTCTGTTGTCAAAAGTGACTTTGATTGTTAGTAGATTTCAAGTTTTATCTGTAGGATTCTGATTTGGGCACATGGAGATGCTAATACTGCTGGCTGTGAAAATATAGCTGCAAATAAAGCAAATAACCAGATTACCTGAGGCTGATGATTTTAATTTTTCTAGTAGTATCTATGATTATAAAGCTGCATTTATTGACCATTGACATAGAAGGTTTGGCGGATTTTTATTGACCAGCATGGTTTACATGCATGAAATCTATATCATTTTTTGTTTCTCCAGATCCATAAAGGACATTTAAACAACAGTTAATAAACATAGAAAATATCTTGAAATCACCTTTTCTATTCAGGAAGTTCAGCTACTTTATTCCTCTTGATAACAACTTCATCTGATTATATTGACAAAAATAACATTACATTTGGTTTTCCTTTTATTTATTTATTTATTTATTTAGACATGGGGTCTCACTCTGTTGTCCAGGCTGGAGTGCAGTGGCATGATCATGGCTTACTGCAGCCTTGAATTCCTCGGCTCAATCGAGCCTCCTTCCTTGGCTTCCCAAAATGTTGGGATTACAGGTATGAGCTACCGCACCTGGCCTGGTTTTCCTTTTTTTAAAAAAGCTAATTGCTGGCCAGGTGTGGTGGCTCATGCCTGTAATCCCAGCACTTTGGGAGGCTGAGGTGGGTGGATCACAAGGTCAGGAGTCCGAGACCAGCCTGGCTAACATGGTGAAACCCTGTCTCTACTAAAGATTAAAAAAATTAGCTGGGCATGGTGTTGCGTGCCTGTAATCCCAGCTACCTGGGAAGCTGAGACAGGACAATCGCTTGAACCCAGGAGGCGGAGGTTGCAGTGAGCCAAAATCACACCACTGCACTCCAGCCTGGGTGAGAGGGTGAGACTCCATCTCAAAAAAACAAAACAAAACAAAAACAAACAAACAAAAAAACACACACACAAAAAGCTAACTGCCGATCAATAGTATACTTCCAACTTTTGAACACATTTCCTAGGTAAAATATTTATATTTAAAAGAATGTTTAGATTGAATGATGAAAAGGTTCTGGAGATGGATGGTGGTGGTGGTTGTACCACAATATGAATGTACGTAATGTTACTGAACCGTACAGTTGAAAGTGGTTGAATGGTAAATTTTCTGTTATGTATATTTTATCACAATAAACATTCAGAATTTTACAACTGGCAAATATGAAAGTATCTGCAATTGCTATGGAAAAGCATGTTAACTGATACACAATTCGATGAGAATCTTAGGCTCTTAGCATCTTATGTAGCTTTCCTTCCTCCTTAAACTTAGACTTCCAAGAAAATTCCAAATTTTGGTTTCCTTCGTCCTTTTCAGTTTTGAAGCAATTTGAATGCATACTTCCTTTTTCCCATGAAAGAGCATAAAAATACTGTATTTCGTAGCCCTTATCTCTGGAGACATTTTTGTATTCCTTTGTTCCAATCATTGCCTTGGAGAAGTTCACTGTCTCATAAGAGGAATCACAAAACAAGAATCATCTCAGAATTGTAGGGATCTCTGTGCAAATTTGTCTAACATCTTACCAAGGCAGATGTCTTAGTCCATTTTGTGCTGTCATGGTAGAATACCTGAGACTGGGCAATTTATAAAGAACAGAGATTTGTGTCTTACAGTTCTGGAGGCTGAGAAGTCTGAGGTTGAGGGGCCCACATTCTGTCCAGTGATGAGTAGCTTGTCTACTCATAGGCTGCCCATTCCACTTTGATCAGGCTCATTTACTAAACATTCACTGAACAGTTTGTCTTGACATTGTGTGAGGTTACTGGAGATACCAAAGGGAGCAAGATGGACGTGGTCTGACTCTCATAAGGCTTACATTAGAATGTTCTTCTATTTTTTTTTATTGAAACTTTGTCTATTTACCTTAGGCTCATTCATTCTAGTTATGACCTCAGAGTCATAAAGAATGCACAGCACTGTGCACTGTGCCAAAAGCCCTATTGCCTTCATTTCTTTTACTCCTCACCAGAATCCTATGAGGCAGGGAACATCACTGTCTCAATTTCACCACTGAAGAAACTAAGACTTAAAAGGGTAGGTATCTTGCCCAATATCATATAGCTAGTATCTGTTCCTCCATTCACATTAATTAATCATTCATTCATTCAACAAACATTGGTTGAGAATCTACTATAAGCTTTGGCAATGTTGAGAAAATTTGATAGCTGCCCTTAAAAACTCACAGCTCAATGGGGGAAGAAGTCAAGCAAACAGGTCTACTGCAGTGTGCTGTGCTGTGTGAGGGAGCTGTGCTCTGCGGCGATAACAGCTAGCAGGTCGGTCTCTCACCTGGTTGAAGAGTCCAGTCAGGCTCCTGATTAGCACAGTGGCCCCTATCGGTCTCTGTTGCACCTCGTCCCTCCAATCCACCCACCACCCTGCATCTGGAGTGATCTGTCTAGACTCACAGTCAAGATCTGTCTAGACTGATCTGTCGCATTCACTCATTTTTCATTCAGCTAACAAATATTTTTGAGTATCTACTTTGTTAGCCCTTGGAGACACAATGGTGAGTAAACCAGACTTGGCTGGGACCTTCACAGAGCTTGCAAGGCAGGTAAGAAACAGAAACAGGGAGATGCATAGAATCATTAAAAAAAGAAAAAAAAAAGTTGGAAGGCATATAGCCACTGTGGAAGACAGTTTGGAGGTTTCTCAAAATGTTAAGCATAGCGTTACTAAATGACCAGCAATTCTACTCTTAGGTATATACTCAGAAGAATTGGAAACAGGTACTCAAACACATATATCTACAACACATGAAGGTTCATAGCAGCACTAGTCACAATAGCCAAAAGGAGGAAAGAATCCAGATGTCCATCAAGGATGAATGCATAAGCAAAATGTGGTCTATTCTTACAATGAATGTTACTGAGTCATAGGAAGGAAGGAAGTACTGATACAGGCTAAACAGAGACGAACTTCAAAAATATTATGCTAAGTGAAATAAGCTAGACACAGAAGGTTACATAAGATAGGATTCCTTTTAAATAAAATATCTAGAACAGGTAAAGCCATAGAGACAGAAAGTAGATTGGTGGTTTCCAGGGGTTGGGGGCAGGAGGAAATAAGGAATGACTGCTTAATGGGTATATGGTTTTATTTTGGTGTGATGAAAACATTCTCGAACTAAATAGAAATGGTAGTTGTACAACAATCTGAGTGTACTAAATGCCACCCTGAATTATGTACTTTAAAATGGTTAATTTTCTGTTATGTGAATTTCATCTCAATTAAAAAAAAATGTATAACAAGGGGCTTAAATTAGATTGGGGATCAAGGATGGTTTTGAGCTGAGACCTAAAGACTGAGCAAGAGCTAGCTAGGAGAAGGATGTAGAGAAGAACATGTCCCTGGCAAGAGGAAGAGGGTATGGGGTGGAACTGAAGGGGAGGCAGGGGCCAGATGTGGTACAGCTTTGTAGGCCATGCAACATGTCCCCAGTCTTACCCCAAATGCCTTGGGAAATACCATGACAGAACAGTCTATCTGTTCTCAAGTTCATTCTTCCTGCTCTGTGGAAATGGCCCGCAGGGGCACAATCACAGCAGCTACAGGGAAGGACAATGGTGACCAAGGCTCCCTGGGGCTGTCAATTTAGTCCATATCCCTACAGGGGACACACAAGGCTCCACGACCTAGTCCCTCCCCAGGTCCCCTGGCTCGTCTCTCCCTCTGCCCACCTCACACTCTCTGCTGTAGCCGTAGAAAGTTCAAGAGGTGAGCTCTTTTTCTTCAGGCCTTGGAACAATCTGCTCCTCCTTGGGAATGTTTCCCCATATTTGCCTGGCCAAGTTTTCTCCAATCTTCAGCATTCTGCTAAGGCATCGCTTTCTTCCAGATGTTGTCCTGGCTCCAGGCTCTAATACTGCCTGACTTTGAAGCACCTTCCAGCACTTTGAGCCTAACTCTATCACAGTGCATATCACAGTGGGTGGCCACAGCTTGCTTTATCCCCCTGAATTTTTTCCATTCAGTAACGAATTCCTTAGGGCAGAAACTCATTTGTTCTGGTGTCACTAGTACATGCGCCTGAGTAAATTAATGAATTCTTTCAAGAGAAATGAATTAGAATGCAAGTGGTGCTCCTCAATTTTCCCTTGAGTTCTTGTTTAACCCCCTCTCTTTTTTTTCCTGAGGATGTTCGTTTCCATCTCCCAGAGATACTGCCCCTTATTGAAGTGCTTGCCTCTTCCCACTTTTCAGAATATCTCCATCCTTATAAAATTTGAATTATGTTTTAGTTCTCCAAACTTTTCAGTGGTGAACAAGCCTCTCACCATTACTTTCCTTTGTAAAGAGAACACATTGGAAAACGTTGAAATGCTTTTTAGTAGAAAATTTTCCCTCATTTTTCGTGATCACATTTCCAGTTCTTTAATCTGAAAACTGTCAGTTTATAACTGATTTCTTAATCAAGATATTATAATTCTAATG
Organism: Homo sapiens; assembly: GCF_000001405.40. NCBI lineage: Eukaryota > Metazoa > Chordata > Mammalia > Primates > Hominidae > Homo > Homo sapiens. The sequence continues at coordinate 90,495,104 of NC_000006.12, forward strand.
AACATCTCATGCTCAGATTATAAGTGCTGGCCAATGTTTTTACTCTTTTGGGGAAAAAAAATTCAGAAAAAAAATTCATTTCAATGTTTTTCAGGACCTTTACATTTTCTCAAAACATTCACCTATTATCTCCCCTGGAGTGGTGTTCAGACCTCAGCATAATGTTGAGTCCAGAGCTAAACTGCCCACATTGATCCCACCTCTGCCACTCACTAGCTAAGTAACATTAGGCAAACTGTTTCACCTCCCCATGGCTTTGTGTGGTAGGGAGCAAACATAGTATTTTGCTCACCCATCAGGTGCACAGCTGAGACGCCTATAACAAAAGATAGATTAACAAGAGAAAAGGCCAGGAACGGTGGCTCAAGCCTGTAATTCCAGCACTTTGGGAGGCTGAGGCGGTCGGATTGCTTGAGCTCAGGAGTTGCAGACCAGCCTGGGCAATGTGGTGAAACCCCAGCCCTACAAAAAATACAAAAAATTAGCCAAGTGTGGTGGCACACGCCTGTGGTCCCAGCTGCTAGAGAGGCTGAGGTGGGAGGATCGCTTGAGCCCAGGAGGTCAAGGCTGCAGCGAGCTGAGATTGCGCCACTGCACTCCAGCCCGGGCAACAGAGTGAGACCCAGTCTAAAAACAAATGAACATAAACAATAGAAAAGCATACAAACTTGTTTAATATAAGTTTTATGTGGCAAGGGAGCTTTCAGAAATGAAGACTTCAAGAAACAGGGAAATATGGGTGTAGTAGTCTTCCCTAATCCATGGTTTCAGTCACCCGAGGTCAACCATGGCCTGAAGGTATTAAGTGGAAAATTTCTGGAATCAGAAATAAGCAATTCATGTTTTAAACTCTGCACTCTTCTGAGTTTCACCTAGGATGTGAAACATCCCTTTGTCCAATGTATTCACCTCATCACAAGGAGAAGGTGAGTATATTAAAATGTTTTGAGAGACTACCTTCCCATAACTTTTATTAGTTATATTTTTCTTATTCTTCTATATTATTATCAGTTATTGCTGTTAATCTCTTACTGTGCCTAATTTATACATTTAACTTGTCATAGGTATGTATGTACAGAAAAAACCCCAGTGTATATACAGTTCAGTATTATCCATGGTTTCAAGCATCCACTAGGGATGTTGGAATGTATCTCCATGAGTAAGAGGGGGCTCTGTATTTTTATGGATAGTTGTACGGAAGTATGTCTGGAGGACAAAAGGCTACGGTCTAATGGTAATAGACTGCGGGAGTGGGGGGTGGAATTTAGCAAGGCCTGTTTGTTCAGTCTTCTCTTGTCTTCTTTCCTTTCTTCCGGGTATAGGGAGGGCCCTTCTGAAATGAGAGTTTTACGACCGATTTTCAGGGGAAGGTCAGTGAGGTTTAATGGCCCATTTCAGGGGAAAGAGGGTGAGGGAAGATCAGAGCGTGACCTTCTGTTTTTACGGTTTTCTCAATTTCCTTCAAGTCTAAAATATATAGTATGACAAGATGACGTATTCTGGGGTAGCGTGTTCTGAACTCCGTCAGTATCCTCATTTGTAAACTGGGGATAATAATGTTACCTAACTCAGAAAGATCTTGTGATCACGAAGTTCATACTTGTAATACACTCAGAACAGTGGCTGGTAATTGCATCAGCAAGAAATCCCATCTGAGGAAGGGGAAACAACAGGAGCTGTGCAGCTGCGGCTGCTGGGACCTCCTGTCTGCACAACCCCACCTACTCCTTTGTCTGCTGAGTGAAGACAGGTCAGTCGACCTCGGGCCCAGGAAGACTGCTGCTGTCAGGGGAGCACACTCCAGTCACCCACAGGAGCAAAACACATCCTTCTGGAGCCACAATAGCCTTGGGAACCTTGGTCCGGTTATCATAGCCATGATGTTGGTCGAACAGATAAAAATATTCTCTTGAATCCCTAGCCTGTTTGAAAAAAATCACCACCTATCAAAAGAAAGGAAAAAAGAACATTCCCTGACATTATAGCTTAAACTTAATTTTCATATCAATTAAGCCTTTAATTGATATAAAAGAATCTGGGACAGTATTAGGAATAATTAGGAATGGAAAGTATTTTTTGGGGGGATGATTTTTTTTTCTTCAAGCAAAACCTACATGATAGAGACATTTTTTATTCTATCCACTTTTGGATTAACCTTCAGTTTATTGAGCAATTATACTCTGCTCACCTGAAAAAGTAGAAGTAGTTATAACTTAAATATAATGGGTAATAGAATGAGGGATTTAATCAGACTAGAAGCCATGTAAGTGATAAAGTCATTTGGCCTAGATGCCATCTGCTGGGTACTACGATGTTACTCAGGGGGCAAGACATGGAGCCAGGCACCTCTCTGGGGTTAAACAAGGGTTGGGGAAGGAAAGGTCAGCAAACTCAGCTGAAGGTCAGGATAGAAGTTTATCCAGGCAGGAGGACTCTAGTGTCCAGAGAGCAAGGTGCTCAGTAGAAGGTAATGGTGTGATCATTCAGGCAAGCAGCTGACCTTGGAAAGGTCCACCAGAGGGTGACAGAGTCTCATGAGCTGCTGGATGGGACATCTGGGAACAGACCATATTTGTCCAGACAAGCATGGAATTGCCCAGCCCAAGAAGGATGGGTGAGCTGCTAAGAGGGTCCTTACCAATAGAATGGGGTGTATAAAATTCCAGATTCCATGAGGGGCATTGGTGGGTTTAGGGCCAGCAAGGGCAAGATCAAGGCAGGACTCCAACCTTAAAGGGAAGTAGTCATCCTATGAGGGTACAAGCTCAGAGTCAGAGGAGCAGTACAGAGAAGCTGATGGTAAGTCCCTGCATGGCCCACATCCCCCATCTGTGGATAGGACTGAGCCAAGCACATGAACAATCACGGCAGGGACATGGTGGTATAGGAAGGGCTCTCCTTGACTCCTGGCATCAGTTAGGCATACTTTCAGCTACTAGTGGCTGAAAACCTGAGTTGCTGTAGCTTACCGCAAAGGGACATTTATTGCTTCCTTAAGAAGTTAGATGTGTGATCTCAGGATTGCTGGTGCAGCTCATCGAGGTCATTCCCATTCTCCACTCCTTCAGCCGCATTTGGGCTCTTTGTCACCTTCATACATGATAGTTGCAGACATTAGGTCCTCACAGCACATCCTAAAAAGGAAGGACAGGTGGGAGCAAGAGCTTGCTTCCTCCCAAGCCTCTGCCTGATTGTTTGGAAAAAGAAGGCTCCATCAGAAGCCTCCCAGCAGCCTGCCCCACAAGTACTCATTGGCCAAATGTGGGTCACTCAGCTACTCTGATTTGCAACAGGAGCCGGAAGTGCAAATCTTGTGTTTCTAGCCTCTACAGAGTGAGGTAGGCAAGGGGTAAGGGTGAGAGAGATGGTGGTAGCCAATAATCTTTCTTCTCCTTTTCCCTTTAATTTGAGCAGCACTCTAGATTCTCCTTCCTGTTTCCTTGTCAGAAGTACATAGAATTGCTTTGGATACTTTAGGGAAATAATGGTGTTGATTTTCTTATAGGTTTACAGCTCATTCCTCCCTCTGAGATTGACCAACCATGATTCTTCATGGCCAGATGTTGGAGCATATGAGACCTGCCACCACACCTTGTGGCCCACGGCAGCACAAGACAGCATTCCTCTACACTCTCTGTTGTGGAAAATGGCCAAGTCCTCATAGTCCAAAGAGAGTCGATTTCAGGCCACTGAGTTCTTCACTTGTACCTTCTCCCTCCTGTCATCCCAATCCATGTCCTTGTACAGAAAAAGCCCAAGGATTTTTTTTTAAAGGCAAGTATATAACAATAAGGCAAGAATTTCCTTAACTGGTAATAGGATGGACATTTAAATGCTGAAAAGACCAGTCCCTGAAGCCTAAAATGGTACCAAAAACAGCTGAGCAAGAAGGCAGGGATTGCAGAACTTGGGTGCATCTTGGGGGAAAGAAATAAAGGGGCCACAGGGCAGCTGGTGTAGAATAAAGATACTTTCAGACATATAATGAATTTAAAAATTTACCTCACTTGTGCCCTTTCTGATGAAGCCACTGGGCAAAATCAGTGAATGAAGGAGTAAGCCATGAAAAAGAAAGACATGAAATCCAGGAAATAGGGATCCATCCCAGGAAAACAGCAAAAGGAAGTCACAAGATGATAGCTCAGCACCGGCCTAGAGAGAGTTTGTATTGGAGATGGAGGAATTGCATGGGGCAGCTGCAGAAAGATGTCTTTGCAGGAGAAATGGATCTGAGAGGTCTGGTGTTTGAGCAGTCTGGTGTTGAAAAATTATTGATAGGTGTGGGTGACACATGCGTTGAAGCACTTATTTAAAAAGGTGATAAATCTATAGGCAAATGAAAAAGGTACTAGGAGAAAACAAATAATTTTAAGAGAAAGGCAATATAATTATTTTCTTATTCCATTCAGGCTTTTACAAAAAAATACCATAGATCAGGTGGCTTATAAATAACAGAAATTTATTTCACACAGTTCTGGCAGACTTGGCTTCTGGTGAGGACATGCTTCCTGGTTCATAGTTGCCATCTTCTCACTGTGTCCTCACATGGTACAAGGGTGAGGGAGTTCTCCAGGGTCTCTTTTTTATAAGGGAACCAATCCCATTCACCAGGGCTCCACATTCATAAACTAATCAACCTCCCAAAGGTCCTGCCTTCAAATGGCATCACCTTGGGGATTGAGATTTCAATATATAAATATTGGGGGGACAGAAACATTCAGACCATTGCAATCACAGTAATACATTACTTGAATCAGCAGTAAACATAATTTATATAGTCATAAGCTCGATATTATAAAATAATAATGCAATATTTACTGTGATCGACTCTAACATTGTGATCCAGTTCTATAGGGATAAAAGGGTAGAGGAGATGGCAGAGGTGTGCGTTAACCAGCTAAATCCTCCATTACTATCGTGTTAGTCAAAAATTTGGTGTGCAAAAGTGATACATCAGGAAATAGCAGTATAAGCATGTTATTTACAAATATGGGGTAAATAGAAGAAATGGTTTGAGAAATGGTTTAGTCAAAATATTGGTGTGCAAAATTGATAAATGAGGAAACAGCAGTATAAGCATGTTATTTACACATATGGGTAAACAGAAGAAATGGTTTCAGAGCAGGAGGTTGGACAGCAGCTGCTCATTTTGTAAAAAAAATTGATTAAAAAACTATGTGCATGAATTATCTTAAAAATTAAAATTCATCATTAAAAGACATTTAAAAAGTAAGGCAAATTGTTAGTTTACTAAGTTGTATTCTGCTTCTTGGTTTGAGGCTTCTCCAAACCTGTGGCCAGGCCACCATGCATGTGCCATAAAATCATGACCCTTAATGAGCTGACCCAGCAGGCAGAGGTGGAAGAACTTGTCAGCATTTCTGGGCTTGTTTTGCCCTTGTGTTAAACAGAGCCAAGTTCTGAGGAGTTTTAATTAAGCTCACATTGGGAATGAAGGTGGAGCGGGGGGACTGGGAGAAAAGATGGAAACCCCATTCCTTGTTACAGCATGCCTTGTCATGCATTATTGCTTACGTGGCAATGATCCGCCCTACTCGGCTATCACAGGGGAAATTACCATATGGAAATACGAAACTCGGGATTACAAAAGGTCCTTGAATGTTCAAAGTGATTAGTGTTCAACTTAATCTTCAGGGATTAGTATTTATGCCACGTTAATAACTGAAGGGATATTCTGTAAATGACTCATTTAGTCGTAGCGTACATTTATGGTTTTACATAAATAATCCTACAATTTATGGTGGTTACAGCATTAAGTTCAATTTTTACTTATGTTTAGAAGCAGCTGTTTTTCTCAGTGTCCCTCAGGTTTATACGACAAGACTTACAATGGGTCATATGTTGTATCTGGGAATGCTACCCTGCCATTTTATCCGAGAGACTTGCCAGTGAGCTGGTATTGCCAACACATCCCTTTACAGAGTAGCAGTAACTTGGCACAAGGACTCTTCCTGCTGTCCTAGAGATCTTCCACTGGGAACCTGACCCTTACCTTTGTTCCCAGGATATTTACTGATTCTTAAATCAAGGTAATGTTTTCAAGATGACTGTGAAGAATTTATGTTAATACTGTTGTAAATGTGAGAAGATTTAGAATCTTTTCTAAAAGGAGGAATAAACAAATTCACATTAATTCTATTTTTCTCCCAACTTTTTTTTTTTTTTTTTTTTGAGAAGGCGTCTTGCTCTGTCGCCCAGGCTGGAGTGCAGTGGCATGCGTGATCTCCGCTCACTGCAAGCTCTGCCTCCCGGGTTCATGCCATTCTCCCGCCTCAGCCTCCCACGTAGCTGGGACTACAGGTGCCCGCCACCATGCCTGGCTAATTTTTTGTATTTTTTTAGTAGAGACAGGGTTTCACTGTGTTAGCCAGGATGGTCTCGATCTCCTGACCTCGTGATCTGCCCACCTCGGCCTCCCAAAGTGCTGGGATTACAGGCGTGAGCCACCATGCCTGGCCTCTCCCACCATTTGATACATTTTTATCATTAACACCTGAAGTATGTGTAACAGAGGAAATGAATTATCCCTAGTGGAGAATGGAGATGATAACATTAACAATACTGAAAGATTACAGGCATTTGGAATTGGATCTGGGCTGTTCCTCTGCGTATACATATGTAAATCACATTTACATATATGTGTGTGTATATGTGTATATAGACACATAAAAGGATCACTAAAAATGTTATTCATAAAAGCAATTAAAGGGAGCATATCCACATGTTCTCAAAATCAGCTTAAAAGAGGGACAGTCTTGTGAGATGAAAGGTCACATTTTAGTGGTTAATAAAATGCCCCACTCCTAACTGCCAGCAGTATAAGAGAATTTGGAACAAAGGTGGTAAAGGAGATCTTTTAAGTAATAAATATTTAATTAGTGGTCCCATTTGGCTTTTTGAAAGTATAAAATAATGACCGGGCATGGTGGCTCAAGCCTGTAATCCCAGCTCTTTGGGTGGCCAAGGTGGAGGATTACTTGAGCCCAGAAGTTTGAGATCAGCCTGGGCAACATAGGGAAACTCTGTTTTTACAAAAAATTGAAAAATTAGCTGGGTGTGGTGGCATGTGCCTGTAGTCCCAGCTATGTGGGAGGCTGAGGTGGAAGGATCACTTGAGTCCAGGAGGCTGAGGCTGCAGTGAGCCGTGATTATACCACTGCACTCCAGCCTGGGCAAGAGGGAGCCCTTGTCTCAAAAAACAAAACAAAACAAAACAAAAAATAAAAGGAAAAAAGTACAAAATAAGACATTTTTTCTCTCAAATAATCAAAGAATTGTCTCTGAGTTGGGGCAAACTTGGCTGTTTCATTTTGATGAACCTGCCTCTTGCTTATCCACGGAACAGTCTGCTACAACAGCCTGCTTGAATACTTTGCATTTCGGACCAACCACCTCCACATTTGTCATTATGACAGGTTGTTATTTACGGGGAATGGCAGGTTGTTGAAATCCTAAATGAAGCACTAAGGAATGAAGCTCTAAGGACCAATTATAGCAACAATGCTTAAACATTTCAGGCAGCAAAATTGGCTCAGCTACAAGCTTGTTTAGGCAAGAAAAAAATGCATATTTCCTATATTTTTGATTTATAGACCAACCCAAAGAGTGTGTGATTTCTGTTGATTTTAACATAAAGTCACCTAAATTAGGAGTATGCAGTTTTAACTGCAATAGTTGGCATGGCTAATATGGGAAAAAGTAGATTAACCCGATGCCTCCCAAATGTGCAAATATGCTAAGCCATGTTTAAAACTAAGGTAACTCTCTAGGGTAATTTTTCTGGTCTGCTGTGATGTCCCCAAGTGGCTGGCAAGTGTCATCTATTGGCAAGGCCTGAACAAGAGCACAGCAGGAAACTTTCCCCTTATCTGTTTGAATGAATGACTAAGCAAAGTTTAAAGGCCATTTCACTCTGCTCTTAAAGGTATGTGAGCATGAAGATGACATGCTCCTTTGGTTCCCAGTTTCAGTGTCTGATCAGTTAGGCATAAAGGTGCTTTTGTCTACACAGGTTTCATGTGTGTGTTCTGTTGATGAGTCTGTTGACAACTCCATAAACTAAGTGTCTCCAAGGCAGGCAGAGATTGAGATTTGTTTCTCAGAGATTAATGAATGTGCCTCCATTTCTTTCCCTCAAAAGAGACAATACCACTTCCTGTAGCTTTCCTTGCGTGCTTCAGATTGAAAACCTTATTGGGCTGCAGAAAGATTTATGATTCACGTATATGTCGGTGGCTATTACTGTAGAATAATCTGGAAAACTGCTAGTCACAATTTGTTCCCTCTCAATGGTTACCGACTGATTCATTATGCTGGGCTCTTGTGTCTTCTCTCCTTCCTTCACATCTCTCCTCAAAATGTTAGATTCTTTGCCACACTATTTACAGACTGTGGTAAATATAGCAGGTTGATATCAGGGTCACTTGTATTATATATGCTATAATGCCTACACCATGTATTTTTATGTCAAGTGATTAAGAAATGTATAAGAAAAATGGTAATAAGCTCTCCATCACCATCCACCCTTCCTGGGATAAACACTGTTAAGAGTATCCTTCTCTCTTGTTTTCTGTATTCATATGCATGTCATATTATAATTTTTTGTCTTGCTTAACAGTTTTTTTTGACCTAAATAGTATATTTGCTCTTCAATGTCCTATTTTCATGTAGCAATAGGTCACAGACATCCATCTAGATCTCTGTATATAGATTGAATGCATTCCTTTAAAAAACATTAATTTACCATAATTGATTCAATCTTTCCCCTACTGATAGACATTTTTCTTGTTGAGGTTATTTTTTTAATAAAAAATTTGGGGGCCATTATACACAGTGTTTCAAATAACTTCTTGGTATCTATGTCTTTACATACAGATATTCTTAAGGCTATAGATTTTTCAAAGTAGGAATGTTGTGTCCAAGGGTATATTTTTACTTTTAATCGAGGCTTGTTTTGTTATATTTAATACTTTCTAAGTAATAAATACAACAAAATAATATAATTATATATAATATAATAATAGATATTATATAACATATTACATTATCTATTATATATCTACTATCATATATAATATATAATAAATGTAACAAAATTAATAATATATTAATACTTTCTAAGTAAAAACTATAACAAAACAAGTCCAAGATCTCTACACTAAAAACTACAAAACATTGCTGAGGGAAATTAGAAAAGATCTAACTAAATGGAGAAAATTCCTATGTTCATAGATTGGAAAATTCAACATTGTTAAGATGTCAATTTTCCCCAACTTGGGTCTATACATTTAAGGCAATCCCAATCAAAATCCCAATAGACATTTTTTTTTTGGTAAAAATTAACAAGCTGATATTAAAATTTTTGCAGAAATTGCTAAATAATTTTTTAAAAAGAACAAAATTGGAGAACTTACATTACTGATTTCAAGAGGTGCTATAAAGCTACAACACGAAAAAGCTACAACAATGGAGAAAAATAGTGAATTCACCAACAGACTCATATACACATGGTCAACTGATTTCAACAAAAGAAATAAGACAATTCAATGAGGAAAAGAAAGTCAATCAATAGTGCTGGAATACAACTGCATATCTGTATGGAAAAAAAATGAACATTGATTCTTACCTTAAACCAAATATAATAAATACTCAAAACGGATCACAGACCAAAATGTAAAAGCTCAACTATTAGGTTGGTGCAACAGCAATTGTGGTTTTTGCCATTAAAAGTAATTACTGTTGCACCAACCTAATAAGTAACTTCTAGAAGGAACAGAAGGAAAAATCTTTGTGAGGGGTAGGCAAAGATTTTTTAAAACAGAACACAGGAAGCTTAAAATAAAAAATTAATAAATTGGACTTCATAAAAATTAAACCTTTTTCTCTTTGAAAAATATCAGTAAGAAAATAGAAAGGCAAACAGAAAAGAAAATATTCACAGCACAGATATCAGACAACAAACTGTAACAAGAATATACCAAAGTCTTACACCTCAATATGAAGAAAGGAAACAACACAATTTTTTTAAATGGGCAAAATATTTTAAGACACTTCACCAAAGAAATTATATGAAAGAAAAGCCCAATAAACACATGCCAAGGGGCTAAAAGTAGTCATCAGGGAAATGCAAACTAAAACCACAATAAGGTCCCACCACACACCTATTAGAATGGTTAAAATGAAAAAGACTGACTATACCATGTGTGGGCAAGGATATGGAGCAAACGGAACTCTCATACACTGCTGCTGGGAATATAAAATTACATAGTACTTTGGAAAGGTATGGAAGTTTCTTGAAAAGTTAAACATATACCTATCATAAAACTCAGCTATTCTAAGTATTTACCCAAAAGAAATGAACACACATGTCTACATAACAACTTGTACACAAACATTAATATCAACTCTATTTTTGTAGGAGTGCCAAACTGGAAATAACTCAACATATCCATCAATAGGTGACTAGATAAACAAAATTTGTTACATCGATACAATGGAATCCTGCTTTTAAAAAGGAAGAAACTATTAATATATGTTAATAACTTGGGTGAATATCAAATCATGCTGAGTGAAAAAGTCAGCCAAAAAGAGACTAAATCTTGTAAGATGAAATTCTATAAAATGCAAAATAATTACAGTTATAGAAAGCAGACCAGTAGTTGCTTGGGGATGAGGGTGGAGGAGAGATGGATTATCAAACGGAACAAGGAATCTTTTGGGATTGGGGAAACTCTCACATTCTTGATTGTGGTCATTTCACAGGAGAATACATTTTGTCAAAACCTATCAAATTGTACACTTTAAATGTACAGTTTGCATATAAATTATACCTCAACCTTTGAGCATTTATTTCTTAAGAACTTTAAAATCATTTTGTCCAGTTCAAAATAAACCCAATCTCAACTCCATTGGATTTCCAATTGAAATTACTTTAAACAAATCCATAATCTATATGCACGTATATCTACACCAAATATTTAATATTGTCTTATCATTTAGGAAAATGTTAAATTCAGGTCTTGTTTTACATTATTTTCGAAGCCTTTTTACTTTTCTTCAGCCCTTTCTATTTCCTGATAAATGTTTTTCTTCATATTTTATAATTTTACTGCTCTTGCCACTAAGTTTTTAAAAATATCATTTTTTACTTCCGATTATTATAAAGAAAAACTACTGATTTTGATATATATCAGATAGTCACTTTATCAAATTCTTATTAATTCTAACAGTATTTAAGCAGAGTCTCATGAACTATACAATTTTATATCCTGCAAACAAAAAAATTAATTTCCATCATTTACACTACTAACTATTCTCATTTTTGAGGGCTTTTTTCATCGAGCTGAAACTTTTAAAAAATGTTAGATGATGATAGAAAGTGAATCTCTGCTTTGTTTCAGGCCCTAGTTATTTCACGTTTAATTAAAAAATGATAGTAGTCATTTTCACTAATTAATATGCTGTTGGTTTTGTTGAGTGTTCTTTATCAAGTTTGGGAAATTTCATTTTAATCCTGTTTTATTTGTGAATATTATCAAATGTCATTTGGTCATCTATTGATATAACTGTGTAGTTTCTCTAAATTGTTTAATTAATATGTCACATAATTGATTACATAATTCACCACATTGCTTACATAATTGTTTACATAATTAACGTTACATAATGAATACATAATGAATGAAAATGTTGCATTTGTATTATAAACCCTGCTTCTTGGTGTGTCAATCTTTTAATATTTTAAGGGATTCAATATGGACAGATTTCACCAATTGAACTATATCATGCCTTTTAATGGCTACATAGTATTACATGGTGTAGCTCTATTATAACTTATTTAACCCTGATTAATGAGTATTTGTCTTTTTCTCTTTACTCAATGCTGTGATAAACCTAATTATAGTGTATCTCTAAAATTAGGTTTGTGCCAAAGTAATTGCGATTTTTGCCATTAAAAGTAACGACAGAAACCACAATTACTTTGGCATTAACTTAATAATTTAGAGTTTTACATTTACTCTGTATCCCACATTTTCTTTATCCATTCATCTGCTGATGAGCACTCAGGCTGATTCCATATTTTGGCTATTTGAAGAGTGCTGCAATAAACATGTGAGTGCAGATCTCTCTCCAATATATTGATGTCTTTTCTTTTGTGTATATACCCAGCAGTGGAATTGCTGGGTCACATGGTAGCTTTATTTTCAGTTTTTTAAGGAACATCCGTACAGTTTTCCATAGTGGCTGTACTAATTTGCATTTCTATCTAAAATGCACATGGGTTCCTCATTTTCTATATCCTCACCAAACTGTTCCCTTTTTGATAAAAGCCATTTTTACTGGGGTGAGATGATATTACCCTGTGGCTTTGATTTGCATTTCTCTGATGATTAGTGAGGTTGAGCATTGTTTAATATACCCATTTGTCACCTGTGTGTCTTTGAGAAATGTATATTCAGATCTTTTGCCCATTTTAAAATTGTATTGTTTTTTCCTATTGAGTTGTTTGAGCTCCTTGTGTACTCTGGTTACTAATCCCTTATTAGAGGAATAGTTTGCAAACATTTTCTCCCATTCTGTAGGTTGTATCTTTATTGTTTCATTTGTTGTGCAGAAGCTTTTTAGCTTGATGTAACCCCACTTACAAGATCACCCCAGTGGCATGATCTTGGCTCACTACAACCTCCATCTCCTGCACTAAGTGACCTTCCTATCAAAGCCTCCCAGGTAGCTGGGACTACAGGTGCATGCCACCATGCCCAACTAACTTTTTTGTATTTTAATAATTTTTTTTTTTTTTTTTTTTTGTATTTTAAGTAGAGACAGGGTTTGGCCATGTTGCCAAGGCTGGTCTTGAACTCCTGGGGTCAAGCGATCCATCCGCCGCAGCCTCCCACAGTGCTGGGATTACAGGCATGAGCCAACGTGCCTGGACTTTGTCCTTGACTTTTGAGAGTTTGATTCTTATATACCTTGGGGTAGTCTTATTTGGGTTGAACCTGTTTGGTGTTCTCTGACCTTCCCGTATCTGCCTATTTATCTCTTACTCAAGTTTTAGAAAGGTTTCTGTTATTATTTCTTTGAATAAGCTTTCTACCCCTCGCTCTTGCTCAACTCCCTCTTGAACACCAATAATTCTTAGATTTGGTCTTTTGAGGTAATTTTCTATATCTGGTATGTTACCTTCATTCTTTTACATTCTTTTTTCTCCTCTATTTTCAAACAGGCTATCTTTGCGCTCACTGAATTCCTTTTTCAGCTTGATCTATGTTGCTGTTGAAAGCCTCTAGTGAATTTTTTAATTCAGCAAATATTTCTCAATTCCAAGATGTTTTTTATTATTTCAATCTCTGTTAAATTTCTCTGATAAATTTCTGAATTGATTTTCTGTGTTATCTTGAGAATCACTGAGTTTCCTTATAACTGCTATTTTGCATTCTTGTTGAGTTCCCATATCACAGTCTTGTTTGGGTCCTGGTTCCTTATTTTGTCTGTTTGGGGGGTCACAGTTCCCTGTTTGCTTATGTTTCCTGTGGATATACATTTATGTCTTTGCATCAAAGCATTAGTTATTTACTCATCTTCTCTGTATGGCTTTTTTTTTTTTTTTTTTGGATACGTTTGTTAGAGATTTTCTTGCCATCGACCTACTGATTTTCCCCTGACTAAGTCGCTGCCTCTTTTCTGGCACTAGATGGTGCCTTAACCCCAGGTTTGCCACCCACCCAAATGGGGACGGAAAAGTACCCAAAGGGGTATCTTGGTAGTGTGGAAGGCTGGCCAGGGGTTCACGCCCAGGGTGCCTGTGGAATGAACCTCATATACCCTGATGCTGCCGAAAAGCCACTCTGATTTGGTGTTTCTTTTGGCTGAGTTACAGAGCTGCCAAGGCTTGCCTCCTGCCTTTGTCTTTGGATGACCTCAGGGGTATTTTTCCCTTCAGGCATTCTTGATGCTTCCCATGGGTTGAGGTAGGGACAGGTCTCCTGACAGGGAACTCAAGATGGTGGGGAAGGTGGTTGTTAACCTTAATCTCCTTTTCCAATGTAGAACTCTGAGCTGAGGGGTGAAATTTTGGGGGGAAGGGCATTGAGGACATGGAGGTCCAATTATCTGACTACTTGGAGTCTTTTCACTTCTCCATGGTTCTGGGAACTATCTCTTTTTTATATTTGAATTCTAGAATATTGCTGGTGATAATCTCGGCACTATATGTTTGTCTTTTTTTGTGTGTGGGGGTTAGTGGGGTGGGGAGTAAAGCAAGCTTGCTTCTGTGCTGCCATTTTGGAACCAGAAGTCTTGGTGGTTCTCACATTTGTGCAACCGAATCACTTGGGGAATTGGGAAAAAAGTTTTATCCCTGGTCCTACACTGTCATCGTGAAGCAGGATTTCCCCAGAATGTGTACTTTCTCCCATCAAACTCTGGGAGCAGAATTTCTCTCATCAAATCCATGGGAATACCTTTAGAATCCCCTCCTTTCAGATCCACCCTTACCTGGAGGGATCCAGGTTGGGGCCAATAGTGGGAAGAGAAATTCCAGCTCTTGTAGGATGAAGGCAAAGGCTCTAATTGTGTCCATGGCAAAGGGCCTGGGTACCTGGCCCATTAAGCTGTCCTGTGGAGTTCTCCATGCCAATAAAACTTGGTCAGAGTGTTGTCTAAGACTTCCTCACCTCTTGGTTTTTATTTTTATTGCACAGAAAACAGTAAGAAGGGAAAGGATTTTTAAAAGGGGAAAATCACCACAATGCCAACATCTGGACATTAACCACTTTACTTTTTAATTTTCTCTCATAGTCTTTTGTAATTATTCCATTCAATTGCATTATTATTTCATTTATATTAAGGACCAAATATACTTTTGTGAATGAGCCTAGGAATCTAGCTCTCTTCCCTTTTATTAACAAGAAAATACACTCCAAGTTCTACACTAATTAAAAGTGAGAGTTTTGTAGGGCTTAAGGCTTAGAAGACCTGGGTTTGAACTGGAGTCCATAATTTACTACCTGGGCAAACTTTCAAACTCCTCTGTGCTTCAGCTTACCTCTAAAGCAAGGGTCACATTTAAGAAATGCCTGAAACATAATATACACCTAATAAATGTTAGTTTCTTTCTCTTTGTCTTTGTTGACAACTCTAAGTTTGTTAACACCTATTTTATGCTTGTAAGTTAAATTTTGTTTTCTTTTCATAATGGACTTCCTACCAAAGTTTCTCTTCTAAGGGACACTGTCTGATACTGAATATTTAAATTATTTCAAATCTAGTTTCCAGCTAAGGTGTTTCAACTTAAAACACATTTTGAAGTTTTATTTTTCCAAGCTGCATCAATTATAAATACATGAAAATCTCCAGGTATGTGTACACCATATTGATCAGAGTTTTACATTAATGAAGATGCAAGTTACTTGTGCATTCTAGTGAGAGGCCAGGTTTTCCTGCTCCCCTTTTATTGTGGAGAGTGGGGAAGGAGGAAGTGGTCAAGGCAGTGGCCTATTTTCCTTCCCAAGGTAGTGTGGCAGAGGCTATTCTTGTCTCCTATAACCTTTCAATCCTCCACCTGTAACTTAACTCTATCTGATCTCCTAAGCGAAGCATGTGGCTATCCATTATAGAGATGTTTCCCAGCCTCTCTGCAGCTAGGAGTGGCCATTTGACTATGTTCTGGTCAAAACATATGAGTGTAAATGATGTGCACCTTCACAATTCCTACCCTTTCCCTCTTCCCTTTGGCGGCAATGAAGATGTATATAATTATACTACTTTAGTTTTTTATATGAGAAAAAAAGAACTGCTAACTTGTTTCAGCCATTATTTTGGGCAGCAGCCCAACTTACATCCTAGTGAATATAGAGAGATAGTGAACATGGTCTGAGGCACTGAGGTTAAGGAATTTTCTAATATGGATAAAAAAGAAAGCACAATAGGAAGAAATGTTCAGTGTAGGCCAAGGAAATCTATACTACTTCCTCAATCCTCCTAAACATAAAACTTGGAACCATGAATGCAAAGATAGTAAAACTGAAATCTGACTACATAATTCTAAGAATGTACTAATAGTATCATGGCCCCAATGTACAGAAGTAGATCTGCTTTGTAAGCATATAATTCATCCATTTCATATGCAGCTTAGATAATATTTTCATGGTACATGCAAAAGGAACAAGAGTGGTGCCAATTTTTCTAAGTAAGATGTCTATCACATTTTAGATGGATATTTAGTTAAGGACCTTTGTAGGAAACTGATTAAAAGCCAAAATGGTTCTAGAGCATGTGATGAGGGAATACCACCATTAATTCTACAACCAAAGTTACACCCAGTTTCAGGTTTCTTCAGTCTCTAGTCTGAATTTAGTAAATGAGCCAATCGATGATTAATGTAATCATTCCAGTAATAACTAAAGAAGAGGTATCCACAAATAGAAACACGCAACAAGTCTGAAAAGTAACTGCATTTTGTAAGTTACTTTTGCTTTTCAGAATATAAATATCCAGCATTTACTCAGTAATTTCTGGTGCTTTCAAAGCAATGATCCTGCTGCTACATGGCACTGATAAGATATCATTAACCATTAAATTAAAGGAAAAGTAATGCCTTTCATGACTTGGAAATTTGAAAGTACCATGACACTCAAATACAGTTAAATAGCCATTCATTTCTCAAAAAAGCTTCATTTAAAAGTGGTCTTATGTATTTTGGAAGACTCAAGTTATGCATAACATAGAACCTACTGATTTAAAGGCTGCCTAAAGTAACAGATGGGCAGGTCATTTAAACTGACGTTCCATTTTGGTGGAAATGCACGGCAGGGGGTGTCAGAACCTCCAAGACCAGTGTCTAGTCATGGATGGAAAAGGAGCATAGAGCCTGGTGTTAAGTGTTACATGATCTGCCAATGCAAATATTATTTCTGCGTGCACCACCATATCAGGAAGGACCACTGACAGCATCTGTATGAGATAGTGTCAAACATTTTTACAAAGACTATCTTCACTGTTACTGAAAATATTGTTTTGCCAATTGTTCTGTGGCATAACAACCAACCTAGTCTTTGCTGGGATTTTGAGCAAGCAGAAAGCAGCTGCAACTTAAAAAAATAAAGAAAAGAAAAACAACAGAAAACTTAAAATTCCTCTCAAAGGAATTACAAAAACTATTCAAGTGGGGGAAAAGGCTTAAGAAGTAAAGTGTACATATTTTAGGATTTCATTTATGTAAAACTGTAGAAAATGCAAACTAATCCATATTGTTAGAAAGCAGATCAGTGGTTGTCTGGGGACTGGGGTGAGAGAAGGGCTCAATTGCAAGGGGCAGGAGGGTACTTTTGGGGCTGGTAGACATACTGAGGATGTTGACTGCTGGGGTGGTTTCACAAGTGAATA
This sequence comes from Homo sapiens, assembly GCF_000001405.40. Taxonomy (NCBI): domain Eukaryota; kingdom Metazoa; phylum Chordata; class Mammalia; order Primates; family Hominidae; genus Homo; species Homo sapiens. The sequence continues at coordinate 90,512,510 of NC_000006.12, forward strand.
CATAAGTCAAAACTCTGTAAGCAGCACACTTTTACTTAAATGCTCACCAAATTCTGAGGTGATTTAGCTTTCACACTGACTTATTTGGCAGGTAGGATATCTGCATTTTAAAAAACTGGATGCAGTTTATCATATATGAATTATACCCCAATTTAAAACAATGCAGATCTCCCACCTGCCAAATAAGTCAATGTGAAAGCTAAATCACCTCAGAATTTGGAGAGCATTTAAAATTACAGCATGGCAAATTTGTTTAGATCATAGACTTGGGTTTTAAAAGACATGGGGGTGGGTCTCCATGTTGGCTTTGTTGCTATCTACAGAGCGGTCACAAAGCCCCTGCATCTTCTAGTTATAAGTTATCTCGTTCTATTCCTCTGTTTGCCATTCAATCTAAGATTTTTCCTATGCTCTTCTTCGCATCATGGACTAATAGTGGCCACAGTGTCCCCATGCATGAGATTCTGCCTGAAACAGATGATGATGGAAAAGCAGACTCAGGCAGAAGTCTTAACCTTTAGGAGCCTATTTTCCCATCTGTAAGATGGGAATACCATCAAACTACTGTGTGACTGGAATGGACATGTAACTTGGTATTGGTAATAGCAGTGCAGTTTATAATATATGATAAACAAATATTTATTAAAAGAATGAGCAAATGAATGGATGGATTTACTAAAATGAAGGTAGAGTTTATAAGAATGTGTGCATATGTTAGGGTTGGAAAGCCAGCAGGTTGATAAAGGAATGAAATACCTAATTTAACTTAGAAATACTCTAAGAAATCAGCTTTCTGATGAGAAGAATCACTTAGCAATGTATGACGTGTTGTGCTTCACACAAATTAGGACTCATGAAATTGTGAAGAGCTCCATTTAACACAAAATTTTGAAATGCAAGAGATGATGTGTTAACTGGCCAATTACCCAGCCTCTTAAAAACCATGATTATCGTACAAAAGTGACATTTCAGTTTTTAGTAGGTTCTGTGTAAGGTAAACACGGTGCTAGAGCAGAACACTTCGCAGCTCATTTGCTGATACAAGTCATTCACCACTTTTATGTACCAGTTTAGAATAGGAATCTGAATTTTATTAAAAACAAAAATAAATCTAAAAAGCTTCCTTCAGTTACAAATATGCACAAGAATTTCTGCATTACATCATTTGACATAAAATGTTCTGAATGACAGAAGTAGAAGTAGAACTTACTACCATTTGAAGACAGGAGTTGAGCGCTGAAAACCACACACATTTATAGAAAGAAACCAAAGTTTCACAGGGAAGACCTGTGATCTCTGGCTACAGGAGCTGAAATTAGGAACATGAAAGAAACTTGAAGAGAGAAGACATTCAATACTCTAAAATACTTCAGCAAAAATAGTCAAACATCCGTAAACAACTTGTAACAAATCTTTATATGTTGTGTTGCTATGCGGTAAATATTCTTAACTGATTATTATTCAACTCAAAAAAGTGATTTTTATTGCTCACGAATACTTCCCTCTAGATTAGATAAAAGCTTGCTTTCTTTTCCTGGAGTCAAGAGTAAAATGTAATTAATGTAATTAGGGCTTACTCAGTGATTGTTTTTGAATTTCTTAGACTGGGGCATTCCAGCCACTTGCTTGGCTGTTTGCAATTTTCACCCAAAAAACGGTCAAAATAAATTGTAAAACCAGAACGAATAAGTTTGGCTCCTTGTTAACATTTTTATTTGCAGGATGGATGAGGAAACTGATGAAACTGGCTGTGGATTTTAATTATCCCTGGTATCTTTTTCTCCCATCTCCAAGGATCATCAGGACTTAAAAGCATGAAATTGACAACACAACTACTTAAAAACAGAGTAAGGCTGAACTGTACTCAATGTCCAGGGCAACTACAGTACTGAAAATCTCAAGGAACTTACTGTAAACAAACAAGCAACTGTTCAACAGCCTCTTGCATTTGGTACCATGACTAAAATCTACTATTTTCTTCCATTTACCTATCTGGATATTTTTATGAAATGACTACATGTAAAAACCATAATAAAATTTCCCTTAAATGTGTTATAATACAGCAAAACACATCAATGACTATAAATAAAATCTGAAATCTCGAATGCTAAATCCTAATGGAAACATCAAGCCTTAGCATTCACGCTTGGATATCTCGTGCTGAGATAAAAGGCCTCTTTAAAGTGACTAGGTCCCTTTCAGTGGAGTGACAGATGTACATACAAGCAACAATGCTATGGAGGAGTCATGCTTTATCCTAGTCTACAGTTATTTTCTCTGCCAATTTTATTTTACTATTACTATGCTGAATCCAATATCTGTTTCAGCTAGGTAATCAAATTTGGGAACAATTAACACTCCTTTTATTTAAATTAAATGACAGAAGACATTTATTTCCAGGAAGCTTTCTAAAATAGCTTTTGAAGAAGCTAAAAATAACAGTTTAGTATTCACCTGTATTGCTTGTATACACAAGGAATTCATTACAAAACTCAGTGGTAGGAGGAAAAAATAATGGAAGAAAAAGTTACCTGCTTTAGCATTTTAAAGAATAGTTTTGATAACTTCTTAGATCTTGCTTATCTGAAATAGAGCAAAAACTACAATACAGTCATGATAGAATTCTAATAATCACAGCAATTAATGCTTTCATTTTGAACTTTTTCTTCATAAAACATTAATGCTATAAAAATCAGACTGATGACATCCTTATTTAAAAGACATCTTGTACTGGTATCAAAATGTGACTTATTTTAACACCAACTGAAAAAATATAGAGTTTGTATAGTCTATTATTTCAGTGTCATTTTATTATTAAAGTTATTCTGAAGGTTTTGGTAGCAAAATTACTGTTAACAATATAAATACTCTGTAAGTGTTGAAATTCTCTTGAAAGTGTTGAAAGGCGGCAGGCATTCTAGAACGGGATTGTAAGGAAAATCAAATATTCCAATATCCAGGATAATTAGGACACTTGTTGAATTTATATTTGCTTCTTTAACTTCCTTCTGATTTGCCTGGTTTATTTCTCATTTGGTATCATAAAAAGAAATCTAAGTCCAAGCTTTTTTTAGCTGGAGTAATTACTTCCATTTTCCATTATTTTTCTTCATTTTTTTTTTTTCAAATACATGAGAAAACAATCCAAGAATCACTGCAGGAAGAAATGATCATTTAAGCTCAATCATGTTCTTTTGCCTTTTAATTTCATTTAAGAGATTAATATTAGAGTCATAAAAGCTTTACAGTTTCAACACACATACACACAATCACAGAATTAAAAATCTTTACTCCTTAAAAAAAAATGAGTTCCATTTTGTTCAATGTATCACAATCAAATTTTAGTCTAACAAAATCCGGTAAAACTGCTTTCATTAAATAGAGCAGCTGCCACTTACCTTTACATATTTTACGGATGGAACTGAGTTCAGTACTGATCCAAGGATGCTGGCATCAAAGCCCTTACACGGAACTATCCCTAAAGGTTCCGTATTTCCGTAATATACCACCAATCACTCTAAATTTATAATACCCTGTCTTTAACTTGGTATATACCATCTTTTGGGAAAAAAATTATTAATATTTTGAGATGAGATACAAGAATAAAGTCATTCTTGAGGTTCCACCTCTAATATGAAAAAATGGACGCTGTTTGCACATAGCAGCTAGTTTGATACCTCCTGTTCTGTTAGGCTAGCCTTCACACAATGAGCATGCATATACAGCCACAGTTCACTGCATCTGTTTTGAAGTTGCAAAGTGCTGCTCATTCAAGTCACAGATGCTACCATGTTATGCAATGAAACAGTAAAATTGTATGTCCACCATGAGAAAAGGAAAATAAACAATGAAAAAAATGCAGCAAATATAGGCAGTTGGCATTCAGAACACGCCAAAAAGCTAACACTCATGAATCGTCATTATAAGGTTTTCCTTTCCTTAAAAAAAAAGTCTTTCTTTGCATATTTCAAAATGTAACGGTCCCAGAGAATCATGAAGTGCCTTGTCGTTTCTGCTGCTGACTTCTGATGACCTCTAGTTGTTTTTTGCATTGCTGGTAGTAAGTAGAAAGGCTTTTGTTTTCATCTAAAAGCTTTTTATGTTCCTGTACCAGGCGAGATGTATTTTGCTGGTCCTTTTCATCCTGGTCCAGTTCTGCAACTAGTTCTTGCCTACAAACAAATACCACATAATATTACACATGATGGAAAAATTCATACCTTAGTAGCTGATGATGGAAGCTCAATTAATGAGAATTTTTATTCTTGGTTTATCATTTTGCATCTTAGGTACACTAATCAAATATAATTATGGGCTGGGATGGAACTCTCATCTACTTCTAGTGTAATCATACAAATAACATAATCCTTTTATTAAGTAACTGTACTTGGATAATTAGCGAAGCAGATAAAATGGTAAAATAAAAGTTTCAGAAAATTTCATTTTCTATCCTCTTTTTGTGTAGGAAGGATGAAAAAAGGCTGGGAAGGGTTCTATGTGGCTATGGGAAAATATCATGAAGTTTTTATCCTTCACATTCTACTTTTATACTGATTCACATTCTGAAGTCACAATCCTACTTAACTATAGCAGAGAGTGGTAAGCTAATAGCAAATTTGCAATCTAATTAAAATAAATGCTATCCAATTTAAAGCTTTTTCCCATTTTAAAGCAGTGAGAAAAATGACAAAGTACCACTTCTTTTAAAACACTTACATTTGCAAGCACTTTCAGGAAAGACCCTCATTCTTTTATAGTCTGATAAACTTATTTAAGTCCCTCTTATTTGGGAACTATTAAGTATTCCCGAAAAAGATGCATCTTTAGGCATTTCCTAAAGTGAGGTTACTGGATATAAATGAATAATTAATAAAAAGTCCTCAAGCAAAATAACTAACTAATACTACTTCTGAAAGTATTTAAAATTGATTAAAACTGTCATAGTTTTCACAGCCAACACCCTAATCCACCATTTGTTTTTTCCAGCATAGAATACTTCTTTCAAATGATTAAAGTATGGCAAAAGTATAGGTTAAATAAGTGAAATAAGAAATCAAGCTTTTTCAACATAAAAGTGCCAGCAGTTTGATAATTACTTCTACGATTTCCAAACTGTAGTATTTAATTTCCTATTTAGGCTTACCTTTCAAATACCAGGTTGGTTCCATTTAAATCACTGTATCAATAAATTATGATAAAACAATTTTTTCTCTCTTTTTTTTGAAGTACATACAGAAAGCTTTTCGCAAATTCAGAAAAAAACAACTTTCATTTATTTAGATTAAAATTAATGAAGGGAATCCTATTATCATACATATATAAAGTTGCCAAAATTTTTTCCTTATCACTTCATTTTAGTTACCACCAACAATTCAGTTACCTAAGTATAAAATTTCATGGAGGTCATGCTTAAGAAAACTGAAGATACATACATATTTAAGAACTGTGAATGCAGTAGTAAGGAAATTAGGCTGTGTTTCTTTAAAAAGGGAGGAAGGCAGTTTCTATAACTCCTCAGAAAAACACTCAGTTATGAAATACAGTCTTTTAATAAGTAATCCAATTCTAAACATACACCTGGAAAAAATGTATCTACAAAAATGTTTCTAAGATAAGGCACAACTGAATGTTAATAAATCAAATTATTTTATCTATTTACAAGAAAACAATAAATCTTTATAATAATAAGTCTAAACAGCTCTGAGAACATAAAACAACAAGTATAAAGCACCAGTTTATTTTCCATAGCACTAATATGATAGTCAAAAGGATTGAGTTTTGCATAAAAAATTTTTAGTAAAAGGGTGCTTAAAGCTTAAACAAGTTGAAAGTATACTTAATGACTAATTCTAAAAACTACGTTTTCATTGCACCTTATCATATTTTAAACTCAAAATACTAATGTATTTTTATTTTTATTCATAAAAAATAACTTACTTTCTCTGTAATAACAATGCAATTTCTGTTTGAACTTTCATATATTCTTGTGCCATTTTACAATGCTGTTCAAACACTGCCATAGATTCTTTGGAGTTTGGGCACGGTGCTAGAGGCTGAAAATAATCAGGAATGTTAAAACATAATTAAATCAAATTTCAATATCTAGCTAAGATGAGAGTCAAGACAGAGACTGTGATATATTTTTATAGCACTAAAGCAATGATCTTTTAAAAATAAGTGTTAAACCATGCCCTAGAAAATCTCAGTGTCCTTTTGTCAGAATTAACTCAGCATTTAAATCTATTCTTGCTGTTTTAACAGTCTGTTACAGAGAATCATGATTGTTGGAGTTGTAGTCTCTGGTATGACATTTCAGGCTGCAAACAGGCTCAAACTAAATGATGTTTATAGCCCTCATACTCATGAGGGGGCACTGAAGTATATTATTTACATTTTCAGTCACTATGAACATGAGAATGTATCACAAATGTATTAAATAGAAATAAGCTTATGAGTTTTGTTTTAATGCACTAAAATTAAAGAGTGAAAATGTAATGCTTAGCAGTACTAAAGAAAGATACTGGAGGATTTTAAGATGACTGAAAAGATAAGAATATGATTCTGCCAATTTAAAGTTTGATTAACTTAACCAAAAGAATTATTTTGATTTGATTCTAAAAAGTTTAAGGAGGCCAACTAAAAGGATAAATTAAGGAGTGACTATACAATGACAGGTAGCAACACAATTGTCAACTTAAACTCTCTAAGAAGAAAAAAGTCAACTTTCAATAAGAAAGTACTCCTTTACCTGTAGTTGGTGATCCAGTGTAAGATAAGCCATTGGGATGGAGTTATCTGATCCATTGGTATCTGGAATTCAAGCATGTATTTTATTGATTTTCTGTCACAAATAATTATAAACGAACAGCAAGAAAGCATGAATGAAATGCTTTTTTTCCCTAAAGTAAATAATATGTAAATTAAAAGTTACAGCTATTGGTAATTGAAGAGTCTATTTCTGAATTCTAAAGGTTAAAAAAAGGATATTCAATTATCAGATATTAGAATGCAATTATATTCTCATACCTATAATTTAAGTTGGCTATAAACTGAATAGAACACAATATATTAGAGCTTCTAAGCTCTTAATTAAAAACAAAAACAGTGATGAGACCTTTATATTTTAAATTCAGTCTTAATTGACCCTATCTAATCAAACTCCCCATCTCTTTTCTTTATCATGCTAAGTTTATTTTATAGAAGGCTATATCAACTCCGCTAATATCAATGTTCCTTAACAGGGAAAGGGAGAAAGCAGAGACACATTCTCTTCCAGTGGATCATTTTCAATTTATATAGATTATAATGTGACCTCCACCACTCATCCTGCCCTTCCCAGTAAGAATCACTGCAGAAAACGAGATGTTGGTGATGAGAGTATATTACAAATACGAACAGTAAGGAACCAAAATGAGGTTGAAACCTGTGGCTCAATGTCATGCCGAAAACAGTTAAGTTGATTAATTCAAACAATCAGTCAATTTTATAAAATTATTTGAATAGAATGCTTTTGTTTATATTTCAAAAGAGGTAAAACTGCCATACAACTTGACTGAGATGCGTGGGACAGTCTCTTCTCAACATTTATGGTTATGTAGAACAGTTCCAGAAGTAAACAGAGTAACTCTGAAGCAATACAGACTTTTCTACTTCAGAAGTAGTTGCTTTCCCACTGTTAGTAGACAAAAAAAGAGCTAAATGAGTGAGCTCTTCAGCCTTTTTCTGACGAATAACTCCTTGAAGGAGTGGTGTGGATAAAGGCAAGTCAGGAAGACAGCAGACGCACTGTATGCAATCCAAAAAAACTCAAGAAGGGTTGCTGGCTCAGTAATCTTCTAATTTATTGTCAACTGATAATCCAGGTGTTTTTTTTTCTTTTTGCTTTTGTTTTTGTTTTTTTAAAGCCACTGAGAACGTGCTCTCAAGAAACTCCAAAAGCTAATTAGCGAAATCAGACCAAATGAGCCAGTGCATGTGAGGAACACCATGCAAATCCTGGCGTATATTAAGCACTCAATACATGACGGTAGTTATCATTATTATTCATACTAAATGGAGAATTAGAAAGAACAATTTAAAATAGTATAGTATGAATTCCATATTGAAAAAGTAATGTTTATTAAATATTGCAGGGCAATACAGAAAAACAGTAGAGACTTAAGGCACTTACCCTTACCCTTAAGGCTCATATACAGTACTAACATAAATGTGTGTTTTTCTGAAGTGGCTAAACAAGAAATATACTTAATTTGTTATTTCTCTGACCAACTCTTCTCCCACCCCAACAGTGGTTTCAAACTACGCTCCCACATAAACACTGCTTTCCACAAAACTAAAACTGATTAAAAATGACTGATTTCCTCCTGATTTACTAGAAAAATTTAAGTGTCTTGAAAAAGTTTCAATTTAAGATTTCCATTCCTATTATTCTTTCTTAAATCACTGATACATTATATATCTCATTATATCAGCACCCTGTATCTGATATGTATTTTAGAATTAAGCTTAATACATCAGTGTTGCGTGGTATTCTGGGAGCAGAAAAAAAGTCCAAGGATTGTGTTATTCAAATAATTAAAGCCCTTGTATGGTGGGGAACTTAAGGTCCTTCATTGAATTTCATCTTCTCTCTAAAAAAAGAAGTGGGATTTCACTTTCTCACTTTACACTAAATTGATATTGAACTTCCAATCTCTACTAGCAATAATTGGTCACAGATCGGAAGATTATTTAATGAAAGTTTTTTGCGTGTGTGTGTGTGTGTGTGTGTGTGTGTGTTTCAATTGCTAATCAAATCTAATTGCTTCTCCTGAATGTCAAAGCTCATGTTGGTTTGGTTAAATTAAGGCAAACTCTCTTTTCTGACCCCTCAAACACAACACTTGTTACTATCTCATATTCTTTGAGTATGCATTCCCTTCAGTGGAATGCTGCCTTCTCCTTTCTGCTTTATGGCTAAAGAAAAGTCTCATCATTTTATGAAAAGGCCAGAGACTATGCCAAGTCTTGTTGAACTGATTTCTCTTACAACTATCAAAACACTCAGCTTGTACTATAAATTTAGTAAGTTATTATATAGTATAAGTTTACTTTTAATGTGTCAGTATTATGACTCTAACCAGACTGCAAGGAATGGGCCATGTCTTACACTTTATATTAATACATGTTTGCAAAGTACTAAGCAAAGGTGAAAATTCTTTAGTGAGTTTCCCCCTCTGCGGCTCCCTCTACTGCGTCTAGATCTCTCTCTCACTAGATCCTCTCAGTATGTGTGTCTTTTTGAATACCCATTATATTATAAATAGGAACTGAAGAGCGCTTATTATCGGCTATGATTATTAAATTGTTATGCTCTTTAGCTTTCTCTGAAAATATACAAAAACCTCTCAAATTAAAAAAATTTAATTAGGTCACTTTAACTTACATTTACACTCTTAATTTTTTCCTTGGTCAGTGGGCCTTCAAAGAAAAAGACTTTACCTATCTGTTCCCTAATTTATTCTATTAGCTTGGTTATCAATATTTTTCTTACAAATACTGCACAGCTGAATTAATTATAAACTTAAACCAGAGCATCCATTTTTAAAATGTATTCAAAATTATAGCCACACATGTGCAATATATTTCAAGGCAAAGACAAAATTCAGCTGATATTGCAAATTATTTCTAGCAATTGGTATTTTGTGGTGTTTCTAGGTACAGAAAAAGAAAACAATGGGACGGGAGTTGGAAGGTAGAAGCAACATATGAGGCAGAAATGTAGCAGTTATGTGAGAGAGAGCCTTAAACATTTTTTATTTTACCCCCATGAAGTCACAATCTGCCACACTATTGACTGGCATATACAGATTAGTGTAGACTGAAGACAGAAGGCTCTGCTGAGTTGAGTACCAGACCCGGGCAAATGCTGTAATGTCAGAGAACGTACTCCCTTGCCAGGGGGTTCAGAAATCAAAAAGAGCTGCTATCACCTGAATGTTAATGATAAAACTGGGCAAGAGCATTGCCCTGTCTACCACTGGGGAGGAGCAAGTCTATAATGAATTCTACACATGTGCTGCGTAGTGGTGAATGCTCTGGACAGTCCTAGGTTGGGCTGTGCTAGGGGTGAAACAGGAGTTTTTGCCGCCACTAAATTTAAACTTACTAAAACTAGAGAGTACACCCTGGCTAAACATAGTTCTATCTTACATGACACACAGAAAAACCACCCAGTTAATTTTTTAAATTAAATTATAAACTTGACCAAACCACATCAGATAACTATAAATACTTGAGTTGTATTTTAGTTTGTAAAGACAGAAAGCTGGCTTTTAAACTTCAATCTAATTGTTACTATTAATAACATAGTCGATCTTATATAAAATATCAAATGCTTTAATTTTCCAAGGGCTAAGAGATCATCTTTCCCTTCGTGACTTAATATAATATAAATAAAAAATTTCATAAGTACACTTAAAAGCATTTATCAAGGTATTCTCTTAAAGTTAGGGAAAAGTTAATTCTACTATGGCACATCATTTCCTGTTTGCCCATAATGAAACGATGCCGTCACTACCTTTAGGCAGGTAGACATTAATACTAATATTGTGAACAGTTAGTTATTCATGTTGGGGAGCTTTAATAACTCATCACAGGTTTCTAAAGGTCTAATAGAATATTTGTATAACTGAAAATGGTGTCTCTTATCAGTTAAAAACAATTCAAAAGGTCAATGGTCAGAATTTTTTTCAACTTAAGGTACATGACATCTCGTGTCCTTAAAAGATTGAGATGAAGATGATGGGGATGATTTTTACCATTCTCCGATTTTGGTTACTGAAAAAATGACTTTACTACTATCATCTAGTAGGATGAATCTAGTAGGAAAATCACAGGCTGAAGTATCAAGAATTCAATACGCTTCGCAACTGGAAAAAAACCCCAAACAGACAATCTTTAAAATACATGTTTAGTATCTGGATTAAAAAAAATACAGAAGGCAAGGCAGTCTCTGTCTCTGTATTCAAAATGGTATTTTAACATGTATTACTAAATAGTTTATTTAATATAAAAATCTAAACAACAGTATAATGCCTGCCTTTGTAAACATTAGAGTAATGACATGGCCAAATGAATATAAACATGACTGATTCAACTTCATAAGTATGAAGAAACAGACTGGTCACCTGTGGAATCATCAGGGGTCCATGGATGACTTCGAGTTGGCTTTTCTGAGGTTGGTCCTGAGGTAGTAATCATTCTGACACTGGGACTGGATGACCTACTGCTCACCTACAGGAAGAAGTCACAGGAGAAACAAAATGTGATTTTTTGATTAAAAAAAATGACGAGAACGTTTCCATTAAAAGGCAAGAAGAGACTTAGAGATCCCCCCAAAACTCTTGTAAACAACAAAATAAATCCTCTCTTATATATATGTAAAAATTTATATTCACTCACGCATGATACCTATTAAAAACTGATGAGCTTGCAAGAAACTAAGAAATACTCTGAGATTAGAAACAAAACAATATCAGGAAACTAGTAAGTGCTTAAGCTGACAGCCCTCGGAATTTCAACTAAACACCAATGGCCTAGAGCTACTGTTTTCACAGGCTGCTGCACTCAGAGGAATGGACCATAAAGCCTTGGGCCTTTGTAGGATGGAAGTAAGACTGGAGAAACCTCTGCTTAAAGCTAAAACTCAGCAAAGGCTTCACTCTCAGAGAAAAGGTCACTCAACTAGGAAAAAAAAAATCTGACCTACAAAAGCAGACAGGAAACAAATTTGTCTCTCTTGGGTTAGTGGCTCTGGGTGGAAGGGAGAAATGTATTAACTGTGAATCCACAAAAAATTTCCAGATTGGATGCAGGTTACAACAAATTCCAACCACAACAAATCCCCAGCATAAGAAATAGGAGGAAGCTCACAAATTGAGTTCAACATGGAACGTATACATTCAAATTCTAGGAAACAATCAACAGGAGACAGAAAAAGCAGCCAGAAGAAAGCAGAACAATATCTTCAAAGTGCTGAAAAATAACTGCCAGTCTAGAATTGTCTAGCCAACAAAATTTGAAGATAGAGGCCAAAATAACATTCTTAGATGGGCAAAAACTGAGTTTACCTTCCATACATTCTTACCACATAAGTTTTTCAAGCATGTATTTTTGGAAGAAGAAAAATTTTACTTGATAGAAGGATCAAGATGCAATAAGGAATAGTGATAAACAGGGAAATAAATCTACACACTGAAAACATTCAGTGACAGAAACAGTGAATTTATAGAATTATCAAACAAACAAGATGGCACTAAAATTATAATAACAATAGCACAAGCATGAAAAGCACTGACTTAAAACTCCTTGTTTTAAATATTGTTCAGGATGAGGGTACAGATCTTTACTAGGTTGGGCATGAATGTTAAAATTTCAAAGGTATTTACTAAAAGTAGTAATTAATATATAACTCCCAAACCAGAAAGAAAATAATAAAATGAAGAATAAATTTATTCAACTCAAAACTTGAAAGAAAAGAAAGAGAAATAAAACATAAGAGAGCAAACTTATCAGTAACCACAATAAATGTAAATGAATTACTCTCCAGTTAAGATATTTAAAAAAAAATCAGATTGTCAGGATGAATTAAATGCTATTTATAAGAGACATATCTAATTTACAGAGACAGAGAAAACAGAAAGTTAAAGGATAAAAAAAGAAAACCAGGCAAAAACTACCCCAAATAAGGTACCTATATTAATATCAGAGAGAATGTATTTTAGGGTCCAAAAAATTACTAGAGAAAGAGATAATATGATAAGTGGTTCAATTCAGAATACAACAATTCAAAATTTATTTTTTAAAAACTAATTTTTTTTTGTAGAAATGGGTCTTACTATGTTGACCAGGCTTCTCTCAATCTCCTGGCCCCAAGTGACCCTCTTGCCTCAGTCTCCCTAAGTGCTGGGATTACAGGCATGAGCCACTGTGCCTGGCCAACGATTCAAAATTTATATGCTGTACATACAAATAGATAAATCAAAAAACTGCAAGGAAAAAGGACATATCCACCATCACAGTGAGATTTGTTTTTAAAGACAGGGTCTTGCTCTGTTGCCCAGGCTGGAGTGCAGTGGTACCATCATGGCTCACTGTACCCTCAAACTCCTGGGCTCAAGCGATCCTTCCATCTCAGCCTCCCGAGTAACTGGGACTACAGGCACACACAACTATGCCCAGTTAATTTTAAAATATTTTGTAGAGCCAGGGTCTTGCTACGTTCCCAGGCTGGTCTCTACCTCTTGGCCTCAAGTGATCCTCCCTCCACAGTTTCCCAAAGCACTGGGATTGCAGGTATAAGCCACTGTGCCTGGCCAACAATTCAAAATTTATATGCTGTACATATAAACACATAAAGTAAAAAAGCTCAAGGAGGTATCGTCAAACTCCTGGGCTCAAGTGATCCTCCTTGAGTAGCCTCCTGAGTAGCTGGGACTACAGTTACATGATATTGCACTTGGCTAATTTTTAAACTTTTTGTAGAGATGGGATCTTGTTATGTTGCCCAGGCTGACCTAATGGCTTCAAGAAATCCTCCCACCTTGGCCTCCCAAAGTGCTGGGATTACAGGTGTGAGCAACTGTGCCCAGCCCCACAGTAATATATTTTAATATTCTTCTGTAAATTATATAAAAGGAGACCAAAAAAACAAAACAAAACACACACAGTAAAACTTGAACTCCATAAAAAACAAGCTTAATCTAAACATAAGTGACTTTACGCCTAGCAAATGAAGAATACACATTCTTTTTAAGCATTCATGGGACACTAATGAAAACTGATTATGTACTAAGCTATAAAGCAAATCTCAAAGTTAAAAAAAATTTCAGTATCATAACTTAATTACTTTTTATACTGATTTCAAAACCTTTAAAAATCTTTTGTTTTGAAAAACACTTCTAAATAACTCATTGGTCAAAGAAGAAAACAAAAGGGACATTAGAAAGTACTTGAACTGACTTTTAACGTGAATCATGCTAATACTTGGGGATGTGACTATAAGAGCATTTAAAGGAAAATATTTAATTCTAAATATATATATGAAAAAACCAGAAACACTGACAATTTATAAGCTAGAGATCTAACTTAGTTAAAAAAAAGAATTTGCCTCCCAAAATGAAAAATAGTAAAAGATAGTATTTTGAAATCGGAGACAATACTATAAAAATGAACACATTCTTTAAAAAAAAGTTTCAAAAATTCCTATACATTATAGAAAATACCAAGCACAGAGGAGGGTTTTACAGGTAAGTTCTATCAAACATTCAAGATAAGGATTTTTCCAATCTTAAATTATCCTAAACAAAGAAAGAAGAAACTTTCTGACCCATTCTGTGAAGGCAGTAAAAATCAATATGTAAGGACAGTGTGAGAAAGAAAGTTACAACTGAACCTCACTTCCAAAAAAATAAAATAAAAATAAAAAGACACAAAAGTCAAAATTTCTAAAAATTATATTAGCAAATATAATGTGGCAGTGTAGAAGCAATAAAAACCATTTAAAAAGTTTAGTTTATCCAACTTTGCAAATGACTGCAAAGGTCACTCATCTGACATTAGGAAATTCCATTAATAAAATTAATCACATCAACAGATTAAAGGACAAAACCTCAACAGATGCAGAAAAAGCATTTGACAACATTTAACATCTACTTATAAAAAAGACATTTAACAAACTTAAATTCCATGTATGAGAAGAGAATTTCTTTTTCTTTCTTTCTTTTTTTTTTGAGACAGGGTCTTGTTCTCTTGCCCAGGCTGGTGTGCAATGGCACCAACACAGCTCACTGCAGCTTTGACCTCCTGGGCTCAAGTAATCCTCCCACCTCAGCCTCCTCAGTAGCTGGAACCACATGCTCACGGCACCATGCATGGCTAATTTTAAAAAAAATTTGTGTAGAGACGGGGTCTCGCCCGTGTTGTGCAGGCTGGTCTTGAACTCCTGGGCTCAAGCGATCCTCCTGCCTCAGCCTCCTAACGTGCTGGGATTATAGGTGTGAGCCCCTGTGCCCAGTGGGAAGAGGACTTCTTAATCAGATAAAAGGTATTTATGATATCTGGAAACATGACATATGACAGAACATGGCACTGAGGGTTGGTGGGGAAATGACAGGGAAGGCCACAGGCGAGGAACACACAGGGACCAACCCCCACTGGGATTGCTAATGTTCCATTCCTTAAGCTGGGTGGTGGGTTCACAAGTGCTCATTTTATTTTCATAACTTATACATTATATACATTCTTGTCTACATATTTATATTTCATATATTAAAGCCTTTCAAAGGACACAGAAACTAAAATGGGTTTCATAAGGACTTTTTTTTTTTTTTTTTTTTTTTTTTTTTTGAGACGGAGTCTCGCTCTGTCGCCCAGGCTGGAGTGCAGTGGCGCGATCTCGGCTCACTGCAAGCTCCGCCTCCCGGGTTCACGCCATTCTCCTGCCTCAGCCTCCCGAGTAGCTGGGACTACAGGCGCCCGCTACCACGCCCGGCTAATTTTTTGTATTTTTAGTAGAGACGGGGTTTCACCGTGTTAGCCAGAATGGTCTCGATCTCCTGACCTCGTGATCCGCCCGCCTCGGCCTCCCAAAGTGCTGGGATTACAGGCGTGAGCCACCGCGCCCGGCCTCATAAGGACTTTTTAAAAAGCACCTTTTTTTTCTTGATGTGTTACTGAGTACCAAAGAAGAGACTTAAAAAAGAACATGGAGTTATAGAAAATAAAACTTAAAATAAATTCATGAAGAATCTTATATCTAGCTTCAACATATATACAAACACTCAAATTCAAGACTGCAACAAGTAAAATGAAATGCAATACAAAAGTACCTTTGAGTAGAATCCATCGTATGTGAGTTCTAATTATGCTGTAATGTCTGCTTCAGATCACTTCAACCTCTCTTTATCTGGAGAGGGGTTGGGGCTGGGTTAAGAATGTGATGAGAAGTGTTCCATATAGTGCTAAAATTATATGATTTTAGGTCTTGAAAAGCCACAATGGATTCAGGATAATAAACAGTGACAGGTACTTTGTTTTCCTCTCATTTCTGTTTTTTTAAAAATAATTTTTAATTTTTGTGTGTACATAGTAGGTACATATTTATGGGGCACATGAGATGTTTTGACACAGGCATGCAATGCATAATAATCACATCATGAAAAATGGGGTACCCATTCCCTCAAGCATTTATCCTTTGTGTTACAAACAATCTAATTATACTTTTAGTGAAAGGTACTTTCCTAACAATTTCAGAGAAAAAAATCATAAATTAACTTTGAAGAAAAACTGATGAAATATGACTTTCATTTTGGGTACCCACTGAAATTGCTTCAGAAATTCCAAAAAGCTTTTCTACACCATAACCAATTTTTAACTCCATATAAGATTGCTCATTCTGTTCTTTTCTTCTCCTTGTTAATCCTTCCCCACCCTGTAAGGCCCAGCTCAGGTTTTCTTCTACATTATGTGGTGATTCTTGCCACTTCTCTGGTTGTTTGTGTACAAGGCCAGACCTTGTGTTTGAGGACATGGAGTGCCTAACAGTGTACTGCAGGCAAAATGTTCGTTTACTGATTGTTACTGAATCAATTCTGAAATTCTCACTCTGGCATTCATGACTCTCCATCAGCAGGTTTACCTTGCCCATCTGGATTTTCTCTCCTCTTAAAATTCCTCATGCCCCTGTTTCCCTTGCAGTTTTTAATCCTGACCTCATATTCACCTAAAGATAATACGGCGTAGTGCACAGGGCATGCATAAAACTGAACCAGATAAAACTGGTGTTTTTGTAGTTGAAAACTCAGCAACTTCACATGTTTCAGTCTAATACTTTGGAGACCTGGGGTTATGTCTCCATTCTGCCACTTACAGCTGTGTGAACCTGTGTAAGTAACTTAGCCTCTCTGAGACTTAGGTTTCTCATTGATGAAGTGTGAATGAGAAAAAGTAGTAGCAGTAAGAAGTTGGGTGTTGGAGACAAGACAGCCCAGAGTTTGACTGTGCTCTGCCATTTCTAACTAGTACAGCTTTGGGTAACTTATTTAACCTCTAAGACTCAATAGGAAAATAAGGACAGTATTATCTATCTATAAGGTTATAAAAATTAAATGAAATGATGTACATGAAATGTCTTCACACGAGATTTTTTTCTTCTTTGAATTTTGGCTGTATAGTCAGTTCCTACTTCAACTTGTGCCCGAAATTATAGTAGTCTCAAAGTTTTACTCCTCTTCAAAAGTATTATAACCTCTTAAGGGCAGAGACCATGCGTACTTTTTATATTGTACTTCCCAGGATCTGGGAAATTGCTGAATATATAATAAACACATAATAGATACTCATTGAATAAAATGAGAACACAAGCTATTAGCACTCAGATACAAGATTGGTGCTTAAGCTTATTTACCTTTAGTATATAAGAATAACAACGACATACACCAAAGAAAACCAGTGATGAAATGTTTCACTCTTACTTTTAGGATACTTTTACCCTTGACAAAGCAAGTATAGACATTATGAAATTATTCCTGAGTCTTTTTAACTTTCTTTGACTGAAAGCAAGTACACAAATATGCCCATAGTTATAACTGCTATTATAAATCAAAGGCATTTTTCCTTCAAAGTGGTGGCAGACCAGGGTTTCAGAGTCAGTGTAATGCTAATGCACATTTTAAAAAGAGAAACACATGTTTGTGACATGTAAGAATCAGTATCAGTTGTGAGAAATCAACAAAATACAGTAGAAGTAATAATTAGGTTTTTAAAATGAGAATGGATTTAGTATATTTAAAAAAGAGGTCACTGAACATCTGCAATATTAAAACAAATAAGTTGGACCTAATAGGAATTTTATAGTACTCCTTAAGCTTAAATCTTTTGCAAAATGATTCTTTGCTACACCTTTCTTTTCACCTTCTACTTTCCAAGAAACTCTTAGCACCTTCTGTGCATGCTTGTTTGTCCCACTTGTAATTTCCAACAGCTATGAAACTAAGAAATATAAGGCTTGCACTTTTAATGCAAGTTTCAAAACTGTTTTTAGACCAGCACAGTTAGATTTAAATCCATTAACTAATAAATAAATCTTTATATTTTAAGAAATGTGTATCTCAATAAATAAAAATATGCTAATATGTTTGTATAAAAAAACTAAGGAAATATTTAAAAACAAGGCATAACTGTAGTTTTTGAGTATGTGAATAATACAAGGCATAAATAAGAGGAACACATAACATCTGACAATCAATGAAAAAACTCAAACTAGTTTGTGGCTGAATTTATGTTACTGCTTGTAACCAACTACTGAAGAAGTTTTTACAGTACTTATTTTTTAAAATCACTGGTAAAATTCTGAGGGTCACAAATGCTCTCAAACTATTAAAACTCATTTAAGTTGCTCCTTCCTCTAAGACATTTAAAATTACTTATTCTATCCCCACATTAATTGCAAAGTTTAAGAGATATAGGCAAACTTGACTTACCAAAAGAACTGGATATGAAAGTCACAAGAGTATAGAAACGTGACACAGCAATTTAAGGCAGCAAAAGAATACTAAGCCAAATTTAAACCTCAGGGGCAGATTACCATCAGTAGACATGAACCAGAATTGGCCTTTGACCAGAAATTTATCCCTATATTTATAAAAAGGAATTGGAAGTTATTTTACAGACAAAAATAAAGCTCAGCTTTTAATATCTTACCTGAAAGACTGGGAAAATATTTTCATAAGTCAGGAATTTACACCCAGTGTTATTATTTAGACTGACATTTAAAAGCTATTTAATACCCTCAGAAATCTTAGTAGCTAAAATTATACAAGCACAAAACACAGAGATTAAATGATGACTTCTATGATATTCTTGCTAAAGTAACATCTCAATAATATAAATATTTTTAAAATGGGTATAAGTTGGTAATGTGGATTTACATGGGTACTTATTATGGTAGTTACAGATAATTAAATCTATACATGAAGGTTGTACTGAAAATATTCTTTCTAATCTAAAGGTCTGTAGGCTTGATCTATTTTGGCTTCACTACAGTTTTTCATAAGGAAATTTCAGAATTTTATTATTCTTACATGGTCTTCTACAATAGAAAGGTGTCTGTTCTCCAACAGAGGCCAGGCATAGTGGCTCACGACTGTAATCCTAGCACTTTGGGAGGCTGAGGCGGGCAGATCGCTTGAGGCCAGAAGTTCGAGACCAGCCTGGGCAACAGGGTGAAACCCTGCCTCCACTAAAAATAAAACAAAAATTAGCCAGGTGTGGTGGCACATGCCTGTAATCCCAGCTACTCGGGAGGCTGAGGTGGAAGAATCACTTGAACTCAGGAGGCAGAGGTTGCAATGAGCGGAGATCACACTACTGCACTCCAGCCTGGCTGACAGCGGGGACTGTGTCTCGGAAAAAAAAAAAAAAAAGAAGAAACGTGTCTATTCTCCAATAGAAAGGTATACTATGAAGAAGGAATTATTCAAAACTATTACATAAGTTTCTGATTTAGAGTTTACCAGAACATTTGTTTACACAAAAGGAGGTGCAGAATGAAGATGGAAAAAAGTAGTATAATAAATCACATCCCTTAAATAAATAATAACAATGTATATTAATATCACTCAATATGCGATAAGAGACCTTTAAAGCAAATACTTTCCATGATCCTTGACACAAGGTTTCCTTATGATACAGAAAGAACGCTGGTGGATTTTACTTCTTTCCAAGTGCTATTTTCTTTTTATTTCTCACTATCATGAGAGCAAGGAAGTGATATCAAGAGCCCGGTGAGGCACACTGTGGAGAGGCTGGCATACAACATGGATTAGTATCTACTGTGTGCCCTGGCACTTTCACATCTGTTAAGAACTCTGGGAGGTGGGTGTTATGGTCCCTATTTGCAGATAAGGGTGCAGAAGCTCAGGGAAATTAAGGAACTTGCCCAAAGTCACATATTTGACTAGTAAAAGTAGATTATAAAGTCCATATGGAAATGTAATATGCCCACTTCTCTAAATAATCATAACTGTATCATCTTGCAGTCGTAATTTTCACTGACTGCAGCCTCCTCTAAGAGAATTCTTGAATATAGATCTATACTGAATACAATTCCAGAAGGGGTATTCAGGCATTTATAAGAATGTATATTGTTTTAGTGAAACACAGAATGGCTCACCCAGGTGTATAAAACATAAATTTGTGCAGTCATTGGTAGAAATTTATTATCAAGATAGGTTAACCTTGTTCAATGATATGATACAGCTACAATTCATCATCACTTAACAACTGTTTAAATAATTAATGACAATGCAGACTATTAGAAGCCAAAATACCTAAATGTAAGAGATCTAGGGCTATAACAGCATGCATCACATCTAGTTTCACATGCAAGTTAGAATGATTAAAGTATAGAGTTTGTGTGCTTTGCAATCAGGTCTGGATTCAAAACCTGGTTATAGGAATTACTGGCAGTATAAGGAAGTAAGAGACTTAGGTCAGTTTCTCTCATCCTCACTTTACCTGGCTGCAAATTAGGTGAAAAAGTACCAACTTCACAGGACTAAGATCCTGATAACAGGATTAACATTCTGATAATGTATACTAAGAGCCTATCTGGCACAAAGTCAGTGCACAACAAATGGAAGCTGTTATTACTTTAGTTTTCTAATTGATTTGGGCATAAGTCTGATCTCTCCAAATGAGGTCCTTGCGGAATAGGCTTTATTGGTATTGTCAAAGCCCTCTAGCCAAAGACTGCCAGGAACACACCAATAGTGGAAAGAGTTGGGTTTAATATTTATTGCAGTGAAGGAGAATGCTTACCATGGGGCAGCATGGGGTGTCTCAGTAAGAGGGTTTTAGAAAAAGAAAGTATTATAGGATTTAGGCTTTGGTTGAGTGATTTTGGGGAAACTCAAAGGAAGGAGGGGTTCGTTCCAGATTGGCCGCTGTCAGAAAGCAAGGGCAATTCCACAGGGAGGGCAGTCCAGAGTGAGGACCAAGCTGTAATTGGTAAAGAAGCAGCAGTCACTCTTAATAGCTGGGAGAGGACAATGTTAGGTATTTTGTGGGTGGCACAGTGACCTTGTTTTTGTCTGTGCTTAGAAAACATTCCGAAGTAGTCTTGTTTTGTCTCCTTTTATCACGGTCTCAGCATTATCTTGTCTGATATTGGTGTTCTGAGAGATTATGTCCAATAAGACAGTAACATGCTCTAGCTGTGACAGCCAGCCGTTGAGAATAAGGCTAGCTACTAACAACAGTGAGGCCACAGTGTCAAACCAGTTCCTGGATGTCAGGGACTGCTTTTTTCTTTCTCAGTATCTTTTCAAAGCTTCTAGGAAGTCACATCTATTGAGTGTTTAAAAAGCTTCCTGAATTAATGAAAAAACCATGTTTGAAAGTGAGTTGTATGTTGTAAGAATGCAATCTTTTACACCTATACTTATATCATTACTTTTAATTAAGAAGCTTGCTTCATTTACTGTTCCTCTCAAATGGATGGCAGCAGAAAAACAACCAATTTAATTTTAGTTTACAGATGGAAATTCTAAGTGGTTTTACTAAGATTATGTTTTGAGTCAAGAGCCACAGTACAATAAGTTTACTTTCCTCTGCAAGATGGAATCACGCTTAGCCAGACTTCAAAAAGGATGGCACCTTCCAATTTTGAAAACACATATTGTGAATACTTTTCTTCCTCAAATGAATATCATCTTTGTGAGTAATTTAAAAGATTTAATGGTCACTTATCATACATTTTTTGGGAGAAATGTTTTCATAGTACATTAGGATTAGTATTTGCCACTCTCATGCCAAGCTGAACATTAGGCATTTTAAGGCTATAACACAAATAATTTTGAAAGAGTGGATCAGTTTTAAAATGTGGCTACACAATGGTCATACATCACCTGTTTCAGAACAGGTTTTACTGCCATATCAAACTCTCCCTCACCCATATCAAACTCTCCCTCACCCCAAATCTTTCAGAGTGGTCTATGACAATTCCACAAATGACTGTCCCACACCCATAGTTGGCCTCAGTTCCAGCGTTTTACTACCTGAAGGTATTGTGAATTAAAAGGGTAACAACGAAAATCTCAAATAATGTGGAACTTGTGAAGAAATAAGTAAGACTTGGTGTGGGAAGATCAGTCCTGAATTATGGCAACACTTTTATTCTAGAGTCTACAGAAAAGCTTTCAAACTAGTAGCTGCTCCTGACATGTCTTAGGACAAGCTTCTCATTCCTAGTCAAACAGTTGGCTAGAAGTTCTCATAACTGGAATATCAGTGGCAATAGTAAACAGAGTTTAAAAGGCTGAGCTCATCAAACCTCCAAAGAATCAAAGCAAATAGCAGATGTCAAACTATCTGTTACTAAATGGGCTGATTAAAACTTTTAAGTATCTGAGGGGGAGAAAACGGGAAACTTCAGCCAAAAGTTCTGGGGTCTTACAAAAACAGATGCACTGAAAAAAACTATCACTAAATAATGAAATCAAGATTTAGAGTCACTAGTATCACAAAACATAATAAATTAATGTGTCTATATAGATTTTATTTATATATGTGTTTATAAGCATTTTGTGAAATAAACATATTTCCAGATATAAATGAAGATCAAGGATATTCACCACTTAAATATTTGAAGTGGTTTTTGGTAAGTTGGTTGATGGGTATAAAAGACTTTTTTATTAATGACTACAAAGGATCTCCCAAATTTTAAGTATATTATACAAATGATATAATAATAAAATACCTTTTTAGGATGACAAGTACTAATACATATTATCATAAATTACAACAGATTGTTTATAATATATAAACGCTAAAATTTTACAAAAATATGGGTCACGATGTAATAATTTCATTACTTAATACTTAATAATTTAATACTTAATACTTCTTAATATGTAACAATTTCATTACTTAATTTCATTACTTTTATGCTGCTCTCATAAAACTTATTCTTGTACAGCTGAAAACAAACACCTTATAATTAATCTTCATTCATTTTACAGAATATAGTATATAATAAATTATATATGTCAAGTGTATTAATCTGAGTAACACAGAAAAAACAATGACTGAGCTACTTTTATATACCTGGTGGGTTAAAACTCTGCACTAATCAGTAATGGCTTAAATTATAACACTGTCTGCATCATCTGCAAAGCAGCAGTGATAAAGAGACAAGGAGAGTTTAGAGGAGGATCCAGAAATATAAACAATGAAATCTTAACCACTGGAATAGAAGCCTTTCGAGAGTTTACACATTTGCTTAGTAAATGTTATCTTAAGGATATTTGAAAAAAATATTAATCCAGTGGATATGCCAAGTTAAAAGACGTTAGAGTTCTCCATGTAATGCCCTACGTGGCGCTAGAGGAGTAGCAACTTATTGGGGAAATGTTTACTACCCTTATTAGTAAAAAGGAGACATATTAATGATTCACTTTAAAGGACACTTTAATGATAAATTGTTAAATTATAAAATTGAATACTTATTAAAACATACATAAAACCATATAACATATATACAGCGCTAATGAACAATTTACTTTTCCATGGAGTTTAATAAACCTACTTTAATAAATTATCTTTCAAGTTAAATTAACAATGGCACCTATGTTTTTTTCCCCCCTAAGTATTTAAGTTCAGGTGCAATGAATTTCTCTATCACAACTTTAGGTCAACTCATAAAACTAATTTTGCAGAGTAGAATACAGTTAATTCTTGTTTTCTGCCTAGTATTCTTCAAAGATAGAAAATTTGAATGTTGTCTTACCTGACCAGGTTCTGTTCCAGTTACAGTCAAGTCTTGGATGGATCTACGTCTTGGCTGTCCGTTGCCTTTAAAAAGAAGAAAAAAAGTAAAATACTAAAATCTAGTCAAACAGACAAAAAGCGTGTAATTGCTACAGCAGAAAGTTGGAATTTGTTGCTCCTTGGATCTACACAAAATGTTTGTGGGGAAAAAAAAGTGAGTTTATTGCTAAGAAAAAAAAAAAAGAAGAGAAAGATGTAAAGAAAGGAAGAGAAACAGCTGCGGTGTTTTAACTCAAAAGTTGCTGGCCTACAACAGAGTATGTCCTAATACAATAACCACTTCTACCACATGAATAGCTGCTGAACTCTCTTCCACCATCTTCTGTCATGTGTTTAAATAGATGAATGCTTGGGGGCTGGGGCTGATGACGGCATCTATTTCAAGGGCCTTACGTTACAGTTTTTACAGCAAGACAGCTAGCAGGTTGTAAGACACAACTGACTTTAACTGGCAGCAATACCTTGTTCATTTCAGGGCCTAGAAGATGCTTAGGCTTAAATTTGTTATATTGAGTCACGCTTACTTAATCCCCATTAGTCTTTGTCAGAATCTAGTAATTTATTATTTGTGAACAACAACTCTTAATTTCCTACTGGATGTTAATAACTGTCACTCTGTTCTCAAATATACAGCTTGTTGAAATGGGCTATTGTGTTAATTCTGCTTTAGAAACTTCTATGTTTATAATTAATTTAATTAAAAATCAATTTATGAGAGAATTCTACACATATAAGTCCTCAGCAAAACAATGAATTGAGCAATGGCTTCACTCAGCACTTTTATTTGGGAATAAAGCTGTTTATGCAGTATCTTCTAACGTGAGAGATCAGCTGTCTAAAAGGAAACACCAAAATACTGAGTAACAGCTGATACAATACTCAAAATTCTTTTGACTCTGAAATCTGTATTACGTAATTTCTCAACTAGTGGGCAACACTTAGAACATGTACTCACTCTAATTGTAGTTTCCCGATTAGTAGACAGAATTCATTCTTAAAATTTTAGACTTCCAGAATCTTTCGTAGAGACATCCTTTTAAAACCAATCAGCAATATAATTTAGCACCTTAACCCACATGACCCCATTATTATGCTGCAGATAAACTAAAAGGACCTTACAATGGAATAAGAATGTTTAATAGAATAATATGTGTAGTGAATATAAAAACTCAAATTTGTAACTCCTCTTGCAAATGTAAGACATCATCAGTTTTTTTCCATTTTAAGCTACGTTTTATAATTCTTTGCATTATCTGAATTCACATTTACTTCAAATTTCATTTTATTCCAAAAATTTCAACTTTTCATTACAAACTAAAACAACAAAACTGTGCATTTATTGAATTAGATCCACTAGATTACTTTTCTGAATACTTTCAACTACCCCTGTTTCCCAAGGACAAAAAGGATCCCCACAACCGTGACTAATAAGCAATTTTAGGCACATTTCATTCAACACATTCATTCTAAAATTAGCGGTGATGAGACAGGCTTGTAAAAGTGTCTGGAATTCTCTTTTCAGATTAGCAACACAGCAACATTTGTTAATCTGAGGAACCACCCGACACATGTGTCTATAAACCATTACATCACCATTGCAATAACAACAAAAACTGAACTTAAATTTAGGTGGAAGGATAGGAGAAAAGGGAAGTAAAACCTTTTAAGGAAGTAAGGTAAAGAAGAGCTGACAGTTAACAAATGCCATAAAATGAGAAATCTTTAAGCTACTGCATGAATCAAAGCAAGCAGTATTAGGCAATGCATTTTAATTAGCACAACCATGGCAGAAACCATCTGGCAGATAGTTCAGACAAAGCAAAACAGGATTGCAATCAACAAATACTTGTTGCTCCAATATTAAATTTTAAGTCATAATTTAGAAATATGAATGTAAGAAAAATCAACCTCCTATTACTTCAAATGAAAATTACTGGGTGTGTTCTCAGTAAATTTGAATTGATTCTGAAGTTTTTTGCAACTGAATACTAATTTAGACATTCACTCATTTTACCTTTTTTGGTCCTTTGATATGTACATACCTATATTATACATGGTAGTGTAAATGGAAAAAGTAGTAGAAATGAGGACAGCATGATGTAAACAGATGCCTGATCAAGGAATCTGAAACCTGCATATGCTATCCTGAGTATTTCATTCTGTAATGAATT
Source organism: Homo sapiens (assembly GCF_000001405.40). NCBI lineage: Eukaryota > Metazoa > Chordata > Mammalia > Primates > Hominidae > Homo > Homo sapiens. Next base: position 90,538,549 of record NC_000006.12, read on the forward strand.
CTGGAACGTTCATGTCTTATAATAGAGAACAAATTCCACTTTTTAGAATGACTTCTAAGAATACATCACATTGCCAGTGCATACTAAATCTGCACTCCTGCCCACCGCAAATAGAAAGCAACTTAGGGGTCAGTTCCATTCTTTTTACAGTAATGTCATTAAAACAGAGCCCCTCTTCAAAAAAGCTGCTCTTTTAAGTACAACTGATTTCCTGAGCTGGTATTTAAAAGTTATCCCGGGTTTCTTCCAGAGACTGCTGGCTTAGGTCCCAGACAGCCACTCCTGTAATTTTTCTTATCAGTTAAGCTCATAGTTTTCCTTGACTTACACTACTCTTATTTTCTACTTTAAAACTTCCTGAAGACTGTCTTCATGTAAGAATCAACACTACATTTTCCTGGAGACTTCTCTTAACCTAAATGTTAGAAATTTTGAGATTCACGAGTTTTGAATATTACACATTATGGGACACCATTCTCTTCATGTGTAAAATACCCAAGATTTAAAAAAATGCATAGCATGATACACTAGCATTACATTACTGCTTCATGGTAAACTGAACATGTAATTTTAAAATATATGTTCTAATTTAGGCTGCCAAAGTTTCGTATTTCTTTACTAATTTTAACAAATTCTGGCTCTTTCACTGGAAAGGTCCGTCAGGTGGTTTATTTGCTTTCCAATAAACCAGCTTTATTAGCTTAGAGTTGAATTTTTTAGATTACAAAAAGTGATCTTGGTAGACTATACAATATGGCAGAAAGGCCACCTAAATATTCATTATAAAGTTAGATTAACTTCCCTATTTAATATGCCACAAATAGAGAATTTTATTGAAAGTGAGGTGGCTATACACAGAAACTAGTACAGTACATCTTAGTATAGCACCCCTTAGCCCTAGGATCCCTATCAAAGGCTTACATCTGCTAATGACACTATCTGTGCTAGGTGAGAACTTGCCAGATCTAGAAAAACTCAATTCTTTCTCTCTTTGCCTCTTCATATTGGTGCTGCAGTAGTCTGGAGGAAATATTTAATAACTTACATGCTTCCAGTTAAAGAAAGGTTTACAAACATTAGTTACCGACCGGCTCTTGAACCAAATATACTATTAAAAAAGTGATATTTTCATCCTGGTGGAGAAAGCAAAATAGTGCTCAGGTGTCCTTGAAAAGCATCTCTGCTTCCAGTTGTTTAAGCATTCTATAAAGCCCTCCCCACCTAGATAATTTATTTGCCAATACCTGACATTTGAAACTTCTGAAGGAGGGCAACAAGATACAAGTATTAGAAGCCTAACTACTCATCTATTTTTCAGTTAAAATGTTTGGGCCTCTCTACATTCTACTTACTCCAATTTACTACTTATCATACTGTTAGTAAAAAACCAATATACAATAGAGCTAAACGTCCTTGACTGAAATTAAAAGCGAATACGCGTTTTTTATTCAGTTAAGAGATCTAAATGCGGCTGAAATCATAAGGACACCTAAGGTTTCTTTTTAGCTTTAAGAATGATATAACAAACAATAAATATCAATTAAGTTCAGGTTCTTCAGGAAACTAGGCAAAAATCTTATCTATTTCAGTAAGATCTGACTCAAAAACATTTGTATATTCAATCTTCTTTTGCATATCCTTAAGAACAGTATGTAAGACAGAAAATCCTCTTTGGTCAAGGCATTTTATTGCTCTCGAATGTTATGCCATATTATTTTAGGCTTAGAAATAACAAAAGGTACACTAAAGCAACACTGTTCAAGGTTCTCAAATTGAAGCACTTCAAGGCAATGTTCATCTATAGAATGGATGGTTTTCAAGTACTTGAAATCAAGCATTATAATCTAATCTGAACTAAGAAATAAATTTATCTATGATGATATAATAGCATTAAAAATGTCTGTAATTTAGAAAATTTTACTTTTGCATATCACATTTGGGAAACTCATTTCACTTTATAAAAGCAATCAAGCCGGTATGAACCATGTACAACAAATTTTATATCAGAGTAGAAGTGCAGAAGACTAATGTTTAATTAAATCTTTTATAGGTGGTAAGTATATATGTATATGACAGTATTTTTTTCCAGTAGATTTTAGAATGCATTATAATTACAGTTTATTTCCTTAAATGCTATAACTACTCACACAAAGGCTCCAGAGCAGAACAACCCATCTTCCATTACTGATGCTACAAGCATGAAAAATAATTCGCTTTCTTAACTACTTATTCTCTTACTCTACATGTTAAACTGAAAAAGGTTGTTCCTCTTTTTTTGTAATATTTAGGCATTCTACCTGTTCCTCTTTGACATTTGGATTTTTAAAAGAAATGTAAAATTTAGGTATTCTTCTAACATCAGATGAACTGCATTAGAATGTCTTACATAGTTTCACAATCCCAATAATCTATTTCATTTGTGTACTTGAGATGAAGGTGGGTGAAAAATAGATTCTTGGAAGCTTAGATAGTGACAAAAAGAAAATATGGGAAAAAGTAAAGAAAATCCATGCAAAACAATGATCTGTGTTCTTACTGCCCTTATTAAAGTCCTAGAACAAAAAAAATCTAGAAAAACTTCAAAGAATCCAATAATCTGCTACCTATTCCCTTTTCTTCAAATATAAATGTAACAAATTAGATGTACTGGCTGAAAGGAGAAAGGATATGGTTTTTAAAACTCAAGTTTTAATAAAAAACATTTAAGAAAATCTATTTCTTTTCTCGAAGTCCCTTCCAACTTACCAGCAAGCAAATGCATTAGAAAACTGTAGTTCATATGGTCTAAATACTGGGCAAGAAACTTCCACATTTACATTTACTTTGCTTAGGTAGCACACTGCTACTTGGCAGGACCTTCTCTACAAAGGAAGAGTCAGCAAAATGTCACACACTCTACTGGTAATTTGCTCTTAGCTGCGTGTCTTCCTTGGTAAAAAGGAGCCAGGCTAATCTATAAAGCTCACTCTTTTAAGGGCAGATGGACAGTGGAAAGAAGGAAGGGTTACCGTACAAAAGTTTGTCAGTTCTTCAGAGCCAGTAATATGGTAGAAGAGGTATAAAAAATTGTACAGTCTGACCCACAGGGAGTCCTAAGGTATTAAAGGTTAATTTCTGTATGATCTGAGAGACTACTAAATTGATAAATAGTGCTGTTTTGCTAAGTTGCTTTTTCTTCCACATTTGACTGATGGCATAGTATACACATTTTGAAGAGCGAGCAAAAAACAAGATTACAAGATTAGGGTCTTTGCATTTCTTTACCTATGACTAGGTTAGACATTTTAGTGACTTTAAAGATATATATACAAAACCTTTTTTGTGATGCTTGAAGGATTGCTCTTATTAAGAGAGGTAGTTCATTCCAAGAAGTACATTAGACTCAGTACATTGCACTTGGCCAAAGGGAAGTATTAACGAAACTCTTATCCATGTAAATAAGATCTTTAAAAAGCTATATTTAAAAAGAATCCTTGCAATTGGGTTTTAATGCTAATTAAACAGTTTGAATATATCAAGAAGTATTTGCTAATACCATAAAGCTTGTGGGAAATCCACTTAGAACAAAACAATTTCTAGAAAGTATTAAGAAATTTTGGAAATTAAGTATCACCCTTCTTTACAATTAAAATGTCATGTAGGAAATTTGAGATATTCCCAAAGGATGGGCGGTATTTTTATATTTAATTTAAAAACATTACCTATGAGCACATTCATGATTGGCTTTTATGTCCACTAGTGTCAATTCTACAGCTTGTATTCTTCTATTAAAGAAAGTGCACCTGAGTAAGTTAATGTTTGATATCTGAGGGGGGAAAAGCCTAAAAAGAATATTTAATAAAAGGTATTACTGAATAATATTTTCATATGAATAGCACTGCTGCTCTGGCAATTAAGAGAATTAAGGTTACCTGATTCCATAAAGGCCCAATGTCATAAAAGAGGATCTCCCTGGCTGAAGAGCTCTCCTTAATGTGAACACTAAGAGAAAGCAAGAAGAAATTACTCTAGCTTCTCTGACTTAAACAAAAGAACAAAAAATGGATGTGACTTGGAGTCAGAAGATCTGGGTTGGGGTCCTGGCTATATGATTCTGGAAAAACCACTAAACATCATCAGATCTAAGTTCTTCGTCTGTTAAACAGCTATAATTTCATCCGATAACCTAGTTGTAAGATTGTATAAAGGTAAAATAAGATGTACTTTAAGCTACTTTGTAGGGCACAAAGAACATCTAATCAGGGGTTTTCAGCCTCAGCACTGCTGCCATTTTGGGCTGGATCATTCTTTGTTGGAGAAGACTGCCTGGTACACATCAGGATGTTTAGCAGCATCCCTGGTCTCTGCCCACTAGATGCCAGTAGTACCTGACAGTTATAAACTATTATTCTTTCCTTATTTTTCCCTCCCCCATTATCTTGTATAGCGTGGGCTACGCTGCCATATATAAATTTATTCTTAATGCTTAGTCATAAGATTACACTGCCATCTGTCTAAATTTTCCTGATTCCCTCAAACATTTAAGGGAAGCACAGTTCAGCGGTATGTAAGTTTAAATGCTTCCACCTCTTTAAAGTACGTCCCTTATACACAGTACCTTTCCGCATGGAGGTAAACTGATCTCCATGTAAAATGATCTCTTTGTTAATTTCTGAAGCAGTCCAGATTCAATAAATAAAAATTACCATGTGAAAAATGGGTTAACTCTACTCTTTGAATAGCAATAGTAATGATGTTGTAAAATAAGAAACCACTTTGATAACCAGGGGAAAATTAATATAAGATAGTTTTATACAGACAAAATGGCACCTAAGAATAGTATAATTCATATTTTTGTATGCTAGTTTCTCACCAGGGGAGATGCTCAATAGGTCTGTTCATTTATTTAATAAATGTATTTATTAAACACTATGTTAATATGCTTAATATGTGAAGCACTGAGCCAGCAACTGCTGATACAATCAATAATAAGCAACAACAACAAAATAATGCACAAAGATATGGATTCTATCCTTACATAGTTTTCAGTTTAGTAGAGGAGAAAATAACCATTAGGTATTCAACTAGAATTATCAACACTGCTAAAAACACAATCACAGGCAAAGGACAGCATGCTGAAGAATTCATCCAACTCGCACTCATGAACGTGTGTGGAAAATATGTATTTCCTTATCAAGATTTTGGGTAAAGAGGTAGAGAAAAGCCTAAAGGGATAAATAAATGATAATTTTGATAATACATTAATCAATACTGAAGGTCAATATGCCATTTAAGTTTCTATTAAAAATGGTAACATATTCCTCTATGAAATGATCACCATAAGAAATAAAGCAGTTTACCAATTTTAGACACTAAAGTACCATGTGTAAGTTAGGTATAAAAACATGTAATTTATGAGATTCTCCTGATAATACACAAAAATCAGAATTGACCAACTATTTTACATGATTCTTTGGCAAGATACCCTGCAAAACAGCACATCTCATTTAGCTTTACTTTTTGTTTTCCAGGTTAAGGCAAAATGCTATTTAGCAACTCTCTTCTCTCAACTTCACATTCACTTGCTACCAACAGAAAGAGGTTAGGACAGAAAGTCTAGAGGGGACCCAAAAAGCAGTAACTGAGGAAGGAAAGGAGCCAAGGAAAATAACAAATTTTAATTAGTTGTTTCCTCTTTCTGTTGGGTGCAAAAAAGGTCTGGGTTTAGCTCATGTGCTCACTTAAAAGTAGAGAGGAAGTTGGTAGAATTCTGGGTTGGTGTTCTCCCTTCTCCAAAAAGGTTTACTTTCTCTTCTATTTTATCCTCACTTATTGTAGATCAGAGGTATCTTTTCAAGACTGCTTCAGAATAAATGTAGTTTTTCAATCTGTCTCCCTAATTACTGCATGCAAGGTATCCATTTTCATGTCTTGTAAAAATTGGAGCAAGAAGCATTTTACAAGTACCAGGGATCATTATTCCGGTTCCACAGCTATTAGACCAACTCAGGTGGTCTATGATACCTGATATGACGATCTCAGGGACATCCAGAATGTTGCCAAATGAAGCAGTTTTACGGTGGCCCCGTTTAGGCTTGGAATAGGCTGCAAAAACACATATATACAGTATACATGCAAACAACCACAAACAGTAACACGGAAAATGATTAACTACAAAAATAGACTCATTTTCAAATAGTTCATGTTAATAACATTTCATGCAGAATGGCATGCAGAACTACCTAACTTTTCATCCATGCTCAGAAAAGGCGAGATTAAAGAGCAAACAACTACCAAATACAAGATGTTTTACACACTGGTTTTAATTAGCAGAAAAAAATAAAAAGAACAGAGACAAAGCTGCAGGGTAATGAGGAAGCAAAATTTCAAATATATTCATAGAAACAGTCTACCTAAGTGAAATCACTGATCTGTGATGGGGGTGGGGGAACGAAGGAGGAGAGGAAGAAAGGCGTTAAAAAGTAAGTTGTCGTATTTGTTTTAATTACACAAACACAGGAATACATGTTCAAGTTAGGTGTTTCTTGAAGTGTGCTATAAAGTAAAATCCAATGATTAAATAATAATTATTGAATCAAAGTGTGAAATGTATATGCTTTTGTAGTCATACTTATACATATTTCTAGTACCAAATATTTATTATATTTTCCAAAGTTTAGGGTACATTCACAGTAAACACAAAGTCTGTCAAAAGGCTGGAAAGTATGACTCTTTCCAAGTAAGACAATTCATGAAAAAATTTAAATTGTGTAAAACTCAAGGGATGTACAATAGCATTTGTTCTACACTTAGGCAAAATTTTAATGTGTGTGGTTATCCTTCTAGCAAAGTCATTTCTGTAAATAATAATAAAAAACCAGTGCTTGACTAGAAATATGATACTAGCGAAGACATGAAACCATTATTATAACAATTTTCAGTTTTGAGACAGCAATTAGTATGTGGCAGATCTATCCTGAACAACATCCCTGAAGTGAAAAGGGTTCCTCAAAGCATGAGGGTATGTCCCGGTGAGTAGGGTTCATCTGACACTACAGTGAGACAACCCTGCTCCAAAGAAATACTTGTGACTCATGGAGACTCATGGGCTTGTCAGTGGCTGGTGACTTCTACTCAACTTGATAGTTTCTGAAGACCCATCTGTGGCAGACACAGCTATCTTCTGCCAGTTTCCACTCTTCCCTTCTGTTTTAGCAATAGTACTCTGATTTTATTTAGGACAGAAAAGTCATCAGATAAAAGAGGGCAGATCTCCTCTTCCCTTGGAGCTACGTGTAGCCATTCGACCATGTTACTTTGACCAATGATGTGTGGATGTTGTTAAGAGAGGCATCTGGGAATGTTCCTTCAAAGAACTTGGATGTCTATTTGCCCTGCCCCCATGTCTTCCTTCCTATTGCCTGGAATGTAGAAGTGATGAAATGGAACTTCAACAGCCATTTTGGAGCACAGGATAACTTTGAGAATGGAAGCTATACAGTAGGGATTACAGCACAGAAATAGGAGACCAGTTACTTCAAGATCACAGAGCCCACTACCTCCAGACTTGTTTATATGTGAAAAATAATGCTTATGTGTTATAGACACTGTTATTTCGGATATTCTGTTATATCTAATGGATTCTAATAGTAGCTGATAAAATCAATGATCATGATTAGTTGAAGACAAGTATAGTATGATGGTCCATCTTGACAACTTCTTTCTGAAAAGAGCTCCACACACAATGAGAATATTCTATTTAGAAAAAAACCAAATAAGTGAAAAAAAGACCTAAAAAATTGGTTAGCTAAGTTAAAAAAGATGCAAATACACATGAATATATACATTTATACACATACATAGTTAAAAGATGGGGTAAATACACAAAAATGTTAAGTGTTTATCTCTGAGTGGGGTAATTATGTAAGTTTTTTTGGCTTGTTTACATTTCCACATTTTCCACAACAGAAACGTGTTTACTTTTAAAATCAGCTCCCCCTGATCCCTGGAAAGAATCAGCAAAAAACCAAAAACGTCCAAATTAAACCAGCATTACTAAAATGAAACCTGGTCACAGAATTAGGTTGTCAGTTTACTTAAGTAACAAAACATGTAATTGTTTTTGTGCTGACCAGTTCTTCCATGATTAATAATTTTAAGAACTGAACAATGGAATTTAAATGCTAGCTTTTTCAAGATCTAATAAAATTATGATATTTTATTTTACAATTAAAAAAATTAACCACAACCAGCTTAGCTATTATTTTGTCACTGGAATGAAGAAGCAGATAGAAGGTCAAATCATACATGGATCTGGAATACATTTTTCTGTTAAATTTGAAACAAAATATTTGCTATTATTTGAGTTCAGCACAAAAATCTAGTAGTATCACTGAAAATCCCCAAAATATTCTGGTTTTGGCAGAATTTCAATTTCTCACTTAGACTTTCAACTCATGTTTGAGCAGAAAGAATTACATTTGATAAAATCTGTAAATGAGGAAGGCATACTTTCTCATCCAAATAATTTTACAAGTCATACCTTCCTTATTTGGAATTTGAGATAAATGCATAAACTATTGCTAGTAACTTAGAAAAATATATTGTAAACCTACTTCCTATTTAAAAAAAAATATAAGACACACACAAAAAACCTTTGACAACTGAAACTACCATGGCCAAAAAGGCTTATATACATTTTCACTCTTCAGACTTGTAGTTCCTTTTTACCTGTGGTTGCGGCGATCCTAGCTTCTATTTCAGACATGTCAGCACTCATCCTCTTGCCCTCAGAGGTTGGGGGCAAGCTCTCCACACTGCTCCCACGGGAGGCTCCCAAGCTTAAACGTCCAGATTCACTCTGTTAAAATTACAGGTCAATCTGAATTACTGAAGTTCTTTAGATTTAGCAATCTTAGGCAACCTAAAAGGAGGAAGATGGCAAATGGGATTCTGATAGATCCTGTTCTGCTCTGAAAGGAGAGGGAAGTTTGTACGAGAGGGAGCTACAGGGGTAAGGGAAAGCAAGCTGCAGATACTGTCTTTATGAAAAGGCAGTCACTAGAACTGGGAGCTAAAAGCCCCAATTATTCGTTAACCTAAATGCCTCAGGCAAAATGAATAAACTCACTCCTTGAAATATTTTTAAAAATCAACAATGGCAAAAATATAATAAATCTGAACAGCATGAAATGATAGACTTAGAACAACTCCTCTAACTGGGCAGCGCAGCCAAAATATACCCATTTTACATTTTTAACCATCAACCATTACATTTAGGGATTATTATAGATAGGGATTTAGAATTGGCAAAGGTAGCAATCATTAGAAGGAAAAACCATTTGGTAATAAATGGTAGGAGAATCTCATTACGTGTCTCTATTTGTAAGCTCTTTTGCATGTTTCAGGAAGAAAATTCAGGATTTATAAAATAGAAGATGGTAAATAATTAATTTCAGTTAGTATAATATTGTGACTACTGGTAAGGTTACCAGTTTTACTTGTAATAACATAACAAACCTGTTGCTTTGCCTGATTTTTCAACAATTTTGATTCTAAGCGCTTAATAGTATCATTTGTGGCAGGAACTTGCTCCATATTAGTGTCACTTTTGTTACTCGTATTTGTAGAAGCAATGTCCATGAATGAGCCTAGGAAAAGCAGAAACATTTATGACTAATGGCTGGAAATAATACAAATGCTTCACTTGGTATTATGTAACTTACATTCTTTTATAAACTAGCCAGGCAGGAACAGAAATAAAATAAGACTTTTCAAGCTAATGAAGATATCCAAACAAACCCATTTTAAGAGAAACTTAAGGATAGCACAAAAAAGGAACCAAGATGCCTAAATAGTCTTCTAATAGTCAAGAATAACTTAAGGTTTTTAACCTGAGCTAGTAGAAGAACTGAGGGCTATTAATTGAGATGCGGAAAGACTAAAGGAAGAGTGAGTTTGAAGGAAGTATCAGGAACTCAGTTTGGAAAATATTAAGTTTGAGTTTCTAGTAGATGTAAAGGAAATAGTTGGATATATGAGTATAGAGTTCAGGTATAAGATGGAAAACATTATGAGCCAACAGATGGTATATAAGGCCATAATAATGAATGAGGTTACCAAGGAAATGAGTGCAGACAGATAAGTGAAGAAGCCAAATGAGCAGGCCCTGGGCACTCCAACATTTCTAGGTTGGGGAGATGAGGAATAACCAGCAAAGAAAACTGAGAACAGACGGCCAGAGATGTAAGATGGAATCTAGGCTAGTATGGTATCTCGGAGGCCAACTGAAGAAAGTGCTGTCTGTAAGAAGGAGAAAGTAATGAATTAGGTCAAGTGCTACTGAGAGTCAAGATGAGAAATGAAAATGATTCCTTAAATGTAGTGATGTAGAGATAACTAGTGACCTTGACAAGAACAATTCTGAAGTACTGGCATAATACGTCTGAATGGAGTCAGCTCAAGAAAGAAGGGGAAAAGAGAAGCTAGTGAATGCAAATACAGACTACGTATGTTTTAGGAATGATCCAGTAGAAAGCTAAAACTGATGATGCAAGAGACAGGGGAGAATTGCTCAGAGGAGCAGATGGGATATAATGCACAGGCAGAAAGGTACACCTTTGGCCAGAAGTATGGATAGTTTAGCCAGAGTAACAGAAGAAAGCAGAGTAGATGGGCACAGATGTTGTGGAAGCTGTCTTCCGATTACTCCAATTTTCTCAGAGAAAGAGCAAACAAGATCAGCTGAGAGTGAGGAGTGGCGAGGAGGTGTTTGAAGTCTGAGGAGAGGCTACAGTATAAAATTAAGACATATAGGAGGAAAGAGATGAACTACAATACAGTACAACTGTCCAATAGCACTAAACATGCACGTGAGGATAGTAAACCTGTGCTATCTCCAGCCACACTCAGCTGCATTGGTACAGGCAAGGAGTAAGCCGAGTGTCAGCTTTCATTAGGCTTGTGGTTTAGCCAAGCAAGCTTGAGAGAGAGGCTAGAAAGATGAAAATTATTCCCAAAAGAATTATAATAGTTGATTGGAATTAAGTGGAGGGAGAAAGAAAAAAGGACCTAAGAGGACTGAGGACCAGTGAAAAGGTGGGAGGCTCAAAAAATTCAAGGTCACAGTAAGGAAATGAAGAGAGAGTTTAGAGGACGTGGGAGACACAAATGATAGAATTTTAGAGAAGTACATTTTAGAATTCAGAGCAACTCAAAATATTTTCAGTAAAACTGGAATTTGAGAATAACTAGCCAAGCAGTAACCATCTTAAAATAAATAAAACTATTCTTGAGGTGGGAGAAATAGATCAGTAAAAGTATTTTTCAATAAATGCAGGGTAAATACATGTGCATATAGACACACACATATCTTTAAGTTTCAATTAATAATGAAATGCTTATAATGCCACTATATTTTGAGAAGTACAATATTTCTAAGTTACAGTATTATTTCTACTATCTTTTTGATGACCACAAATTACATGTCCCACTACTACTTCACATTTCGGAAAACTAAGGAACTTTTAACATAGCTTCTTAAATCAGAGCCTCTGTAGAAGAGAACAAAAACTAGGGTGTTCGTGATGAAGAAATGTTTAAATACATTTACAATAATTTCTAATACTACTTGATCTAGTAGTATGCATGTAAAAGTGATTTTTCAAGTTAAGAATGACATTCACTGTAATACAATATGCCATCTTTTTATTCATAATTATGTAGGAATTCTAAGACTTGGAAGCAGGTCTTCAATAACTCTTTAATCAGGGTACCTACATGAAGAATGACGCACCTGTAAACTCAAATTGCAGTCAATCATATGAAATGAAGGAATTAAAATGCAAATGGGGACATTATTCATTACTTCTTGATTATAATTTCATGGGAATAGAGATGAAAGAAAAATCAAGTCAATACTCTTCCAATCTATCCATTTACCTGTACTGGTGGCAGAGTTGCTCTGTCCTTCATCTGAATACTGACAAGGATACTGTAATGGCTCATCTGCTCCTGGAAAGTACTATATATAAAAAAGTAAACCACAGCTTAAAATTTCCTTAATACAAATTAAATCCTGATTAATGTTTTATTTTCCCTAAGTTATATACTAAATTTGTAGGTGCCTAAGTTTTTTATTTTACAAAGATTACAATAATGTACTCTTGGATTTCAACTTTGATCAATGCCATGCACCTACCTAAGAATCTAGCTTACATTGGAGTCTAGATAGTCTTGAAGAAAACAGCAAATATTTCTCTAGAGAAACATATGAAATAAAATAGTATCATTTCTCATAATTATGTAAAACATACTCATGTTCTTACAGTAGTGATGTAAACTTCCAGTGACTGTTAGTCTGAAGACTGAGACTAGTATACCATAGAATAATTGTTAGAACATTTTAAATATTAAGAGGATAGATTATGAATGTCTTTCTACAAACTGGAGGCATAATACTCAAAGTATCTGCTGGACAAAAATGTTAGAATTTAGAGAAAAAAAGGAAACGTATTCTCCTCAAATTAGACAAGGAACAGAGAAGCAAAATTACAACTGCAATAACTTATATATCCTAAAGTTTTAAGTAATCTGACTACAGAGACTAAGTTGTTTTCTTATGCACACACCTTTAAGGCCTAGGCTTCTATATATGACTGGTATCCAAATACGATGGTAAACTTTTAGTAGATTAGTTCAAGCTGCTTTGCGTAAGAAATTTTCAATAGATTGAATAAACAACGTTTTACCATTTAGGAAATTACTTAGTCTATATTTAAGGAGATTGTAAGATTCTTCTACTGAACAAACTGTTTCAAAATTCAGGCACTTTCATAGATATTTGAACTTTTTAAAGCCAAGATACCACTTCACAGTTTTTGTTAATGTACCAAAAACCAGAGGCGTAAAATATTCCAAATAATTCTAAAGGCGCTTGATTCACAGACTAGGAAAATTTGATAATCATTTAAAAGGGTTCTTCTAAATAGAAGAAAGTTTAACTTTTTACTGGGATATAAAAACCTGAAAATAGGCCAAATAGTAAAAGTCACTCAAATAAATGTGTCTGAGAATGCAACCTATTGCCTTGCATAAATGACTAAATGCTTGATGAAAATTGGTATCAGAAAAATGTAAAATTTAGTTTATCATGTATTGAAGTCATAATATTAATATATCCAAGTCCTGTGATGGCTTTAGAGACTATCTATTTCAGTTTCTCCCACATTACAAATGAGGCAACAGGCCCAGAGACAAACATACTTGTCCACTAATGTAAGCAAAAAGAAAAAAGCAAGTCTAGAAACCTAGTCTAGCCATCTTTCCAGTGATAAAGAACTAGATTTTCCCTCTCGAAATGTTTCCTCTTCTGACTATGAGTAATAAATGCCCATTCTCACTTAGAAAACATAGCAATATATAAAGCAGAATATAGTAATAACATCCCTTTTAAAATTCCATTAAAACTCAGCACATATTAAATTCCCCTAAATCCAAAGCCCCTCAAAAGAAGGATTATACCCGCATCAAGTGAGTCATTATTTTCACAATTTCCTCCATTGAAGGGCGCTGGGAAGGATCTTTAGACCAACAACGAGTCATCAGGCTCTCAATGGGCTTAGGTAAATTTTTTATCAGTGGTGGTCGAGTACCTACAATTGAAAATGAGAGGAAGGGGGGAAGAATGTATTTACCCAAAGAATGATGCAAACTCTTTGTACGTATTTCCAAAGTGGTATTTATTTTATAGATCTTGTAGTTTAAGATCTGTAATTTGGAGTAATAAAAGTGCTTTGTAATTTTATCAATTAACAAGTTAGTTCTTTTACTCTTTACTTCACGGACGTTCAATTATTTACTGACAACTGATAGAAAGCAAGCAAGCAAGCTGTCCTGGTCAATGCTGAACAGTCTCCACAATGATACTAATGGTAGTAATATTAAAGGCAGTATAGGAAACTGGTAAAAACAGCTAAGATTACTCAGATGATGGTACTGTTTGATAAATCTATGAATGACCTAAATAATTAGGCAGACATTTGTTTTTAGACTTGTGGAATAATGTAAAAAATGGCCATTAGTCACATGATTATAAACAAGGCATAGAAATGAAATAACTAAGAGTGGCGCTAAAATTAAGAAGGTAAGTAATTTTCCTTCATGAAAAGCTATTTTCCCAAGCAAATGTAAAGTAACTTTACTAATGAAGAGGATGCATTCTAACATCATATGTGGTTAAAAACAACATTACCAGAACTATAAAAGAAACAGGACAGATGCAAGGACATTGAGTCCATAAGTCAATATGACTTAAGATATGAGCATTCAAGTCAGAAGCATCTGGATTTGAATCCCAGCTCTACCACTTACTAATCTTGTGACCTTAAGCAAGTTATTTAACCTCTCTAGGCCTCAGTTTCCTAATCTGTAAAATGAGGCAACAGTACTCACCTTCTAAGGGTGGGTGAGAATATAAACAGGAAAAATATGTGAAGCATTATTATTCTTTGCTTCTTCTCCTTGATGAGGCCCTTGCTTCTTCAGGAGAAAAGGGCTATAACTCTCCAGTTATATTAACCATGTCAGAGATTTTATGTATGTATTTTTTTATTTTTTCCATGATCCAGCCTGATGCTTCTCCCTAAGAGAGAGCCAACTGTCTAGGTTGCGTACTGATGGCCTTTCCCTAATCAGCGGAGCCAGTGAACATCCTCAGCCGCATGTGTAGACCAGGACTACTCTCAATCCTGCTCTGCTGGACTCTGGGGCAGGGACAGGGCAGAGTCTGATAATAGCAAAGCAGTCTCTTAACAAAGAATTGTACATTTTAATGTTAGAGATAAATGATATTCTTTAGGGAAGGGGACAGGAGTAGTCTTCCAAGTAGAAAACACAAAAAGTACTTTTAAGAAAAATTTCTTTTTACGAACCATTATGAACAGCCCACATGATTCGGAAAGCTGGGCCACCAATCTCATCAAAGGGTTTCCGACGCGTTATCACTTCCCAAAGAATAATACCCCAGCTGAAGACGTCACATTTTTCACTGTAATTACTACCTAGAAAAAAAAAAGGTAGTATATAACCTAAAGACTATTTTTCCACATGACTTACAGAAACAATGGCTTAAATTTTGAGAATGGGTATCAGGGATAAAAATGAGGCTGTCACATGTAGAACTAAGAAACTACTCTTTCTGAAGTACTTTGTCTTTTCAACAAGTACATTTTTAAATGAATTAAGTATCAACAATACACTAAAAAACTACTTCAGAAACTCAGTTATTTTCTATCTTTTTTCATCAAGAGGCAGTTTTTTCATCAAGAGGCACAGGACTTGACTTTTATGTATTTAGACTGATACTTTCTCTGGGGCAGAGTATGAAACATCTGTACATTCCTTTATGTTGTTTATTATTATTTTATTCTGAGACAGGATCTCACACTCTCATCCAGGCTGGAGCTCAGTGTAGCCTCAAACTCTTGGGCTCAAGTGATCCTCCTGAGTAGCTGGGGCTACAGGCATGCGCTGGCACAACTGGTTAATTTTTTAAATTTTTTGTAGAGATGGGGTCTTGCCATGTTGCCCAGGCTGGTCTCAAACTCCTGGGCTCAACTGATCCTCCTGCTCTGGCCTCCCGAGGCGCTGGGATCACAGGCATGAGCCATTGTGCCTGGCCTCCTTTCTGTTACATTTTAATCTTAAATTTTCTTCCCACTCTGACAGACAGCACTACTCTGCTATCAAAGCAGAAGAACTTTCTAATTTAGTGTTACAGTTTTTTCCTCAATATATGGTGAAGGGAAATTCTTAATTTATAAACTTAAACATTACGTTGTAAGTAACGAAAATTATGGATAACCTGAGTTACACAGCAAAATTTACAAACTAAGTAGGTGGTTGAATCAGCCAGCACAATAAGCACCCGTCATAATCTCCCAAAAACAAACAAACACTCAACTCACTGTAAGAATGAACAATTATTATAGCTATAGCTTTACATGCTAAGCAGTACACTGTAATATAGCACTACAACCATGCTACAGTCTAATTTGGGCTACAGGTTGACTGACATCTTTCAGAAATGAAGAAACTTACACAGCCTAACAGTCTGCATTTTGTTGCTCTAGACAATTAAGGGTTGTCTAGAGCAATAAAATTAATCTTTTGTATAAACAAATCTTTTTGCTCTCCACATACAGTAACATTGGGTCATTTTAACTCACATAAAGGTATATTAAATAAGTAAATAATTTTAAAACAATGTCAAATGTATACATTCTGTATATGAAACAGGAGGCATTATTTAATCTTGTGTAATATAACACCTGATTATTCATTTATTACTAAATTGAATTTTAGGGCAAAAGAGCTCCACTCAGGTGACTAGTTGCATTGCAATTTCTCTTCCTCTGGGGTGGCTAAAAACAAACAGAAAACCCTTTAAAGTCATCAAAACTGAAAGAAATAAGCTATAACCAGAGTCTGATTAACTGAATGTATCTGAATTTTATGGGCATTTACACTTCCTAACATACAAATCACATACCTTCAGTTCAACTTCTTTCATTTAAAAGATAATTTGATGTTTTTATACAGAAACCTAGCATATAATTTACAGACAACTCTTTTAAAACTTCAGTGACATATGGAGGTATAAAAGAAGGTAAACATATAAGCTTGACATTTATTTGTAATTCTTAGTATCTTATTTCTGTCCAATTACTTGCATTCTTTTTTTTTTTTGAGATGGAGTCTTGCTCTGTCACCCAGGCTGGAGTGCAGTGGCACGATCTCGGCTCACTGCATGCTCCGCCTCCCGGGTTCACACCATTCTCCTGCCTCAGCCTCCCGAGTAGCTGGGACTACGGGCGCCCGCCACCACGCCCGGCGAATTTTTTGTAGTTTTAGTAGAGATGGGGTTTCACCGTGTTATACAGGATGGTCTCGATCTCCTGACCTCATGATCCGCCCACCTCAGCCTCCCAAAGTGCTGAGATTACAGGCCTGAGCCACCGCGCCCAGCTATTTGCATTCTTTTTAAGGCATCCTCATTTAAACTTTAGGGCTCTCAATTTTTAATTGCTAGGAAACCAATACAAAAGCACAGTTAATTCTCATTATTCCTGGTATTTATGTTCTATAAAGTTTCTGAGAACACTGAATTAGTGAACACTGAATCACTGCTCCTAAGGAAAATACAGGGGTAGGTTCCTGTGTGCCTCTGGTCACCATGTTTTTGTCAACTGATCAATATATAGCCTTGTTTCATGCGTATTTCTGCTTAAAGACACCTTATTCATATATACTGTTGATTTATTACCATTGAACTCATAGTCAACATTTCTGTAACTCATGCCTGAATGAAGATAATTTAACATATGTATATTGTCTGTTAAGATACATCATAGCCTTCTTGTACTTAGGCAGTACTATGCTTGAGGGCCATTTTAAGTAGCAAAATTACCAACAAAAATCACAAAAATGAAAAAGGGCTCTGAACAGCACAAAAAAGGACACCTGCTTACAGCATGAGAGCTGAAACAAGACGGAAAAACGTTGTCTTGTTCAACCTCAGCTGGAAGCATGCGTTAGATGACTCAAAATTTGCACTGCTCAGCGCATGCACACTGTCTGCGAGTACATGAAAGCACTGTCTGCAAATAACCATGAAAGCACCATGAGTATTAATTTTGGGGTTACAAATAAATGTTAGCAAATAGGCAATTTTGCAATTAAGAAATTGGTGAACAATGAGGATCAACTGTACATATGCTTAGAAGCATAGAAGATTTAAATCTTACTATAAAATTTAGGATATAACACTATATTTAATATCCCCTTAGATTTCATTGTATACTTTATGTATTATGCAGAAATAAAACCATGGAAATGGGGAAAATCTATAAAAACATATGAATTCACAAGGAGTGAGGGAGATTATCAAACATACCATACTTTTGCCATTTTACCTTCAAAAACTTCAGGTGCCATCCAAGCAGCACTCCCCTTGTTATTGGTCATGTGTGTCTGAATGTCACAGGCTGTACCAAAATCACAAATTTTTAGAACTGTCCCCCCTGCAACCAGCAGTAAGCTGTTTAAAAAAAAACAAAAAACATCAAAAGTTACAAGGCCAACATTTTATTCTACAATAAAAGAAGAGACATTTGTGGAAATGGAAAAGGTTAAGCAAAATGAATGTTATCATTCAACTTCTGTGAAATGACTAATTTACTTGGTCACTATAAAAGCCTAATAGTTCAGAGAAATAATAAGCAAAAATTAATTAACCATAACCTAGCTCTCTTTGGAAGGCTGCTAGACTCACATTCTGATGTCTTCATCTCTAGCTCCAAAATCTTTCCTGATCATACTTCTATCTGGCCAAAATAAAACGTGGGGTTTAAAAAACTTCTGTTAGGTCAACATTACGGTATCCTGAAATGGGAGTTTAATCATAAATATGTATTACTTAAAAAATAGTAACACTATATAAAGAAAATAATCCAATATAGAAGGAAAAAAATGGTCTGTAATTTAATGTCTTTATTTTGAAGATACTTCTAAAAATGTTCAATCCCAAAACCATTTTTGTGCTTAGACTATGAATGTGTGGGAGGAATACAAATCTATTATAGCTAAAATGACCTAATGAGAGATTTCTGGAAAATTTTCTGAACTTAAGATTCGGACTTTCCTAGGTGTACTATTACCCAACTACAGTCACCAAGTAGCATACTCTTACTTACAAGGTTTTGCTTTTCATGACAAAGAGAAATAGAAATGGGTAATATAATTTGCACCATCACATTGTAGTAATATCCAATAGCAGTACATAGGAATTCATTTTAATTACAAGTTTTATAAACTTTTTACATCTGGAGAGACTATTTGGAAATTTCTTCTCTTTTAGTCCAATGTGACTAAAATAAGTCAGATAAACTACTATTCACAGTTCCATAATACCAAAAAGACTCTCATAATCATTCCAGTGAAAAGAATGCTAAATCCAGTATACCTCTATATGTACTTCAACAAAGCTTTTTTCCCGCATCTCAATGTTCTTGTTCAAACTCTTACACTTTTTACCCAAGAAAATTATAAGAACTCTGTAACTAGTTTCCTTGTTTTATACTGGTATATTCAAGATATCAAGATAATTTCTGATGATTCAAGATAATTTTCCTGAATGAGTTTTATGTTAGTACTCCTTTACTCGACTTCAAAAGTTCACCAGCCTTGAACAGGAAATTCAGGGCTCACTGAAATCTGAACTTAAATTATCTTTGTAGGCTTACTTTCACACTGTTAAGATTAAAAACACATTTTAATTTCTAATGTAAATGTGAATAAACTTGCAAAAGATAAAATACAAGCACAAGCACAACTTGATAGTGTATAAAACACCTCCCTAGATCATCAGGTACCTTCTTTAGATACCATTTTGAGGAACTCTTCCTGACCACAGAATCTGTAGGTTTTCCACTGACAATAAGATATAGCAGGTATTGGCCGGGTGCAGTGGCTCAGGCCTGTAATCCCAGCACTTTGGGAGGCTGAGGCGGGCAGATCACGAGGTCAGGAGATTGAAACCATCCTGGCTAACACAGTGAAACCCTGTCTCTACTAAAAATACAAAAAATTAGCCAGGCATGGTGGCACATGCCTGTAGTCCCAGCTACTTGGGAGGCTGAGGCAGGAGAATTGCTTGAACCCGGGAGGTGGAGGTTGTAGTGAGCTGAGATTGCGCCACTGCACTCCAGCCTGGGCGACAGAGCGAGACTGTGTCTCAAAATAAAAAATAATAATAATAATAAAAATAATTAAAAAATAAAGATATAGCAGGTATTCATGTATGTCCAATTATATATAAAATCATAGCCATTCCAAAGAATTTCTTTTACCCAGTACTTTCTGAACTAGAATCAATTCTGATTCTAAAGTCCAACTTGTATACCAGGGGCTCCAAAGACGATTTGCAAGATGAATCCAATCATGGAGAGGCCTGGAATAAATGACCTAGACCAGACCTTCTGTAAATATGTTAATGGTATTTACTAGCAAAAGGAGAATCTCTATCTACAAATGATTTTAGAAGGATATATCTGGTCTAACTAGGTTGATTAAATAAACCTAAAATTCATGGGGTGTAGTTGGATGAAGATTAGGGATAGTCATTTAAACCATGTAATTAGTGCAATGTAAAAGATGTTAGAAAATGGAAATGACTTCCTTTTGTAAGATATTTCTCCATATATTGTTCAATAACTAATCATTTATTCCAAAGCCAAAACATACTGTAACGAGGAGAAAAGGGATACTTTTGGGTGTTGCATCAGATGCGTTCAGACTCTTTTAGGAAAAGAATGCTTTGGCTGTATCTGATGCTTGCCTATATCCTTTGGATCATTTGTCAATTTGTTGCTGGTTAAGAGCTGTGATTCTCATAAGTTTGCTTTAATAATTCAACTCTGTTAATATAGTGGAAAAAGGATGACTGAATATTCACAATGAAGAAAAAAAGGCTAAGTGATTTTTTCATTAGTTAAGGCAGGTAACTAAGATAATAGCCTCAGGAAAAATAAAAGCTTAAACATTATTTTATCAGTGACCTGGGGAAACAGAAATCAGTTTAAGTTTGGGAGTAGAGATAAGATACATAGCAAGAACAGTGATTCTAAGAGTTGGAACCTATGTAGAGTATATCAGATTAGACCTGAGAGTGACAAGTTGCACCCAGAAGGGATGTTTTAATGCTTTAACCAGTATCAAGAGAATGGAATAACTGAAGACTATACTGATTTCCTAAGGGAAACCTCTTCTGTAAAGACTAATGTGCTGGGGTGGGAGCTTGGGGGGAGGGTAAAGAAGATACGTGGAGACTATTTTTACTGTGTCACAGGTGCATAAAAGAAAAAAAAAGAGAGAAAAGGAAACAATATGTTTTATGTGTATGTTTTCTTTAACTGAATACCTATACAAACAAAACCCCCAAAGTTTTAGTCTT
The DNA here is from genome assembly GCF_000001405.40 of Homo sapiens. Lineage (NCBI taxonomy): Eukaryota > Metazoa > Chordata > Mammalia > Primates > Hominidae > Homo > Homo sapiens. Next base: position 90,559,538 of record NC_000006.12, read on the forward strand.
TTAAAATACTTATCTAAGGAATTTATAAGTTTTTTAAAGTCCCAAGTATTCACATTATGAAGAATCCAGAATATTTTCAATTTCTACCCAGATGCCAAGAAATGCCCTTTTACTTTCCTCTGAAAGAGCAAGTAATAACAACTCTGCAAATTTCTGTAGAATGTTTATGTGCTAGGTGTTAGGGACACAGCAAGAAAAACGTCAGACCTATCTCTGCCCCCAAGGAATTGTCTAACAGCAACATTATATACTGCAGGCACAAAATGAGATTTTTATAGGCTAACAGATTCTAGAAGTATGCTAATCTAAGGTAGAGGTTACCAAAAATAAAAATCCCACTAAAGACAACATCTAAAATACAAGCTTAGATAAATGACTAAATGATGAAGGTGAGTTAAAAGTAAACACTGAGTAAGCCAAATAGAGAAAAGAGAAACTCCTGTACAATAATGAGCTTGAATTAGAGAGTGGGTTCGGGGTGGTGAGAGTGAGAGAGAAGGAGGAAGAGGCTGAGGGGTGTCACATTATTATAACTTACTTTGGTGGTTTCAGGTCCCTGTGAATTAGCGCTTTGGGTTGCATGCTGTGAAGATAAGCCACTCCTTGGGAACACTGTAAACACCAACTCATTGCGTGGGCAGCAGTATAATATGGCAATGGTTCAGCACCATGCAGCACTGCGAAAGAAAGGCACAAACTAAAAAGAACTTTATTGCATATAACAAAAGACACAATGTGAATGCAAGCACTATCAGAACACATGACTGGGTATTTTTCTACATATACATATGCTCCATCAGTCCTGCTTTTAATTTTTTACTTTCTTTTTTCTTTTTGTTTTTTGAGACGGACTCTCACTTTGTCGCCAGGCTGGAGTGCAGTGGTGCGATCTTGGCTCACTGTAAACTCCACCTCCTGGGTTCAAGCGATTCTCCTGGCTCAGCCTCCCGAGTAGCTGGGACTACAGGCGTGTGCCACCACGCCCAGCTAATTTTTGTATTTTTAGTAGAGATAGGGTATCACCATGTTGGCCAGGATGGTCTTGATCTCTTGACCTCATGATCTGCCTGCCTTGGCCTCCCAAAGTGCTGGGATTACAGGAGTGAGCCACCATGCCTGGCCTTTTAATTTTTCTTCTAAATAAAAAGGATGAAAATATCTACTAATTTTGAGTGGATAATTGCCATGATATTAACATTTAATAGTACATCTATTAAATGTTATTCCTACATTGAAGTAAAATCAATATACATTACCACATTTTTTCAAACAGATAAAGACTTTTATAAAGTAATATAAATTATGAGCAGTCTTATGGCACACTACTACAAGAGAGAGGCAGAGAACAGTACAGAAAGAAACAAAACAATGTATATCAAGATGTTTGCACCTGTATTTTCTGTAATGGCTAAAAACCAGAAGTAGTTCAATCAAATAAGACAATGGGGTATTAGATATCCATCACAATGATGAACACATGGGCAGTAAATATAAGTAAAAGTTTACATAAAATAATACTAATTAAAAAATAAAATGTAACAATTTGTTTTATATAACTGGTGCTACAAGAGACAATACATTTCTGCATATGGTTGGTATTTTTAGGGTAAAAGAACTCTGTTCTCCAATGTAACTACACAAAGTTTTTTTTCATTACTACAAATAAAAGGTTGTGTGAAGTGAGTTTTCACATTTTTTTTTGAAAAAAAAGAAAAAATAAAGCAGAGTGAAATCGAAATATGGTTAAAGAATTCTAAAATGAGGAGGCTCAAAGTTATGAGAGGGCAAAAAGAAAAAAATCTGAAGATATTTTAAAATCTATTTAAAAAGTAAACTTTTACTTAAATGCTTTTAATGAAATGCAAAGTACCATCTACTTAAAAAATTGATAGACCTCTAAATTTCACATACTAATGTTATAGAATCTTATCTTTCCATTTTTATTCTTAGCAGATTTTTAAAAATTATGCCCTTTTGGGACTCTGACGGCAAATTGTGAAGAATGTTAAACAACTTAGGGTTTATATTAAAATTTTTCAAATTATTTTAATCCACTAGATAAAGACAGGTCTAATGACACTCACCATTATATAAAGAGCCCCCTTCAGCATATTCCATCACAAGACACACCTAAAGGAAACATATATCAGAAGCATTAACCAAGAAGCTCCATCATCTTAGGGCCTTTGAGAGAGAATTTAATTCACTCCCCTGATTTTATAGATATATTAAAAATCATTCTTTTGGCCCCTACTATGTGAATAGTACTAGGGAAGGAAAAGGTATCTATGACCTAAGACTAAGACTGTCTTCTAGGAGTCCACTAACAGTGAAGATGTATGTAAAATACAATCACAGGATATTCTGGGGACTTTCTCCAGTGCCAGTAAGTAGGTGCTGCCACAGGACATCAAAAGCCTCATAAGAAGATGAGGTTATTGGACAAAATCACCTAAAAGAACTCTTCCGATACAGTTTTGCTAAAAGACTAGAAACAAGTCAAATGAACAAACTATAACTGTTCTTTCAGAAATACATCTAAGATAGCAGATCAAAATAGCTACATAGGAGGTTCCAAGATGGCCAAATAGGAAAAGCTCCAGTCTACAGCTACCAGCGTAAGCGACGCAGAAGATAGGTGATTTCTGCATTTCCAACTGAGGTACAGGGTTCATCTCACTGGGGCTTGTCAGACAGTGGGTGCAGCCCATGGAGTGTGAGTCGAAGCAGGGCAGGGCGTCGCCTCACCCGGGAAGCACAAGGGGTTGGGGAATTCACTTTCCTAGACAAGGGAAGCTGTGACAGATGGTACCTGGAAAATTGGAACACTCCCACCCTAACACTGTGCTTTTCCAACGGTCTTAGCAAACACCACACCAGGAGATTATATCCTGCACCTGGCTCGGAGGGTCCCATGCCCACGGTGCCTCACTCACTGCTAGCACAGCAGTCTGAGATCCAACTGCAAGGCGGCAGCGACGCTGGGAGAGGGGCGTCTACCATTGCTGAGGCTTGAGTAGGTAAACAAAGCAGCCAGGAAGTTCGAACTGGGTGGAGCCCACCACAGCTCAAGGAGGCCTGCCCGCCTCTGTAGACTCCACCTCTGGGGGCAGGGCATAGCTGAACAAAAGGCAGCAGAAACTTCTGCAGACTTAAACATCCCTGTCTGACAGCTTTGAAGAGAGCAGTGATTCTCCCAGCATGGAGTTTGAGATCTGAGAACGGACAGACTGCCTTCTCAAGTGGGTCCCTGACCCCTGAGTAGCCTAACTGGGAGACACCTTCCAGTAGGGGCAGATTGACACCTCATACAGCCAGGTGCCCCTCTGAGACGAAGCTTCCAGAGGAAGGATCAAGCAGCAACATTTGCTGTTCTGCAGTATTTGCTGTTCTGCAGCCTCTGCTGATGATACCCAGACAAACACGGTCTGGAGTGGACCTCCAGCAAACTCCAACAAACCTGCAGCTGAGGTCCTGACTGTTAGAAGGAAAACTAATAAACAGAAAGGACATCCACATCAAAACCCCATCTGTATGTCACCATCATCAAAGACCAAAGGTAGATAAAAACCACAAAAATGGGGAGAAACCAGAGCAGAAAAGCTGAAAATTCTAAAAATCAGAGCACCTCTTCTCCTCCAAAGCTCCTTGCCAGCAACGGAACAAAGCTGGATGGAGAATGACTTTGATGAGTTGAGAGAAGAAGGCTTCAGACAATCGGTAATAACAAACTTCTCCAAGCGAAAGGAGGATGTTTGAACCCATCACAAACAAGCTAAATACCTTGAAAAGAGATTAGCTGAATGGCTAACTAGAATAAACAGCATAGAGAAGACCTTAAATGACCTGATGGAGCTGAAAACCATGGCACAAGAACTACGTGACACATGCACAAGCTTCAGTAGCTGATTTGATCAAGTGGAAGAAAGGGTATCAGTGATTGAAGATCAAATGAATGAAATGAAGCAAGAAGAGAAGTTTAGAGAAAAAAGAGTAAAAAGAAACAAAGACTCCAAGAAATATGGGACTATGTGAAAAGACCAAATCTACATCTCATTAGTGTACCTGAAAGTGATGGAGAGAATGGAACCAAGTTGGAAAACCCTCTTCAGGATAATCCAGGAGAACTTCCCCAACCTAGCAACGCAGGCCAACATTCAAATTCAGGAAATACAGAGAACGCCACAAAGATACTCCTCGAGAAGAGCAACTCCAAGATACATAATCGTCAGATTCACCAAAGTTGAAATGAAGGAAAAAATGTTAAGGGCAGCCAGAGAGAAAGGTCGGGTTACCCACAAAGGGAAGCCCATCAGACTAACAGTGGATCTCTCAGCAGAAACTCTATAAGCCAGAAGAGAGTGGGGGCCAATAGTCAACATTCTTAAAGAAAAGAATTTTCAACCCAGAATTTCATATCCAGCCAAACTAAGCTTCATAGGTGAGGGAGAAATAAAATCCTTTACAGACAAACAAATGCTGACAGATTTTGTCACTACCAGGCCTGCTGAACAAGAGCTCCTGAAGGAAGCACTAAACATGGAAAGGAACAACCGGTACCAGCCATTGCAAAAACATGCCAAATTGTAAAGACCATTGATGCCAGGAAGAAACTGCATCAACTAACAAGCAAAATAACCAGCTAACATCATAATGACAGGATCAAATTCACACATAACAATATTCACCTTAAATGTAAATGGGCTAAATGCTCCAAATGAAAGACACAGACTGGCAAATTGGATAGAGAGTCAAGACCAGTAAGTGTGCTGTATTCAGGAGACTCATCTCACGGGCAGAGACACACATAGGCTCAAAATAAAGGGATGGAGGAAGATCTACCAAGCAAATGGAAAACAAAAAAAAGGCAGGGGTTGCAATCCTAGTCTCTGATAAAACAGACTTTAAACCAACAAAGATCAAAAGAGACAAAGAAGGCCATTACATAATGGTAAAGGGATCAATTCAACAAGAAGAGCTAACTATCCTAAATATATATGCACCCAATACAGGAGCACCCAGATTCATAAAGCAAGTCCTTAGAGACCTACAAAGAGACTTAGACTCCCATACAATAATATTGGGAGGCTTTAACACCCCACTGTCAATGTTAGACAAATTAACGAGACAGAAAGTTAACAAGGATATCCACGAATTGAACTCAGCTCTGCACCAAGTGGACCTAATAGACATCTATAGAACTCTCCATCCCAAATCAACAGAATACACATTCTTCTCAGCACCACATTGCACTTATTCCAAAATTGACCACATAGTTGCAAGTAAAACACTCCTCAGCAAATGTAAAAGAACAGAAATTACAACAAACTGTCTCTCTGACCACAGTGGAATCAAACTAGACTCAGGATTAAGAAACTCACTCAAAACCACTCAACTACATGGAAACTGAACAATGGACTACTGGGTACGTAACGAAATGAAGGCAGAAATAAAGATGTTCTTTGAAACCAATGAGAAGAAAGACACAACATACCAGAATCTCTGGGACACATTTAAAGCAGTGTGTAGAGGGAAATTTATAGCACTAAATGCCCACAAGAGAAAGCAGGAAAGATCTAAAATTGACACCCTAACATCACAATTAAAAGAACTAGAGAAGCAAGAGCAAACACATTCAAAAGTTGGCAGAAGGCAAGAAATAACTAAGATCGGAGCAGAACTGAAGGAGACAGAGACACAACAAACCCTTCAAAAAAAAAATCAATGAATCCAGGAGCTGGTTTTTTGAAAAGATCAGCAAAACTGATAGACCACTAGCAAGACTAATAAAGAAGAAAAGAGAGAAGAATCAAATAGACACGATAAAAAATGATAATGGGGATATCACCACCAATTTTACAGAAATACAAACTACCATCAGAGAATACTATAAACACCTCTATGAAAATAAACTACAAAATCTAGAAGAAATGGATAAATTACTGGACACATACACCCTCCCAAGACTAAACCAGGAAGAAGTTGAATCCCTGAATAGACCAATAACAGGCTCTGAAATTGAGGCAATAATGAATAGCCTACCAAACAAAAAAAGTCCAGGACCAGATGGATTCACAGCCGAATTCTACCAGAGGTACAAAGAGGAGCTGGTACCATTCCTTCTGAAACTATTCCAATCGATAGAAAAAGAGGGAATCCTCCCTAACTCATTTTATGAGGCCAGCATCATTCTGATACCAAAGCCTGGCATAAAAACAACAAAAAAAGAGAGTTTTAGACCAATATCCCTGATGAACATCGATGCAAAAATCCTCAATAAAATACTGGCAAACCGAATCCAGCAGCCCATCAAAAAGCTTATCCACCACGATCAAGTTGGCCTCATCCCTGGGTTGCAAGGCTGGTTCAACATACACATATCAATAGACATAATCCATCATATAAACAGAACCAATGACAAAAACCACATAATTATCTCAATAGATGCAGAAAAGGGCTTTGACAAAATTCAACAGCCCTTCATGCTAAAAACTCTCAATAAACTAGGTACTGATGGGACGTATCTCAAAATAATAAGAGCTATTTATGACAAACCCACAGCCAATATCATCCTGAATAGACAAAAACTGGAAGCATTCTCTTTGAAAACTGGCACAAGACAAGGATGCCCTCACTCACCACTCCTATTCAACATAGTGTTGGAAGTTCTGGCCAGGGCAATCAGACAGGAGAAAGAAATAAAGGGTATTCAATTAGGAAAAGAGGAAGTCAAATTGTCCGTTTGCAGATGACATCATTGTATATTTAGAAAACCCCATTGTCTCAGCCCAAAATCTCCTTAAGCTGATAAGCAACTTCAGCAAAGTCTCAGGATACAAAATTAATGTGCAAAAATCACAAGCATTCCTATACACTAATAACAGACAAACAGAGAGCCAAATCATGAGTGAACTCCCATTCACAATTGCTTCAAAGAGAATAAAATACCTAGGAATCCAACTTACAAGGGATGTGAAGGACCTCTTCAAGGAGAACTACAAACCACTGCTCATTGGAATAAAAGAAGACACAAATAAATGGAAGAACATTCCATGCTCATGGATAGGAAGAATCAATATCGTGAAAATGGTCATACTGCCCAAGGTAATTTATAGATTCAATGCCATCCCCATCAAGCTACCAATGACTTTCTTCACAGAATTGGAAAAAATTACTTTAAAGTTCATATGGAACCAAAAAAGAGCCCACATTGCCAAGACAATCCTAAGCCAAAAGAACAAAGCTGGAGGCATCACGCTACCTGACTTCAAACTATACTACAAGGCTACAGTAACCAAAACAGCACGGTACTGGTACCAAAACAGAGATATAGACCAATGGAACAGAACAGAGCCCTCAGAAATAATACCATACATCTACAACCATCTGATCTTTGACAAACCTGACAAAAACAAGAAATGGGGAAAGGATTCCCCATTTAATAAATGGTGCTGGGAAAACTGGCTAGCCTTATGTAGAAAGCTGAAACTGGATCCCTTCCTTATACCTTATACAAAAATTAATTCAAGATGGATTAAAGACTTAAATGTTAGACCTAAAACCATAAAAACCCTAGAAGAAAACCTAGGCAATACCATTCAGGACATAGGCATGGGCAAGGACTTCAGGACTAAAACACCAAAAGCAATGGCAACAAAAGCCAAAATTGACAAATGGGATCTAATTAAACTAACGAGCTTCTGCACAGCAAAAGAAACTATCATCAGAGTGAACACGCAACCTACAGAATGGGAGAAAATTTTTGCAATCTACGCATCTGACAAAGGGCTAATATCCAGAATCTACAAAGAACTTAAACAAATTTACAAGAAAAAATCAAACAACCCCATCAAAAAGTGGGCAAAGGATATGAACAGACACTTCTCAAAAGAAGATGTTTATGCAGCCAAAAGACACATGAAAAAATGCTCATCATCACTGGCCATCAGAAAAATGTAAATCAAAACCACAATGAGATACCATCTCACACCAGTTAGAATGGTGACCATTAAAAAGTCAGGAAACAACAGGTGCTGGAGAGGATGTGGAGAAATAGGAACACTTTTACACCGTTGGTGGGACTGTAAACTAGTTCAGCCATTGTGGAAGACAGTGTGGCAATTCCTCAAGGATCTAGAGTAGAAATACCATTTGACTCAGCCATCCCACTACTGGGTATATACCCAAAGGATTATAAATCATGCTGCTATAAAGACACATGGACACGTATGTTTACTGTGGCACTATTCACAATAGCAAAGACTTGGAACCAACCCAAATGTCCATCAATGATAGACTGGATTAAGAAATTGTGGCACATATACACCATGGAATACTATGCAGCCATAAAAAAGGATGAGTTCATGTCCTTTGTAGGGACATGGATGAAGCTGGAAACCATTATTCTGAGCAAACTATTGCAAGGACAGAAAACCAAACACCACATGTTCTCACTCATAGATGGGAACTGAACAATGAGAACACTTGGACACAGGAAGGGGAACATCACACACTGGGTCCTGTTGTGGGGTGGGGAGAGGTGGGAGGGATAAGCATTAGGAGAAATACCTAATGTAAATGACGAGTTAATGGGTGCAGCACACCAACATGGCAAATGTATACATACGTAACAAACCTGCACGTTGTGCACATGTAACCTAGAACTTAAAGTATAATAAAAAAAGATATCAAAAACAAGTAAGTAACTCAATAAATACATAAAGAGAAAGAAAAAAATAATAATATGGGAGCAATGCCACGGTGCTGTATTCTCACTATTTAGAGTGTGTTGGTGACATATTGTGCGTGTATAATAGCCACATGTACTCATATAGTCCTTGAACTATTGGGATCACTGCTGATATTTTAAAGTATTGGAGGTACCTTTTTATCTTGAAAAAATATAATATTTTTGAAAAACTTAAAAAAAACAAAAAAACCCAAAAATAGCTACATAAACTACACACACACATCTGCCATGTCATTTCTCACAGGTGACCATGAAAAAGTAACAAACTTACTGGATTCAAGCAGGCTCCATAAAGCTTTACAATATTAGGATGGTTCACACGGGATAACTGCCGAAGCTGTTAAGAAATTAAGGTTTCTTTTAAAAAGTGATAACTTTTGAAGTACTGATTTCACAGTATCATTAAAATCTTACTGTTGTACAAAACATTTGTTTAAATCATTCAACAATCACTATTTACTATGTAACAGGCATTGCAATCATAGTCACTGAAAATACCAAGTGACTGCCCAGAATGGCACAGAATCCCTGTTCTCCAGCTCATACAGTTTAGCTGGAGAGATAGACATCTAAACAAATAATTAAATCAATGTGCAAAGTGCTATAACAGGAGTTATGAACAAGGCACGATGAGTATATAGAATAAGAAGAGATGAACTCTGCCAAGAAATGTTAGGATATGATCCCAGAGATGGTACTGAGCTGCATTATCCAAACCAGACGTCATGCTATCATTGTTATCATCTTCATAGCTATAGTTGAACAGTCTAGCTACTCTGCGTGGGGCCCTAATGTGCACTTTATAGATATTGTATAATTATCACAACTCCGCAAGGTAGGTATTATCATTTCCATTTTAAAGATGAGATTTTAACCTCAAGTCTCAGAGAGGGTTGAATGACCTGTTCTATAGCTAAGAAGTGGGGTGTGAACTTTAGTCTATCTGACTTAAAATGTGCACTCCCTCTGTATACTTGCCTCCATTCCATTTCTCATTTCTTGAATTAATTCTCTCCTCTCCATTCCCACTGCCATTGCCTTAGTAATCCCAACCTGAACTGCTGCAGTGATCATTATAGCCTACTAGCTGGTTTCCCTCTTTCAGTTTTAATCATCCCTGATCCAATGATCCATACAGAGGTCAATGAGGGGTTTGGCTATACTCACTTCTCTTATTCTAGATCTCAAACTTCTTTCTTTCTTTCTTTCTTTTGAGACAGGTTTTGCTCTGTTACCCATGCTGCAGTGCAGTGGTACAATCTTGGGTCACTGCAACCTCTGCCTCCTGGACTCATGCAATCCTACCTCAGCCTCTGGAGTAGCTGGGACTACAGGTGCACAGCCACCATGCCTGGTTAATTTTTGTATTTTTTGTAGAGATGGGGTTTTGCCATGTTGTCCAGACTGATCTCAAACTCCTGGGCTCAAGCAACCCATCTGCCATTCCCAAAGTTCTGGGATTACAGATGTGAACCATCATGTCTGTCTTCAAACTTCTTTCTATTAATGCATCCCGCTCCACAGCAAACTGCTTCTTGCTCATTCTTTTCTCCCTTCTCCTCTCTTTTCTGCCCTTTTTCCACTCTTCTTCCTCTTCTCTATTACATACATTATGCTGCTGGCTCATATTCAGTACACTAATGTCTCTAAACCTTCATACTGTATGCTAATAAAAAGCTCTATCTATCTAGAGCCAACATGTGTGGATTTTTCGTCCAATAGAATTAGTATCACTATTTATTATATTTATTTACTATATGAAAATATATTTACTATATTTCATCTTGCTAAGGTTCAGCACTGAGATTCAGATAGCAGATTATACAAGCATTTTTTCCTCCTCTCTCCCTAATTCCCACTAAGATGGTAAAGATTTGAAAAATTTTAAGGCATAACCTCAGAAGGATGAAGAGAATGCAAAGTGCACAAACAGCATACATTTTTGGAAGCTGGAAAGCAAATGACTAGCAATAACTGATAGAGCAGACCTAGAAGAGCTGCATCATAAACTGGCAATGAGAAAAATGGAGAAACAACCAGATTTATCTCACAAAGCTTCCAAAAGGTTGGGGAGTGGCAGCAGAATGAGGTACCTATGCAAATGAGCTAATCAAAGGATAGGGCAGGGGACAGTGTAAAAGACTCAAAGATTCCTTCCTTGACTTCAAACAGCTCAATGACTATCTCTTATCATCCCAGCAGAAGACTAGAGGTTGATTCTTTAGAGAAGGGGTAATAAACAGCATCTGGACTGGGGACACCAAACATGAAGGAATGAGCTCAAAGTAGTTGTCTTTGGGAAGCAGAAAATTAGATTGGAGGAGGTACAGGAGACTGAAGTCTTTTTTACTAAGAATTTTTGGAGAACCATTTGATTTTTTACATTACATGCACATCTCATCTGGATTTAAAAAATTTTCTTCACGCTATTACGATCTTTTTGACTTGTGATTCCTAATGTTTAACACATATGCTATTTCACCCAGCTTTGTGAAACTGCTAATGTAACAGGAAATGATCAATAGCTTTATCTAAACTGTAATAAAAATATTGCATAAAACAAAGCTGAGGCTAGACTCCTAGAACATATTACTAGAAATCATCTTTCTTCATGCTGACATCAAATCACTTATCAGCATTTCTCAACTCATTCAGCCACTTACAAATCACTTTCTCATATCACAATTAAGTCCTCATTTTTCCATGTTATACATTAAAAATATGAAGTATATTTTGAAATTATGATTAAATGAAAAAACAGAGATATAAATTCAGAAGGCTTATAAGGTACAGGCCACTTATCCATTGGCCAATGAGGTTTAATAGTGATAAAAACATTGATTTAACTAAATAATGTGATCCAAAATACAAAATAACAAAGTTAGTAAAGGATAAATTTGATAATATGCTAATTTCATGATTATTGGATTTTCTTTCATCATTCAATCTAATCTATTTCTAAAAGAATAGGTGCAAATTTTCATGCTAAATGAGAAAAATCAAATTTGAAATAATTTTTCTTTAAAATAATCTGAGTTTCTAAAAACATTCCATTTAAAGTAAGTGTATAAAATTTCTTAATTTTAGATAATGGGAAAGCATACCATTTCTTTTCTATTTTAAAATTAAAATATTACGCCTTGAAATAGATCTGAATTCCATGGATGAAACTGTTTTAATTCAGGGGTGAATTCATTTATGTAGTTAAGTCGCTTTTCCCCTAATTTTTAATCAGAATTAAGAGTATGAACGAGAAAATGTTCCTATGGCAGTACCTTTGATTAAACCGAATTGCTGATGTTCATGTATACAAAGAAATGACATCTGAGAAACCAATCTTTTTCATAATATTAAATTCACAGAGTATCTTAAGTGCAGAACTACACAAAAGAAATGAAATCTCAACTTACCTCTACAATAAACGCTTTCCTCTCAGATTCACTTTCTATTTGTTTAATAGCAACATCTTTTGCTCTCCACTTAGCTTTGCAAACAACTCCAAAGGCTCCTCTTCCAACAACCTGAGTTAAACAAACAAACAAAAAACAAACAAAAAACACCACAAGAATCGGAATCAAATAGATCAGCCCAATATAAAAAACTAAAGTCAATCTTTAAGACTTTAAATTAAAAAAAAAAAAAACATGGAAATCAACAGTATCTGGATTTGCCACTGAACAAGTATGAATTTTTGTTAAAGTGAGAAGATAATTAAATGCATGCTTGTCTCTATCTTTGAAAGTTTATGATCTGTACACCCTTTCATTCTCAAGTAAAACCAAAAAAGACACATGGAGGAACAAAGTAAAGTGATTTGTTAAATGGAGAAAAAAAAACTAAAACAGACAAGATGAATGAGAAGACAGAAGATGATATGGAAAAACAAAAAGCAGGAACATATAATAAATATTTTCAGCTATCATATTTAAGAAATTAAAAATAGCCTTTGAATAATTCAACAGGGATAGGGAATGGAGGAGAAACGATATAAATATAGATGTTAAAAGACCGGCTATGAAGGACAGACAAAATATAGTATTATTTATTCCATGGAATTTTATTCCGCAAGAAAAACTATTGATATATGTTACTTACGATATGAACTCCAAAAACATTATGCTAAGTCAAAGAAGTCAGACACCAGAGACCACATATTGTATGATTCCATTTATACAAAATGTTCAGAAAAGGCAAATCTATAGATAGATACCTGGGTCCGAGGGTGAAAATTAGAATTAACAGTAAATGAGTAGCTGGTATCCTGACAAAGTGATGAAATTATTAAAAAAAAAAAACCAAAAACCTAATTTATGGTGGTGGCTGACAACCTGGTAAATTTGCAAAACCCACCAAATTGTACACTTCAAATGGGTGAATTTTATGATGTGTAAAATAGATCTCATTACAGTTATTTTTCAAAAGTCATAAAAATAAAGATCAGACATGTATCATACTATTGTTGAAGCCAACTGATGAATACTGCATGGGTTCATTGCTCTCTCATGGAGTCCTATTTTTACAAATATTTGACATTTTTCATAATATAAAAAAAGAAAACAAAAATAGCTTTTGATACTTGTTAGAATAAAATCATTAGATTTTATCATTGTGAAAGGACCTTAGTTAAGCACCACCTACTCCAATCTCTCAGCTTCCAATGAACCTAAGCACTTTGTATCAAGGCCTTTTTCTTTAGCAAAAAATCTGCATCTCTTAACCATATTTATATGTACTTTCTATGCAGCAGGCACTTAACTAATGCTTTATATACATTACCTCATTTACACAGGCCTAGAGGAAGGTACTAATGCTGTCCTCATTTTACAGTTGAAGTGCCTAGCTTTAAAGAAGTAAAACTTGCCCAAGGCTATATAGCTAGCAAGTGTTAAAGTGCAGTCTGATGCCAGGTAGTCTAACACGGGAATGTTACCAGTCCTAATTTGTAACATATATAAAGCCCCATGTCGGGAAGTAGAAGTTAGTATCTTCCCTTGGAGGAACTTTTACTTTAGACTTACATGAACAAATTCCTGGCACAAAACTCTTCTATAACAAAGTTGACTATAACTAGGTTGATCAAATGAGTTATTATCTAACTGAGGGCACTTTGGAGATCAAAAAAAGGGCATTAATAATAATAATATTAGGACACTAGTTGTAAACTGCGATGTGTATGACCACTCTAGCCATAGCTTAAATTCCACTTCATGTATCAATAAGGCAGAATGAACATTTACCATGTTGTTCAATGTCTAAAGCTACTCAAATGGTTAACATTTATTGAATGTTTACTATGTGCCAGGTACTATTCTATGTGCTTCTCATACATTAACACATTTAATCCTCTTCCATTTAAAAGGGAGGCAAATGGAGTCACATGGTTGTAACTTGCCCAAGATTGGATGGTCAGAAAATATTCAGAGAAGCCAGAATTTGAAGCCTAGAGCACCTAATGATGAACATACTCTATATTCAGCTTCTGTTCATCAGTGGCTTAAAGGAAATGGGGCTGCCTCTAGGCAAAATTTCAAAGTAGGCCAACTTCTCTGGTAGCTAGTCTTTGTTTTGTTGACTTCCCATTTCACTCGTCCTAGCCCTGGGCACTCAGTGTTCTGTGGTTTAGGTTCTTGTTCTCCTTCACAATTCTCATCAGACATTTGTACTTGCCATTCAGTTACTTTATTGTGAATAGAGGGTACTGGCTACCTGGTACCATTAGAATAAATGAAAGAGCACACCCAGGCTCTGAAATCCAACAGACTTGAGTTTGAATGTAGGGCTCTGTCTACCTATTATCTCTTAATGGTGGACAAGTTTGAGTTTCTGTTTTCTCAGCAGTAAAATAGAAGTGCTGACATTTTCCTTCATGAATATCTACAGGATTCGTAAGTTAAAACCAGGTATTTCCTCAAATACTACAAAGAACAGTAAGTGCTTGGAATTGGGTATGAATCAGTGTAAAGGGCTGTAGTACTCATTTCTTTTCTTTCTTTTTTCTTTTGGGTAGAGATGGGATCCCACTATGTTGCCCAGGTTGGTCCTGAATCCCTGAACTCAAGTAATCGCCCTGCCTCAGCCTCCCAAAGTGCTGGGATTACAGGTGTGAGCCACTGCACCTGACCTGTAGTACTCACTTCTCTTGCAATTAACTAAGATGAATAGCAAGCAGGTCCTAAAAAAATTTCAACTTTGTGGCAACATTAGTTTAAGAACACAGGCATGGAGACCAGACTTTACCTATTGATATTACTATTAAATACGAAATGATTATGAAGTAATTTATTCTTCAACCATGTATTTATAAATACATCACAGCAACTGGTACTTACTAGGAATCCCCTTCTTTCATTTCTTCCATTTTGAGGAACGTCCATGCAGGGATTCCAAACATTATCTATATTTGTGAATCACATGTTTGTCATAAAAATTCATTTGACTATTTGTAATTCACAAGTGCCACCTAGTGATGAGAGTAGAGCTGATTCTGAGCTTTCAACTTAAAGCCATGGGAACAAAATGTGGTCAAATGAGGACATGAAAAACTTTCTCCTTTTTGCTCAAGAAAGCAATTTTCTAGAACACCCTGAAATACAAAACAGGCACATTCCTGTAAGATGAGCCCATGGGCTTAAGAAGCCTCCATTCTTATTAGGGCCACGAGATATTTCACATGCACAGTGAAATGACAGGATCTAAAGTTATAATAAAGAAAGGTGAAGATGTCCAAGGTTGTACTGACCTGAAATACAGGATAGAAATAATAACTGCTGTGAATTCAAAGGAGTGAGATTATAAGCACAGTCAATACTTAAAGAATTAAGTTTGTGTGTATCAAAAATGACTTCCCATTTTTAAAAATAGCATAAAGGTAGATACACTGGGGATGAGAAGAAAAAATATATATAAAGAATGGACCCCTGCCTTCATGGAATGAAAGTGCGGTAGAGAAGAAATTTAAGACTAAATAATAGTACTTAAAAACTTTTAAACACTTACCAGCTGAAGAGAGCCAAAGGTAAGGGCTAATGATGAAGGCTAATAAACTCCTCCCTCCCCCTTTTCAGGATAGGGTTAGGGTAGGGATTCAACAGCAAAAAAGACTCATACCCTTCTCTTCTCACTTAGATCCCTAAGAGCAGGCATCCTCACAGCATGTGCTCTGCAAACACCAGAAGCTTCAAAGGAGTAAGGATTGTGGCAAGGAAGACAGACCAAGGGAGGCCCTAACCCGGGTTCCCTCAGCCCCAGTAGAACACGTAAGGGATAAAGAAAAGCTCTTGTGAAGCAAAAAGCAAGCTAACTGAGAAGTAAGGAGTCTTCTGATTGCAGGAAGGAGGCTGCGGTAGGGCAGAGTGTTGGGACCTACATTAGAGGTCTGTGGGATGGTAGCTAGCTCAAATACTTAATGAAGAACACAGCTGGGTTTCAGAGGATTAATGAAAGCCAAGGGGAAGGCCTGGTCAGCAAGCAGGGAGAACTGGGTTAGGTCTTCTGCCTTCAAAGGATGCAAGTGAGGCTTGATGTTGAAAGAATAATGAACTTCGTTTGTTTACTCCTTAAACCAATATTTCTTTAGTGTGTACTACATCCAGCTACTGTTTGGGACATCAGAAATACAGAAAGAAATAAGACAAAGGCTCTGATCTACACAAATGTACTTTCTAGCGTATGTGAAGGGAGGGGAGGAGAAAAGAAAATCGATATACAAACAAAAGATGAGTAAGAAAAAAATCAGACTTTAAAAAAATGCCACATAGAACAACGACAACAACAAAAAATAGGATGCTATGACCAAGAGACTAGTGGCAGCTCCAGGCTGGGCAGTTTGAAAAGGCCATATAAAGAGGTTACGAATCTGACATTTGGATGACACAAGGCACCAATCCCAGCACTTTGGGAGGCTGAGGCAGGCGGATCACGAGGTCAGGAGATTGAGACCATCCTGGCTAACACGGTGAAACCCCATCTCTACTAAAAATACAAAAAATTAACGGGGCGTGGTGGCAGGCACCTGTAATCCCAGCTACTGGGGAGGCTGAGGCAGGAGAATGGCGTGAACCTGAGAGGCCGAGGTTGCAGTGAGCCGAGATCGCGCCACTGAACTCCAGCCTGGGCAACAGAGCTAGACTCTGTCACACACACACACACACACACACACACACACACACACACACACACACACACAGAAGAAACAACTAATATAAAGCTTTGCCCTAAGGGAAAAGAAAAACCTCACTACCTTATTTACTCCAATATGTGAGCCCAATCTAAGGGCTATGCGCTATTTTAGGCACTGATGATACAAGAGTGAACAAACCAAATCAAAATCCTTGTTCTCATTGTTTATATTCTTGTGGAAAAAGACAAATAAAAAGGAAGGGAGTTGTGTGCTAAGAAGAAAAGGAGTATAATTGTGTGTGTATACACACATGTATGCACTCTGCCTCACTCCAATTTTAGACAAGGTAATCACTCAAGGCCTCACTGAGAAAGGTGACATTTTAGTGATGATTTAGAGAAATACTTGGGAGTGTTTGGTGTGGCTGGTGTATAGTGGAGGAAGGGAAGAGTGATTGTAAGGTAAGGCTGGAGGGACAGGCAGAGGTTGGATCCTGAACGGCTCTACCTACCATAAAAAGGAGTTTGAATTTCAGTCTAAGTGCAATGTGAAGGAACTGAAAAAATTCAAGGAAGTAAGGATGGTATGTGACATTAAACAAAATCATTATAGCTCTTAAAGAAAGGATTGTAGGGAAGCTAGGATATGTAAATAGAGACCCATTAGGAAGCCATTACAGCAGTCCAAACAAGCAACAATAGCTACGAGGGCAAGGTCAATGGTAGTGCAGAAACTGGGCAGATCTGGGAAATGTTTTAGAAGTAGAGTCAATAGGGTTTGCTGATGCTCTGCATCCAGGCAGGACAGGTGTAGAGGAAAAGAGCTGAATCAAGGAAAACACCTAGACTGGACAACAGTTTACTGAGGGATAAGAATGATGCAGATTTTTTTTTAATAACTCAGAGTTTGGTTTTAGTCATATGAAGTTTAAGATGCCTACTGGATATCCAAGAGGAGATATCAAGTAAGAAGGTAGAAACGTGAGTGAGAGGATCTATGGAGAAGTCAGACAAAGAGATACAAACTTGGGAGTCATTAGCATGTAGTCAGTTTTTCTAGTCAATCAGTTGGAAGAGGTAACCAAAAATAATATGGAGATAGTGGAGTAGAGGAACTGAGCTTTGAAGCAGTTCAACATTTAGATCACAAGAGAGGAGAAGGAATGGGCAAGGAACAGGAAGGAACAGTCAATATGGTAGCAGGCAAACTAGGAGAGAGTCAGAGAAGCCAAAAGAAAAAGACGTTCCAGAAGGAAAGCAGATATAAGGACAGTGAAAGCATATGCCAGTGGCTCTAAAAGTGTGGTCTCCGGTTCAGCAGTATCAACATCACCTGGATATTTATTAGAAATATAAATTCTCAGGGTGCAACCCAGAATTATAGAGTCTGACGGTAAGGCCAAGCAATCCATGTTTTACCAAGCCCTCCAGGTAGTTTCAATGTTTGAAAATCACTGCATTCAAGGCTAATCCATTAACAACAGATAATAAGGCAAGATATTTCAGTGGAAGCCATCACACAGACCAGAGAGCTCTCCCTTGCTGTTTATATTATTTGTGGAAGCTTTCCACAGCACCCATATGTCATCTTGGGCAGGAGAAAGGGAAAAGGAAAATCCTTATGGGGGAAGACTGAATTTTGAAATAACCGAATTAATCTTGAAATTTCTGAGTACAAAGATACATAAAAGAGGTAAGTATTACATGGAAATTATCCTTGTTGTGGCAAGATTAAATGCTTTTCTCTACTGAGTTGAAAAGAGGAATGACTCATAATTAAACAGTAGTTTATAGAAAAATAGTTACATTTCTTAACTTTTAAAAACAAGTAAGAAATACCGGCAGGAGGACAGGAGTTTGTTTTGTTTTGTTTTGTTTGTTTTTTTGAGACAGGGTCTCACTCTGTTGCCCATGCTGGAGTGCAGTGGCGCGATCTCAGCTCACTGCAGCCTCTGCCTCTCTGGCTGAAGTGATTCTCCTGCCTCAGCCACCCCAAAGTAGCTGGGATTACAGGCTTGTGCCACCACACCCAGCTAATTTTTGTATTTTTAGTAGAGTCGGGGTTTTGCCATCTTGTCCAGGCTGGTCTTGAACTCCTGAGCTCAGGCGATCTGCCTGGGTTGGCCTTCCAAAGTGCTGGGATTACAGGCGTGAACCACTGCACCTGGCCAGAGACAGGAGTTTTGTGCTTTAAACAAAAAAGAGTATAAGCATATATCCATAAGAGTAGAAGATAGAATAATCAGATGATATATACAATGGATAAAGTTGTTTCCTGGTATATTTTGCTCTCCTTCCCCCCATTCTGATATTAGCTCTCTAAGGGAGAAGTCTGAATGGGAATTAGAGGTGGCAGAAGGTGCTACGTAGCATAAAAAAAGCTTCCCAGGGCATTCCAATATACTTCTCATTCCTTTCTTCAAGAAATAACATTTTAAAGAAATGCAATTTTATTATCTGTATAACGATAATGCAACCTTATATTTAACAATATATTACAACTTGTAAAGCTCTTTCTTACAAATATGATGGAGTTTGAGTGTCACCATAAACCCATGAATATATAGGATTTTTTATTCCTACCTTAGAGAGAAGAAAACCAAGGCTCCAAGAACTGAAGTTACCTATTCAAGGATCATGTAATTAGTAAATCAGAGTCAGCTTTCAGGTATGTTTCATGGTGCCAACAAAACAGAGGCCTGCCAGGATTTGGTCCAGTGCCTGGTACAGAGAAAAATGCTACTCAAAGGCAGCAAGTATGATAACTAACAACAATTAACTTTTCAAAAGATTATATTCGAATCAGATTTTAGCTGTTTAGAAGGGGGTTTTAAAAAGCCCTAATCTCCTTTAAGAAAAGAGTGAAGTTGGGTTAATAGAAGGCTTGTGTATAAAGGGCTTATGGCAGTCTCCAAAGATGGCTGTCAACAATCCCTTCTCTGCCTGTCTCTGCTTAAGAGTTCTATTTTAGCCTCCTTCACTGATTCTTCCTTCCTCTGTCCAAACCTTAGATGTTGCTACTTTCCAGGGTTCTGTCCTTGGCCCTTTTGTTTCTGAATCTGTTCTCTAATCTCATGGATTCATACTCTCAAATCTCTCCCATCCAGGTTTTTTGCCCAAGCTCAAGATATATTTAAAACTGCCTTTGAGACTAAGGGGTCCTACAGGCTTATTAAGTTCAATATGTCAAATACTGACTCCATTATCAGTCCCTCACTTGTGTATATTGTAGTTTACTTGACCTTAGTTAAGTAGATTTACAGATATTATCTCATTTTAATTAAGTCAATTCTCACATTTTAGAAAGGTTTTATTTAGAAAGTACTTATTGCAACTTGAGCCATGATCAAATGATAGTATGAAACCTTTCATCTCCCATTGTTTAAAAATACCGACTTCATACATACACACTGAAAACTGAGTATACAAAATAGAAAGTGTTTTGTTTTACCAGTGGGAGACAGACAAACAAAAAATTGTGGACACCACCGCTCCAACAGGAAACGCTGGTTAAGAAAGTTCATTACTGTCTGCACTCCACCTCTCAGGCTATGTAAAACAGCACTCCACTGACTGGGGAAAATCTTACATGTGTATAGATTTTTAAAAAATATATCACATATTTCTAAGAAAATGTTTCAAATGCAAATATCTTGGTAACAAATTTCCTTATTGTATTAATCAAGAACATAAAATCGTGGAGAAGATCAGATGTAGAATAATAGTATGTCTGGACTGCAAAGGCCAAGCCTAAAAACACATAAGGAGATTATGTACATTATTAGATAAGGAATGAGCCAATGTTACAAACTACAGAAAGCAAATTTGATATTTTTCTTGACATATGGTAGATCAACAGAAAAAAAGTGGCATAGATGGCCACTCTTGAGACATACTGGCAACTGAGGTAAACAATGAAAAAACTTAATATTCAAGTTGTAAACCACTGAAAGAAGGCCACTTTTTATTTACTACCAAATTTCTAGTCCAAGTTCACAAATCAAACGTGCTTTCTGAACCGTATTCTTTTCTGAATAATACAGTTTATTTGACACACTGTAATTAACAATTAGGTTTTTTGTTTTTTAAAATTTTTTATAGAGACAGGGTCTCACTATGTTGCCCAGACTCGTCTCAAACTCCTGGCCTCATACAATCTCCCACCTTGGCCTCCCAAAGTGTTGGGATTACAGGTGTGAGCCACCGTACCTAGCCCAACATTATTTTAAATGACTGTTTTTTCCCCAAAGATGAATTTTCATCAAGAGTAAAAAAGAGAACATATCAAGTTACAAGTATTTCCCCATCACACACATCCAACTAAAATGGTGACATACAAATAAATATTTCAGATATTCTTCATAATCCTTCATTTGTAAAAAACAGAGGAATGCAAAAAGGACTTTGGTTTTAAAAGGGAGGTCAATTTGGAAATATTTCCTTCTAAATTTATGAATGTTTTCTAAATCAAAATGTTTTTGATTAATTACTTTATGATAAGCATTTCTCCCCCTATGGTTGAAACCTCTTTGTTTTGGGTCTACAACTTTAGTCTCATACAATTAAGTAGATTTAAATTTAATTTCTTAATAAAAAATACAGAAGAATATGAGATGGTATATAGAACATTTCCATGCAACTACTATTGAAAGGCACAAAAACAAAAATCAGGTTTTGTGTGTTTGTGTGTTATTTTTAAAGAAATTCCTTTAAAAATTAATTTCTTTATGATGTAAGATGACTCCATTCCTTCAGACAAGTCATGTTAAAGAAAACAACCAAACACACACCTAACCTAAATGGAAAAGGATGTATGCCTTTGTGCTCTTAATTTATTATTAAATAATTCTTTTAATTGTTCTGAATTCATGTTATTTTTAGTTCAGTGACTACAGCTGTCAGTTTCATTTGGCCCTGTTCTATGAACTATCTGAATGGACCCCTGGTGATGCTGGCATTGTTCTGGCTGGAAATGCGGAACAAGACAGAACAAGCATAGATCATACATTTATTAGTTAGGACTTGGAGCCTCCAACTATGTTAGAACTTCAATATCTATTAATAAACTGTGGCAGAGTGGAACTGCCATCTGCTGACAAGATGGATTTGATAACATAAAAGTAAAGCTTTGATTATTCAAACTTTCTTCTGAATGTTTCATGCAGTCTTTTAATACCTGCCACAGTACATCTCACCCATTTTCTAGGCTTTTATTTCAAATAATATGCTCATGCTATCTTTTAAGCTACACGTGTACAATGCAAAAATTATCTCTGTAGCTACCTCTTAACTATAGTAATTCCAGATTTCTACTGAAATCAGTGGTCACTTTCACATGAAAGAATGTATTGATTATTTTAGGTATCCATAATTAAATAGTGACTAACAAATCTATGTACTCAGTTTGTTTAGACCACTATAAATTAGGTTTTTCTCTAATACCAATTCCCCATATATTTATAACTTAAACCTACAAAGTACATATAACTGTTTAAGTTCTATCTATATCTCCTCTTTGTAGCATATTTTAGCTTTTAAAACAAAACTTTTGTGTGTCTCCTTAACAAAGCTGAAGAATATATACAAATGCTGCAGTAATTTTATGTGTCCAATACTATAGCTTTGTTCCTACACTATAGTTGAGGTCAGCATTATGGGTCTCCCTTTTCAAAAGCAACCATTGTAAATAGTGTCTTTTTAGCACTCTGTAGTAAAGACCTACCATACGTGGCTTACTCATAGCATCTGGCCCTTTACAGCATTTTTTATCCCTGCTAAACAAAAGTATCTGCTAACTATAATAGAGTCGACATTAAAACAAGACTCGGATCTCATTTCTAACGTGTTGCCTTAGCCAAATCGCATAACTCAGCTCCTATTTTATCACATGTAATATAAGAGAACAAGATGGGCATTTAATTCTTATGATTATGCTGTGATACTTTCATGTACTCATTGAACAAATATGTATAGAGAACCTTCTAGGTTCTAGGCATTGGGGTTACAAAAGTGAATAAAGCGCCTTACATTTTGCTGAAGGAGAGACACAATTTCAGTTACTGGTAAGTACCATGAAAGATAATAGAAATGACAAAAGATCTAGGTTGTTCAGGGAATGCTTCTCTAAGGAAGTGTTAATAACATTTGAGGTGGGACTTGACTGGTGAGGAGTCAGTCATCTTAAGTTATGGGGGAACAGCGCTTTAGGCAGAGGAACAACTACAAAGAAAATTCATCTTAGTGACTTTCCCAACCCACGATGGTCACTTTATTCAAAACCTAGTTTTAAACTTGTCCCTACTCAATGGAACCTTCTGTGATTAACTCTATTTTCAAATTATGGCTTAAGTGTTTAATTTACACTATATTCAGTTTTAAATTTGTGGTCTATAGTTAACTGTTCTGTGTTTACTCCAGTCTGATATCATACTAAGTCAGACATTTTAAGGAGGTAATCCTAGGATTCTTCTATCATCTTTTTTTTTTTTTTTTTTTTGAGACAGAGTCTCCCTCTGTTGTCCAGGCTAGGGTGCGGTGGCATGATCTCAGCTCACTGCAACCTCTGCCTCCTGGGTTCAAACGATTCTCATGCCTCAGCCACTCAAGTAGCTGGGATTACAGGCCTGTGCCACCACACCCAGCTAATTTTTGTACTTTCAGTAGTGACGGGGTTTCTCCGTGTTGGCCAGGGTGGTCTTGAACTCCTGGCTTCAAGTGATCTGCCCGCACTGGCCCTCCAAAGTGCTCGGATTACAGGTGTGAGCCACCGCACCAAGCCCTATTTATCTTTTATAGTACCTCAGAGTATTACGCACAGATGAGAATGTTCATTAAATGCTCAGGACCAACTACACTAAAAAGGAAATCAGTATTTTGTTTCCCCTTTCCCATATTAGGTTTGGTTATAGAGTACTTCAGAAAGTACTGAGTGACACTGTAAATCCAGTGGAAAGGGCAACTGACTCACAAGTGAGAAGTCTCATATTCAATTCCCAGCTTTACCATTTACTTAGGCATGCGGCTTCTGGCAAGTCAAACTCTATGACTGCTTGTCAATATCTGTACAATGGGATATCATTTGCCCTGTCAACCCAGGATTAGTTGGTCACCAACTGAATTCTATAGGAGACCATGATCAGTCTTTAAAGAACTGCTAAGCTTACTATAGAAAACAGTTAAATACTGGAAAACATGAATGTGTTTTCATTTTAGAACTGGAAAAGACCTTAAATGATCTTGTTCAGTCAGTTTACATGAGTAACCACAGGCCCAGAAAAATGTGGTGACTTCCTCAAAGTTACAAAAATATATTATGGCAGAATCAGTACAGCATCTAAATTTTCTTTTTCAGTCCAGAACACTTTCCACTATACTACCCTGTGTAACACTTCTTGCAACCCATCCCCTCTTTTATTCCAACATTCTCTACAGCCAGTTCTAGATGGTAAACACTAAATGATGTTTAAAAAGTACCTAGGCAGATTTCTGAGGCTGAGACCTTACCTAATTTGACTGAATTGAATTGAATCTAAGATGTGCCAAACTAATACTACTGAGTTACAATATTAGAAATGCAAGATCAGCTAATGTCTTAGAAATATGTATCTACTAAATGGCTGCATATTTGGCCTGTAGTTGAATTATTATTTTTTTTACAGTTTCTAATTATATTGATATAATACAATTCAATTACATTGAGAAATACATGATTTTCTTAATTTAGAAGGTAATATTCTCATACAATATAAAATATTGGAAGCAACATAAAATAGTTTTTGTTTCTGGTCATCTTCCTCTGTTTATCTTACAATTGAACTGGAAGTGTAATCTAAGTTGACAAATAGCTAATAAGTGTTCATGGTTCACCCTGGATTGTGTAACACTGGTTTAATGTATGCAAATGAAGAAGATGATGGAAATTATGTAATGCTTTCAATATCAGAAAGGTCCAAATTCAATCTTTAATGCAAAAATGAACTAAGTATTAAACATGAAAGGGAATAAAACAAACAAAAAACCCAAATGACTGCCTGATATTAGAAACAAATTTTCATCTAAAAACAAAAACCTACTCCCAGAAATTTCCTAAACACACACACACCCACATACACACAAAGATTGAAACATTATCTAAACTGAGAGAAGGGTCTTGGAAACACAGAAACCTAACCAGAAGCGAAATAGCTTTAGGGGAAGAACATCAAAATGATAACTACCTCCTTAGTAATTTGTTTTTCCCTGAATCAAGAATGTAAAAAGCTTTAGAAAGTAGCATTCAAAAACTAAGGTTGTAAGAACCAAATGAAGTAAGTTTGTGAAAGCATTTAGTAGACCATAAAGCACAAGTTATTATTATATAACAATTTGTAGTCTACAAGCATAGCAATTCACCACAGAGCAGACGTAAACGCTTATTTAAAAACTGCAATTCTTGTATACTGACTCACTGAATTTTTATTCTTAAAAAAGAATATTAGCCATGAAAGCTGCATCAACTATCCACTTCTGGAAAAGGAATTTATCATAGCCTCAATGTAAAAAAAAAGAAACTAAAAACATTTCCCCCTCTTTTCAAAATACAGGTCTTCTTTTAGCCATATGACCTTAAAGCAGGTCACATTTCCTCTCTGGAACTAGGTTTCCTAATATGTGTCAGGCCCTGTGGTAGGTGTTTTGCATATAATGTCTACTAAGATCTGTTATGCAGATAAAATGAAACAGAATTTATTAGCCCTTTCTTAGAGTAAACTAAAATTCAAAGGGGTTAGGAAACTTGCCCCAAATCACACAGCTAATAAATGGCATATCTGATACACTGAACTTTCCTCTAACTCCAAAGACCTTGCTCTTTCCACCATATTATCTTGTAAAATGAGGATATTCTCAATAATCTCTAAAGTTACTTTATGTGATAAAACATATATAATTCAGTAATCCATTACTCTTCCAAAACATGCACAGGAAAAAAAATTTATTTGTTGAACGTTATCTCACTACTTTGAACTTGCTGACACTTAAAAATAATTTTAGAATTTTAAAGTAGACATAACTCGTTGACAATCTATAATATTTCACTAGGTTTTTCATGGACTATATAACGCAAAGTGCTTAATAAATTTAAAAAATGGCAAATAAATGGTAAGAGATAGTATTTTCAACCAAAGTTTTTAACAAGTTCTAAAGTGTCTTTAAAAAATATATATGCAGTTTTTACTTTTCTAAATTTTATAGTCATTAGAACCCAATTTACCTGTTAATTTGAAAAACGACGCTTTAAAGTCACTTTGAAATATCTTGTTCTAAAATAAATTACTGCAGAATAAAGAAAGGATATGGGTTTTCTGATAGCGATTTCTAGTCTAATATTATATTCTGATTGTCACCGAAATCATTCGTTATCTCTTCAGAATATGCTACTTGAAACATCTTTTGATCGTAGACCAGTCTATGTTACTTATGGTGAAATTCACCTACATTAGCCCAACTGAAAGCCGAGCATTTAAACATTACGAGTATTGCTGTGCGGTATCGGAGAAATTGAGAACCATTCGGTGCTAAGGGAAACACTTTATTAGACTTGATGATCTACTAATTTAACAAGCATTTATTGAGCATCCCCTACATGCCAGGTACTGAAGTAGAAGTCGAATATAATACAATCTTTGGCCATTAAGAACATTACGTCCGGCCGGGCCCGGTGGCTCACGCCTGTAATCCCAGCACTTTGGGAGGCCGAGGCGGGTGGATCATGAGGTCAGGAGATCGAGACCATCCTGGCTAACAAGGTGAAACCCCGTCTCTACTAAAAATACAAAAAATTAGCCAGGCGCGGTGGCGGGCGCCTGTAGTCCCAGCTACTCGGGAGGCTGAGGCAGGAGAATGGCGTGAACCCGGGAAGCGGAGCTTGCAGTGAGCCGAGATTGCGCCACTGCAGTCCGCAGTCCGGCCTGGGCGACAGAGCGAGACTCCGTCTCAAAAAAAAAAAAAAAAAAAAAAGAACATTACGTCCAGCGGACTGAAACTCCAGAACGGCTACGATCTTCGCTGAAACTACTACTTACAGATACGAGAACTGGTGGACCACACTATCTCACCAGTTCATTCTCCTGTTTATCACCGGAATATCAAATCCAAAATCAAGAGTACCCAAGAGAGGAAAAAAGGCAGCTACTCCCGAGCAGTTGAGCTCAGAGAGTAACCCCCACTCCCACGTTACTGAGGGCTGTGGGGTCTCCCGGGTGGACCCCGCAGGGTCCCGCGAATTAGAGGGGCCCCGGGAGGCACCTTCAGAGCCGGCACCAGGCAGAGGCGGGGGCGGGGCAGGCCGGGACCGGCGTCTCCATGCCGGGCCTCGCTCACCTCTTCCACCTCGATCTCCTTGTAGTCGATCTCTTCAAAGTTGAGGACCTGGGAAGGGGCTTCGATCATCTCACCGGCCGAAGACGAGGAGGAGGAGGAGGCGGCAGAGGCTGTAGACATGATCCCTCGCGGCGCCCGGTGGGGCCGGGAACGGTGCCACCCGGACAATCCGGGTGAGACCCGCGCCCACCCGCCTCCGGACCGACCCTCAGCCTGGAGCCGCGCAGTCCTACTACCCGGCGATCCGTGGCGGGGGTAGAGGCAGCGGCCACAGCCGTGTCCGGCTCTGGCTCCGCTGCGTTTTCCGCCGACGGGCCCCGCCCACTACACTTCCGGTTCCGGGCTGAAATCGGAAACAGGAGGAGGGCCGTAAACTCCGGGGTAGGGGAGGGGAGAATTTTGTGACTTGGAAAGAAAAGGAGGGACAGGTTGGGGGTGGGGTGGAGTAAGCTAAGAAGCAAACTTGGACCTCTAGAACAAATTTCGCGAGACCTTTATTACAGGGCCTCAGCAACCGGATGATACCGCGAGAGAGGACGCCTGACGTAATTAAAGTGCGCGAACGGAAGTGGCGCGGAACATGACGGAAAATCAGTACGGTTGGTCCCTTAAGGACCAGCGGGAAAGATAAAAGCTGGGGTTTAGTCTGTGCTGCGTGAAATATGTCTTGGCCTCACTTCCTGTCCTCTGAGCTGCCTGCAGCCGGGCGAGGTGGTGTTGAACTGTGTTTTTTGTGACGAAGCTTACTTTTAAGTTTCATCCCTAAACTAAGTTGACCTGTTTCTTTAAGACGGCTTGCAAAATGTGTTTTCCTCAATGTGGGATATGGAAAGAAGCAGTTGCTCCTGTTATTTTGAGCTAGTACCTGACGCTATGAGAAATTCTAAAAGAGCGAATCAGATCATGCAACATGAATAACTATGGAGGCTGAGTGATCAAGAACAGAAGTTAATATTTTGGTGTTACAAACTTTCCACGGATTAGGTGAATAAGATATTTATAATTTGGTGTGTTCATCTCAAGTTATGGATTACGAGTGCGGGGCACTAGTGCTTTAGATTGGTAAATGAATCATCAACAGTCGCCTTGAAAATCGAATATTTTTGTCACCATTTTCAGGACATGAGAAAACACGCTGAGAGTTTAAAGCAATTATGGTCCTCACAAACTAGATCATTCTGTCCCCAAGATGGTCAGTATTGCTCATGTTGTACTACCAGCACAAGTTTTAGTTTTAAACTAACTGTTGAATTTTATATAGTCCGTTTGACATAAAGCCTAACTGTGGAATTATGTTAAACACATTTGGGATTGCAAATAGATCATTGGATTTGACCATCAAGAAGTTACAAACTCCTGGGAAACATTCTGTCACTTTTTATTCGTAGTTCTAGTGACACGCAGTGACAGTTTGATGAGTGGATAAAAAAATGAAAGAAACGATAATTTCTTTTCACTGTACACTCTCTCTTTGCATGCTCTTACCCAAGGTCTCTGTTTCTCATACTATTTTTATAATGATGACTCCTAATCTCCAAATACTCAAGATTTTTCCTGAATTCTGGACCTATTGGTCATCTCTACTTAGACAAACACCTAAACTTCAAGATACCACAGCAAATTCAAAAGTTGTCACCCACCACAAATATATTCCTATGTTATTTTCCTATGTCACTTAAGGATGCCATCACCCAGTTGGTTGTCCAAGTGAGAAATCAGGGCATGTGAAATGATGCGTGGTGCACTGATACCCAGTAGAAGCTGATATAATCAGTGGGACAGTCATTTTCACCTGTCATTCCCCTTGCATTTCCAAACAAGGATGGTCACTTCTTACCTTGTGCTATAACTCTGCAGGTCTATATCCGATTTCCTTTTAACACCTTGATCTTGCTGCCAGGTGGGAACTCAATAAATACTTAGATATTCTGTACAAATGAATAGCTTTTGTCAGTCCTCCCTTTCCCTGGAGTGTAAGATATGTTTCCTGTACCTTCAGTTTAGGACTGGAATCTTGACAAAGGACTAATTAATTACCACAGCCATGATGCAGTTCTCCTGCTTGATTTTTCCCCCCAAAATTTTGTTACAAAAATGTCAAATATAGAGAAAAGTTGAAAGAATTTATGGTGAACACCTATATGCCCACCACCAGGATTCTACCTTTAACATTTTACTATACTTGCTTTATCATAATATACATATGTGCATCTCATCTCTCCATCCATATTTACATCCATCTACCATTTTGCTAGATGCATTTCAAAGTGAATTGATTACATGATTTTGAATATCTTCTACCCCAACACTTCTATGTTTTATCCACTGATTTGGACTTCTAATATTGATGCCAGTCTAAAATCAATTTTTGTCCAACTTGCTTGCAGATTACTTTTTTCTTTTTTGTCTGCCTGCGCCTTTTCCCTAGCTTCTAGTAATAGATGGAAAGTTTCATCAGTGTTTATGTCTCTGGGTTCAGTCATTCCCAAGGTCCAATCCATCTCTTACATTCTGTGATTTGGTTATGTGAGCTAGTAAATTACCATTTCATTTAAGCTGGTCCAAGTTGTATTTTTGTCACTTGTAACCAAATAATCCTAAGTAATAAAGTTTAAATGCAGAGGAATGATGGAGGGGAGCTGAACCTCTCTCAGTTCACTTCAATTTTGACTTTGCATTTCCTTTAACTTTCATGAATTAAGGATAGAAACTTGACCTCAGAATTTCATGTCAACTTCAGTCACCAGTCTGTGTGTCTCCACACGTTTCCGGATACATATCAAAACTATTTAAGTAAATTCCTTGAAGTCCCTCCGAGTTTGAGCACCCTCCACCATTCTCCCTCATGTCAGCACCCTAATAACTACTCTCTAACTTCCAACTCTGTCTTCAATTTTGGCCCTTTTATACTCTCCAGGGGTTGAGAGGACAAGGGTTTCAAAATCCATTTCCCACCACCTCTTTGCTTGTTCTAAATGAGATTCTGATCTTATTTGGCTCATTTTGGGTGTAGGGATATCTGGGACCTATTTTAATGGAGGCTTAGCAGAAACTGGGACTAAAGTAACACCACTTTAATGTTCTGGGTCATATATATGTCAGACAAGTGTTCCATATTTCCATCATAGGCTTGATGATAACATCAATAATTGAGTTTCCATTATTCTCTTCTGCCTTTTGTGGTATTTGCTATATTCTACAATAGTGTTTTTCAATCTTTTTTTTCATTATTGTTCTTTTAAGGAGCCTTTTTAGACATCTTAATGCCCCTCCTCAAAGTTTTAATACCTCAGATACACTGTATATCTATTTATGTATTGTATGTATATTTGTGCTTTCTATGTAAAAAGAGTAAGATTTTTTCTCTCTCCAGTTTTTGCCCCCTGTGGAGGTGTTATTGCCTCCATTGAGAATGCATGTACTAGCAGTTTCATTTTTCACATGACACATCACAAAGTACAACCGAGAGCATCTCTTGGTAGCCATCTCAGAAGAGCAGTTAAACATTCTTTTTCAAAAGCCCTTGGTAAGTTTACCCTTGAGGGATGGGGAACAGGATGCTTGAGGATACACACAGTCATGCGCTGCATAACGATTTTTTGGTCAATGGACCTCATATGTGACAGTGGTCCTATATGATTATAATGAAGCTGAAAAAATCCTATTGGCTAGTGACATTGTAGCCATAGTAATGTCATAGCATGACACATTACTTATAGTGCATTACTCGTGTTTGTGGTGATACTGGTGTAAACAAACTTATGCTGCTAGTCATACAAAAGTATAATACAATTATGTGCAGTGCATAATATTGATAATGATAAACAACTATGTTACTGGTTTATATAATTACTATACTATACTTTTTAATTGTTATTTTACAGTGTACTCCTACTTCCATAAAAAAACTATAAAACAGCCTCAGGCAGGTCCTTCAGGAGGTATTCCAGAAGAAGGCATTGTTATCATAAGAGATGACTGCTCCGTGCGTGTTATTGCCCCTGAAGACTTTCTGGTGGGACAAGATGTGGAGGTGGAAGATAGTGATGTTGATGATCCTGACCCTGTGTAGGTAGACCTAGGCCAACATATGTTTGTCTTACTTTTTAGCCAAAACGTTTAAAAACTATAAAAAAATAAATAAACAGAAAAAAGTGTATAGAATAAGGATCCAAATAAAATACTTTTGTACAGCTGTTCAGTGTGTTTGTGTTTTAAAGCTAAGTGTTATTACAAAAGAGTCAAAAAGTTTTAAAAAATTTAAAAGTTTATGAAGTAAAAGAGTTATAATAAGCTAAGGTTAATTTATTGTTGAAGAAAACTTTTAAAAAATAAATTTAGTGTAACCCAAGAGTACAGTGTTTATAAAGTCTACAGTAGTGTACAGTAATGTTCTAGGCCTTCGCATTCACTCACCAGTCACTCACTGGCTCACCCAGAGTAACTTCCAGTCTTGCAAACTCCATTTATGGTGAGTGCCCTATATAGGTGTACCATTTTTTTAAATCTTTTATATTGTTTCGTTACTGTACCTTTTCTATGTTTAGATACACAAATACCATTGTGTTACATTTGCCTGCAGTATTCAGTATAGTAACATGGTTTATACAGCTTGTAGCCTAGGAACAGGTATAGCTGTTATATACCTAGGTATACCATATAGCCTAGGTGTATAGTAGGCTATGTCATCTTGTAATGATATAAGTATATAATGTTTGTATAAGTACACTCTATGATGTTCACATAATGGTGGAATTGCCGATCAACACACTTCTCAAAACTTATCCCTGTAGTTAAGCAATGCATGACTGTACGTTGTTTAACTTAGATTGAGGGCTCCTGGAAACATGGGCTCTAAGGAGGAGGAGGAGATGCTAACCCGAAGGAAAATCTTAATACTCTTAGGAACAGCAAAGCAGGCAATGGTTGATGGGTGGTGGGTATGCAACCAGCAAATGCTCATTATTCATATGTTTATTCAGATTGAGCTCTGTGATGGTTAATTTTGTGTCAACTTGATTTGGCTAAGGTATACCCAGCTAGCTGGCAAAACATTATATCTGGGTGTGTCGGCGAGGGTGTACTTGGAAGAGATTAGCATTTGATTAAGTAGGCTGAGTAAAGAAGATCTGACCTCACCAATGTAGGGAGTCATCATCCCATTGTTGAGAGCCCAACAGGACAAAAAGGTAAAGGAAGGATGATTCACTCTCTCTTCTTGAGCTGGGACATCTATTTCCTCTGTACTCAGACATCAGAGATCCTGGGTCTTGGCCTTTGGACTTCAGGACTTACACCAGTCCTCCCCTTAGGCCTTTAGAGCCGGTCTGAGAGTTACACTCTTGGCTCCCCTGGTTCTCAGGTCTTGGACTGGATTACACCACTGGCTTTCCTGGTTCTCTAGCTTGCAGAAAGCAGATGGGGTAACTTCATGGCCTCCGTAATTACATGAGCCAATTTTCATAATAGATCTCCTTATATATATCTTACTGGTTTTGATTCTCCGGAAAGCCCTAACACAAGCTCCACACCTAGAAAGTGCTATTTTTACTGCCTGAGACCCAAACCCACCCAACCCAATTAAATATTATTCTTTCCAGGAAGTTCAGAAATAGTATTCTGCTGCACTGTATTCAGAACTGGAGTATGCAGAGGATAGCCAGTCCCTCAGCATTTTAGTGACACGGCTAGAGAGCAGCATTTCTTTAATATATGCATTTGTTCTATATTTTCTACCCTCCATATCTTCATCCTAGGTCTCTGGCATCCCAGGAGAAACTAAGCTGGAACTTAGCCAACTCATGGAGCTGCAGGAAGCGTTGGTGTTCCAGTTACCCACAATGTAGCTTTTAAGGGTGAGCATTGCAAAGGTGGAGTAGAGGCTTCTGGCAGGTGCAGCTCCAAGACATTCTCTGACATCACAGTTAGCTGACATTTCTGTTTGCAGGTAACATTCTCTCCTTTAACCCCATCCCCATCCAAGCTAGTTATAGGTGACTGTTTTGATGATGTCTGTGTGTTCTGCCAATAAAAATGTCCATTATTTTCTAAACACTTGATATAAGAAAGTACAACTTATCTCAAAATTTGCTTATATTACCACAAGACATTTGAACATTATATTTGACAACTAAAGGAGAGCTGTTTAATTTGAACTGTTGTAAATTTTAGAATGGTTATAAAAATGCTTTTTTCATTTACTTTTATGAAGAAAGTTTTTCTTTGATGATGACTATCAAGAATTTGAAGAGATCATCCTTAAAAAGTCTGGATCAGGAATTGATGGTAGTCATTTCAAATATAATAATTTATGTTAAAAATTATATTCATGAAGGAAAGCTTATTAAAAATTCTTACTAAAATTTCAAAGAGTCTATTTGGTGTTTTATACAAATTTAGTGTTTAACATTGTCTCTAATACATTGTATTTCATTTTTCAAAATTATATAATGTAAAAAAAAAGATGGTTTTTAAAATTAAGCCCTGAATAGATGACTTCAATCCCTTCTAGTTTATCCCAGAGTATCTTACAATATTATCTTTTTTTCTTTCTTTCTTTCTTTTTCTTTTTTTTTTTTTTTTGAGACGGAGTCTTGTTCTGTCACCCAGGCTGGAGTGCAGTGGCATGATCTCGGCTCACTGCCACCTCTGCCTCCTGGGTTTAAGCGATTCTCCTGCTTCAGCCTCCTGATTAGCTGGGATTACAGGTGTCTGCCACCACACCCGGCTAATTTTTGTATTTTTAGTAGAGACAGGGTTTCACCATGTTGGCCAGGCTGGTCTCGAACTCCTGACCTCAGGTCATCTGCCCCCCTCAGCCTCCCAGAGTGCTGGGATTAGAAGCGTGACCCACCACGCCTGGCCAATATATCATTTTCTATGTGTGCCATGACATGAAAAAGTTTGGGAAGCACCGAGTTAGGAGGCTGTTGCAGTATTCAAGGCAAGACATAATAGTGGTTTAAACAACATGGATAGTGGCCATAGGGGTTATAGATAAACGGATAAATGGGAGGCATTGAGGAAATAGAATTGGTAGAGTTAGTGATTGGTGGGAGTTATTGACTGACACTGGAAGTGGGGAAGGAGGTAAAGGAAAGGGCAATATAGAGGAGGATTTCCAGATTTTTCATTTGTGCAATTCATTGTAGAAAGGGTGCCTTTTGCAAGAGGCAAGAAGAAGAGCGGGAACAAGGTTAGGGAAGAGGAGAATGAAGAAATAAGTTTTAAACATGTTGAGCTAGAGGTTCCAGAGAGTATTATGATCAAGTAGGCAGCTGATCTTCCGGGAAAAGACAAAGCTAGAGAAACAGATGCTGATCTACTGATGATATTAATAATTAAATTCATGGAAATTGAAAGATATGTAAAGTGAGACTAGGACTTAAGAAAGAGCTGTAAGGAATAAAATGGTTAAGGAGTGGGTAGAGCTGGAGTAACTACCAAAGAAAGTTGTGGAAAATAATTTAAAAAAACTATGATATTGTAGAAACCAACATGAAAAGGATGTTTGTGTTGAATACTTACAAGAAGTTAAACATGGCCGGGCGCGGTGGCTCACGCCTGTAATCCCAGCACTTTGGGAGGCCGAGACGGGCAGATCACGAGGTCAGGAGAGCGAGACCATCCTGGCTAACACGGTGAAACGCCGTCTCTACTAAAAACACAAAAAATTAGCTGGGCGTGGTGGCGGGCGTCTGTAGTCCCAGCTACTTGGGAGGCTGAGGCAGGAGAATGGCGGGAACCCAGGAGGCGGAGCTTGCAGTGAGCCGAGATCGCGTCACTGCACTCCAGCCTGGGCAACAGAGTGAGACTCCATCTCCACAAAAAAAAAAAAAAAAAAAGAAGTTAAACATGAGAAAATCTTGAAAAGGGTCTGTTGGGTCTAGGAACTCAGAGGTCACCCATAACCTTGACTAGGGCAGTTTCCAAGGTGGGAACAGAAACTAGATGAGTTGGACTGAGTGAGAGGTGAGAGAAATGAGGACAGTAATGTGGACAACTTTTTGAGAAATTTGATTGTTAAGGGAAGGCAAAATACAGAACAGTATAAATTAAACCCACATTGCGGCGAGGGAGTTTAGGGCTTTGGCAAGAGTATAGCTGAATGATGGGCCATGGGAGCTAACCTGAAGAGAGGATAAAGAGATGATGGGAGGGTATGATAGTTTGGGAGAAGGTAGAAGGGTCACTAGGGTGGAGGTTTGCCATGTGATTGAAGAACAGGTGTGGTGAACGTTTCCTGGGCAAACTGGGTGGATCTGGGGTTGTGTTTAGAGAGTGAGACTTTTGAATTTGTGATTTCAAAGGTGGTGCAGTTTCAGGTAAGGGCAACATTCAATCTGAGATACGATTGGGAGAAAAGGAGGGAACTGAGAAGGGCAGGAACTGAGACGTCAGGATGTCTGTGAGTCATTCATCTAACTGTCTGCTGTTGGACATTGAGGTTGTTTTTAACACTCCCCCCTCCCCCCTTTAAATATCACTGAGATGAACATCCGTGAACATTATTTAAATTTAGTGTTTTTAGGGTATCTTCATGCAAAAGCTATTCTATTTCTTTGGTAATCTTAAAATGCTTCAAGTTTGCTTATGCTTTAGAGAGGGGTGGTAAACTAATTGTAGTTAGGATTTCTGTGCTTTATCTTCAAAGCACAGGTTTTAGAATTCTGATAGAGTTCTTATCTTGATTCTGCCACATATCTTGAATAAATTACTTAAAATTTCAACTTTAGTTTATCTAATACCTACATCAAAGGTTTTGGTGCAGATTAAAAGTGACTGGTTCATAGAAATTAAATATGAAGTAATTGTTAGTTTTCCTTTTTTCCTTCTTGGTGTGGTGATAATGGGCAAAACAGTTCTCCATCACAGATAATAGGAGACTATTGTCCCATCATAGCTTAGTTGCTAACTGGTACAAAATTGGAAAGAAAAGAGAGGCTGGATTGGGGAGATTTGTTGAGGGGAAAAAAGTGTGCTGGTGATTTTTTTATGTATACTCTTTCCACTAGCCCCAGTAAGAGGGGTCTCTGCTCTGAGCCACACACTTTAAAATCTCCTTTTATACCATGTTTGTCATGGGATGAGAGCTCTAGGTACTCAAGCCCCTGAAATAGCCCCCAGACAGCCCCAAAGCTACGTGTACAAGTTTCTCCTCTGGGTCTGTCCTCCGGAGGGCTAGCCAAAGTGTATCTGTGTATGCGTATGTGTGTGTGAATGGGCTCAGATGGGCAGGCTTGGGAGCCCACATGTGGGTGTGTAAAGGCCCCTTGCAGTGTAGATTGAGCCCAGAGTAGGAGGACAGGGGTATAAATCAGGAGTTGGAGGCTAGCTTTGCTTATACCACTACATTCTAGTGAAAGGGAATATTGTCAAGGTAGGAGGATGGAATATATTTTATTTACCAGTTTACCTTGATTTACTGCTTATAAATATTTAGGCATATAATATGTGAGCCTCCATTTGTACTCTTACCCTGAGCCCCACAGATGTTAGGAGAATGTCTGCTTTTGTAAGTGCTAGATTTCTGTTCCTGTGTACTACTCGTGATTTATAGGTAAGATGTTCCCAGCTTGGATTTGCTATTTCCTAAATTTTCCACAGATGTCTGTACCTTATCAGGTAGGTCTCAGCTCAAACAGCACCTCAGAGATAGTGATATGGTCCTCCCTTTGGCTCCCTCTCCCTTCACTTCTATCTATTACTAAGTTTTATTTCTAGCCCTTTACCTATCAACATCATCTTTTTAATTATTTTCTCTCTTGTTTATTTTCTGTCCTCCTACCCCTTACCAGACCCTGCCCATTGGATGTTAGCTGAACTGGGGTGAGAATTGTAAGTGTTTAGTAGACACTTAATAACTTTTTAGAAAGTAAATGAGTATCTACATTTCTAAATAAATGCTGTTTACTTTATTTCAGGTGTAAGGATTGGGTTAACCAAATGTTTTCTATAACTGGGGGAAGATTTAATAAATAAATTGATATATAATTGGCATACCAACTATTTGTAATGAAGATTTCTCGAGTATTTGAGGGTTTTGAAAATTCTTCATTCTCCTGGTCAGTTTAAATATCTCTCCAATCTTCATGTTACTAAGTTTTAGGATACTTTTTTCCCCTGGATTTTCCAAGGGTAAACTTTAGTTCTTTCCAAATACCTATTTAATTCATTTGAATAGTTTGCTTGTTGAAAGTTAATAAGGTGTTATTATGGCACTAATGATTACTTTCAGAAATAACTGATATTTTAATCAAAAAATATGTAAAAATAGAGAGAATAGACAGAGTTTTATTTTCTGAGCTTCCGAGCTAAGCTTTATCATCATGATATACTTCAGCATCGGTTTTTCATGGCAGAAACTTAATCAGATAAGAACATGAGTCAGCAAAAAAATTATCTTCATGGAAATAGTGCTCTTCACTACAAAAGTGCATTCACTGAATGTTTTATGTCATAGACTAATATGTCACATCGATGTTCTTAGATGATCTTTCTCAGAAGAAACTGCAGAAGCAATTTGGTTTCATTTATGGGAATAAATAAGGGTATTTCATTTCACACAGCCTCAGGAAATCACAAATTAAAACTTTCCACTAAAATGGATGCCATCCACTCTTCATTATTTCAACAAACAAACCACTCCACTCTGCTGAAGCTATAATCAGGGTAAGGGATATTGTAGTGCTTGAAACCTGTGAGGCTGAGAGGGTCTACTTTGCATTCTTGTTCGTTAGCAACCCATTTCACATCTTCCTCCGAGTTCCCCAGCACCGCACAGAGCTACTCTCAGTGGCACAAAGCTCTATTAAGTAAATAGAGGCTCCATATTTAAAAGCCATCTCTGGGAATTCAAAGTGCTCTGAGAGGGAAGTCAGTACTATCAAGATTAAGGTATTAATGAAAAGTTCTGTTAAATTTCTGTTGGGATGCTAATTAATCTTCTAAAAATTGTTAATCAATTCAATTATGTAACACACTTAAACTTTAACACATGATACAGGAAAAGTAACAGGGTCTTTTAATTATGCCCAGAGGCATTCAGAAAGTTAAGGGAAATTGTCTAATGGGAAAAGTGTCCCCAAATGGTGTTTTAGTTGAATCTAAAATATTCACTTGTTCTATTACACTTGACAAGTTTGGGAAATCGATATTTAGTGCTTAGATATCCGAAGAAATATTAGAAGTATTAGAAGAAATTCAGGAAGTGGAATTATGACAACTATTTCTTAATGGAATTTTCTATCTGAAGTGCAGAAGACAATCTAAGCACAGATTATTAAACTCATGCTTTAGCTTGAATTGTTAAATGAAGAAATAATCTGATAAACTTTTAATATTTGAAGGCTGACTAACCATGCTAACTCTAAGTATTGAGCTAAGTGAGCTATGCTATATTCCTATCAATATTAAAATATTTTGTTTTAGTTGTTAATCGGAATTTGAATCATATCAGTTTTGTTAAATATTAAAATGTCAATCCATTTCTAAATATTTTAGTGTGTATGAAACAGTATGTGAAAGTATGTAGTACAGAGCCTAGAAAATATGTGGTTTTCAAAAATGTTAACATGAATGAAATACTATATAGAGGAACAGAAATAAACAACATGATGCAACAACAATAGTTAGTCACCATTCTATAGATTCTGATCAGTAAGTCTCTGATATGGCAGCATTAGTTTCTATGTCACAGGCCAATCAGAGTTGAGAGCCCTTGAGGTCACATATAGGCAGCAGCATTTATGTTAATAAATAATTTGAATTATTCATTTTGAATAACTAAAAATTAGTGATTGTATTTTAATCTTCAGCACATTTTCCTATTGTTTAAATGAAGAAAGTCGCTGCCTGGGCAACACAGTGAGACCTTGTCTCTACAAAAAAGTAAAAAAATTGAGGCAGGAGGATCGCTTGAACCCAGGAGGTTGAGGCTGCAGTAAAATGTGATCATGCCACTGCACTCTTGCCTGTGTGACAGAGTGACAGCTTGCTTCAATCAATCAATCAAGTTGGTGTTAGCTGTTTTGATTTATAATACATTTCTTTTCACTGAAGTTGAAGACTATTTCCAGTAGGGTTCATGGGGCAGTTACACATTGGTAAGGATACCTTGATCGTGGCTGTAATCTTTGGTTTTGTAAGCTTAATAACTCCATTTTATCAGTTAATTCAAAGGATGATTAGGCTTTTGATTCCTCCTTGCCAGAACCACTAGTGACCATATGAACTAAAGAGCCAATATAGTATACTAGTCCTGAGTGAGGGGCTGGAGACTGGTTAAGCTGAAGAGAATGATAATAGGCTTATGAATAAAAGGAGACTTTAAAAGAGTGGTATATACAGTAGTTCTCCTTTATCCATGGTTTCACTTTCTGCAGTTTCAGTGACCATATTCAGTCTGCAAATATTCAGTGAAAATGCCAGCAATAAACAATTCATACATTTAAAGTTGTGCACTGTTCTAAATAGCATGATGAAATCTTGTGCTGTCACATTCTGTCCTGTCCCTTTGTCCGGGGTATCCATGCTGTAGAAACTACCCACCCATTAGTCACTTAGCAGCCATCTTGGTTATCAGGTTGAAAAAACAGTATATAGAGTTTGGTACTAGGCATGGTTTCAGGCATCCACTAGAGGTCTTGGAACGTTTTCCCCTTGGATAAGGGCAGTCTACTGACAAAAGATATTGGCGTAGTTATCGGTGAGCTTCTTAATGTCCTAGAAAATTGTGTTACCAACTTGGTCAGGTTATCATTGAAAAGAAAACAGCTAGCTTTGTAACCACAGGAAGACATTTCATTTTAATTATCTCTAAAGGTTCCTTGTATGTAAAGTCACCAAAGCCTACTTGTCTGAAAGCTTAGAGCTGGATTTCCAATTCTAGGCCTCTATGGAAGCTATCAGATGATCACATTCCTTTGGGGGCATATCAGAGTTCCTTAAGACAAATGATTAATTGTAATCTTCCTTGTCTAGAGTATGTTTTTTGAATATAGACTTTCCTGGGAAAATAAGAGGTTTTCCTGTTAGCTTATTTGATGAGATAATTATACTTTAGTGTTGCATCACTATGGTTTTCTTAATAGTATTCTCTTTTCTTATCTGATGCCAACTATTCTTAAAACTTGAGTAGAGTAGAAAGATTCTTTGATTTTAGGAAGAAGAAATTAAAGTTGAAATTTATGCAGAGTAAAACGTTTTAAAG
The DNA here is from genome assembly GCF_000001405.40 of Homo sapiens. NCBI lineage: Eukaryota > Metazoa > Chordata > Mammalia > Primates > Hominidae > Homo > Homo sapiens. The sequence goes on from NC_000006.12 coordinate 90,599,974, forward strand.
AATGCAAGGTCAATTAATCCCTAGAAATGAATCCTCTGGGATGTTTAGGAATGGAGTCTGTACTATAATGAGTGCATCAAATGTAATGTTATACTGCATGATATTAAGTATATAAATAGGTGATTTTGAGAGGATGAAAAATAGCAAATATTATCATTCAGTTTATGTTTGGGTTTTAAACCTCTACATTTCTTAAACTTTTCTAATAAATACTTCTGGTTTCCTTGATAAATGACAATTGTTTAAGGTTACTATGTCATTATCTTGATCCAAACTTGATGAAATTCACAGCCTAAAGGGAAATTTCATTGTGAGATCAAATTAAGCAATTCTTGATCAATCTAAATGAGAGTAAGTTCCATACCTCCTCACACATTCAGACAATTCAAAAGGTTATTAATCAATATAAGCCATCTTCATTAAAAGAAAAACAATAGCATATTCTAATTGACATATGGTATTTATTAAACTAACAAAAATGGATTTATCTTTGGTTTTAATTTCATGTATTGCTTACCTTAACTCCCCTGCTCAGAATTGATTTCTACTTTTTTCTTCAGCCTAACCAGTCTCCAGCCCCTCACTCATTATCAATTTTAATAAGCCTGGGATGGATCTCCGTTGGAAAACAAAGAATACATTATACCCTGTCTCTAGCTTAATTTATTAAAAAAATAGGTATTATCAGAATTGACAATTTATGTATGATTGAAGCATATTGAACTGGAATAAAAATGATTTCTGAAGGCAACAAAATTAGCTGAAGGACTATGATAAGATGTAAAATCTGCATTACAAATTTAGCCTTGAGTTGCCATTGGATCCTGAGAAAGAATGTGAGAGATTCAGAATATGTAGAGAACAAAAAGTAAGATGAATTTGCTTCTTACATTCAAGATGCTCTTTTACTTTAGGTTTTTAATTGGCTACATAACTATGTTTATATTAGGAGAAATTGTTAGAGTTAAATCTATTATTTTTATTCTTGGTTCTTTATGGCCACAAATGGAGTATGCGACCATCTCTTAGGGAAGAAAAAGTCCTGCATCAAAGCTGTCCCTTCTTACATAAAAGTGAAGTTTTAAAAGTAAATTAAAACTCAGAGCTCAGTGCATGTGGGGTGTGAATGGCTGTATTGTGGTGTATCTATATGTGGATAGTTCATTTCTAAATCATTCACTGATTCCTTTATCAAGCACAGTGGTTTACTGAGTGTAGACGGTAGTAGCCACTATACTGTAAAGCCTGTTTAGCCTGGAGTTAAAAAGAAGTTACGGTTATATTTTGTTTTCATACCCTCTTCTTTACTTTAGGGTCTCTTTTGCTTATGTAAGAATTGCCAATAATTGCCAGGTGTAGCAGATATTCTGAGTGTCCCACCCATATCCCCTTAAATTATTTTACTGTTTCCATACATGTGAGCTTGACTTCCCACGGGCAGCAACTACGTCTTTCTTGGGTGGCTACCTTTGAGTTGCCAAAACCCACTTTGCCCACATACCTGGGCCGGCTGGAAGGGGATGGAAATTAATTTCTTTCAGGTGATGGCCCTTAACCCAGTGATCTGTGGTGTAGAGGTATAAATACCCAGGCTCTTCACCTGTTTTTATGGACTAATTCCAGAGCTTCCTTGTGGTGTCACTTGGGCAGTTGGCTTAATAATACACCCTTTACTGCCCGCTTTTCCTTTTCTCCATCATCTTCCCCTTTTTCTGTAAGGATCACTGTTCCATGGACTTTTTCTGTAAGTCCATTGAGTACACTGTCCCATGTGCCCTCAATAATTGTTTTCTCAGATTTTGCTTCTAGGGGAAACTGAACTAAAAACTTGGTATTGTCCAAACAATCCAGGTGGAACCTTGGTTGTAGCAGTGCAGGTCTACTAAATACAGATAGTGGTTAGACTTTTTATTTCTTTTTCAGGCCTGAAAACATTAACATATGACTGGCAGAATCTTACTAGGTATATTTGATTGCAGATTAACAGTCACATAAATGCTGGTATATATAAATTCACATTCACATAATTTATGTACCCAAGAACTTTTCATTAACTGGTTTCACTTTGAGATCACCAAATGACCTACCAAATTATAGCTTTAAATAATATAAATCACTGGGTGGAGTGATTATGTATGTAATTTTTCAATTGAACAAAACTCACTGAGCATCTATTATGTGCTAGGTACTACGCTAGGTAGATATATAACAATGACTAAGACTAATGATTGCTTAGTCTTAACTTTCTGCTTTCATGGAAGCTTAAAGTTGAGCTATTTTGTTGTTTACAGCTATATTTACATGCTGCTCTTGCAAATCTTAATGGCTGTTAATAAGAGTTTATTGGTTTTACTCAATGTGTCTGATTATTTTCCCTAGTACTTGCATTGCAATACTCAGAGTGGAAATACATTTTTCTCTGCTGTGCTCTTCTATATTGATTGCAGCATACTGATTTTGCATATCTCGTACATCAACCTAACTAGTTCTCTTTTTTTTGCTCTTTATATTGGTCATTCTTTTGAGAATGAGTTTTCATTATTGTCGAATTTTATTTGTTTCAGGGTTTATTACTCCACTAATGTCTCACTGAGATTAGCATTTCTCAAAGTTTTTGTGTTTATTTCAGGCATATTTGCTAAAAAATGTTTAAGCTTTTGATTAAGTATTAAAATTCTCAAAACTGAATACATTTTTTAATTAAGTGGTCTGAAGCACAAATAATTCTTAATACTATGCAGAAGTTTGAAATAAGTGCCATATTTAGCTTTATTCATTGCAGCAATTTTTTCAGCTTATTAAAAATATTAAGTTAATACTTCCTTAGAAATACATAAAAATCTTAAAAATGGTTATTTTTTATAGTCATATGTCAGTGTAAACATTTATAAACTAAGAACTATGGTTTTCTCATGGTCACTGTATTCCTGTGCATTCATTGACTATAGTGTTCACCTGAAATTTGCAACTAGCCAGACCTTAAGAAAACATAGCAGAAACCTTATGTACAATACAGTACATTATTTAAAGCTTTGGATTAATATATGCGTTTTATTTGAAGAAAACAATGGTTTATTAGTCATTCTTTGCCATTAACATTCTTTGCACATAGAAATGGTGCTTTCTAAGTCTGTCGTTGATGTTTGTTTTGGCATTAACATCTCGGTTTTCCCTCGGAGAATGACCTCTCCTAGTACTTGGGTTTTAGGTGAGGTTGACTGCTCCTCTCTTCAGTGGTGGGAACACCATCTGTGAATGATGAGAGTAGTACCTCTCTTGCAACATGTCTTTGGTGATTGGTTCAGGGGTAGATATGTAAACCAAGTCAGACCAATCAGAACCAGTAAACTTTGGCTACAACTGTAGGAAAGAGGCATTCTCTTTCTTCCAGGGTTCCTAGGCTGATAGTCTGTATGCCTGGTGCTAATAGCAGCTATCCTTATGACAATATGGGAAGAGCTTGCTTTGAAAACAAAACCTGTAAAAGGAATTGGAGGATATATGGAGAGAAATGGAAACCTACTGACAAAGTCTGAGCATCTGGATCCAGTAGTGCCTGGAGATCCACCTCTCCACTCTTACTTGAACCATTAATTTCCAACTGCTCCACCAACGCTCTCCCACCATCCTTTCGCAGATTGTGTTTTTCTCTCACTTTTTTCCCAATACTTACTATGTAAATCTATATGAATCCATTGTTCTCCTTCCCTCCACAGGAGTTTTGTGATCAAAATATGAAATTGGCCCTTGTCCTATGTGTGGCAGAGTTAGGGTTTTCTTTGCTGTGGAGCCAAAAGAAGTGCCCTGTGGTGTTGAATTCATAGTTAAATGCAGAGCCATTAAACTGAGTATGACCTGAATCTATGATTGTAAAGAAAATGTACTGTTTACTGAGCTCCTGCTATTTCAGACGTTAGGGAAAGAGTAATGAGTGACACAAATAAAAATCCCTTGACTTCTTGAAGCTGACATTCTTGTTGTATTATTTCAGAAGCTTTGGTACCTAGAACTGGAGCTATTTCTGGGTCACGTGGCACTCAGGAAGACTTCATTTCTCTGCCCAAAACTCTTAAATTATTTCCCACTGTGCTTAAATAAAAACCCAAAGGCCTTAACATACTTTTTAGGCCTGCGTGATAAAATCTGGTTCATACTCACTTGTCCGAAACCTTATCCAAGGACTTATACCTTCCCTGGTTTACACCAGTTTACACCAGTCACACCAGATTTCTTCCCTTTCCTCTAACGTTAATCTGTCTCAGACACTTTCATATTTTCTTCAGCCAGTCTTGACTCTCTTCCCCTCTCTACCCTGTACTTCACTTCACATGGTCCCAGCTTAAATGGCATTTCTTTGGAGAGCTCTTCTTTACCCAACCCATCTAAAGTGAGTTGCCTTAATATAATCTCAGAGAACTCTGTTTTTTTCATAGTATTTATAATAAATTGTTATATATTCATGTATATCTATTTATATGCATATATATTTTGGTGTTTACTAACTCTGCCACCATTGTCAGCTCTGTGAGGTCAGAGGCTATATCTGTTTTGTTTGCCACCAATTGGTCAGTGCCTGGCATAGTGCCTAGTACAATGCAGAAACTGAAATATATTTGTTAAATAATTATGTGGCTTGACCTCAAGCTCTTTAGTGGTAGCCTCAACTCTCTCAACCCTTATTTGAGTCTCATGCTTCCAAGTCTAGGACTCTTCCCAGCTCTCTTCTTTATCCTAGGGGTCATTCTGGTATAGCAGTCATCATCTATTTACGTGATAGGCTGGGTCTCAGGCTCCAAAGTGGGAAAGTGACCACAGGGACATGATGAGATAACAGGAACCAAAACAGAAACTCCACCCTTACAACTAGAGCTTCCCAGAGCTGGGATTGAAAGGGACAGGATAATTCCAGAATTCTACTTATCATCCCTAGGGCACTGAACCCCAAGCCTGACTGTGGGTGGAAGAGGCTCAGGCATCAACATGGAAGCCAGTGATGAGACTGAGAAATGGGCAAGTGTCTGCTTCTAAGCTTGTTTCGAGTGTGATGTTTGTGTGTTAAGTGAGGGGTAGCTGTGTAATGAACAGCTGTATCTGCTTACATACTGACTACCTAACACTGAGAATGACTGGATAACCGGGAAAAAACTGACCTCAAGGTGGGAAACCAGTATAACCAATTGTGGGGATCTAGGGGAGTCAGAGGCAGGGAAAATTAGAAGAGCTGACATTCTGATCTTGCCTATTCCCATTATTCTGGTTCTTTGTTGTTTTAGATGGCGTGTAAACAGATTCTTAGTCTACTCTTGTCCCTTTTAGACTTCAAACCTTCTTGGATTCAAGGAATTAATTTTCCCCCCGATATTTTATTATTAAACATTTCAAACATACATCAAACTTGAAGTAAGTTTACAGTGAATACCCAAATGTCTGTCACCTAGAGTCTATCATTAAAATTTTACTCTGCTTGTTTTATGCATCTCCATCCATCTATTTAGCCCTTTATCCACCCATTACTACATCTTAATTTTTGATGTATTTACTAGTGAAAGTAGATTGCAGTCATTGGTACATTTTCCCCTAAATAGTTCAGCACTGATAACATTAACAAGAATTCAGTATTTTAAACATATTTTTCTTCTGCGAAAAATTTTACATACAATAAATGCACATATCTTTAGTATACATTCACTGAGTCTCAACAAATGAATATACCTTTATAAATGAAAGCCTATTATATTATAAAACATTATCCATCATCCCAGAAAGTTCCCTCATACCCCTTCCCTGTCAATCCCTACCCCAAATGCTGGAGACCAGGGCTGTTGTGTGTTTTTTTTTGGGGGGGGGGAGGAGGGGGAAGGAGAGTGGGAGTTTATTCTATTATAGTTTCAAGACATTGTTTTATACCAACTGGAGTCATTAATGAGTTCTCAAATAATCTTTCTTTGATAGTGATCTATTCTTCTCATGATTCAGATAGAAAGAACTCTGCTTCCAAAATTCAAACTCAGCCAAAGCTTGAAAGAAAGAACTTAGCACAACAAAGCCAGTGTCAGCTTCATAATGACTTTCTCCAGTTGGGCCTACTGTTATGTTATCTAACTCACATTTCCTTAGGTCGCACCAGATACAGGATAAAAATGAGGTCATAGGGTCACAGTTTCACACTAACAAAAACAAAACAGTACTTCTCTGATTGTCACCTCCCCATCCTCCATCTACCCTCAAGTTATTCTGGCCTCTTAAATTTTTACCAGTGCTTTCAGGAAGTCTCCATAGCTTGCTAACACAGCCAAAATCATTCCTCTAATGAGACTGGCTCATTATCCTTTGTTGGGTCAAACCTGTACTATAAAAGTCTCTGTTAACCTAAAGATGAGTTATTTTCCAGGAGCACCTTTTACAAATAGACCTTTGGTAGCCAAATCTTTTTTTTTGGTTTTTTTTTTTTTTTTTGAGACGCAGTCTTGCTCGTCCTCCAGGCTGGAGTGCAGTGGCGCAATCTCGGCTCACTGCAAGCTCCGCCTCCCGGGTTCACGCCACTCTCCCGCCTCAGCCTCCCGAGTAGCTGGGACTACAGGCGCCCACCACCATGCCCAGCTAATTTTTTTTTTGTATTTTTAATAGAGACGGGATTTCACCGTGCTAGCCGGGATGTTCTCCATCTCCTGACCTCGTGATCCGCCCACCTCGGCTTCCCAAAGTGCTGGGATTACAGGTGTGAGCCACCGCGCCCAGCCTGGTAGCCAAATCTAACTTGTCCTCTAAATATGCTCAGACTTGTCGAAATTTTCTGTGGGTTCACAGCTCAGCTTAGTCTTGGTGTCTCCTACTACTATCACAACTGACATCCTTGAAAACTAAACCATTGCCACACCTTTTTTCTAGCTCTTATTCCTCCACTACAATAAAAAACACTTTATGTTAGCTTTTAGCTTTCATACATATCTTTTCATGTATTAAAGTCTGTACAGACTTTGAGATTGGCATGCCTGAACTACCTTCTGTGTACTAAATTTGGACTCTTATAAAGCATCTTATCGGCAATGATTTTGAAATTGTAGTAGGTTGGTGTTGATTGCCAGTCAAAAAGTTAGCTGCACTCATGTTCTTGGCTTTATCCAAACAACTATATTTATTTATATATTTGAATATTCTATTATATTTTCTCCTTACTTCTCATTATTTGAAAAATGAATCCACAATAGAAAAGTGAAAGGGCTGGTAAAATACAAATGCCTAAGTATCTTAATAATATTTTAATAATAAATTTGGGACAAAGACTAAAATGAGCTGAAAGCAGTGACTTGTCAATCTTGAAGTTTCATTAGTCTTAAGTGGTTTGTCCGTGTGTTGAGGTATATTAAAAAAAAAGAAAAATGTATGTGGGATGCTTTAGAAATATATCGTAAAAGATTGGGCTTAAAAGGTGAAGTATAATGAGAGAGAAGACGGTGTAACATTTTGTAGCTCTTTGGGAAGAAAACCCACTGTTAAAATCACTTATTATAATTTACTTTTCCTATTACTATTTTTCATAATTTATAATGGCATATGTACCATGTGATTATCCAGTATAGATTTCTCTCACTATACTATAATCCCCCTGAGTATTTTTTTATTTTAAACACTCTTCCATGAGAAATTAGCAAAATGACTAGCACTTGGATCGATTCAATAAATGTGTTCAATGAATTAATGAACTTGTGTGAATATTCCTATAGAAAAGCTACCTTGATGTTAGGTTGAAAGACATGAATATTTTAAATATCGATGGATGCAGCCAAGTAGCTCTCCAAAAAAGCATAAATCTCATTTGTGTGGTACTGGAAAAAAAATCTTAAAAAGATGTAGGTTTATTTGTTTCCCAGTAAAGAAATTAATACGAAACTATGCTTACAAAAATCCTATTCTGTTGTATTTAAAATGTTCTTTCAGGAAAAGTATATTGTATTGAGAAATTATGTTTTAAAAATTTGCAGTTGTTACTTCTTATAAGTTGATGGTGTGGTTTACTCTGAGGAAGAAACATTTAAAAAACCTGAAACTTGTATGTATAGATGTTGGCCAGGTGAAAAGTGTAGGAAATATTTTTTTAAGTAGAGGAAAAATCCAAATATTCAACAGGAAGGATGAGATTAAATAAGTTATACACATCCATACCTTGAATACCATGGAGTCATTGCAAGGAATGAGGTGGTTCTGTAGCTACTGACACAGAAAGATGTTGTTATGTTATTGAGAAGAAAAAACACAGGTATATAATCCTGTTTTCTTGAAACAAACCAACAAACAAACAATCAAACACTGTTGTGGGTGGGCATGTGTATGCACCCATACAGGCCTGTGCCTGTGCACACAGGGAAACTGTCTAGGAAGATACAAATCAGAACGTTAACTGTGTTACTCCTGGGGAGTGAAAGGGTTGGGGTTATGAGAAGGAGATTTTTAGTTTAATGTACTTCCATTTTAATTGAAAAACGTTTTCCAACCTATGTACATTTTGTAGTGAATGAATCTTTTTAAAGAAGAAAAGAATGTAGTATGTGGAAGCATGGTGGGCTGCTCCTGAAGTGCATTTGTTAATAAACTTGCAGGAAGCATCAGGACATTTCTTACGACATTTATTTATTAGACTTATACAAAATTAGTTGGATTTTTAAAGCCACAGAGCCTGTTGTTTACATTGAATTGTAGGCAGAATTCCTAAATGTGAAAACGATGAAAGCAGACTTGCTTGGTGGAAGCTGCGAGTGAGGGGCCTCTCTCGGTGTTTCCCTCCCCTCATAATCTTTTGACAGCCCCTAGGGCTCTGCTGAACACAGTTTGAAATACACTGGTCTCTTCCTGGGATGCTTTTGATTTAGTCCTTCCTGAAGGTCAGAGGGATATACCAGCCCTGTGATTCTAAAGCACAAAGAATAAAGAATGCCTACAGGTAACCCCTGAATTCCCTCTTGCCTCACGGAAAACACGTTTAGAGCAGGAAACATTCATGTCATTTAAGATATTTCCAGATGTACAATAGATGAGGAGCAGTTTTTGTTTTGCATTTCTTGGCTCTGGAGTCTTACAATTTTACTTTTTAAAATTCAAGCTTTATGATCTGTGCCCTCTTTATATCCTGAAAGTGGCTAGAACGGTTTTGTTAAGGTAACAATTGTTGAGTTCTATAAATGTCTGGCTGCTCCACCCTTCTTAGATATAATGAGACAAACAACTTTAATATATAAAAATTGCTTTGTATTTATCTAAAAATGTTTTTTCCAAGTCCAAGCAATTGAAAAAAAATATATTTTTAAAATGCATAAATTGTATTTAATACTGAAATCAAAGCTAATTTTAAAACAATTATTATTCTGTTAGAATGTGCTAACGGTTTTATATTTACTATTTCATGCCTAACATTTGACGTTTGATTTATGGGATTATTTGCAGCATTAAGAGTAAAATTTCTTAATATCACATATTGTTATGTTTAACTTTCTAGTATAATCTTAAAAGTTTTAATATGAACATGCCAGTGTGTTAAAAATATTAGAGAAAGCATATTATCACAACTAAATTTTTGCTTTGAGCCCCAAATGTCTTTGTTTTTATTTTAATTTGTGTGTGTGTGTGTGTGTGTGTGTGTGTGTGTGTGACTGTAGTATAGGGAAATAAAACCACCATAATATTGAAGGAGAAAAAAATCTCTCTTCCCCACAAGGTGGTACTGTGGTTCTTTTACTTTTTCCAAAATCTTTACCTAGAACTGCTATTTCCCCACTTGTCTTCCTCCCCCCACCTTTTACAGGTGATCTTCAATTAGATTCTAATAAAAATGAGAAATAATTTCAAAGGAAACCTGTTACTTTTAGGTTTGAAGTAACTTGCAAGCAACTAAAAATTATCTTCTTAGCCTTCTTTACAAGAGTTTTTTTTTCCTTAGCTTTTTTCTTCTTTTAAAAAAGTTCGTGTACATACTTTGGTTATAGTTTACGACATTTTATAATCTTTGTGTTATATATACTATGATAGTGTATACAGTGTGGTTTTTGGTTGTAAAGAAATAACGTGTATTTTTAAGTATCTTTAAAATGTTTCAATAAATGAGTATAAATGCAGCTCATCTTTAGGCAATTCAACTTGGTGGTGTTTTAATTTTCTCTCTTAACCAACTTTCATAATTAAGAACTTGATCCAAACCTCATTTCTACAGGTAAAAGTTACGGAACATGGTTTTTAAAAAAACACAAGTCAACATTGTGCTTTTAAATAATATGTTCATATTTGACTATGGAACATCATATACGATTTCGTTTTTCTCTGTACCAAGGACCAAGAGGAGTATTTGGAAGTCTGGGCTCCAGTCTCAGCTCCCCACTCGGCTCGTCGGTCGCGGGCCGACGTTCCTCCAGCCCTCGCATGGATTTCTGGGCCTGGTGTTGGGGACATGGTGACAAAGAAGCCACGGTGGCTCCTGTCCTCAGGGAAGCCGTGGTCTCAGAGGTCCCACGTAGCAGAAATTTCATGGTTGGAAATGGTGCGAAGGGGACGTGTGTCTTAAGACCGTGTTTGTGTAGTAAGCCGAGTTCTTTCTTGACTGTCTGTTTATTTGGGATAGCCCGGCGAGGGGGCGCTGGAGATTATGGGGGTGGGGGCGGTTTCTTGGGGAGGCCTGGGTCTATGGAGTGGAAACCAATCTTTGATGAATTTGGTCACAATAACGAACACGGGAGAAAAAGGAGAATTGAAAGGAAATGGATTCTGCGAGAGACTGGGGAGACAAAACCAAGAGGAAAAACACAGAATCAAAAACGACAGGAAACACTAGAGAAGAGTAGGCAGAAAATAGAGAAGAGGAAGAAACGAGTCGGACGGAGACGGGGCCGGGCACTGGGAGCTTGAGGCTGGGTCTCCATCCTTCCTTTCATCCTCTCGGGAGCCCGCAGAGACGGCGGCTTCAGTCTCGCTTTACGGGTGGGAAAGCAGCGACCTTGAGAGGTTAGGTGACTGCTCAAGGTCACCGAGCTAAGTGCCAGAGCCAGGATTCTCACCGCTCCTCACCCCAGATCGGGGCTCCGGCCAGACCACGCTGGCCGCCGGGGGAGAGGACGCGCGGGGCGGGCAGAGCGCGGCCGGGGGCCGGGAAGGAGCCGGCGCCAGGCGCGCGCGGAGGAGGCGGCCGGGCGGGGAGCCATTTCCTCCCCAAGCAACGGCGCTTTTCAGGGGCGCGACCGGGAAGCCTCTCTTGGCGTCCCTTCCCCAGCCGCAGTTTGGGCAGGGGAGCGAGGGCCGGGAGGCGTCTAGGCTGTGGCGAGGGGAGAAGCATCCCCCATCCCTCCGCTCCCCGTCTCGCTCAAGCTCTTCCTGCGCCACGGGCAGGTCTCCCAGCCTCGCCATCGCGGGGCGTCCCCGTCCCGGCCCACACCTCTTTCCTCTCCAGCCACACCGGCGCGCCCCGAGGGTTGCAGGCGGGGGCTGCACCGGGTTGAAGCCCAGTCAACCACACGTCCCAGGGCTTAGGCGCCGGGCGGGGACAACGTGTCTGCCTGGGCTCAGACGCTGCTAGGGGGCATCCCTGTCGGTGAGACCAGACTCAGACACGAGGGGGCCTGGGCTATTACAAACCTCAGGGTAACTTACAGGAATATACACAAATACACAAGACTAGCAACGTTTGTACCTCAGGGGGCAAATCAAAACAATCACAAGGACGAATCTTGCCCAGTCTATATTGTAAATCGATGCAGTTGCATATTATGAGCACCCCATTCGAAGAATAGCTCCTGCCAGTCCTCAGTGATTATTCAATGATTATCAATTGACGAGACACCTTTCACCTGAAAATGGCTTGTCTGCATTGTCTTTCTTCTCAGAGAACTGCGAATTAAAGTTTCTTTGTTAGGGAGAACAAAGAAGAATCCAAATTATTTTAAGGAGGCTTTAGCATTTGACTTGGCAAACCGTTTTGCTAAAGATCAACCCTTCGCTCTGTGGTTCGCCCCCTCTCTGTCACAGCCTCACAGCCGAGTTGTCTTTGAAACAAGACTAGAGCTCCTGGTGGGTTTGGGGGCTCCCTCTTCTAGAGGTGAGCAATTTAGAGCTAAGGGGAAATTTAGAAGCCGCGTAACAGACCCGTTAACATTCACATCGGAGGCAACTGAGGCCTGCAGAAGTTAAGGCTGTCTTGCCAGTTTGTGCCAAAGCTGGGACCTGACACCGGGTCCGGGCCTGGTGCTGTGCGCGTTCGTTGGAGCAGCGGTTCCCAGTGCTTCCCTCCACGTGGGCGCGCACCCCACGCTCATCCTTCCTCTTGGGAGCCCAGTGAAAACTCCTTTCTTGAAAGTTTGTCAAGAAGGCAATGTCTCTTCCTTTTCATTTAAAAAATTATTTTCTCTCGCTGTCAGATTCATTCTGACATAGATCAGGAGTGGAAAAGTGTGTGGTATAGAATAGAGTCATTAGTAAATCCATCTCGTTTTTTGTTTCATTTGACAGCAACACATTAAATTAATCCCTGTCCAAAAGAATCACATTAAGGGAGCTGTCAATGCTAATCCCTAGCTCATTGTTGCTGCCTAGCTCAGGGTTGACTTTAATAGGTCGCGCTGACATTTGTTTCTTCTGAGAAACATCGGTGACTTCATCCAGACCCAAATCTACTCCCATTAAAAAGTGAAGGCACCCACAAGTTTTTACATACCGTGAATTCTCTGGACTTCTAGTTTAGGATTTGAGCTCTTGTTGGAAATGTTGATTCACATTTATGCCTTTAACGGAATAAAGGTGATTATGACAATAAAAAGTAAGGTAGACTCCTCCCCGAGGAAAAAACCTGATTAAAAAATTAAAAATAAAATGATGTTGCTATTTTTATACCTATTTTTTAGCATCCTGTATTAGTCACTACTGTTGTCTATATACCTGATTGTGTACAAACCAGATTTAAGATTAAAAAAGAAAAAATAAAATTATTGAGAGGAAAATAGATTATATTATATAGACTAATGAAAGAAGGGTTTGGAGAGAGGCAGGGATGAGAGAACCTGGAGACAGATAAGATTAAAAGATCTATAGAAAATGTAGAAAAAAAAAGGAAATTTACTGGCAAATCCAGGTAGTAATTTAGATAGGAAAAATTTAGGCAGCACGGAAACTAGGAAAAATATATTACAATAAGATTAAAACATTTATTTAACCAACATTTACAAAGTATGATAATAATATGTTTTCTTTAAACGTGATCTCTCTGTTTCTCTCCTCTTTACCTCTGCACCCCTCCCCCCAATGATGTGGATTATTTAGCTTTGTGCTTATGACATTTATGGATTCCAGATCTGACAATCATGTATTAGCCTTTGTCTGGGCAGTGAAGAGAAAGGGGAGGACTGATCCAATCTTAAATCATTTGACCCGTTCTTAAAATATACTTCCCACCTGATTATTCTTATTTTTATAGCTATTTGGCAAGGTTTAGAAGACAGAATGGGAGCTAAAAATTGATAAATGATGATCCATTATTGAACAAGCTTATATCGAGTAATTATTGTACAAATACTACAGATTTGCGATATTCATGCATACCAGAAAAGAGGTATGTATATGTATATTCTGTTTTTACTGATTGAACCATGCTTTATTCATATTGCAAAGTGATACTGTGAATCTTTTTGTCAAGCACAAACTCACTTTTGCCTCATTGTTTTGCCCTGAAAATCTGTATTTTCAAGTAAACATGGTGTAGCAGTAATTTTTACTCTCAGGATTTTTGCTATTTCAATTTTAATTACAATTTTGTTTTACATTTGTATATATATATATATATGTATATATATATGTATATATATTATATATATATATATATATATTTCCTTCTGCTTTCTTTGTCTCCTGAGCATCATCTCTGCTCTGTAGGGGTGAAGATTTTCTTTTTATCTTTTTTTTTTCCCTGATACGGAATAGGTGTACATATTTTGGGGAAAAATATATTTTCTTCTACTCATCCTAGGTTCATGGCTGAAGCCCATATAACAAAAGACAGATTAACAAGAGATAAACGTACAAATATATTAAATATAAGTTTTATATGACATGGGAAAATGTCATATCATAAGGAAATGAAGACCTGAAGAACAGTGAAACCTGACTGTTTTTTTCTGGTAGGTTTGGTGAAGAGTGGACATCTGCGGAGAAATATGATAGGACACATAGGGTTTGAGCTAAATATGATAAACTCAGGGAAATTTAGCAAGGACTTTTGATTCTGATTTCTCTCTTTCTACAGAGATAAAGATGTTCTTTTCTCCGAGTATAAGGAGGACGCTTCTCACTTGAGGCTCTTATGACCTCCTTTGAGGGCAGGTCAGAAAATCCTTCCCAGGTTTATGATCTGCTTCAGGGGAGAAGGATGGGAACAGATCAGGGAGACCTTTCTGCTTTTGCCATTTTCTCAAATTATTTTAGCTTAAATTATTCCTTCAGCTCAACATATGCCAAGGTTCCATATTTTGGGGTAGCAAATCTTAAGCCCCATAAGAACATAACTACTTTTGAAATTGCTTTTATGCAGTCTGCAAAACACAGTTTCATCGTGCTGTCTATTGAACGCTATTTTATTTACCTGAATGAAAATAGACTAAGGTTTTGGTGGTCCAAACAACAAGACTATAAAGGATCAGTGAGAAATGAACTATGCATACATTCAAGACCCTCCAGACAAATGCCAGGAGTATGAGGAATAAGAAGTTAGATTCATATTGTGTCAGTGGACTAAAACCTGTTTGACATTTTAGAAATTATTAGGTTAGAGCAGACATGAATGGAATGTTAAAACTCAAAAAACTCTGAACTTAACAATACCCTGTACTTGGCACAATGTATTGTACATAATAGGCATTCAGTAAATAACCCTTAAATCAATAATGAATGTGTGTTAAGCATGTATCGGGGAGGAAATGCATGGTGGAATGATCCAGATAGGAAGCAAAAGAGATGGCCAGAGCAGGTGGCAGAGTTGGCCTTGTGCATTGTAGAAGTGGGTGTAGCTGGTGGTACTTGGCTGGATTGAAATGACTGAGGAGCTGGCTCTGTGAATAAGGTAGAGGGTAAAGCCAGCAGGTAGTAATGCAGTGGGTATGTAAGTACTTATTTTTTAGAAAAGTATTCATATACACTGTTCACTATATTCATGGTCAGACATGAGCTTTGCCTTCAAGGAACTTATATTTCAAAGGAGAAACGTGTTCAAATTTAGGTAACTCAAACATCCTCCCATAGAAAAATGTGTATGTGGAGGTTCTTGGCTTAGCCCTCAAAGGCAGTGGAACTTGTGTCACTGTGGAATGATGTTGTGCCAGGAAATGACTTTCAGTGATTGAACCCCTGAGTGTACTGCATGGTTCCCCTTTATGCATCCTGGAAGGACTGATTATTCCTCTTCTCCTTCCTGTTAGGCAGAGGAAACAAGGAATGCCCTAACGACAAACCATAGGTGGTGGAGACACCACTGGCAGGCAAACTACTGGCAGGGTCTAGGGTTTGGGGTGAGGTCGGTTTAGTGGCGGCTGCAATAACAGTAGGGTTGGGGGTGTGGAAGAACTTTCTAGTATAAGTAAACCTGCAGCTATTCTCTGAAGTCTCAGGCCATTTCCTTATATCCCATCCCTTGCACCAAGCCCCCTACTGTTCTTTGCTTCACTGGCTCAAGGGATGGTCGTCCTGCTTTCCTTTTCCACATCTGCCTCCTGTGGTTTTTGTCTGGGGTTTTCTCCATCTTGTGGAATAGAGTCCAGATTCACTGCCTTTGCTGTATCACCAATCTGACCCTGAGGAAAACACAGCATTTTTGATTTTTAAAAAGGATTGTTTTTGTTAGAAATAATGGGAGTGAAGGGAAGAAATATACGTGAAAGAGTACCCCCATTTTCTCTTTCTTTTATACACTTGAACTTGCATGTAAACACTAATACAATATATATTGATGAGATGTGTTTCTCAAGGTATGTAAAGGACTGAAATCAGAGGTACTGAAGTTTCAGACCTTACTTCTCTAGACATTTGTCACAGGAGTTGGAGGAGAGGTCTGGGGTGAACAAGGCCTCTGAAGATGGGGAAGATCTGGACAGGGATGTGAGTGTTGCCAGCAATATAGAGCCTTGGACTGGGTGGTGTAGGGTCAGGGAAGAGGGAGGCAGTTGTGGAAACTTCACCTTTCACTCAGCTTTCCTCACTTGCTGCTGCTTTTGAATACAGGCTCCCCTCTCTCTGTGGGGGCAGGTAAGAAATGGGGCACATACACAGGATTGTTTCTAAGTGCTAATGATTTTCTCTGAGCTATCAATGACCTCTCACTATTGACCTGTGGCATATTTCTGCGATGCTGTTGTCTGGGTTAGTAAACTGGGCTGTGGGATAGAAAGAAGATCCAAGGAGGGGGGAAAGATTCAATATGTGAATCTATATTCTTTTA
Source organism: Homo sapiens (assembly GCF_000001405.40). Taxonomy (NCBI): domain Eukaryota; kingdom Metazoa; phylum Chordata; class Mammalia; order Primates; family Hominidae; genus Homo; species Homo sapiens. The sequence continues at coordinate 90,616,427 of NC_000006.12, forward strand.
GTTTTGTCATATTGCTTCTAAGCTTATTGCAAAGACTGTAACTGACAACTACAACTCATTTTCAAACTTAAATTATATCTGTGTAATTTAGGTAGAAAGCCCCTGGGCAGGTATGGCACCTTTTTTCTGTGCTTGACAGGGTACTGAGCATACCGAAGGCATTTAGCAAATAATGATAATAATTTAAAGCAATGGGAGAATTGGGTGTACAGGGAGATAAGAAACAGGGACCCACTAATAATGAATACTGTCTCGGGAGGTGGTCCCACTGTTTTTGGATTTCAAATCCCCTTGTTCAATTTCTTGCTGGAGCAAATTCTACACAAAAAAGAATAATCTTTAATTTGATACTTAGTCACTTCAGTGTCCTGTGCTGAGCTGGTTAAGATTGCATATTCTTATGAAAATATATGCATTCATAATCAGTCAGATAATGTAGCTCCCCAGGGCTTCTAAATGCAAAAGCAAGAGATCATATATTTAGATACGTGGCTTCAAAGTCACAGGATCATCTGAGAAGTTCACATTCCTCATTTTTTACTTTTTCTTCATGGAATTGAAAGGAAAACAACATCACAAAAACTTCTAATGAAATACATAATAAAACAAGGCCCAGCATTCACAAGTTAAGGCTTCACTAGAAGTGAATTCTTGTCCTTTTGTGTGATAGGTTGAATTGAAACACATTGTAATAAGATAACAGGATAAATGGAGTATGCCTTTGATTTTAAGGCTTAATTACCAATTATTTTTCAGCCTCTTATGCTCACACCCTGGAAAGTTGGGGTCTTCCTTTATTTGTTTGGGTTAACATACTCAGAGACCATGGAATAGACTAGCCCATAAAAAGGTTAGAAAGAAGGTACAATGTTTCTCATATGCCCATCATTTCTTTCAGTGTGTTCTTTTTTCCCATTTCTGGTACACCCCTTACCACCTGCCTTGGGTTTGGTTTAAACTTTCTTCTCTTCTCCATATCAAAGCTTATGAATCTTTGCTTTTCTGAACTGACCCTATTCCATTTAGATTCCACTTTCTTAATATTTTTGAAACCTTCCTCTTCCCTATTCCTCTTTGCCATGGTCTTATTTTGAGTCTGCACCACCTTTTGTCTGAATTACTGAAATAGCTTCTTGAGTGGTGTGTCCTGTCCATCCGTCACCCTGCTGTTAGAGTTTTCTTTCTAAAACACAGGTCTGCTTTTGTCTCTCCTCTGCTTAAATATTTTGACACCCTGCCTTCATCAGCTGTAGGGTAAAAATCATACTCCTTAGCACAGCATAAAAAGTGCTTCCTCATCTGGTCCCTGGCTATCTTCCCAGCTTCATAAATTGCCTCTTGGCCATGCATCTTTATACATGGGTCTTTATGGGCTATTTGTGGGCTGCTTTGCTCCATCCATACCTTTGAACATGTCATAGACTGCCTTTTTCCCTTTGTTTCTCTGAAAGATGCCTACCTTTCCTTCAAAGCTCACCTTGAAATTATCTTACTGTCCTGGAGAGGACAAGTGTCTACTTCTCATCACCACACTTTCTTTTAAGAGAATGTGTCCTTAGACCTGGTGTACATTAAGCCAGATTCTCTTTCTAAGGAATTGATATGGAGATACAGAGCAAGTAAATTTGTTGGCTATGGGTGTTGGATGAATAAGGTCTCATGGTCTTAAAGGTCTCATAGTCACACGTGCAAGCCAAGAGAGCTGATCTGTGGAAAAGAGTAGGAAAATGAAGCAGATTGCAAGAAAAAACATATATGAGAGATATTTGGGGGCCTAAGAAAGAGAGAATGAGTAGGATACCATTTTGGTTCCTGTTGGCTTATCAATTCCTGTTTGAGTTCCTCTTGAGACTGCAATTTCTTATTAGATACTCTTAACTCTTTATGCTACTATCTCCTTTATTTAACTGGCCAAAGTGAATTTTTTTTAATCAGACAATTCCTTATTAAGACTCATTTATTACATGCAATTAAATGATTTGTATGTAGTACTCTATCTTCCTTAACAGACAGTAAACCACTTGTGGGTAGAGACATTTTATAAAATTTATCTTGAGATTCCCAGCAATTAGTCTAGCTGTGGTTGGTTGACAATATATGTTTGGATGAATGAAAACGAATCCTATTTTTTTAATGTCCTAACAAAGAGCTTATGAAATTGCAAGGTTGGTTTTACTATCATAGTGGATGACAAAGTGTTAGGACTTCCAGTAACATACCTGTATTTTAATAAGGGCTGTCTGGAACAAATCCTTTGAGGTACAGGAAAAGCCATAAAAGTAGGCATTTGTCAGTATTGAATTTCATGGGGAGGCATTTTGGGAGTCTTTCAACATCTCTGAAATGATTATATATCTTTGTTTAAGGACAGCAGGGTGTAGGGGCAGCAACAGAAGGAACTGTCTGAGGGACAGAAGGACTCCTCTGCAGGAGCTGATTGAGTGAAAACCATGACTGGGACCTCACTGCCCAGAACTGCATTTACTTCATTCCAAATAGTTTTAGATAAGCACTGATTATCCAGGAAAACCAGAAATAGTCTTGGTAAAACCAATCAAATGCTGAGTTATTTGAGATAATATCACTGTGGGAAACTTTACTCCGAATCAGTGTATTGCTTTTAAAATATTGGTGTCTCTAATAATCCACTCTTACATACTTTCTATTTTGGTATTACTGATTAAATGCCAAGAGACATCAAATGAATGCTTTTTTTTCTATGACATAAATTAAAGGGGATATTGTTATATTATAGCTGAGACCTCACTATAGGAAAAGCAAATGAGATGGATCATTGAAATGAGCTTGAGATGAGTGTTTGCTTCCCCCAGATTTTACCTTCCAAGATATTTGGGTCATTAGAATTCTTGATCTCCCCTTTTTAATCACAAGCTGTACACTTGTACTTTCTTTCCCCCCCCCCACTTTCTGGTATTACTAAGCCTCCCTCTTCTCTTCCTGGTTACACCAAACCAGGGCCATGAAACTGTCATTTCTCAAGCTGCTATCCTCGCTGGCTGACATTCCTGTTGGGGCAGATGCCTTTGAGAACATTGGACTTTGAGGGACCAAAGCCTGTTTGAGGCAAAGCTTCTTCTAGACAAACCTTGAAACAGGAATGCATTCCTTGTTAATACTATTTCTGGTAAATGGGCTAAGCGTTAGAGGCTAGCTTTGTTTAAGAACTTAATCACTTCTACTTGTGGTTTGAGGTGATGTTCCTTTTATGTTAAATGTAATTATAATAGGGCAGAGGTGCAGTGTGGGCATGTTGTTGTATAAACATATACATTTATGAATGCTTAACAGATTCTGGGCTTATTGTAAGGTTTATTTCTCCCTTGTGAAAATGTTGCTCAGCTCTAGTAAAATGTATATGCACTATCCTCCAGAGAATCTGTGAACATGGATGGAGGTTAAACAGCTGGACAGAATGCCAATGTTTTAAATTATAGCTGGGAATCAAAGCTGGAGAGCAAAAAGACCTCCTTAGCTTTAAAGGTAGCCAATTAAGTTGCAAACACTATTGATAACAGTTGCTTTATTCAGAGGCTTATTATATAAAACACCATGCTGTCTTGAAACTGAAGAGGTTGCCTTGCAATCGTCTCCATAATCCATAATTGAAAGAATCATAAATGTAACAATTATTTCCCACAATGATTGCTTTCACAATTTCTTGTTCTCTGCAGGATCCTTGTTTTTTGTTTTTTTTTCTTTCAGCTCATTGCAACAATCACACAATTATAGTGTGATTCATATTTAAGATTAAATTTTGCATGTCTACTGAAGTATATAAAATCTCTATTTTCATAATTATGAACTATATATATCAGTCAACTTTTAAAGTAAGTAGTATTAATTGCAATATATGCTCTATAAGTGTTATTTATTTAGCTTAAATTTTACAAGCCTAATCAATGACATAAAGCAGAGTGATTAAAAGTAATTTTAAGATGGACATAAATAGTACAATATTTGAATTGGGAAACTTAATCTGTATGATGGAAAAGAGATAAGAAATAAAAACAATTCTCATGTGGTGTATTTAATTTAACCTTAAAAATTATGTCATCCTCCAGAAGCTATTTCTGGCTTTAAGTGCTTTGAAATGTTTAGTAATGAACTAAATGAAGCTTTTTTGGGAACCCTGATTTAACAGAGTATAGGTTGAGTTTTAGGAGAGGGAAAAAGCTCTCTCTCTTCTTGCCTACTCCCTACTCCACCTCAAATCTAATGAAGAGAAGAGAGAGTGAAAGCAAGTAGGGAAGAGGAGAGGAAGAACTAAAGGAGAGTGAGGGAACAGTTCCAGAGACGTTCTTATGCATTTTGAACATGCAAAATAAAATCAGCACTCCGCATACATGTAAGTTCGCTCTTTATTTATTTTAAAAATTTAAAAAGCCATCAAATTATGTCATCTTCACTGAAGCTAATGGCCCTTTATCAGATTTTAAAATTTATTTATAAAACACCCAAATATTTCTTTCCATATGTATAACATATATTTTCACAAAACCCTCATGTTTTACATGATCTCAGAGGCCATCTAATTCATTCTTCTAATTGTACAGGAGAACAACTGAGTACTCTATATTATAATTAGGGTGATTACATATGTTATTGTCCAAATCTGGACACTTCTGAGAATAAAAGAGGTTGCTATTAATAATTAGCCCAGGACAACAGGTATAAATTGGAAAACTAGAATTTATGAGCACCTTGATTATAAAAAATAGAAACTAAGATTGCCAGATGATCGAGTCATTAAAATTAATTTAATTGCCTTTTTAGTGTTCTGCCATTATGACTGAGATAAAAAGTGAAATTGGCCACTCTAATAACAGCAAACATTTTTGAACACTTATTACGTGCCAGACATTATTCTGTACATTTTATTTTAGAAACAGGATTAATCCTTATGATGACTCTGTGAAGTTGCTATAGTTGTCCCTATTTTATAGAAGAGGAAACTGATACCTGGGGAGGTTAAGTTAATTGCCTCTGGTCAGAAAGCTAGTAAGTAAAAGATCTGGGATTAAAACCCAGGTATTTTGGCCACAGAATCCATGTCTTAGCAGCCACCTTATTCTGCCTCTCATGCCTCTAGCACTGATGATTCTAGAGGGAGGTCTCCAATCGCAGTAATGTTTGAAGGGCTGAGCAGACCTCAGGGGTTTGCAGTTCTAGGGGCCAGGGTAGGAGGTCATGAAGTAAATAATTAGAGACCAGGATAAAACATCTGGTATCTGATATCAGAAATTAGAGAATTAGGCTACTGTTATGGATGACCTTCAGTGTGTTTCTCACATGTGGGTGTGACATATGGTGTTAAGCAAGCAGAAGTAATAACCATGCAGTGAGCCAGGTGAGCAGGCAGAGGCAAAGAAAAGGAGCATCTGATTGAATTGAGGAGTAAAGGTAGGGAATACAGGCTCCTGACCATCAATTCGATCTACGCCTGGACTATACACACAACCTAGGCTTCAGTTTTTCTTGATAGAAGGGAAAGACTTCCTCTTGCTTCCAGGGAATAAAAGTATGAAAGAGAGCTGGGGAGAACAAGGACAAGGGGAGGTTTTCTAATGAATGCACCAAGGTTTCTTGGCCTACCTGCCAATCCTGGCTACCTCCAAACAGCTGGTGATCTTAACAGAGGTTCCACCTGGCTGTTACTGTGCTGAGAAATCACAGAGGAACCATTGGACTGATTATTCCTTTATTCCCAAATCTCTTCATAGTGAGACATTATGAGATTCAAGAACTAGATTCAATATGTTGCCTGTTCTAAATCTGTATAATGTGAGTTGTGTTGATTTTTTAGGTATTTTCACCTTTATCACCAAAACATCTCTAGTTCCAATCATTTACCATGATATAGATTTTAGTGCAAACATACATTTACTACATAACTTTTAAACTCATTGATATATTGTGCCTAAGTTCTCCGTAAAGAATATGAGAACATACTCATTCACCTCTTTTACTGATAACTCACTCACCTGATCCCAGTTGTATTCTATTCATTAAACTGGCATAGTCAATCATGATTATGTTGGTCAATCTTATTGAGGACCCATTTATTGAATAGTGGTACCATGGGGAGCTGATATAAAGAAAATAATTTCTGTCTCTAAAGTATAGAGGCAGGAACATATACCAGAAAACAAAACAAAACAAAAGCTAAACAACTTAATCAAAATCAATGTAAACAAGGGCAAATTGTAGTGGGATTACTTACATTAATTCTCAGTGATTATAGTTGAAAAGTACTTTCACAAGATATTTTATCCTATGACGATTTGTTTAAATATTATGAATTTTTTGCAAAATGATTAAATACAATGATGAAATTGAAAATAAAAATTATAGTATTTAAAAAAGCTAAGGTCTGACAAGATGGCTGAATAGGAACAGCTCCAGTCTGCAGCTCCCAGTGAAATCAATGCAGAAGGCAGGTGATTTCTGCATTTGCAACTGAAGTACCCAGCTCATCTCATTGGGACTGGTTAGACAGTGGGTGCAGCCCACGGAGGGCGAGCCATAGCACAGTGGGATGTCACCTCATCTGGGAAGCACAAGGGGATGGGAACTCCCTCCTCTAGCCGAGGGAAGCCAAGAGGGACTGTGCAGTGAGGAATGGTACATTCCGGCCCAGATACTATGCTTTTCCCCTTGTCTTTGCAACCTGCAGACCAGGAGATTCCCTCAGGTGCCTACACCACCAGGGCCCTGGGTTTCCAGCACAAAACTGGGCAGCTGTTTGGGCAGACACTGAGCTAGCTACAGGAGTTTTTTCATACCCCAGTGGCACCTGGAATGCCAGTGAGACAGAACTGTTCACTTCCCTGGAAAGGGGGCTGAAGCCAGGGAGCCAAGCGGTCTAGCTCATTGGATCCCACCCCAATGGAGCCCAGCAAGCTAAGATCTACTGGCTTGAAATTCTTGCTGCCAGCACAGCAGTCTGAAGTCTGGGATGCTTGAGCTTGGTTGTGGGAGGAGCATCCGCCATTACTGAGGCTTGAGTAGGCGATTTTCTCCTCACAGTATAAACAAAGCTGCCAGGAATTCAGACTGGGTGGAGCCCACCACAGCTTGGCAAAGCCACTGTAGCCAGACTGCCCCTCTAGATTCCTCCTCTCTGGGTAGGGCATTTCTGAAAGAAAGGCAACAGCCCCAGTGAGGGGCTTATAGATAAAACTCCCATCTCCCTGAGACAGAGCACCTCGGTGAAGGGGTGGCTGTGAGTGCAGCTTCAGCGACTTAAACATTTCTGCTTGCCAGCTCTGAAGATAGCAGTGTATCTCCCAGCACAGCACTCGAGCTCTGCTAAAGGACAGACTGCCTTCTGAAGTGGATCCCTGACTACCAGGCCTCCTGACTAGGAGACACCTCCCAGCAGGGGTCAACAGACACTTCATACAGGAGAGCTCCGGCTGCATCTGGTGGGTGCCCCTCTGGGACGAAGCTTCCAGAGGACGGAACAGGCAACAATCTTTGCTGTTCTGCAGCCTCTGCTGGTGATAGCCAGGCAAACAGGGTCTGGAATGGACCTCCAACAAACGCCAGCAGACCGGCAGCAAAGGGGTCTGACTGTTAAAAGGAAAAGTAACAAACAGAAAGGAATAGCATCAACATCAACAAAAAGGACATTCACACGAAAACTCCATCTGAAGGTCACCAACATCAAAGACCAAAGGTAGATAAATCCATGAAGATGAGGAAAAACCAGCGCAAAAAGGCTGAAAATTCCAAAAACTAGAATGCCTCTTCTCCTCCAAAGGATCACAACTCCTTGCCAGCAAGGAAACAAAGCTAGATGGAGAATGAATTTGACAAAAGGACAGAAGTAGGCTTCAGAAGATGGGTAATAACAAACTCCTCCGAGCTAAAAGAGTATGTTCTAACCCAATTCAAGGAAGCTAAGAACCTTGAAAAAAGGTTAGATGAATTGCTGGCTACAAAAACCAGTTTAGAGAAGAACACAAATGACCTGATGGAGCTGAAAAACACAGCATGAGAACTTTGTGAAGCATACGCAAGTATCAATAGCCAAACTGATCAAATGGAATGAAGGATATCAGAGATTGAAGATCAACTTAATGAAATAAACATGAAGACAAGATTAGAGGAAAAAGAATGAAAAAGAATGAATAAAGACTCCAAGAAATATGGGGCAATGTGAAAAGACCAAACCTACCTGATTGGTGTACCTGAAAGTGACGGGGAGAAGGGAACCAAATTGGAAAACACTCTTCAGGATATTATCCAGGAGACCTTCCCCAACCTAGCAAGAAAGGACAACATTCAAGTTCAGGAAATACAGAGAATACCACAGAGATACTTCTGAAGAAGAGCAACCCCAAGATACATAATTGTCAGATTCACCAAGGTTGAAATGAAGGAAATAATGTTAAGGGCAGCCAGAGAGAAAGGTCTGGTTACCCACAAAGGAAGCCCATCAGACTAACAGCAGATCTCTCTGCAGAAACCCTACAAGCCAGAAGAGAGTGGGGGCCAATATTCAACATTCTTAAAGAAAAGAATTTTCAACCCAGAATTTCATATCGAGCAAAACTAAGCTTCAGGAGCGAAGGAGAAATAAAATCCTTTACACACAAGTAAATGCTGAGAGATTTTTGTCACCACCAGGCCTGCCCTACAAGAGTTCCTGAAGGAAGCAATAAGTATGGAAAGGAAAAAACCAGTACCAGCCACTGCAAAAACATACCAAATTGTAAAGACCATTGACATTATGAAGAAACTGCATCAACTAACAGGCAAAACAACCAGCTAGCATCGTAATGACAGGCTCAAATTGACACATAACATTATTCACCTTAAATGTAAATGGGCTAAATGCCCCAATTAAAACATACAGACTGGCAAATTGGATAGAGTCAAGACCCATTGGTGTGCTGCATTGAGGAGACTCATCTCACCTGCAAAGACACACATAGGCTCAAAATAAAGGGATGGAAGAATATTTACCAAGCAAAGGGAAAGCAAAAAAAGCAGGGGTTGCAATCCTAGTCTTTGATAAAACAGACTTTAAACCAACAAAGATCAAAAGAGACAAAGAAGGCCATTACATAATGGTAAAGGGATCAATGCAACAAGAAGAGCTAACTGTCCTAAATATGTATGCGCCCAATACAGGAGCACCCAGATTCATAAAACAAGTTCTTAGAGACCTACAAAGAGACTTAGACTCCTACACAATAATAGTGGGAGACTTTAACACCCCACCATCAATATTAGACAGATCAACAAGACAGAAAATTAACAATGATATTCAGGACTTGAACTCAGCTCTGGACCAAGCAGACCTAATAGACATCTACAGAACTCTCCACCCGAAATCAACAGAATATATATTCTTCTCAGTACCACATTGCACTTATTCTAAAGTTGACCACATAATTGGAAGTAAAACACTCCTTAGCAAATGCAAAATAATGGAAATAATGACAAACAGTCTCTCAGATCACAGTGCAATCAAATTAAAACTCAGGATTAAGAAGCTCACTCAAAACTGCACAACTACATGGAAACTGAACAACCTGCTCCTGAATGACTACTGGGTAAATAATGAATTTATGGCAGAAATAAATAAGTTATTTGAAACCAGTGAGAACAAAGACACAGTGTACCAGAATCTTTGGGAAACAGCTAAAGCAGTGTTTAAAGGGAAATTTATAGCACGAAGTGCCCTCAGGAGAAAGTAGGAAAGATCTAAAATCGACCCCCTAACATCACAATTATAAGAACTAGAGAAATGAGAGCAGACAAATTCAAAAGCTAGCACAAGAAATAACTAAGATCAGAGCAGAACTGAAGGAGAGAGAGACACAAAAAATCCTTAAAAAATCAATGAATCCAGGAGCTGTTTTTTTTGAAAAGATTAACAAAATAGATAGACTGCTAGCCAGACTAATAAAGAAGAAAAGAGAAAAGAATCAAATAGACACAATAAAAAATGATAAAGGGGATATCACTACTGATCCCACAGAAATACATGCTACCATCAGAGAATACTATAAATACCTCCATGAAAATAAACTAGAAAATCTAGAAGTAATGGATAAATTCCTGGACACATACATTCTCCCAAGACTAAACCAGGAAGAAGTCGAATCCCTGAATAGACCAATAAGAAGTTCTGAAATTGAGGCAGTAATTAATAGCCTACCAACCAAAAAAAGCCCAGGACCAGACAGATTCACAGCTGAATTCTACCAGAGGTACAAAGAGGAGATGGTACCATTCCTTCTGAAACTATTCCAAACAAAAGAAAAAGAGGGACTCCTCCCTAACTCATTTTATGAGGCCAGCATCATCCTGATACCAAAACCTGGCAGAGACACAACCAAAAAATAAAATTTCAGGCCAATGTCCCTGATGAATATAGATACAAAACTCCTCAATAAAATACTGGCAAGCCGAATCCAGCAGCACATCAAAAAGCTTATCCACCACAATCAAGTCGGCTTCATCCCTGGCATGCAAGGCTGTTTCAACATATGTAAATCAATAAACGTAATCCATCACGTAAACAGAACCAATGACAAAAACCACATGATTATCTCAATAGACTCAGAAAAGGCCTTCAATAAAATTCAACATCGCTTCATTTTAAAAACTCTCAATAAACTAGATATTGATGGAATGTATCTCAAAATAAGAGCTATTTATGACAAACTCACAGCCAATATCATACTGAATGGGCAAAAACTGGAAGCATTCCCTTTGAAAACCGGTACAAGACAAGGATGCCCTCTCTAACCACTCCTATTCAACATAGTATTGGAAGTTCTGGCCAGGGCAATCAGGAAAGAGAAATAAATAAAGGGTATTCAAATAGGAAGAGAGGAAGTCAAATTGTCTCTGTTTGTACATGACATGATTGTATAATTAGAAATTCCCATCATCTCAGCCCACAATTTCCTTAAGCTGATATGCAACTTCAGCATATCTCAGGACATGAAATCAATGTGAAAAATCACAAGCATTACTATACACCAATAATAGACAAACAGAGAGCCAAATCATGAGTGAACTCCCATTCACAATTGCTACAAAGAGTATAAAATACCTAGGAATACAACTTACAAGGAATGTCAAGGACCTCTTCAAGGACAAGTACAAACCACTGCTCAAGGAAATAAGAGAGGACATAAACAAATGGAAAAACATTCCATGCTCATGGATAGGAAGAATCAATATTGTGAAAATAGCCATACTGCTCAAAGTAATTTATAGATTAAATGCTATACCTGTCAAGCCACCACTGGCTTTCTTCACAGAACTAGAAAAAACTAGTTTATACACCATGGAATACTATGCAGCCATAAAAAATGATGAGTTCATGTCCTTTGCAGGGACATGGATGAAATTGGAAATCATCATTCTCAGTAAACTATTGCAAGAACAAAAAACCAAACACCGCATATTCTCACTCATAGGTGGGAATTGAACAATGAGAACACATGGACACAGGAAGGGGAACATCACACTCTGGGGACTGTTGTGAGGTGGGGGAAGGGGGGAGGGATAGCATTGGGAGATATACCTAATGCTAGATGACGAGTTAGTGGGTGCAGCGCACCAGCATGGCACATGTATACATATGTAACTAACCTGCACATTGTGCACATGTACCCTAAAACTTAAAGTATAATAATAATAAATAAAAAAAGAAAATCAAAAATTAAACTATAGACATTGTGATTATTATTGAATGTTAAAATAAAATGGAGATGTAGTACCAGACACCTTAAAAAAAAAAAAAAGAAAAAACTACTTTAAATTTCATATGGAACCAAAAAAGAGTCCATATAGCCAAGACAATCCTAAGCAAGAAGAACAAAGCTGGAGGCATCCCGCTACCGACTTCGAACTATACTAGAAGGCTACAGTAACCAAAACAGCATGGTACTGGTACCAAAACAGATATATAGACCAATGGAACAGAACAGAGATCTCAGAAACAACGCCACACATCTACAACCATCTGATCCTTGACAAACCTGACAAAAAGAAGCAATAAGGAAAGGATTCCCTATTTAATAAATGGTGTTGGGAAAACTAGCCTGCCATGTGCAGAAAACTGAAACTGGACCCCTTCCTTACACCTTATACAAAAATTAACTCAAGATGGATTAAAGACTTAAATGTAAGACCTAAAACCATAAAAACCCTAGAAGAAAACCTAGGCAATACCATTTAGGACATAGGCATGGGCAAAGACTTCATGTCTAAAACACCAAAAGCAATGGCAACAAAAGCCAAAATTGACAAATGGGATCTAATTAAACTAAAGAGCTTCTGCACAGCAAAATAAACTATCATCAGAGTGAACAGGCAACCCACAGAACGGGGTTGTACCCTATCCATCTGACAAAGGTCTAATATCCAGAATCTACAAGGAACTTAAATAAATTTACAAGGAAAAAACAAACAACCCCATCAAAAAGTGGGCAAAGGATATGAACAGACACTTCTCAAAAGAAGACATTTATGCGGACAACATACATATGAAAAAAAGCTCATCATCACTCGTCATTAGAGAAATGCAAATCAAAACCACAATGAGATACCATCTCACGCCAGTTAGAATGGCGATCATTAAAAAGTCAGAAACAATATATGCTGGAGGTAATGTGGAGAAATAGGAATGCTTTTACACTGTTGGTGGGAGTGTAAATTAGTTCAACCATTATGGAAGACAGTGTGGTGATTCCTCAAGGATCTTGAAGCAGAAATACCATTTGACCCAGCAATCCTATTACTGAGTGTATACCCAAAGGATTATAAATAATTCTAATATAAAGACACATGCACACATATGTTTATTGCAGTATTCACAATATTATTCACAATAGCAAAGACTTGGAACCAGTCCAAATGCCCATCAATGATAGACTGGATAAAGAAAATATGGCATATGTACACCATGGAATGCTATGCCGTCATAAAAAAGAATGAGTTCATGTTCTTTGCAGGGACATGGATAAAGCTGGAAACCATAATTCTCAGCAAACTAACACAGGAACAGAAAACCAAACACTGCATCTCGAACAATGAGAACACATGGACACAGGGAGGGGAACATCACCCACCAGGGCCTCTTGGGGGATGGGGGGCTAGGGGAGGGATAGCATTGGGAGAAATACATAATGTAGATGACGGGTTGATGGGCGCAGCAAACCACCATGGTACTTGCATACCTATGTAACAAACCTACACGTTCTACACATGTATCCCAGAACTTAAAGTATAATAAAAAAATACAAAAACCTAAACAACGTCTTGTAATTTTATATTATACATACAAAATGTGTATATATATTTTCAATGTGTGTTATTTTAAAAACTGGAGGTTTTAAATTAGAAGGGAGCTCCCAGTTTATCTAATTCAATTTTCCTCTTCAGAGGGTGAACAACCAAGGATTAGAATCTTTCATAACTTGCTCAGGGTCATTTGGTAGCACAAACAGAACTAGAATCCAGGTTTCCTGTTCCTCAGCCTGCAGCCCTTTCTTTGTTTTTGTATTAACTTAAAATATTAATATCATGCATGCAATATAGATTGTACATCTGTACATCTTTATCTTCCACCAATGAGTGCTGGAAGATAAAGGCAGAAATTTAATTCAGGTAAGTGTAATTTTTTTTCTCTAACAAAATAAAACATTCTTGTGATGCACATAAAGCACCAACAAAATCAGCAAATCATATCAATAATTCTAAATTCGAATATGACTTCCATCACTAACTCAGTGCAGTCTTTGATAGTTCAGTTTACCTCAATGACATGTACCCCATATATACAACAGAAAAAATAATGTCTTTACTTTCTGAGACAGGAAAAAAAGGCAGGGTTTTTTTTTTTTTTTAACTATTACCAATTGGAAGGGACTTGAAAATTCCATGTTAAGTACATATTGTAACGTTTTGATAAGAAGCAAATTATCTCAACTGCTAACAATAATGGTTAAACAAGGCAGAAGGTCTATTAGCATGATATTTTGTTTCTGTCTTTGATTTCAACTCTACCCTTCTAGACAGAATTAAATATGTTTTCTCTACTTATATTTTTCTGTCTTGACCAAATTATTGTTAGAAATAAATTCTGTTATAAAACTACAATACCTTTCCTGAACTTAATCAGCCAAGATAAACCATTTAAGTAATTTCTTCCTAAATCCCTGTCTTATCTGGATTGACAATTGACGTTGCTCACATTAAGTGGGTAATTACTTAATATGCATTATTTTCTGATATTACAGTATGACAAAAAATAAGAGAGCATGAACACTGAGGGTAAATTGTGAACAAAAATGCACAGCTATTTAACATTTTTGTGTGTACACATGTTTACTCTTTTGAAGGTTGTGAAGACAAACGTTCATTTCAGGTTAGAGAAATAAAAATGAAGAATGAACAAAAGAAATATGTTTTTGTAGTACCATTTCTTAAATGCTTATTAGGATAGTAAAATAGGCATAGCCCCAATCTGTATTTCATTATCAGTATATGCAAGCCTTAATACTTGATCCTTGTTTATAGGAACTAGCATTTGAATTTATTGATGAAAGTTAGTTTGCTGCATCTCGTTTGCATGGTCTGTTGCATAGAACAAATAAAATAAAATGCTTATTCTTCTTGTTATTTATTAAAAGACATACATTTTGATCTTGAAGGCATAGTTTTGAGTTAAAGAAGTATCTTTTAAGTAGGAATATTTCTTGCAATTAATAAGTTGGCACTTATTTTATGGTTCTGATTATATTTTTATTTTAACCATTAGAGGGCACATTAGTTCAAGAGAAATTAATGAAAAAGCACAACAATAAGACGGAAATAGGCTTTGAAGTGGGGGGCAGAAAAACTTTATATATTTAACTATGCTTATTTTCATTCATTTCATTGTCATTTGCAGTATAATTTATCCAGAAAATTTTTTCAATCTGAAAAAGAATTCAAGTATATATAGTTTCATATAAGAAATAACTCTTCACTTTTTTCTGCTAGCTACTACTCCTTGGAGAATGAGGTTGACCTAGTTGCATTTGACAAGGTTGACTGCTATGTGACCAAAGAGGACCTAATAAATCATGGCATTTGAAGAACATCCTGAGTTC
This sequence comes from Homo sapiens, assembly GCF_000001405.40. NCBI lineage: Eukaryota > Metazoa > Chordata > Mammalia > Primates > Hominidae > Homo > Homo sapiens. Next base: position 90,631,573 of record NC_000006.12, read on the forward strand.
ACAGGTACGTATGATCAAGTTATTATGAAATAAGTATGAAGTAAGCAAATGCCAGTCCCTGGTCTTGTAGTTAATAATAATAATAAAAGGCACCTAAGTGTGAATGAATGCAGCTCAGCAACTAGGCTTCGCTGCAAATATTTATAACCTTTAAAATTTGGTACAAATTACAGAGAGAACAATAGATGGCCCTGGAGTGAACACAAGGCTTTATTTCACTGGAAAGTCTTGACTGAGTTCATAAACTGCCAGAGGACAGGCAGCTCAAGTGGCTTATGAATGACTGTCCAGTCTCAGAATGAGCTCATTTGTTTTCAATCTACAGCAAACTGTTATTATTTCTAATCAGTCTTTTGCTCTAAAGGCTGTAGGTTTTTAATCTGTAAAGGCTAAAATAGACACTAGCTAGTATTAAGTAATACTACTTTTATGATGTCAAGTTAAAAGATCACTTTAAATAATTAACTCATTACTTTATTTAGTAAAATTTATTGAGCACCTACTAAGTTTCAAGTTCTGAGCTGGGTGCTAGGGAATAAAGACAGATAATATATTGTCCCCAGCTCAATAACATAATTTTTTATTGTCCTGTTATTTATAGAGAAATAAATCAGCAAATAACTGTAGTACCTAACTTTATATATTAGCGCAAAAATAGGAAAGAGATTTATCAAACTTATTACAAAAAATACTTCGCATTTTTTTAAGGGAGGTGAGTAGTTAGGCAAAATCATTAGTATATACTATCTTCAGTTTAAGACTGCAGAACTGCTCTGTTAATATTTTTCTCTGAGAGTCAATTATGCAATAAATTGTAATTAGTAGCATAAAACAAGGTAATAATGTAATTAAAACCAAAATATTTACTTGCTATAGAAGATACTTTTATGCATCTTAATTCTGCTCCTTGCAAGCTAATAATACTCTATAGGAATTTCTGTGTGGCTTTTACATCTGGTGGTTTTGGAATTAGCATGTACAAAGAGAGCTCAGAATTATGCTTTAATTATGATTTGAATGATGATTTGAGACTGAGCATGAGTTGTCAACAGAATTGTGAGCTGAGGGAAAAAGAGATAAGGACCGTTAGTGGGATAAAAAGTATATTTGCAGTCACTTACTTTAAAGAGTCTTTTGTTTTAAAAGAAGTAATTAATGTTAGGAATTAATTGGTTCAGATTCTTGATTTTAAAGTTATCACTTGGTTGCTAAGATGAAGCCTTTTCAAAATTACTACACGATATGCAATGACAGGAACATTTCAGTTGAAGGTAGAAAACGTAATTGAAAAGCTAGCTTCTGAGTGCCTGCTTATCACCCTAATTGATAGACGAGACCGAGGAACTAAATGCTGTAGTTCAATACAAAATGCATTTAGCTGGATTTCACATTACTATGTGTGGTTTTTCTAAGAGCTAAACATTATTGCTGATATTCCGATACATTCTTGGGCTTTAGGTGGAACCTGGTCAGTGTGCATTAACTATTATAAAACAATCATGAAGTCAAAATTCCATGCAACAAATGGATCCAGGTTTAGTATCTAAAAATCTTTGAAGATTTGGATAACAAAATTATGGCATTCATAAAATTCATAAAATGCAGCCATAAAGAATAATGTTTCAAATCTATGTTTGTTGACCTAGAAAGCACATTGCAAAAAAGATGATACAGTGAGTCCCACTATTGTAAGAAAAATATGACATGTATAAGAATGTGAAAAATCAAACAGGACATACCCCAAATGTTAACAGTGGTCATCTTAAGCAGTGGGATTAGGGAGGTGTTCATTTTCTTTAGGCTTATATGTATCTTCCTAATTTTTCTGTAACAAATATACTCAATTATATAATAAAAAGGATGTATTAGTATCCAGTCTGCCCAACATGTAGCAGGAAATTTTTCATATGACTTTAGAATATTTAGTGATATTGCTGATATTTAGTTAGTCCTAACATATATTTATAACTCCTATTTGTTTATGTGTTCTCTGATTTTATATTTATATATTTTCTTGTAACATTAAAAATTTGGCAAAATAAAACACAGATAATACCTACTTTGTCTTAAACAAATGAGAGGATACAATGAATTTGGAAACAGTAAAAAAAAAAAAAAGGACAATTGAAAAATAAAGTTGAATTTTAGCTTTGCAAATATAGAAGTGAAAATTTAAGATAATATGTATAGGATGTGACCTGGGCATAGAAGAAGGCTGAGATGAAAGAAGTCCACATTAGACCACCTTTTGAATCTGTACATGGGCAGGAGGAAGATAGAACTATTGGGAGTGACCTTCACAATAGTCAGGACAGGAGTTGTGACAATCCTTTGAGAAAGATGGTGAGTCAGCTAACACCCTGGTGGTCTATTTCTACACGGTGTATCCCTTTTAGTGAGGAGAAATCTTGGCCCAACTGATCTGCTCAAGGAGAGTTTATTTTCTTATTTCTATTTAAAAGAATAGTTTTTGGCAGATGGATTCTCAGGGCATTTTGTATGTTTGGTTCAACTGTTCACACTGATGTGATGCCTGAGACGTCACATCAGTGTGAACAGTTGAACCAAACATACAAAAATCAAATGAGATGGGTGAATCTGGATGAAGTTCAGCAGGATTTTCCATTGATAGGGGGAGCAAAAATGACTCCTAAACTACTTACTTGAAAAAAGCCATACACACATATAGATAAACATCGAATAGCTCTTTGGGTCATCTCTATTCTGGGTCAGATGGGATTAAGCTATAAGAGAAGAAGATTGCCTTGCTAGTTAGTATTCATAGTTAAGCATGAGGTAAACGTTTATTACATTGTTGAAAGTAAATGTTATAAAATGAGGGCTTAAGGGAGGAAGTTATGTTTCTGGGGACACAGTATTAAGCTTCTTTCCCCCTTTTCTGATTAAACAAGAAACTCTAGTGGGTGTTTTATTTTTTTCTGCTTTATAGGTTTTCTTTATTCTGACATATGGAAAACAGCTTTTAACTACTAGTGAATAATCGATTTTTCATTACAATTTTATTAACAGTAAGTAATTAATCAGTTTCACAATTTTATTTAGAATGTTGGTTTAAATATCTGGCTGTAATTTTTTTCAGTCCAGATGAAAATCTGTAAACCAACCATGTTTCAAATTGGCCCCTTAACCAATGAACTGATTTTCTTAAGAGAGAAAGCTTAGAAATTTTCTAATTAGTTCTAAGACCTGATTTTCTATGGCTCACTGCTTCATGTATTCTACTTCTTCAAATTATGCTGTAGGAAATGTCTTTAGAGCTTGGTGTTTTCTATTGATCTTTACAATTGTTCTCACTAATTTAGAAGCTAACTGTGCAGTGATTTTTCAAGAATGCACTGGAGCCTTGAGTCAGCACATACTCCTGTCCACCAAGCTAGGGGGCAAAGATTCTTGTGGCCCCTCATCCTAAGGCTCCATGCATGAGAGTAGCATGCATGAACTCCAACTGCCAGTTCATTTCCTCCATGGAACTCTCCTATTAGCCTGCAGTTCGTGCCTTAAATGCCTCTTCCTCTTAAAGAGCTGAGAGGGGATTTTTGTAGCATGAGCTTACCTGAGAAACTAAAGATCATTAATTAGAAAGGTGCTTCTGGGCAACAGGAAAATTTTCACTGGAAAGGTTTCAAATCTAAGAAAGTAATTAATTTCTCTGCGGAAGAGGATCATGATTTTCTCTTCTGGTGCCCTTCACTATTGCAACTGAATGGTTTATGCCACAACAGAGGGAATTTGACTCCTCTCTCATTAACCCTCATAGTTTGGCTCCCTGTGTTCCATCTCCTTTTCTCTTCCATTTTGGCCTTCTAGGGGATTGGGAGACAATATTTTATTTTTTGTGAGGAAAAGTTAAGGAATATGTTTGAAGGAGTATGTGCAATACGTAGTTCTTTTTTGTTGTTTTTGTTTTTCTTTTTTTGAGATGGAGTCTCACTCTGTTGCCCAGGCTGGAGTGCAATGGCGTGATCTTGGCTCACTGCAACCTCCGTCTCCTGGGTTCAAGCGATTCTCCTGCCTCAGCCTCCCGAGTAGCTGGGATTACAGGCATGCGTCACCACTCTGGGCTAATTTTTGTATTTTTAGTAGAGATGGGGTTTCATCATGTTGGCTAGGGTGGTCTTGAACTCCTGATCTCAGGTGATCCACCCGCCTTGGCCTCCCTAAGTGCTGGGATTACAGGCGTGGGCCACCAAGCCTCGCCAAGCATATTCTTATGTTTCCTGCTTTCCCTCCTTTTTATACAAAGGTAGCATACTATATATACATTTTTTGTACTGACATAAAAATTACTCCGTATCAGTTCATACGTATTCTCTTCATTCTTTTCACTGTTATATCATATTTCACTGTGTGTTTGTGCCATAGTTAATTCATTCAATCTCTTACATTAGGGCTTTTAGGTACTTTCCAATATTTTTTAGTTGCAAATAATGTGGCAATAAATAACCTCATATTGTTAGAGGTGCAACTTCCGGGTAAAATCCTAGAAATGGGATTGTTGGATTAAAAGGCAAATATGTATGCAGTTTTGTTAGATATTGTCAAAGCCCTCTCTATAAGGGTTATATCATTTTGCATTCCTGTTGGTGTTGTATGAGAGTGATTTTCTTCCCAAACCTCATCAACAGAGTATATTGTCAAGCTTCTAAATTTTTGCCAATTGGAAGGGTGAAACATGGTATCTCAGTATAATTTTAATTTTTATCATCTACTATGAGTAAAGTTGAACATTTTTTTCATATGGTTAGAGTCATTGTTAAGTCTTTCTTTTTTGGTGAGTTGACTGTTCATGACTTTTGTTCACCTTTCTATAGGATTTTTGTTCATTATTTCTTTTTATATCAGAAATACTAATTCTTTCTCTGCACTATATCTCACAGATTTTTCTCCCAATTTGGCATTTGTCTTTTGATTTTGCTTGTGGTGTTTTATGTCAAGAAAATATCTTTATTTTTATGTAGTTAAATATATCAATTTTTTTGAATTGTGTCCAGATTTTGAGTCATGGTTATTAAGTCTTTCCCTACAGCCAGGTTATAGAAGTTAATGTGTTTTCTTCTAGTATTTATGTTGTTTCATTTTGTTTTGTTGTATGTGTCAAGAGTGAATTAAATTTTATCTTTTATCAATGGCTATTAATTGTTCCAAAGCAATTTATTAAAACATTCAATTTATCTTTACCCCAGTAATTTGAGAAACCACCATTATAAAATATTTTATCAAATACTTTATCACATTTCTTTAAAAAAAATGTTCATATATAATTGAGTTTGTTCCTTGACTTTTTATTCTAGTCCGTTGGTCTGCCTGTCTATTCAGTCACCAGTACTACACTGTTCCATAGTACATTATAACATCTAGTAGGGCTCGTACCCTCTTATAGCTTTTTTCTTTCAATACTTTCCAAGTGTTCTTGCATGTTTACTTTTTCTTTATTTATAAAGCCCAGTCATTTTAGAAGGACTATTTTATTCAGTTTTTCCATGTATACAGTTGGATATTCTTTTTCGGGGGCATTGGAGGGGCTTGAGATAGGGTCTTGTTCTGTTGCCTAGGGTAGAGTGCTGTGGCATGACCATAAATCACTGCAGCCTCAAACTCCTGGGTTCAAGGGATCCTCGTGGTTCAGCCTCCCAAGTAGCTGGGACTACAGGCATGCACAACCACACCCAGCTAATATTTAAAAATTTTTTTAGAGATAGAGTTGCCTTGCTATGTTGCCCAGGTCTCAAACCGCTAGCCTCAAGTGACCCTTTGTCCTCGGCCTCCTGAAGTGTTGGGTTTACAAGTAGGGGTCACTATTCCTAACTGTGACATTTAAGTTATCTCTTATTTCTAGAAAGTTTTTCTTGATTATATTTACAAATTTTGGTTCTGTTTTATTGTTTTGTGTTTATTCTTCAGGCACTCCTATTACATGTATGTTGGACCCCCTTCCTCTCTATTTTCTCTTTTAAGCATTTTTCTCTTTTACTCCTTTTAAAAAAAATCTTATTTTCATTCTCTTGGTTGTCATTCTTCCCTTTTGACATCTCTAATTAAATATTTATGTAAATGTATTCTCTTTTGGGCATCATGTAATTTATTCTTCTTTTCTGAGATGGTTTGCCTTTTACTTCAACTTCTTTCGGTGTTTAATCACTGTTTAATCACCTCCTATGCATATTTTCCCTGCAAGTTTCATTTTATTAAAAAAGGCTTCTAGATTTTGAATTTTTACATTTAGTCTCTAAAAAAAATTCAAAATGCTCATTTAATGCTATTTAATTCAGCTGGGAGTATTGTATTATACTCTTCTATCTCATGGCTTTTCTTTTTGAGAGGAGGGGAAGAATTTTCATCAGCTGAAATGCATTATCTCTTTTCCTTGTACAGTAGCTTTGTGTGGAGTTAGCCTTAACTTTTCTATTCTGAGGCATATTTTGGATAGGGTTCCGAATTCAAAAGTGCCTTTCCTGAGGTATAGTAATGTGCAATCTCTTTAATCAATGATGTTGGTAGTGGAGGTATTGGTGTTTACTTTTTCTCTTTTTTTCTGCAGAGTTTTTAATATCTTCTTCTTCCTTATTTATTTTTCTTCAAGAAATAAGGGGCCATGCTTCTCAGAGGCACCATCTTTTCTCTATTTATGTGATTCTCCCATAGAAGTGTGCTTCTTGGATATTTTCATGCTCTATCCTACTTACCTCTAAGCCCCTTCCCTGCAGCTGGTGCTATGAATTACCAAGTCTTGTTTTTCAGTATTTTATGACTTGGTCTTGGACTTTCTCTTTCTAATTTTGTCTGTGCTTAGCTTCAGTCCTCTGTTCTCCCCTCCTCTTTTTCACTGAGTCTCTTATGCTTCCCCTTGTTCACTCTTCAAATTCATAAGCTTGCAATGGTTGGGGAGCTTTGTTGAAATGTGGTGTTTATTTCTTTACTTATGGTAATTTTAAGTTCATGGCATTCTGTGTCTCTGAGCAATGTAGATGGGCCGTGTGCAGTTTTGTTTATATTCCTTGTTAATTTTACTTATTTTGTTTAAAAGAGCATTTGTGGAGAGATTTGGATTCAGGCGAATGTCATTATTTCCAGACCTGGAAATCTTCATCTGAAAAGATACTTTTAAATTAACTATTTCAAAGAGTGAATATGTCAAGCAGTTCGATATGTTATGCTCCTTGTCCCTTTCCAGGGAAAAGGTTTTCTTATTAATTATGGGAAAACTAAAATCCCACTAAGATTCTCCCACTAAAAGCTTGAGCTTTATTTAGTAGAAGCAGTATAGAGGATGTGGAAAGTTCTGGAACTGGACATTATTTCTTCTTCTCTTGGATCTCTTTGAAAACTTTCTTCTGAAAGTGCTCTCTTTTCTTTATCATGCTCAGCAGATGAGGTTTGGGGGTGACTTGTACCAACGCTGGTACTCCAGGATGGCCAATTAGGAAAGAAAACCCAGGCTAGGTGTTTTATGTCAATTCTAGTTTAGTGTCAGAGAAAATCAAAATTTATGCATTTTGCTTTCTTCTCTTTCTATAGAAATGGTAAGATCTATGGTGTCAATCTCAGGGTGTGGGCTTAAGAGAAAGCAAGTGTGAACCTGAATCCATGGACTTTAGTTGGATGGAAAGATAAGTTTTTGAGGCTCATATGTGGTCCATCACAACTCTATAGAGAAAAGTATTGAGAAAAAATTGACACCATTTTCTTGCCCCCACCCCATGTAGACACTTGCCTCCCATCTCCACTCAACTTTTATACTATTTTCTCTATTCTTATAAGATAATGATTGTTTCATCCTGTTGAATACCAATTGTTTCCATCTGGGCCCTGATATAGCTGCTGCTGCATCCGCCAGTTTCTTCCATTCTGTCTCCTGAATCTTCAACATTCATTCTATATCAATCACTTGCCCTTTAATGGTTTCTTCTTGCCCTACAAACCTGCTTAAATTTTTATCATCCTTAAAAATCTTTAAAATAAATTCTTCCCTTATGTTACCCTATAGCTACCATCTAATCTATCTCTTCCCCTTCTTATTTAAAATTCTCACAAGAGTGGTCCATATTTGCTGCATTTAATTCCTCTTCTCCCATTTATTTCTCTCCTCTACGTTCTTCTACCTGTGTCCTAGGATTCATCAAAATGCCTCCCTTTAATGTCACCCATAACTTCCAAGTTCCAATTCTAACAACAGTGTTCAATTCTATCACTAGAATTCTGTGGTCTCTGGCTTCTATGATATTGCACAAACCAGTCCTTACAGTTTTTTGACTGGGCCTTCCTGGTTTTTCTCTGTGAACTTTCTTTAGGGGAGTGACCAGAGGGACATTCTATATGATCACTGCATTCTTAATAACCCACACTAATCTTTTGCCTCACTCAGTGCCTGAAAGGGAGCAGAAGCTCAACATTATTAAAAACACTGCATACGTAAAATAAAATCTATCTTCAAGCTGTGACCTTCAATGTTTGACCATTACTGTAATTAGGCCTAGCTAGGGCTATGGGCCTCAATTACTCTCTAGTCTCATAGTTCACTCAGCAGTCATTTAAAATGAGGAGATTTCACAGACAAATCTAGATTTTAAACTCTCTTGCTTAATACGAAGCTCCAGCAATATTGGGCTGGCATTTCTTCAAAGCAGCTTGTCACAAAATTGAGTAACTACTACTCTCTTATTGATAGGCATGTGCTCTCAAGCTTAATTTGATTCATTAATTTACCTTTCCTGCCTGGAGCATTATAATTTGGCGCCCTTATTTAAATCTGTTATCTATACCCAAACTTCACTCTATTATCCTTGATATCTCAAGGAAGTAATGATGACTCTGGGTAGGTGTCTGATTAGAAATAAATGGACTTGGTGTACTGAACACATTTACTCCTAATAGTTAGAGCTTCCATATATGTTGATTGGTTGACTTAGCATGCATGTGACTTATAAAGGACATTAGGAAATTTTAGTCCAGAAAAGGAACTAGAAAGTCAAGTCCCAGTGATCTGTGTTTTAAAGACAGGACCATTACAAGCATACAATAACACTATGTTAGTCAGTGCAGGTATATCATATTAAAAACAAACAAACAAAGCACAAAACATAAAAATTTGAACGTATGAAGCAAAGACATTATAGCTTGATAATTTTTGTTACACATGTTTCAGTTCTTTTTATAAAAGGAACTAGTGCTATGAACTTTTGAGTAGTAATTACCAAGCCCATCTAAGGTATAATTTTACTTACAAATAACTGTTGGAATTTTTTAATTGAATTCAATACTAACACCCATTATTTTAAATACTAAGCATTTAAATGAAACATATAAGTATTTCAGAAAAATCTATTGAATTATTTTGTTTTAATACAGCAACTATGCTTATTCCATCTTCTGCTTTTTAATTTGGGCTCATATATCTTTATATAGTTGTGATCAATGAGTTCTATAACATTGCTTTCTACTTTTTCATTTAGCATTGTTTTATATAAGCATTTATCTGCCTATATTTCATTTAAACTACTTATTGGCATCATAATATTCTCTCAAAACAATATGTTGCTGTGCCTTATTTTGGAGGCTTATATTGTCTTCAGTTTTTCAATGGTGTAGTAATAGTAATACAAATGTCTTTTGATAATTAAAAGAAGTTTCCTTGATTTTCTCCCATTCCTTCTTAAAAAATTTTTTTCTTCTGCAATCATAGCCACTGTAACCCTGAATACTTGGGCTCAAGGGATCCTTCTGCCTCAGCCTTCTAAGTAGCTGGGACTACAGGCATGTGCCATTATGCTAGGCTAATTCTTTTATTTTAATTTTTGTAGAGATGGGGGTCTCGATATGTTGCTCGGGGTTTTCTTCATATCTGGCCTCAAGCTATCTTCTTGCCTTGGCCTCCCAAAGTGCTAGGATTATAGGCAGGAACCACCACACCCAGCCAAATTTTGTCATTTATTGTCTTTTTTTATGGCTTCTTTAGCTGACCTTGGACCTTAACTGTCATCCAGGTCTCTGAATCAACCCACTTGGAAATGTTACATTTCTGGTGTCATTCAAGTGTTGCTTTTATTCAGAGAATTCTCACAATGCATAAATGCAGGCCCTTATGAAGTACATACTGTGGATCAGGATCTCTTTCAGGAGATACAGTGGTAAACTGAGTAAGGTTTCTGTCTTCACAGGCTATCCAGTCTAGAAGAGGCATTCAAGACATTATAGACATTCAAGTACTCTTGCAATACAATGATATGGGTTTTGTACAAAGAAGACACAAAGAAGAGGTTGGTTAATTCTACTGAGTGAGGGATGATCAGGAAAGGTTAAGTAGAGATGGTCATATTTGGTTTCAGTATTGAAATATAGACAGTTGTTCACTAGCTAGAAGGAATGTAGCGTATAATAGGGGAGATGTGGAGAGAAGGGATTTCAAGTAGAGAGAGTTACCCAATCAAAGATACTGAGATGCAAACAAGATAGACTATTCAGACAATTCCATATATTCTTCTTGGCTGGAACTCTTGAGAAGGAAATAAGGGTACGATTATAGGGGAGAGGGGCTTAAGCTCTATATAAACTATGAAAATAGTAATTAAAGAATTACAAGTACAGGTATAACATGATAATGTGATTTGCATTTCAGAAGATCATTATAATAGTTATATGGAAGAAAGCTAAAACGGGATCCAGGCCAGAGACAGTGGAGCCAGATAAGAGACTATTGTCATAAATATTAAGGAGGAAAAATCAACTAGGATTTGGTCACTGATTGGCTGCAGTCAATGAAGTAAAAGAAAGAGGTAAAGATGAGTTCCAGGTTTCTGACTTCAGTGATAACAAATATTTGTCCAGTGAAAATGAAAGGCATGGATCATGATTCTAACCAAGATAGAAAATAAAGATATTGAATTTAGTTTTGGCCAGTCTAAATTGGAGGTCCAGTGTCAGATGAGTGGTTTGATATATGCTGATACTGGAATTCTGGAGAGAGTCCTGGGCAGAAATTATAGAACTGTGCTGTCAGCCTTGAGCATGTCCTTATTTCCAATTGTTGTAGGACATGTCTACCTAGATATTCTACCATCACCTGAAATCCAGCTTAATCTAATTCGAACTCATCAGTTTTTCACCCAAGATAATTTTCTTAACTCTCTCACAATTAACTGTGGCACTAAGACACCCACCTCTAGTCTCTAAGCAGTAGAGGTAAGCTTAGACTTTTCCTCCTCATTGTTATTGGTAAACTTGCCTATTATCATGTTCTGTAATGTCTTTCTTCAAAATTTCTCCAGTGAAAATTTCTAGGTGTCCAGAAATTTAGGCTTCAGTCCTGATTCTGTTGCTAACTGGGAAGTTGATCAACTTGTACAAACCATATAATCATTCTAAGTCCTAGCTTCTACCTCTGAAAAAAGAAGGACTTTGAATTAGTCAGCGGATTCCCTTCCAGATATTGAGTCATATATGTTCCTTCATTATTCTGAAGGGATTCTTTGTGATTCGTGTGTCTCCAAATGGATGTCCCGGCTTTTGGTGTCATTCCCACTCAATCTTATGCTTATAATTACCACCTGAAGCTTCCTTAAATGCACATCTTTCAAGAACTAACCTAATGGCTTCCTTTTGCCTATCAAGTCTGCCTTGTTTGTCAGCTTACCAAGATTCTACAAAATGATTTCTACCTAGCCAAATGAATCCATCATTACTTTTTAACATCATCCCTGATATACAGTCAGTAGACTTCTGACTGATTTCCCCTCAGAATTTAATCATGATCTTTACCCCCCTTGAAAATCTAGTACTCTTCCCTCTGAATCCTAAGTCATGTTTCAAATACCAACTCAAGTCCTGTCTTCCAGGGGGATTATCCTGAACCACTCCAAACGTCAGTGTTCTTGCCTCTGTTTCCAAGAGCATTTGTATTCTGTGGCATGATTTACCACTTAAATTTATTTATAGGCTTGGTTTTGAATGATTTCTGTGTGGGGACCACCTTCTGTGTCTGCCACAGCCTACCAGAGTGTGAAGCCCAACACACCATAAGTACAGGTTGGTTTACTGGCTTTCAGGAACACACATGTTACAATAAGGGACAGGCCATAACCGCAATGTTTGAAAAACCAAAACAAAATGACAAAGCCAGACTTCTGTCGGAGGGATGACTTGTAAGATGATAAAAAAAAAATTATACACCAGAACAGACATGGGAAATTGAAGAACTGAATTGGTCTATTAAATATAAAATTAACTCTTGAATTCTTTTTGGTTTACTTACATGCAATTGACAAATTGAGCACTTGGGGTTCAAATATCTTCATTACAAATTGTACATCTAAGAACTGAATCATCTATGCTACCACAATATCAGATCAGTTTTAAGAATGCCACTTTTAATTACTGGAGAAATTAAGTACAATTTCAAACTTTATATTGTTTTACAGGTCAAAGTATAAAAATAGATTCCATGACTTTGTGAAGAAGGCAGCCACAAAGTAAACCATAACATACTTGGTTAGGTCCTTGGGTAAAATTTGGCTGAGTTTTGAAATGTGAATGCCTCTTTGAACTTCACAATTTATTTCTGTTACATTAGGATTCAAAAGAAAAGAGAACTTATTTGCTACACTTTATCTTTTCTCCATATCTGTCATCAAACACTTATCTGTTTTTGCAATTATTATTTAGGGTTTTTGTATTTTGTCAGGCACCTTGAAGTAATTTTAATTATTATGACAAACATGTAGCATAAATACTCTATGATTCTATATGAATTTCTATATGACTTTCTCTGATATCTTTGAGTTTGTGGTTATTGCCTACTTAAAAGAAAGTTTAGGCCATGTCACTGCCTTCAAAAAGTTTAAAGTCTTCTACATTAACAATGCACCACAGAGCAAAGACAGGCCAGCCTACGTTCAGAATTTAAATTTAAACTCTCATGGGCCTAAGACAGGTTACTAAAGAGAATCATGATTCATATTCTTTGTTCTCTAAGGTGGAACAAGTGTCTAGACTCTTGAGAGCTGGATGTCAGCAGGCTTTAACACAGTGATTCTCAGTGTAGAAAAAGTGGTAGAAAGCTGCCTCAACGACTGAAAAACTGAGGGGGAAAAAGCTGTCTCCTAAAACACAGGAGACCCAGAGAAGACGAGGTATGGCAGAGACCTTGTGGTTTCCATCTGTTCAAGAAAAACTTGAGTAAACATTTTAGTTGGTTTCCATTCCCTGCCCCATCTTGGTGTTTGTATACCATTCTCTGCATCTGCATTCTATATTCCTATTAACTGACAGAAATCTTCTTTTCTGTGATTTGAATGTGATTCTACAGCCCACTTGTCATATATGATAATAACACCATCATTGATTAATGTTTTACAGTTGGCAAAGCACTTTTACAGATGTTATTGCATGTGACCCTTATGGTAAGCCTATGATGTAGGTAGGAAAGACATTATTTTACTCACAAATAATTTTAAGCTCAGAGTACTTGATTTATTGTGTCCAAGATCATAGAGCTTATAGAATTATGTTGGAACTGGAACCTAAAATATTTCTATTATTCTTTAAGTTCTATTACCAACTTACTAATGATGACATTTGTGGGTGACTTTGATTGACGGAAAAATAGCAATAAAGATGTGAAAAGACTCCCATTCGTGGAAGAATAGGAATGAGGACTGAGAGTCCCCCTGTGGTCCTTTTCTGATTTAATCATAGAATTGTAGGATTTGATAATTAATAAACCAATGGGTGGGTATCATTTTTTAATATACAAAAAGCCCTACACTTACCTGAGCTCTTGATTTAGGAGACCCTGGAGAAAAATATATATTGTTTCCAAATAGTTTCAGAGAGGGGGCTCTAGTTTCTCTCAATATAACCCTTTCTGGTCTTAAGTTCCTTTATCACCAAATACTCATTTCTATCTAACCCAAATCCTGACTGCTGTCATTTGAGCCCAAATCCTTTTGTTCAGTAGGAGCTAGTGTAAACTTTTTATTTATAGCTTTGGAAAGGTGCAGGAAATATATTTGAATGATTTCTGACTGCTGACAAGCCTTAACAACCGATAGTCCTAGGCACTGAACTGAATGTCTCTTGGCAGGGACGGCTGTTTTGAGGGGAAAAGACAGAAACCGGCAAGAAAAGTTTTTTCATGCAGGTGTGATTTTATGATGGAATGTTATGACAGAAACCAACCAAGTGTCCTTTGTATGGTTTACGATGTCATCAGCTCCTAGGCTGAGATTTCTTTCTCATTACTCATGTTTATTTGGCTTAGAGCAAATTAAAAATCAGACAAGGAAATTGTAATATAATTTTGATTTTGCAGATGTAATCTGACTCCTGAGCAACTTGAGATAAGTTTGCTTCTTTTATTTGTGCTATTGAATTATGTTCTTAAAAATGTTTTTGCTTCACGAAGGTGGAAATTGTTCTTTGTCTGTATGGCTTGTGCAATTTTGAGCACTCTATCACCACTTGATATTAACAGCAAACAAGAAATGCTCTGCATATTACAGTTATTTTTCTAGCTTCAAAGAGTTTAAAGGTAGGATTTAAAAAAATCAGTTTACTCTGAAGAAAAAATTGCAGCTGGAATTCTCTCATTGTGGTACACACTGATGCATTTCTTTGATTTTTTTTTTTTTTTTTTTTTTTTGATACAGTATCTCACTCGTTGCCCACGCTGGAGTGCTGTGGTGCAATCTGGGCTCACTGCAACCTCCGCCTCCCAGGTTCAAGCAATTCTCCTGTCTCAGCCTCCCCGGTAGCTAGGACTACAGGCATCTGCCACCACGACCAGCTAATTTTTGTATTTTTTAGTAGAGATGGGGTTTCATCTTGTTGGTCAGGCTGATCTTGAACTTCTGACCTCAGGTGATCCACCCCCGCTCGGCCTCCCAAAGTGTTGAGATTACAGGCATGAGCCACTACACCCGGCCAATATTGTTTTTTTCAATCTTACAGTAAATGGGGTAAAATTCATGGAAACAGTTTTTTTTTTTCTTCCCTCCTGGAGTTCCAGTTTGTTATCATGCCACGGTAAATGCCGGAAACAGGTATCCCTTTAAGAGCAATTGTAGTCTTCACACCTTTCTTATGAGTGGTTACCTTGCCATTGTAACTTGTGACCCTGCCCCCAACCAAATCTGAATGGACTTGTTGTGAGCATCTGGCCAAAAGGCAGCATCTATAGGCAGATTAGTCTATATCTTTTGATGTTTACCTCTCAATTCCTCTACCCTAATGTTTTATAAGCAGCATGCGTGCACATATGTACACATACACGATTACTTTTCCTACATCTCCAGGTCCTCCTTATTATCTATTTGTAACCCTATGCCATCCACTTACTAGCCAGTGCCTGACTTTCTACTTTTCTTTGCAAATTTGCTTCCTATGGCATTGTGCACTCCTTCTCCCTTTTCTCAGCCCCTCCTTTCACCCATCACAAGCATTTCCAAATTAAAAAAAAAAAATTAGAAATTGGTATCTGTGAATGTCATTTCAAAGTTTAATAGCAGTTGTGAGTGGATAGCATCTCTGCTTGGCATATGAGCATTAGATATGACTCAACCTTGAGTCATGGACGTATAAAGCATGTATTCAAATCAATTTTCTTTTTGTCAGTATCTCTTGCAGTTATTGATTGAATTGTATCCTCTCCAAATTCATATGTGGAAGTGCTAACTCCCAATGTAACTATATTTGGGATGGTGACTTCAAGGAGGTGATGAAGGTTAAATGAGGTAATAAGGGTGGGGCCCTAATCTAAAAGGACTGGTGTCATAAGAAGAGACATCAGGAGCACGCATGCACAGAGAAAAGGCTATGTGAGGACACAGTGGGAGGACGTCACCTGCAAGCCAGGAAGAGAGGACTCGCCAGAAACCTACCCTGCTGGCATATTGGACTTTCATATTCCAGATCTGTGATAAAATAAATTTTATTTATTTAAGCCACTAGTCTGTGGTATTTGTATGGCAGTCTTAGCAGACTAATACACTTAGATAAGGCTTGAGTTTCAAAACATGATTTTAGTAGAATTAGACTTGAACAACTCAAAATGATATACTTAATTCTGATCAGCATCATTGTTGATACATAATTGATTCAATCCTGTTATTATGACACCTGGGGGCTGTAAGTTAAACACTGATTTTAGTGGGAATGTGATTAGACCTTTGGCCCATTGTTCATATGTGCTAGGTAATTAAGTTAAAAATACTTGTTCAAGGCCGGGCGCAGTGGCTCACGCCTGTAATCCCAGCACTTTGGGAGGCCAAAGTGGGCGGATCACAAGGTCAGGAGATCGAGACCATCCTGGCTAACACGGTGAAATCCCGTCTCTACTAAAAATACAAAAAAATTAGCTGGGCATGGTGGCAGACACCCGTAGTCCCAGCTACTCGGGAGGCCGAGGCAGGAGAATGGCATGAACCTGGGAGGCAGAGCTTGCAGTGAGCCGAGATGGCACCGCTGGACTCCAGCCTGGGTGACAGGGCGAGACTCCGTCTCAAAAAAAAAAAAAAAAAAAAAAACTTGTTCAAAATCTCATGTAGGACACACTTTGGGGTCTGCATTTGTCCTGACCACTCTGTCCTGAGATGTAGAGCATTTCAATCTCTGACTTAGGAATAATATTGATTTTGATCAGAAACTGTAAATATTCATGGCCTAGTACCCTTACTTAAGAGGATATATGATATAACATGATCTATCTAGCTTGGGGTTTCAAGGTGATTGTTGATGATTGCTCTATTAGTGATTGGTTTTTTTAAACTTGAGTCTGTAACCTCATTAATTTAGCTGGTATATAGAGAGCACATATTGAAAATCAAGTTCAGCTTTAAAAATGATAAAATAAAAAATTTGAAAATATAAATTGTAAGTTACATTTCACATACACAACACAAATCAGAGGCTCAGACATATAATGTAGGTTTAAGTTTGATTCTAGTACTTGTAACACGAGATAACTTTTGGCGATGATTCATGCACCTGTGCACAGCCTTGTAAGATATGCCTATGCCTTCTCTGAAGCTCTCTGCAGGGGACTGTATCAGCCAGGCTTCAGCCAGCAAGCAGAGGCCCTATGAGTATCATGGAAATAAGAGATTTCTTATAGGAATTAGATATGACACAAATGTGGGAGGAACTGGGGAAGTAAGGTCCAGAGGAGGAGTTGGAGGATCAGAGAAGGAGTCACTAGCCAGTATGTCTGAAGTACTGGCCATGATGGATAAGGGCGAGCTGGCAGGGAAATCTATGTTGCCTAATCTGAGAAGGCAAGCACATGCAGCTGCCTCAGTAGGACCAGGGAGAAGTGTGTGACTACTTTCCAAGAGTCAAGGCTGTTGCTTTACCTCTGTCTTCCAAATCTCACACAAGTTCCTCTTTTGGCCAACTTTAACCTGGAAGCTTCGGGGTTCTCAGCTTAACCAAGTTGACATAGTACAGCACAGCCTAGCACAAGACTATCAGTTTCTACAGGGTTCTGTAGACAGAGATGATGCTTGTGGTGTAGAACCTGCATCATTCTAGGGCTACCACTTGAGGGCCATTGAAAGGTATGCCTGCTAACAAATATCCCCTGCCCTGTGGTACACTTGCTAACAAATATCTTCTGAACTGTCTTCACTGGTGCCCACAGTTCTCACCATGAGTCTCTATTTTGGGTTAGGGTATTATGCTCATAAAAATTCCCAGTAAAAATGAAAAATCTTACTGAGAGAGTTAATACATGAAACCTATTACTTCATGATATATTAAAATACTTGATCACCACCCAGGCATGGTGGCTCATGCCTGTAATCCCAGCACTTTGGGAGGCTGAGGCAGGTGGATCACCTGAGGTCAGGAGTTTGAGACCAGCCTGGCCAACATGGTGAAACCCTATCTCTACTAAAAATACAAAAATTAGCCGGCGTGGTGGCACACACCTGTAATCCCAGCTGAGGAGGCCTACTCAGGAGACTGAGATAGGAGGATAGTTTGAATCTGGGTGGTGGAGGCTTTAGTGAGCTGAGCTCGTGCCACTCTACTCCAACCTGGGTGACAGTGAGACCCAGTCTCAAACAAACAAACAAACAAATAAACAAACAAACAACAAACTTGATCGCCTTGCTGGTCCAACATCTGAGAAGCTTTGGGTAGAGGAAATGGCAAAAGCTCTAGTGTTATTTCAGAGGATAAGGGTGGTGGAAGCCCCTAAACATACAGGAAGTAAATAAATGGAGAAGAAAGGATGTAAAAGTGGAATATGCCCACTTAACCTTACTTCCTACTAATAATTTGCTTAGAAGTCACCTCTCCACTATACTGCTCAAGGATAAAATTACAAATAGTATTTGTGAGATGTTAATATTCATATTTAGGTCCATGAAGTTAACTCTGGAATCATTTTCAGTTTGAAAAGGTATGTGTTTGTGCAATGATTTGTTCTTTGGTCTCTGGAAAAATCAACTTATTTTCAGGTTGTCCAGTTTTCACAGATATTATTTTAATTTAGTTTTGCCTGATTCTGTCATAAATCTTGGAATCAAACTTTAGGACCGGCGTGTTTATTAGGTTTCCCTTCTTTTCCCTCCCTGTCCTTTATTTTCTTTTCTGATGTGATTCTTTAAACAAAATGCAGTGGTGATTTCTGTCTCTGACCTCTGGCAAACTGTGGTCTCCTGCAAATTGGCTTAAGTGCTCTCCCTTCAGTGGGCAAGATAACAGAGACAGAGGCACCTGGAGACAGCTACTCATGTTCTGGTGACTGTGAGATGTGATGTACAAGAGCAAAATTAGGCAAACATGATAGATTGACATTGAGGACACTTGAGATGAACAACTTCTTCTAGTTTAAACATGCGACAGCAAGATAAATGAGTAAGGAAAATTGACAGTCACTTATACCTGCAGGCATCAGCAGCCATCTCAGCTAGGCTGCTGACAAAAGGTCGCAGCTCACCTGCCATGGAGACAGCCAACAGTGAGGCTACAAATAATTTGTTTTAAAACATTGTTTAGATACTTCATACTGTTTGGTGACAGAGGAGTGTCTGATTTCCTCTCCCTCATCCTCTCCCACCCCTTGACTCTTTAGCTCACTTGCGAGTATGCACGTGCCCTCTCTTTCTAAAATCATGCAGAAGCAATAAATCAGCCAGTTTAGGAAGACCCAGCCAGCCCAACACAGATCGATTTCACAGGGAAGTCGATGGGCTGCTAATAGAATTACAACTACCTGTCAAAACAGGAAAAACATATCTGTGACAGTGACAAAGGGCAAATCAATTTAAGAAGAGGTTTTTTCTTCCAGAAACATAGATGTGGAGTACATGGATGTCTCTGAGAGTCTGTAATTGTGAATAGAAACTATATACTTGGACCGTTACAGCTCAGGTTATGTCAATGATTCTGGGAGAGCATACTGACTCCTTTTGCTTTTTATTCTAGGGGTTTGCCTGGTAACTGTAACAATTTGCTCTGTAATAGAATATAGCAGAGAGCAGCTGCCTGAAAACACATTTTATTAACTGTGTTACCCAAATAAGTTGGCCTGGTCCATTAAATAAGTTATATTTCCACAAACTTTCTATTTTCATATGTTTGTGGAAATTTAGACAAGGAGCTGTGCATTGCCAAGGATATCAGTCTGGCAAATCTTTATCTTGTAAGTCAACTTGATCATTTTCAGAGACCCTATAAAACTGCGGTAATGTGTCTTTTACTAGCAGCAACTTCTATGTTCAGGCTTAGTTTCTTGCAAAGGGAATCTTAATCCTGAGTACAACTGCCAAGTTAAACCCATTGTGACTTAATGTGGGGCTCTTTTAGGTCAATGACTAAATTTTTAAATATTTAATATGCATGAATTTAGCCCAGAACCATGGATTTTCTGCAAAACAAACAAAAAGTGATTCTATGTGACAACAGAATCTGACTTGTCATTGTAATCAGGAAATGCACTGGGCTGCATAGTCACCAAAGCTCAGTAACCAAATGTAGCCCTAGTAAGCATGTTGCTGCTCCCTTACTAGAGCAGAGCTGCTGTGTGACAATATAGACAGGTTAAGAAACATGGTTGTGGAATCAGGTACGTCTGTGTTCTGGTCTGCTACCTGCCACTTCGCTGCATGACTTGGGTAAGGTGCTTAACCCCTCCAAGCCTGTTTCCCGTTTCCCATTCTGTACCGTGGGGCTAGTAATAGTGCTAACCTCATACAGTTGTTACCGTATATATCCATGGCCCGACTATGCAGAAGGAGGAAACTGTGACATCACTCATTCCTGTAATCTTCCTTCTACTTATGACTAGACCAAGCAGAGAATGATCCAACTGGCTTTTTTTGTTTTTGTTTTTGCTCTAGGAAATCAGGTGATGGCTTCTCAGGCTGTGTTTAAGTTAACAGATGTATAAGAAGAACTATGTCCTCTCTCCTCCCCTTTATATGCATACCCTTCCCTTGACATGTATCTCAAGGATTTTACATGTTCTTCTATTGTCATTTCCACCTCTACCTTTAGAGAACTGTCTCACCCTTTGGCCTTCACAGCCTGGGAAATTAGGGAAGGGGGGACAGCGAACTGCATGGTATTAACTCTGGTACCTTGTGTTTGCTGGGTGGTGGCTTTTTGCCTGGCATTGAGGGCCAATGATTCATCCTCCTGGCTCAACCTGACCTTGCTGACTATAGCTGTCATGTGTATAAACTTATTTCCTTCCCCATCCCGCAGTGGGGTGAAAAATAAATGCAAGAACAAGATTTTAATTACTTTCCAAGTGTGTTAGATATAGTAAATGACATTTAAAAAATTCTCCTCTTCCAGACTGTACGCTGATCAGAGTTGCATTCCACAAGGACTTAGTAATAAGACTGTGGTTGGCCCAACTGTTTCAGAATGATGCCTGGAAAGATGGGCGATAACCTAGTATGTTCCTCCAATCTCAGCTTACAATGGCATACTCTCACTTGGGTCCAAACTCTGTTAGCATTTTGATTTTTTAATTTTTATTTATTTATTTATTTATTTATTTATTTTTATTTTGAGACGGAGTTTTACTCTTGTTGCCCAGGCTGGAGTGCAATGGCACAATCTCAGCTCGCTGCAACCTCTGCCTCCTGGGTTCAAGCGATTCTCCTGCCTCAGCCTCCCGAGTAGCTGGGACTACCGGCATGTACCTCCATGGCCCAGCTAATTTTGTATTTTTAGTAGAGACGGGGTTTCTCCATGTTGATCAGGCTGGTCTCGAACTCCCGACCTCTGGTGATCCACCCGCCTCGGCCTCCCAAAGTGCTGGGATTACAAGCGTGAGCCACCGTGCCTGGCCCACTGTTCGCATTTTGTACTGCACTTCCATGAAATTTGTTCTGGAGCTGTCTCAGTTTTAGAGCTACTGTATTAGCATCATTGCTTGATATGGAAAAATATTGACTGTAGCCTACCTTCTTGTTCTACCTCACTTTTTTGTTGTGATAAAGACCTTATAAGGCTGGGCGCAGTTGCTCATGCCTGTAATCCCAGCACTTCGGGAAGCTGAAGCGGGTGGATCACCTGAGGTCAGGAGTTTGAGACCAGTCTGGCCAACATGGCAAAACCCTGTCTCTACTAAAAATACAAACATTAACTGGGCGTGGTGGTGGGTGCCTATAATTTCAGCTACTCAGGAGGCTGGGGCAGGAGAATTGCTTGAACCCAGGGAGTGGGTGGGGTGGGGGGCAGAGGTTGCATTGAGCCGAGATCACACCACTTCACTCCAGCCTGGGTGAAAGAGCAAAACTCCGTCTCAAAACAAACAAAACAAATAACCTCATGAGAAGGTACTGTAATGCATCTATGTGTATAAAGACAAAAATGCAAGTTTGTCTTGTTATTAATAAAACAAAGTATAATTAGTCTGGATGTACAATTAGGATAATTATGTGGATTCCATCCTTAGGACATGTTTATATTGTTACCCTGGGTCTACATCTTCATCATGATAGTGGACCTGTTTAATTCTCGGAGGGATGAGATACAAGGATAGCCTGTGGGCTCATTGTAGGATATTTTAAGTATGATAGAGACCGAGGAAGAGTGCTGAGTGATTTCAGATCTCTGTTAGCCCCTGCACTGAAGCTCTTTGTGTAAGCCTACACACCCTGCCTCAAATTCCTCTTGCTCTAAAAAGGGGAGAATCTAAAGATGGTGCTTGAAAGGGTTGCCAAAATCTTAGCTTTGTGGTGGAGATGTCTTCCACCAATCTCATCACATGAAACCAGAACCAAAGGTGTTTCTAAACGAAGGTTCAGAAGAACAAATGCATCTGGACTGATATCTGGGCAAGGCATCAGGCCTTCCACCTGGTTTCTGAGAAGAAAGTGCTCGTGGCTCAAGCCAGGTGACAAGCGTTCACTTCCCACCTCCGTGTCTTGTAGTCTGTTTGATGTTTGGCTTGTAACTTAAACCAACCACCTCTGCCTTAAGTTTACAGTACACCAAGTGGAGGGGAAAAGTTGCTGTGTTGCAAATGATAGAAGGCATTTTTTTAAGTTTAAAAATGTATGTAATGATTCTTAGTTTTTAGAACTACAGGCAAGAACACGAGGAGGCTCCGTGGTTCTGCAGTTGGTGCAGTAATTTCCTTCTCTGCAGGTTCTCTTCTCTTCTTCCTCCACGCCAGGGGCCTGTTGTGGCTATCTCCTCTAGCGCAGAGCTAAGATCATCTAAGGAATACTGGTTAATTGCTGAGCAGCTAATCAGAATTGTAGGGTCAGCGATAACAGGCAACAACATGCTCATGTTCGAAAACAGCAGGATGTGACAAAAGCAATTTATCTTGATAAATGCACTTCGGAAATCTATTGAGCTTATTTTGTCTCCCTTGGGCTCTGTCTGTTCATCTTCATCTGCCCCTTTCAGTTTCTGCGTCGGTCCCTTCTTTGATTTTGTTTCTTGGTATCCCGTGTTGCTGTCTGGTGCTCCTGGTTGCTTTTCCTTTGTAGTAGCTGTCATGCAGAGAGGACTATGAGGATTCTTTTCCTTTGGGTCCCCTTTTCCTTTTTTTCTCCTCTCATCTTATTTTCTTTGCTTTTCCTTCCTCATCTTCTTCTTCCGTCCCTTAACACCAACATTTGTTTTTCTTTCCCCACTGTTAAAACTGAAGTACTGTGGGTGCTATTCACCACAATTCCATGGCTTGTGTTTCAGCTGCTTCCGTAAGACCCCTGGCTCCTCCAACAAGGACTAAGGCAATTGTTTCTGTGTAAATCTAATTTTGAAAGGGGAGGAAGAATGCCTCACCTGAGCTCACATGTGGCACCCTTGTGGTCCCCTGTTGGGCTCTCCTTGAGCTCTAGAGCTTGTTGTGGAGTTCCCTGAGAATAGAACTCCACTTCTGCTGCCCATGCCATCAGTGGCCACCCTGCACCAGGTGCCAGCTCTGGAGACTGTGAGTGGCTGCTGTGCCTGGGTGGTGCACTGTCCCTGTGGCTGCCGCTGTGTTGGGTCCTCCTCAGAAGTGGGGAGGATGTCCTATGCCCCGCCTTGGGCCACACGTTTTATTCAAGGACTGGAGCAATTTTCTGAGTGCATCTAATAGGGTCCCACAAGGAAAGAGATGGCGCAAGCGGAAGGGGTTGCTGGGGAGAATTTGAAGGAGGCACTATTTTCAGTGGTGTTATTAATTAGTGGTTCACAAAACATTTTTGTTGCCTTATAAGTAATGATTACATAATAACTATAATCACACATATATATCCAACATATGTTGTATATACCAATGAGATCACTGAAAAATATTTGAGGCTTTCTTTGTGACTTAAAATCAAATCTCAAATCCTTTATATGTTGTACAAGGTCCCCGGCCCCTCCCTCCCTATCCAGGCTGATCTTCATTCTTTCCCTCCACCTCTAAACTTTGCCTTCCTTGTGTTTTGCAAAGCTGGACCAACTGTTTTCCTCTTCAGGACCTTTGTACATGTTGGCCTCTGCCTGGAGCAAGCTTCCCCCCGGGCCCTGCTTGCCTTCACCTGGCGGACTCACTTCTCACGTTGCAGTGTCATTTTCATAGAATATTTCGACACACTTTCATAACACCACCTACATTTTCTTCACAGAACCCTTGACAAATGACAAATAAAACAAGGTAACAGACAATCCTCGCATGAATCAATGATGATTGTGATCCATCTAACTCTGACTTTGTAAGCTTTGGTGGGAGGTGGGGGTGGGTGGGTTTATTGATATAATTTGTGTTATTGTTTACTATCCATCCCCCCAACAACATGACTGTGGGGATCATGCTTGTTTTTGTATAGTGGTGTTTTCCCAGGCCTAACACATAATGAACTAAGTACTCACTATACACCGGTTGCTTTACTTATGTTTGTGTGGGTCACTTCAGTTTTTACCATAATTCCATCAGGCAGGGGTTGGCAAACTGCTGTCCACAGGCCAAATGTGACCCATCAACTGTTTTTGTCAGCAAAGTTTTATTAGAACATGGCCGTGTCAATTTGTTTATGCATTGTCTATGCCAGCTTTTGTGCTCCAAAGGCAGAGTTGAGTAGTTACAATAGGGACCATTTTGTCTGCAAATCTGAAAATATTTGCTCCTGTTACAAGGTAATGTGGAATCTCCATTTTCTGGATGAGAAAACTGAGGATCAAAAGTTTCAGTAACTTCCTCATACCTAGATTTCAAGTGGCATAACTCAGATTCAGAATCACCACATCTTCTTTTATCATTTTTCTCCACAAACCAGACCTTTTTGCTGATATGTATTTTTAGGAGACTAAATTTCCACAGGGGAGATGACATTTGGTCTAGGTCTTAAAGGAAAAGTGGGAATTCAGCAATGGACAAGAGAGTACAAAATATTCTAGGCTGAGATGCAGAGGTATAAGAGAGCTTGGTGTGTTTATGAGATAGCTTGTCAGACTGATCAAAACATGGCAGTGTTTTGTGGTCGTGGGGGAAGTGTGGGAAAATTGACAGAAAAGGAGGCAGTTAGAGTAGGAGGAACCTGCCAGACCAGGAAGCCTGAACTTGAGCTTCCAAGCCTGTGGCCTCTGCTTTGCTTATACATTTTCTCTGTTTGTCAAAGTTTGAGCTTTTGTTCCAATATCTTTATTTTCCATAAATTATCTATATGTATCACTATATTAATACTATATTGCATACAGTGTAAAACATAAAAACAGATATTTTAAAAAGACAAGCTCAAGGTAAAATGAATATTCAAAATAATTTTTATTTTAGTTATTAATGCTTCAAAATATATTTTGGCTGCATTTTAATAACAATAATGTTTCATGGGAAGAATGTTAATGCATGTGCTTAATTATATTTGAAAATTTTGGCTTAACACTTAGTGATGCAGCTGTTTGAACATATCATTTCAAGATTAATTTTTTAAAATACGTGGTCTCAAATGGGATCACTGCTGGAAAATAGCTCAAAGATACACGGATTCAAGCGAAAGAAGTACATTGTTGGTTTCACTTACAAATTATGATAATTATTTTTCAAATCCATCCACCAATTAAGCAAAAGTTTTTGTCTCAACTCATCCAGTATGTTTACATCTTCCCTGCTGTCAATTGCTTATCAATATGCAAATAAATTTGTTCTCATATTTTACACAATATGTTCACAAGCCATTGAAACTGTTCAAACTGTTCACCTGAACATTTTTAAGCAGATTGGAAAACTGTAAGTTTAAGTACCTATATTAGGCAGTTCTTGAAGCTGGTGCATACCATTTCCAGCAACAAACATCATATAACAACAAAAACATTGTTTTTGAAATGCTCTCTTTGAAGCACAGGTTTCTCCCTTAAAGAGGTTACTCTAGCCCCCTTACTGTCACCTGTAGCAAGAAGGAACAAATTTTGTGATTTTTTTTGTGCGTGTGAAAATAAATGTATCCCAGTGATATGTATGATTATCACATTGATGATTTTACCTCCTCTTGATGCTGACTGAGAGCACAAACTGGAAACAAGAGATATGTTTGTCTTACCATTTTCTTGCTATTTGTCGGTATCATTACCATTTTCTTTAATCCATAGCTTGTTCGAAAAGTCTTTTTAAGTCATTTGCCCATTTTGTGGTGGTTGGTTTAGTTAAAACTATTATCTCTAAATCCAGAGTACTGACATATGTAAACTGTTCTAACGTGCTCAAGCAAATGAATGACTAAGAGATCTAAATTAATGTGTATATTAAACATTAAAAATCTTTACCTACTTTCTTATTTTTTAGGTAAATACAAATAGAAGTTGTAACATTTTATTCCTACCCCTCAATGACTCATCTTGCTAATCCCCTGGGCACCCACATTTTATTTCAGAGACCACGGCTTTGAGTACTAGAAAACAAACACAAGTGATTTAATGGGAGGACAGGTGAAATTATGAAGTTTAATTTGTCTTTGGGATTGTATTTGTGGCTTTGAGTATTCCTTTGAGTATTTCCTTTAATACGCTTTAAGTATTCCTCTAAAGTTTTTCTTGTGTGTATATTCAAATAAATTAGTTGGTTTTACACCATATTATCCCAACCTCTTCAGAATAGGCAGCCACTCTGAGCCTCATGGAGACCTGGCTAGCCTTGTTAGTATCTCCATGCCCTCTGAAATTCTTTGATAGCTCCACAGCCTCTGCCCTTTAGGTTGGACAATAAGGTGCTTTGGGTACAAGGAGAGGACTGAGGTGACTTACCTCAGTGTAGAAAGACAAATAGTTGTGTTCTGTAACAGACTGAGCAAACGTTTTTTGTGACCCTATTAAAACTGAAGATTTAAGAGAAAAAATTATTAGCTCTGACTGCATATTTAAAAAAAAGAGGAAGAAGAATACAAAAAATGAGAAATAACTCTAGGTTAAGAGTTGCTCGAGAAGTTATGCCCCTTTTAAGCCTTAATGAAAAATTCTTGTTTTTTTTCTTAATATAAGAAGACAAAGATAAAGGACTAGCCACTGACCTTGAAACAAGGAGAGAAAAAAACGGAGTTGGTCCCTGAGAAATAGAAGTTGTCAAAACAAAACCTGCCTAGGCGAAATTTAATAGTCATTTGGATAAAAACGCTGTGCTAGTTTATTTTTCAGAGCATGTAACCCAGTACACGAGGGACTTCATCCCTCGTTAAGCCTGCAGAATTACTTTTGAGAGGAGAATTTTCACTATCTGTTTGGGAAACAATTATGTAAAAGGTTTGTTGCTGCATTTTGTAATTTTTCCCATTACTATAATTGCATGAGTTTTGAAGACACAAGCCAATTAGAAATTATAAAGACTACTCTGTGTAGCTGCAGGTGGCTTACAGGATGGCATCCACAACTAGAACCACACCTTCCAAATTATTGAGTGGTTGGAAAATACATTTTTTGACTTGGGAAGAGCAGTGTATATTATATGGAATGTTAAATTGGAATGCTAGCTAAGGTACACCATATTATCAAGGTATGATGGATATCAGACACTGGAAGGAGTTGTGAGACAGGGCATCTGTTTGCAGTTTCAAAGTAGGTGATTAAAACCCAGTTTCACCAAATCAACAAGAAAAAAAAAATTAAAAAGTGGTCAAAGGACATAGACACTTCTCAAAAGAAGACATACGAGCAGCCAACAAACATGAAAAAGATGTTCAACATCACTAATCATCAGAGAAATGAAAATTAGAACCACAATTAGATACTGCCTCACACTAGTCAGAATGGCTATTGTTAAAAAGTCAAAAAATAACAGATGTTGTCAGGGATGTGGAGAAAAGGGAACAATTATACACCGTTGGTGGAAATGTAAATCAGTTAAACCCCTATGGAAAACAGTATGGAGGTTTCCCAAAGAACTACAAATAGAACTACTGTTCTACCCAGGAATCTGCCCAAAGGAAAATATTAATAAATCATTCTACCAAAAAGACACCTGCCCTCATATGTTTATCACAGCACTGCTCACAATAGCAAAGTCATGGAATCAACCTAAGTGCCCATCAATGGTAGACTGGGTAAAGAAAATGTGGTACATATACCCCATGGAATACTACACAGCCATAAAAAAGAAATAATTATGTCCTTTGCAGCAACATGGATGCAGCCATTATGGTAATGCAGGCCATTATCCTAAGTGAATTAATGCAGAAACAGAAAATCAAATACTGCATGTTTTCACTTTTAAGTGGGAGCTAAACAATGGGTACATATGGACATAAAAATTGCAACAGTAGACACTGGGAACTCCAAAACAGGGGAGGAAGAGAAAGGGGGAACATGTTGAAAAACTACCTATTGGGTATTAGGTTCACAATTTGGGTGATGGGTCCAACAGAAGCCTAAACCCCAGCGTTACACAATAAGCCCATGTAACAAACCTGCACATGTATCCCCTAAATCTAAAATAATTTTTAAAAACACTTGGTTTTATGACTCTTCAATTCTGTAGTCACTTTGAGTATAGAAAATAGTTAAAAGTCTAGATATCTGTGGACAAGGAATTTGTTGGCAAAGGATTTCTTTGAAGAAAGGTGCTGGGTGAATTGTGAGTTGGGCCTCCTCCGTTATCAAGGAAGATGGGTAGATGGTGTCTACCTCTTGCATTGGTCTTCAAAAAGACCCTCTGGAGTCTTGAAATGTGCCCTCGGCAATTAGCCAGGCATCATGGACAGTGTCTGCCTTTTTCTCCGGGGAATCCAGAATATGAGGGGTGTGTCTACGGCCATACCACTCTGAATGTGCCCCATCTGGTCAGCATATAATGCGCTGGGATAGCTTATATCCCTGAATTTATTTAGATAAAGGATTTGTGGGGATTTCCTATGATTGATGTGAACAATGAATGAAAGAGTTGATGTGGCCATCTTAGGTCCTGTTCAATAATGTTGATTCTCTAATTGCAGAGGGCAATGGCACCTCAGCAGACAAAGCGAGCTGGAGGTCACCGACAGCATCCCAGCAGCTGCAGAAAATGCCAGGCGACCAGCCAGATTGGAGCTGCATTGCCCGAGTCTATGAAGTGGCTGCAGAGGATTGCAATACTTGCGAATCCCCAAAGAGCTTTCAAATGTGCCCCCAAAATAAGATGTTTAAATACCTGACAGGCCTAGAGAGCATGAAGTCAACTTGCAATGCTACTGATCAAATGAGAATGTTCCTTCGTCCCTTTCCTCTCCTGCCTTCCCCAGTATAACCATGACAGGACAATAAGATGGGGGACAAGGTTTTGGAAGTATAAGACAGGGATAGGAGTAGAGAACATGGGGCAAGGTGATTTAAACCTGTGTTTGTGGCCTAAAGTGACCAGGGCATTTTGTAATCTAACCATGAACCAAAAACTTACGAGACTTCCCAAGGTTACATCTGGGGAGTGGAAGAACTTTTCTCTACTGAATGAATTTTATAAATACAGTGGGAGGCAGAAGTAAAGATACTTGTGAATTATATCTCAGGAGTTCTGCTTATTCAGCACCCTGGTCACAGAGCCACCCCTTTGCTCTGGGCCCCCAGAACAAAGAGGCAGTAGGACACAGGAAGAACAGTGTCCTCAGTGATCCAGGGACTCAAAGACAGGCCAATGTGTGATGTTTTAGCCCCTCCTCTGGCTGCAGTGGCAGGGCTGGGGTCAGAGGGAGGATGTTATTGTGGAGAGTGCTGTTTCTTTTGATGTGCAAGGAGGGGTACTATGGGCTGAATGTGTGTCCTCCCAAGTTCATATGTTGAAATCCTAATACCAAGGTGGTTGTATTAGGGAGGTGGGGCCTCTGAGAGGTGATTAGGTTCTGAGGGTAAAGGCCTCATGAACGGGATTAGTGATTTCATAAAAGAGGCTCCAGAGAGCTGTTTTGCCCATTCCGCCATGTTAGGACCAGCGAGAAAGCACCATCTGTGAACCAGAAAGTGGGCCTTCATCAGACCCTGAATCTGCCAGTGCCTTGATTACGGACCTCCCAACCTCGAGAACTGTAAGAAATACACTTCTGTTGTTTGTAAACTATCTGGCTTATGGTATTTTGTTATAGCAGCCCAAATGGACTAAGACAACGGATGTTCAGCAGGATCTGTTGGTCTCTTCTTCAATGAATTATTAAAGGACTGGTAGGTGTTGTGCATCTGAGGACTGGAATGCAATGCAAGGTGTATGTCTTCCCACCATATATATATATATATATATATATATATATATATGTATGTATAATGCAAAGGTAACCTCTCTCAGTATTTCTGCGTGTGTGTGTGTGTGTGTGTGTGTTTGCACAAGGAAGTGAGGAAACAAAGTAACAAGTACCAAAGGATAAAGGCATGAGTTTATAACTCAGGGAAAAATCACAGAATCTTACCAGTTCAGGGTGACAAAACTAGTGACACTCAGTACCATGCAGGGATTCAGATTACAGATTTTGGAGTCAGGCTGTCTGAGTTTGAATCCTGGGACTTTGGATAAGTATGCCCTTCTGTTTCCTCACCTATAAAACAGGTAAACTGGTTATCTCATGGGATTATTATAGAAATTAAAGAAGATAATCTCTGTAGAGTGCCTGCTGTAGTTGTTGGTACTTGATAAATGTGCTGTAATTGTCAGCTAAGATTGCTATTGTTTCCTAATACGTAGAGTGAATTCCCATTATTCCTGGTATTTATATTCCACAAAGTTGCCACAAACACTGAGTTAGCAAATACTGAACCATTGATCCTAGGGGAAATACAGGGTTAGTCTCTTGCAAGCCTATGGTCACATTTTTGTCAACAAATGAATACATAACGTTGTTTTATGTGTGTTTCTATTTAAAGACACCTTATTTAATATGTAGTGTTGATTCATTAACATTGAACTCTCAGCTAAGAGCACTAGAGCGGATGACTTCATGAAGATTATCTAAGACACACATTTTCTTTTTAAGGCACATTCTTGTGATTAGGAATGCCAGATAGTGCTTTGGCACTACACTTGGAGGCCATTTTAAACAGAAAAATCTCTAAGAAAAAGCACAAAAGTGCAAAAATCATGGTATTCAATAAACTGCATAAAGGATACTTGTTTACAGTATGCGAGCTGAAACCAAAGGGCAGAATATCATTTGTTTGACCTCAGCTAGGAAGGTGCATGTTGGCTGATTTGAAAATTACAGGCAGCTCTGCACCTGCCTGTAAATAACTGTGAAAGCCCCAGAGTATTGATTTGTGGTACAAAAAAATTTTAGTGAATAGGCAAATTTGCAACTATAGAATCCGTGAATAATGATGATTGACTATATCTGGGGGCTGTGGTTTGAATGTGTCCCCTGAAGTTCATGTGTTAGAAACTTAATTCCCAACTGATAAGAGGGACTTTTTGTTTTGTGTTGTTTTTGTTTTTTTTTGAGATGGAGTCTCACTCCGTCACCCAGGCCGGAGTGCAGTGTGCAGTGGCCTGATCTTGGCTCACTGCAGCCTCTTCCTCCCTGGTTCAAGTGATTCTCCTGCCTCAGCCTCCCAAGTAGCTGGGACTACAGGTGCACACCACCATGCCTGGCTAAAAACCCCATCTCTACTAAAAATAGAGAAGTGGGACCTTTAAGAGGCATTTAGGTCATGAGGGCTCTGCCCTCATGAATGGATTAATGTCATTATCCTGGGAGTAGATTTGTTACTGTGAGAGTGGGCTTGTTATAAGAGTGAGTTTGGCCCCCTCTTGCTGTCTCTGACATGCTCTCCTGCCCGTGTGATTACTTCTGGCTTTCACTATGGGATGATACAGCATGAAGGCCCTCACCAGGTGCTGGTGCATGCTCTTGGACTTCCCAGCCTCCAGAACCATGAGACAAATAAATTTCTGTTTATGAAAAATTGCCCAGTCTGTGGTATTCAGCTATAGCATCATAAAATGGACTGAGACACTGGGTTATCAGCAATTGGTACTCCAAGCTCTGGTTAACTCTTTCCAGCAAAGGGAAAATGACATGTCGAGGCAGCTCATTCTGTCCTTGACCAGCTCTAACTTTTACAAAGCTTGCTAAATTCCACCCCATAGGACCTCGCAGAAGCACTTTAACAATTTCTTTCAAATGACATTCCTGTACTGGAACACAGCTATTGTGTCTCCTTAGACTGAAGTGTAGGTTAAGCATTCTCATTTCCTGTAACAATTTGCCATATGATAATAGTTTGATTGCCCTCATTGTCCTTATTGCCCTCCTTGGAAGGTATTTCAGTGTTTCAATATCTTTTTTAGAGAGTGAAGCCCAGGACTAAAGCTGAGTATGTGAGTGCCAGGTGAGGTCTGATCAGGGTTTCAGAAAAAAGTGATGATTATCCTTTTCATCCTAAATGCTATATTTTGCTAAATATTTTTAGAGTTTATGTGGCAGGGACAATTGGTGCTCACACAGTAAATGCACATTTTTTAACGTTTCCTTGTCTTAAGCATCCAGATGGAGTCATATGACTAATTCTTGCCGATGGGTGACAGGTGGAAATAATACAAGCCTCCTGCAGGTCTGATGCGTAAGAACATCCCAAGGAATTCTCCATGGCCACCTAGGGAGTCATGGGCTCCAGATGACATAGCAACAAGGTAGAAGAATGCCTGGGTCCTGAGTCACCACATGGTGGAGAGCTGTGTGGAAGAGCTGTCCAAGCTGCCACAAGACTTTGCATTGACTGTAAAATAAAATTTATTTTAAAAACTGATTTTTGGCAGCATACAGTGTTAATTATGATAATGAATATAATATGTAATAGCTTTTTTAGTGGCCATATTATGCTGTTGTGACTCACACTGAGTTTGCTATAAACAAAAAATCCACTGTTCTTTTTAACATAGGCAGCTACTCAAATAGGTACTCCTTTCATGAACTTGCTGATATTTTTAGATATAAGCCCAATATAATACATTATCCTTATTAGGTTTTAATTTTTAGATCTAGCAAATCCCTTTCTAGCTTCTCAATAGCTTCTTAGATTGTGAATTTCTCAAGCAGCCATCCTGTCAAATTTTGTGTCTTCCACAAATGCGTGAGCTTTTTAAACTCCTCACTGATAAACATTTGATTATCCAATATCCTGGACCTTGGTATTCAGGCAAAGAAGATACAAATACTGTGTCTAGGCCAATTACACACTATTTTCCCATGTGAATTATTGGTCAATTCTAGCACTGTTCCTTCTTCTTCTTCTTCTTCTTTTTTTAATATTTTGTGTTCAATGTAACTGCTTATTTTATTGGTATCTCTTTTTCTCTGCTTTATTTTTAGTCTTACATTTTCAGTCTCTGGACACATATTCTTCTCTGTCCTTGAAAAGTACCTGTCAATAGCTAAAGGTATGCAATTCTGGAATCTGATGCTGGAGTCCAGGGATACAAACCCCACCCTTTGACAATGTCTACAAAGCAAAGTATTCCTCTAAAATCCTGTCACTTCTAAAAAAGTTTAAATATGTTGTTTTGTCTTCAAGCTATTTGTTTTCCTGGTGCAGTGGAAAAACACTGCCCTCAAAATTAGAACACTTTGGTTTGAGTCCTGGTTTTTCCAATTATAAGCTTAATGATCTTGGAAAAGTGCCTTAACTTCTGTGAAACTCAGGTTTGTTTGTTGGTTGCTTTTTAAAATCTGTGAATAGAGATAATTATTTTCATCTTGGATACTCCCAAGATTGTGTGAGGATTGAATGAGTGAATGGTGCCCAAATGTTTAGGACTGGATAAGTGTTCCTTTGTTGATTTCTGCACCAAGGATACTTCCTGTATCTTTCTGTTGGGTCCTTCATATCATCATGGAGTGTACGGTGGTCAGCAGGTTTGATGGATCTTGGCAGGTACTCAGGTATTACTTTTTATATCTGTCTCGGGAAGGGAGGAGAACCCCTTACTGACTATATTAAATCTATGCACAATGACTTCCTTCCTTTCTTCCTTCCCTTCCTTCCCTTCCTTTCTCTCTTTCTCCCTTTCTCTCTCTCTCTTTCTTTCTATCTTTCTTTCTTTCTTTCTTTCCTTCTTTCTCTTTCTTTCTTTCTTTTTCTTTTTCTTCCTTCCTTCCTTCCTTTCCTTCCTTCCTTCCTTGCTTCTTTCTTTCTTTCTTTCTTTTCTTTTCCTTTCTTTCTTTCTTTCTTTCTTTCTTTCTTTCTTTCTTTCTTTCTTTCTTTCTTTCTTTCTTTCTTTTTCCTTTTTTTTTCAGCAGAGTCCTACTCTGTTGCCCAGGCTGGAGAGCAGTGGTGCAATCTTGGGTCACTACAACCTCCACCTCCTGAGTTCAGCCAATTCTCCTGCCTCAGCCTCCCAAGTAGCTGGGATTACAGGCATGAGCCACTGTGACTGGCTAATTTTTGTATTTTTAGCAGAGACAGGGCTTCACCATTGATCGCCAGGCTGGTCTTGAACTCCTGACCTCAGGTGATCTGCCTGCCTCGGCCTCCCAAAGTGCTGTCTGCACAGTGATTTTCATTCCTCAAGGGTAGGTAAGGGCACTAGCTCTGGAGCTGCAGGTACCGGAGTTATTCTCGATGGGTTCAGCAACGGAGTTCTCCACTGTCCACTCTAGATGCTCCATAAGCAAAGTGTTTTAGGGTCACAGAGGTCTGGGAAGTGAAAAATCAGTCTTGAAGATTCACAATACAACATTAACATATTAAAGGCTCTGAGAAATCCTGCACTGAAAAACACTCATTTGATTTCATTTAATTTAGAAGTTCTTAAAATTATTTGACCTTGGAACCCTTTCTTCCATGGGAGTAATATTAGTGTCACAGTGAACTAGTTTCCAATGGAAGGCTCTTCTAGAAATGTTGGCCCAGGATAATCAACAGTGAAATGTCCTTCAGTGGATAATAATATGGCAGATTATTTTTATTCTGATCTTTTCATCACCTGGCCCTGTCCCAGCAAGGTTTTGGAGAGAAATAACAAGCCACTAGTATGTGTATTGGATTGCTAGATACCCTCAGATGCACTGAGAGAAGTAGTCCCCTGTGCCCGGCCAGCTCTCCAGGATGTTCCTGTGTATATTCCCAAACCTTGAGGTCATCCTTTAGGTGGTGTGACAGCAAATAGCTATTGGGAGCTGTGTGACTTTTGTCTGTGTCATTGAGAACAGGTTCTAAGGAAATTGAGGAAAGGACACAAGGAGGACACTGGAGGACCTCTTCCTAGCCACTACTGTGTTCTATGCTTCTTTACAGACATAGACACAGTACATGGCATAAACATAATATGTGGAATAACAGCAATCAGCTCAAGGAAATGTGAGGTTGAGGCAAACTCACTTTTTTTGCAGTCTTCATATTTTCCACTATTGTCTACTCCTCAAAACTCTTCTGTAACCCCTGATCAACTTTACCATTAATGATACTACTGATCCCTTGAACTTTGGGTTCTCATTTTCTGACAACAGCTGCCTTATCTGCTACTAGTTTATTGCTCTCAATACACTCACATAAATTCAATCATGACGATCACAGCTATTGCTTCCTGAGTACTTCACATGAATCAACGCATTTAATCCTTACATCAGTGTGATCCAGGAACATTTCAGAGAAGTTAAATTATTTTTGAGAGGGCATATAGCTAGTTAAAAGTAAAGCTGGACTTTGAAACCAGATATATTCTTCCCCAAAGCCCATCCTATATCAGTGGGTCTCTATTGCTTCTTGAGGATACACTGGGGACCTCCATTTCAGACAGCCTGTGAGCTACAGCAATCCTATACCCTCCAGCAATTTTTATTTCCTCACTTCCTTTACTTAATGCTGCATTGAGCTAATTCTGCCCTGATGATCCCTTCAAGGGCTTTTTCTTCTACTGCAGCTAATCTCTAGGCACTGCTAGAGGAGAAACTGAGTCACACAGATCTAGATGATGGCAGATATAAGCTTAGTTCAGGCTATTATAACAAATGATCATAGACTGGGTATCTTAAACAAGAAAATTTTACTTCTCACAGTTCTGGATGCTGGAAAGTCCATGATCCAAGAGCCAGCAAATCTAGTGTCTGGTGAAGGTCTGCTTCCTGGTTTGCAAATGACTGTCTTTTCATCTTTTTTGTGTATCCTTACATGGCAGAGAACAGAGAGAGACAGAGAAAGAGAGAGAGAGACAGAGAGCTCACGCACTCAGGTCTCTTCTTATAAGGTCACTAATTTCATTCATTCATTTGGGCACTATACCTCATGTCTTAACTATTTCCCAAAGGCCCCACCTCCTAATACTATAACACTGGGGGTTAGGATGTTAACACATGAATCTTGGGGGACACAAACATTCAGTTCATAGCATCTGCTCCCCAGCTTTACTCTGACCCTACTATGCTTGTCAGCCACTTTCATCTCTTATTGACCTAAAGCATACTTCATGAGAGTCACCCTTCTCTTTCCTTAAGCTCCAAAATCTTCCATTGCCATCACATATATTTCATACAGAAGACTGAGGAGGAAAGAGAATAATACAGTGAAGGAAAGGCAAAGTATTCAATGTGGAGATCAACTCCAAGATTTTTATTACCTCTGTCTTTATTTTAATGAATTGTTCACCCCTCTTTCCCTGTCATTCCGCCTTTCAGACTCAAAGGCAGCAGGATCTTAGCTCTGGTTATAGCCTCCTTTGGACTCTGGGACATCACTTCTTACCATTTTTGTCTCTTTTCTGCCAAATCTTTCTCTTCTCTGACATCTTAACAATTAGTCATTTGGGTTCTGTTGTTATGTTTTATATTTGTATTACCCCAGTGCATTGGGTTTCTCAAAGATTACTAATAAATTCTTTCTTTCTGGATCTAATGACTTTCTTCAGTTCCTATCAACTTTGACTCCTTCAGACACTTGATAATGCTGACTACTCATTAAAAAAAAATCTCTCATTGCTTTCATAGCAATGTGCTGTTTTTTTTTCCCTGCTCTTTTTTCTGTCTGTTGCTACCTCCTATTCTACTCTTACTCTCATTCTTATTCCTGTTTCCCAGAGCCAAAGCTGTATTCTTTGCTCTCCATTTCCCACACAGCTCTTGATGTCAGCAATCACTTATGATGAATGACTTTCAAATCTGCATTTATAATCCTACTTTTACCCTTGAACCAATTGTGCATCTCCAATTGGTTACAGCTGAACCCTAATTGGAAGGAAAATTAAAGGCTCTTACTTCTAAAATGGGTTCCTTTTTATAGCCCCTTTATTTTTGTTAGTCATCCCAGCCATATTAGAGTTTTCAAATAACTTTGAAGTTATGTTTTACATTATCCATCTCTTTCATACAATCTGCATTAGCTTTGTCCTTTTATTTCAAAATGCTTTTCATATTTTCTCATCTTCTGTATGCCTTTCCCTCCACCCCCCAGCACCATCCTGGTTAAAACTGAAGCCTGCAAAATTTGCTTTGGGTAGCCTCCTTCAAATAGCTGTGGACTCTGAGCACCCTCAATGATATCTGATTACGATTCCCTCAAGTTTACAGTTCTGGCAGTCTATCTTCCTTCCTCTAGTCAAAATTCTCTTTCTCAAAAAACAAAAACACAAAAACTCTTAAAATTCATCATCCCTGAGGTAGGATTATCTGTTAACAGTTTGTCACATTGCCCAATCCTATTAGCTTAACTCAAGGTTCTTTAAATTGAAGTGGAATCAAAGCTTTGAATGAAACAATGAGGCTCTAAATCTGAGTTTCAATCACTATAAATAAGAGCCTCTGAAAATAAGCAGCTTGTATGATTACCTACTTTGCTTGTATAAAAGCCTGGTGCCACTATCCCTGCTGAAGTCCTAATCTTGTCAGCTCTATGTCTTACTTCTTTGAATCCAGGGCCTCCTTCTTCCAATCAATCCAGCTACTAGCTTCCTACAAATATCATCAATTCTCTTCATAAAAGCATAGTAAGCAGAAATGCTTTGCTAGTATTGGAGTCATTTTTGGTAACCTTATAAATAAAAATATTTAGCCCAGAAAACTAAATTTTATCAAACATTTGCAATTTAATAAAATGCTTTAATGAGGAGTTTGGCTAAAATTTAATTCTAGTTGAGGTTATAGTTGGATTTAATGTAATGAACCCAGTGGGTGGGTGTGAGGGTGGGAGGGGCCTGGCTCTCATTGCTTCCAACACTGCCTACTGTACTAAGTTACGTCTGTCTGCTTGTTTTTGACATTTCCTGCGGACTATTTCCTGTCACTACTGTTCTAGTGTTAGTCTGGATTACTAAATATTCTCTTGGTCAGCAGGTGGGCCTTTTCCTCTCCTCACTCAATCCTTCATTCTTTCTCTTCTCTGTGCTCAGATTTTGTTATGCTTTTTACCCTTCATTGAATCATATTTAGCTCTCAAGGACAAATATAAATGTTACTTTCTCTATAAAAGCATTCTTTCACTTTATTCAAAACCAATTTCTCTCATTTGAATTTCTATTGTAATTATGGTCACAGCCACTTAAGTCAGCATATAATTGTTCTCTGAATTTTTCATTGCTTTTTATTTTGCCTCCCTAACTTGTGGGTCAGAATGACATGTCTTTTTCCTTTAACTTGTATACATTATAAACATTAGATAAATATTTGTGGATGGGCAGGTTGTTCTTCCATGTGTATGTAAGTTGACCTCAGTTGGCAACTATTTGAATGTATTGCTGAAGTTATTACTTTGACTTAGTTAAGAATGGCTTTATTTTTTCCACCTGAAGAAGTTAAAAAAATGCCCATTGTATTCATTTTCATGCACGTCTGTGTGAAGAGACCACCAAACAGGCTTTGTGTGAGCAATAAAGCTGTTTATTCTGGGTGCAGGCGGGCTGAGTCCGAAAAGAGAGTCAGCGAAGGGAGATAAGGGTGGGGCCGTTTTATAGGATTTGGGTAGGTAAAGGAAAATTACAGTCAAAGGGGGTTTGTTCTCTGGCGGGCAGGAGTAGGGGTCGCAAGGTGCTCAGTGGGGGTGCTTTCTGAGCCAGGATGAGCCAGGAAAAGGACTTTCACAAGGTAATGTCATCAGTTAAGGCAAGGACCGGCCATTTACACTTCTTTTGTGGTAGAATGTCATCAGTTAAGGTGGGGCAGGGCATATTCACTTCTTTTGTGATTCTTCAGTTACTTCAGGCCATCTGGGCGTATACGTGCAAGTCACAGGGGATGCAATGGCTTGGCTTGGGCTCAGAGGCCTGACATTCCTGCCTTCTTATATTAATAAGAAAAATAAAATAGTGTTGAAGTGTTGGGGCGGCGAAAATTTTTGGGGGGTGGTATGGAGAGAGAATGGGCGATGTTTCTCAGGGCTGCTTCAAGCGGGATTAGGGGCGGCGTGGGAACCTAGAGTGGGAGAGATTAAGCTGAAGGGAGGTCTTGTGGTAAGGGGTGATATTGTGGGGATGTTAGAAGAAACATTTGTCGTATAGAATGATTGGTGATGGCCTGGATACGGTTTTGTATGAATTGAAAAACTAAATGGAATAACAGAAGGAGAAAAACAGGTATAAAAGGTCTAAGAATTGGGAGGACCTAGGACATCTGATTAGAGAGTGCCTAAGGAGATTCAGCATAGTCCTGCCAGCAAAGATTATTTATTTACTTCAAGAGTTAAGAGTGGCGGTTTGGGGATAGCACCAGGAGATATCAGCTGTGATGGCTTGGAGAAACAGTGTAAACCGGCACTGTAAGTAAGAGCAGGGCACGTATGAGTAGTTGAGAACGGTGAATAGGAGTATGACTAGACAAAAGATAGTAGGGATGACAAGTTTTTTTGGGGCACAGTCTAAGTTGGTCTGGTGTCGAATGAGACTGGGGCCCAATAAAAAGGAGCGTCTATACAGGAGCTTAAATGGGCTGTACCTTGTAACATTCTGAGGACAGGCCTGAATTCTGAGAAGCGAAAGTGGTAAAAGTATTTATTGTCCAGTCCTTTTTAAGTTGGTGGCTGAGCTTGGTGAGGTGTGTTTTTAAAAGACCTGTAGTCCGTTCTACTTTTCTTGAAGACGGAGGACCGTAAGGGATATAAAGGTTTCACTGAATACTAAGAGCCTGAAAAACTGCTTGGCTGATTTGACTAATAAAGGCTGGTCTGTTACCAGACTGTATAGAGGTGGGAAGGCTAAACTGAGGAATTATGTCTGACAGAAGGGAAGAAATGACTGCGGTGGCCTTCTCAGACCCTGTAGGAAAGGCCTTTACTTATTCAGTGAAAGTGTCTATTTAGACTAAGAGGTATTTTAGTTTCCTGACTTGGGCATGTTGAGTAAAGCTAATTTGCCAGTCCTGGGTGGGGGCAAATCCTTGAGCTTGATGTGTAGGGAAGGGAGGGGGGCCTGAATAATCCCTGAGGAGTAGTAGAATAGCAGATGGAACACTGAGAAGTTATTTCCTTGAGGATAGATTTCCAGGATGGAAAGGAAATGAGAGGTTCTGAGAGGTGGGTTAGCGGCTTATACTATAGCATAGCCTGCCTTTGCTGGTGTGTGGCGATTAGGCCTGGTGGAACTACCATCAATAAATCAAGCGTGATCAGGGTGAGAAACAGGAAAGAAGGAAATATGGGGAAATGGGGTGAATATTAGCTGGATCAGAGAGATACAGTCATGG
Organism: Homo sapiens; assembly: GCF_000001405.40. Taxonomy (NCBI): domain Eukaryota; kingdom Metazoa; phylum Chordata; class Mammalia; order Primates; family Hominidae; genus Homo; species Homo sapiens. The sequence continues at coordinate 90,672,060 of NC_000006.12, forward strand.
GGGTCAGGTGTGGTATCAGGAATAATGTGAGAGGCCAGATTGAAGTCCGGGCCAGGAACAATGGTAATTGTGGGACTTAAAGAGTGACTACAGCTGAAGGAGCCGGGGAGCAGAAAGTATATGCGTCAGGTATGAGGAAGAAAATAGATTTTGGAAGTTATGAGAAATGTAGAGAGTGAATTGAGCATAGTTTGTGATTTTTAGGGCCTCTAACAGTATTAAAGCAGCGGCAGCCGCTGCACGCAGACATGAGGGCTAGGCTAAAACAGTAAGGTCAAGTTGTTTGGACGGAAAGGCTACAGGGTGCGATCCTGGCTCTTGTGTAAGAATTCTGACCGCACTAACCATGCCTAGGAAGGAAAGGAGTTGTTGTTTTGTAGAAGGTGCTGGGGTTTGAGAGATCAGTCGGACACGATTGGCAGGGAGTGCACGTGTGTTTTTATGAGAATTATGCCGAGATAGGTAACAGATGAGGAAGAAATTTGGGCTTGATTGAAGTAATGGGGGCTGTCTGTGAAGCTTTGCGGCAGTACAGCCTAGGTAATTTGCTGAGCTTGATGGGTGTCAGGGTCAGTCCAAGTGACAGCGAAGAGAGGCTGGGATTAAGGGTGCAAAGAAATAGTAAAGAAAGCATGTTTGAGATCTAGAACAGAATAATGAGTTATAGAGGCAGGTATTGATAGGAGAGTATATGTGTTTGGCACCACGGGGTGGATAGGCAAAACAATTTGGTTGATAAGGCGCAGATCCTGAACTAACTTGTAAGGCTTGTCTGGTTTTAGGACAGGTAAAATGGGGGAATTGTAAGGAGAGTTTATAGGCTTTAAAAGGCCATGCTGTAGCAGGCGAGTGATAACAGGCTTTAATCTTTTTAAAGCATGCTGCGGGATGGGATATTGGCGTTGAGTGGGGTAAGGGTGATTAGGTTTTAATGAGATGATAAGGGGTGCATGATCAGTCGCCAAGGAGGGAGCAGAGGTATCTTATACTTGTGGGTTAAGGTGGGGGGATACAAGAGGAGGACGCAAAGGAGGCTTTGGATTGGGAAGAAGGGCGGCAACGAGATATAGTTGTAGTCCAGGAATAGTCAGGGAAGCAGATAATTTAGTTAAAGTGTCTCAGCCTAATAAGGGAACTGGGCAGGTGGGGATAACTAAAAAGGAGTGCTTAAAAGAGTATTGTCTAAGTTGGCACCAGAGTTGGGGAGTTTTAAGAGGTTTAGAAGCCTGGCCGTCAATACCCACAACAGTTATGGAGGCAAGGGAAACAGGCCCTTGACAAGAAGGTAATGTGGAGTGGGTAGCCTCCGTATCGATTAAGAAGGGGACGGGCTTACATTCCACTGTGAGAGTTACCCAAAGCTCGGCGTCCGTGATGGTCTAGGGGGCTTCCGAGGCGATCGGGCAGTGTCAGTCTTCAGCCGCTAAGCCGAGAAGATCTGGGAAGGAGTCAGTCAGAGAGCCTTGGGCCAGAGTTCCAGGGGCTCTGGGATTGGCTGCCAGGTGAGTTGAACAGTCCGATTTTCAGTGGGGTCCCACACAGATGGGACGTGGCTTAGGAGGAATCCCGGGCTGCGGGCATTCCTTGGCCCAGTGGCCAGATTTCCGGCAAGTGTAGCAAGCTCCTGGGGGAGGAGGTTCTGGAGGAAGGCCTGGCCGCTGCAGTTCAGGCATTTGGAAGTTCTTGTGTGCTGCAGATGCGGCTGGGGTTTGTCTCACAGTGGAGGCAAGGAATTGCAACTTTTTTCTGTTATTGTACACCTTGAAGGTGAGGTTAATTAAGTCCTGTTGTGGGGTTTGAGGGCCAGATTCTAATTTTTGGAGTTTTATTTAATGTTGGGAGCAGATTGGGTAATAAAATGTATATTGAGAATAAGACGGCCTTTAGACCTTTTAGGGTCTAGGGCTGTAAAGCGTCTCAGGGTTGCTGCCAAACGAGCCATGAACTGGGCTGCATTTTTATATTTGATGAAAAAGAGCCTAAACGCTTCTGATTTGGGATAAAGAAAAAGGAGCATTAACCTTGACTATGCCTTTGGCTCCAGCCACCTTTTTAAGAGTAAATTGCTGGGCAGGTGGGGGAGGGCTAGTCACGGAACGAAACTGTAAGCCGGACCAGGTGTGAGGAGGAGAGGTGATAAAAGGATTATAGGGTGGAGGAGCAGAGGCTGAGGAAGAATTGGGACCTAGATCGGCCTGGAGAGGAGCAGCCTGGGGAGGAAGGGAGAGGTCAGATGGGTCTGTAGAAAACGAAGATTAGAAAGACTCAGCGACGCTTGGGGTTGGTACTGAGGGGACAGGCAGGAGGGAAAGAAGCAAGATTTGGGACGAGTTGCACTGGGCACAGAGACTAGGAAGGGACTGATGTGTAAAAGAATGCCTGGACGTCAGGCACCTCAGACCATTTGCCTATTTTACAAGAATTATTTAGATCTTGCAGGATGGAAAAATTCAAAGTGCCATTTTCTGGCTATTTGGAATTACTGTTGAGTTTGTATTGGGGTCAAGCGGCATTGCAGAAGAAAATAAGGCATTTAGGTTTTAGGTTAGGTGTAAGTTGAAGAGGTTTTAAGTTTTTGAGAACACAGGCTAAGGGAGAAGGAGGAGGAATGGAGGGTGGAAGGTTGCCCATAGTGAAGGAGGCAAACCCAGAGAAAAGAGAGCATAGAGACACGGAGGGAAGGGGTTCGGGGGTTCTTACCCTCCTGAAAAGTGGGAAGGGGGGTCGGGGCACGGAAATAAGGCATTGGGGCACAGAGATAAGAGGTTGGGGTGCGGAAATAAGGGATTGTGGGGGTTCTTGCACCCTAGAAAAGCGGGACTTGTCACTAAGGGTGAAGGAGAAGGGGTTGAGGGGTACTTGCCCCTGCCCCAGGAAAGCAGAGAAGGGGTAGAGACAAGGAGAGAAGGTGTTGGGGTACCGGCACCAAATTTCATGCGCGTCCGTGTGAAGAGACCACTAAACAGGCTTTGTGTGAGCAACATGGCTGTTTATTTCACCTGGGTGCAGGCGGGCTGAGTCCGAAAAGAGAGTCAGGGAAGGGAGATAAGGGTGGGGCCGTTTTATAGGATTTGTGTAGGTAAAGGAAAATTACAGTCAAAGGGAGTTTGTTCTCTGGCGGGCAGGAGTCGGGGTCGCAAGGTGCTCAGTGGGGGAGCTTTTTGAGCCAGGATGAGCCAGGAAAAGGACTTTCACAAGGTAATGTCATCACTTAAGGCAAGGACCGGCCACTTACACTTCTTTTGTGGTGGAATGTCATCAGTTCAGGTGGGGCAGGGCATATTCACTTCTTTTGTGATTCTTCAGTTACTTCAGGCCATCTGGGCGTATACGTGCAAGTCACAGGGGATGCGATGGCTTGGTTTGGGCTCAGAGGCCTGACATTCACAATATTTGTGTGAATTCCCTTAATGTTACTACAAATACTTAGTTTACAATAAAAGTTTTGAAATTCAGTTCTAATGATAGGGTAGGGTTTAAAGAAGTTTGATAATGAAAGTATTTAAAAATGTAAATGAATGTATGAATATGCCTCAGACTGAGTTATACAACCTTTCCAAAGTGAACTGCAAAAATAAGGATTAAAATAATTTATCAGTCTCTTACTGTTAAATAATAGTGAAATGAAAGCATTTAGACAAGGGTTATAGGCATCACGTTGTTAATTACAGTGGTTGTATTTGCTTTTGTTCCAGTGCATTGTAATTAATGAAGATCTACAGCTCTGTGCTTTGTCTTGGAAAACATACACTGTTTTCTTAGGCATCAATACAGCTACGATATCCTTCACTTATTTCTTAAGAATAACTCTTTTTTAGCACAGGGGAGTCCACTGTTGCAGCAGCAACATGAAAATCACAGCAAGATTTGAGCTTCGACAGATCAGGGAGCAATCGACTCTATTCATGTGTGCCTAACCTTTTCTCAACACCCGACAAATGTAGGCTATAATGACATATGAGACATTGTTTAGACCAACTCAGTAATCATAGGTATAATCTTGGTCTTTTTAAAAATTTCAAGCCGAAAGCATGAGTTTAGAGTACAAGGGAGGAAAAGTTAGCAAGGTTTAAATTAAAATGTGTATTCTAGATCTCAACCTAGATGGTTTAGCCTCTGTGATTACATGAGTTTGCCAGTCTGAATTAGAGAATATGACACATGTTTGGGGAGGGAGAAGGAGGATGGGTAACCTTAGAGATATTAATCAATGATTTGTAAGCGGTAAATCTGAAGAGCCAACTACAAAAGGGAGATGAGGGTGATATTTCTGTCTCCTGTTAGAAGTATTACATAAATGCAGAATTAGTGATAAGAAAAATAATTTCAATTTTTTATCCTCTGTCTTGTCCTGTTTGCTAAGATCCTTCTCCAAAGGGGTACTGGCTCTAAAAGAAAAAAGTGATGATTGGACTTGTCATGTGGTCCACTGGAAGCCTGACGGTTATCTCCTAACAGCCTTCATGGACATTTGAAGGCTCTGCACTGCTGTTATTTTGAAATAATCAGTGTGCACACGAATGAACATACAAATTGTGCCGCTTGATTCTTCTTCCCTTCTCTGCAGGGGCCAACAGGGCACCCTGTGGAGATGTAGATGGGAGAAAATTCCTTCTCTATCTCCCTCCCAAATTCCCTGTTGGAGCTGGGCTTACAGCCTAGTAGGTGTTGGGAAGCACTGACTCATAGCCAGTGCCTTTTTGTGAGGCCACTGGCTTGGATGTGACTCTCTGTACCTCTTAGACTGACACCTGGTCGGTGCTTGACACCTCTGAGAATTCTCAGGGATGCAAATGGTGGGCCAGAGAGAGGCAGTGAGATGGGCAACTCCTTTAGTGCTGAGGAGCTGATGGAGTCCTCTATGTCTTATAAGGCAGAGACGATTTCACGCTCTTGCATAAATCCATAGAGCGTTACAAGTTATGAGTTTCTAAGAGTTCCATTTCCTCTCTGGGTGTTAAAAAACTGGGCTGATTTTTGATATTTTGAAAAGGAGTTTTAGAATTTTGTTGTAAGTGCCACTTATGGTTTTTTAAAAAAGCACTTCCCTGTTTATAGAGGAAAACACTTCATACATAATATGAAGCAGAAAAACTCTCAAATCTGGAAAAAGTTAATTGACTTTAGATAGTCTTATCAAAATACGAACTGATATCATAGGACTCCAGCAGATTTATCCACTACAGATCTTTTACTTTAATTTATTGGTTACTTCACAGAATTGCCAACTGCATTACAGTCCCGTGTGTAGTGGGAAAAGCACTATCATGTAACTCTTGAGCAGATGTGTTACAAGAGTCTTTTCATTTCCTTTTTTAAACTCAAAGAATAATGACACTGCAATATCATGTGGTGAAAAGAGCAATAATTTGATAAACATTGTCTTTCCATTAGATTAGAGCAATTAATCTGATTCTAATTTGGCTGAAACATTATCATACTGGAGTCCCCAGAGCCCTGTGAATAATCTCTAAACACATTGGCACACTCAGTAGACAAACATTATCTTCACTCGCACTGTTCTTCCATATGGTCTCCTCCCATGGTGATGGAGGGCACCCTGCTGTTTCAATCAAATAAATGTCAATTATCTGAGATAGATTTTTAGTTCTCGAGCCCGGACTTGCAGTGCAGCCAGAGTGACTGGGTAGAATGGTCTGAAACTCTTTTCTGCACATGTCACTTGCATTTTATAAGGAATTCACACATTGCCACGTCATCCAGCATTCTAAGAACTTCATAAATAAAATGGTTGATTTCAGAAGCTGTGCATGTGTATGTGTGTGTGTGTGTGTGAGAGAGAGAGAGAAAAACTCTTGACCTTCATTTAGCTTTACTTTGCTCATCCTGAGTAGAGAGTATTTTTTTAAACTCAAGGAGGGATACTTTTTATTCTCCATGATCTGAATTAGGGCTACCATCTATGTATATTCATGTCCTGTTTAGGCACTTCTCCCTTTGTAGTAGCCCTCCCTGTACCTGGATGGAAATCCGGACATAAAGATCTCAGAAACAAAGACCTTCGCCTGACTGTCTGATTTCTTTTGCAGGCCTTTTCCTAGACGTATTTGTTCTGAGCATGGTGGCCTCTGGGGGTGAGAGCTGTAGGATTTTTTCCACCGGCCTTTGCAGGGGTTGCTGGTGAGATCAGCAGGAACTCTGGACTCCAGAAAACAGTAGAGGGAAGGAGGAGGAGAACACACCACCTTCCCCAAGGCAGAGAGGAAGGCCTGGCAAGGGCACTTCAGGTGTCAAAGAGGTGAATCGAGTCTCTTAGAAAGAGGGCTGTACATATGAAGCTGACATCGTGAAACCAAGCAAAAGTAGATGAGGTGAAATGGAATGACATGATGAGAAGGCTGTCACTTCTATGTTTCTTTGCACCACTCTCTATCTTGAGGGTGTCAGTTATCAGGTGTTGGTTTTGTTATCAGACAGGTCCTTGTCTCAAAAGCTTGTAAATTTGCCCGGAGCCCTGAGGGCCTCTGATGACTATGTGTCTAGACGAAAAGCACTGGGTCACCCTCCTTGCTGCTGCTACTGTGACAAGCTGGCACAAAGAGAAAGGCAGTCCATGGGGATCTGGACTAATTCACTGTGGCAATCCAGCAAACGTTGTCAGAAAGGATTTCAGCTTCCCTGTTGGCTGTGATCCTGAATCAAGGAGGAAAGCCACTGAGTGCTCAGAGTGAAAAAATACAGTAGCCGCAAACTCCTCTGCCTCTGACATGGTTTAATCAGAAACTGTCACTCATTGACATCAAATGTCAAGCCCTGGGTCACCCCCTGCATTTAGAGGGCAGGAAGTCCCTGACTCCAGAGGTGGGCCCAGTGCACCTGCTCTGCAAGGCAGGAGGTGTGGAGGGTGGATATTTTAGCAACAGCTGGAGCATTTGCTGAAAAGAGAGAACATTATGCCAGGTTGACGTGTAGAAAGAGGTTCATGAAGAGAAGACCGAGATGAATTAGAGCAATAGGTGCATGGTTAAATATCTAGTCTCTGGAGGGAGGTGGCTTGGGTTCAAAGCCTGATATCATCACTTATTGTGTGATTGTGGGCAAGTCACTTATCCTGCAGAATTCTCAGTTTTCTTATCTACAAAATGGGGATTGATGATAGCCCCTGTCCCATGTGTTTGTTGCAGATACTAAATAAAATAGTGAATGTAAAGTACACAGAATTGTGCTGGCACATAGTATGTGCTCAATAAATTTTTGCAGCTGTTCTTAGAGAGAGAAAGGGTTAGAAGGCTGGGTTTTGAATTGGGTGGCTCCACCACTTACCAGCTTTGTATTTCTCAGTAGGTCACTAAATCAGCCTAAGCCTTCATGTTCTATGTGTCTTACCAATGTCACATGGTTCTTTTGAGGTTCAAGCGAAAGATATGTGGTGCTGTAATGAGGACATAGTAAAGTATAATGTCCTTGGCAAAAATCGTGATAGGCTTCCATTGTGTACACCAGGCAAAGTGCCCTCTTCAGTGCTGTGATATAGAGCAGTTGGATTAAATACATTAAACTCACATTACATGGGGGAAAGGGCTCTGAGTCTGTTGATTTACTAGAGTTGCCATAACAAATACCACAGGCTTAAACAGTAGCAATTTATTCCTCACAGTTCTGGAGGCTTGAAGTGCAAGATCAAGGGGTCAGCAGGGTTGTTCTTCTGAGGACTTCTCTTAGCTTGTAGATATCTTCACATGGTCTTCCCTGTCTGTGTGCTTGTGTCTTCCTAATGTCTTCTTATAAGGATACGAGTCCTATTGAATTACAGTCCACCTTAGTGATCTCATTTTATCTTACTTACCTGTTTAAAGACCTTATCTCCAAATACAGAAGAGAGTAAATTTATATCTTGGGGAGAATTTGTGGGAATTATGCCAAAATGTATTTCTGTAAACTTAAATTTTCTTAGAAGTTTTTTTTTTAATTCCAAAAGTTTTCATGGACTGGGTGTGGTGGCTCATGCCTATAATCCCAGCACTTTGGGAGGCCAAGTCAGGCAGATCACTTGAGACCAGGAGTTAGAGACCAGCCTGCACTTAAAAAAAAAATCATGGATGTTACATTGTTCTTTGTGCTATGTCCATATTTGTTTTCAGGTAAAATAACTTTTAAAATTTCTTGACAGTTAAATTACTTAAAGTCTGTGTTAGGTAATGCTAGCTGCTTGATTTGATTTGGCTGCGTCCCCACCCAAATCTCATCTTGAATTGTAGCTTCCATAATTCCCATGAGTCATGGGAGGGACGTAGTGGTAAGTAATCAAATCATAGGGTGGGTCTTTCCCGTGCTGTTCTTGTGATAGTGAATATGTCTCAAGAGAACCGATGGTTTTTTAAAGGGGAGGTCACCTGCACACACTCCCTTACCTGCTGCCTTGTAAGCTCTGACTTAACTCCTCGTTTGCCTTCCACAATGATTGTGAGGCCTCCCCAGCCATGTGGAACTGTGAGCCCATAAAACCTCTTTCCTTTATAAATTATCCAGTCTCAGGTATATCTTTATAAGCAGCATGAGGATAAACTATACACTACTATAATAAATAAGCCCTCAAAATTCAGTGGTTTGACACACAAAAATATTTCCTTTCTTCATCAACTCTGAATCCAATGTAGGTATATCTGCAGTGAAGTGCTTTTAGTCAGAGGTGATTCAGGAATCATGAACTCAGGCTCCTATCTTCTGGCCTTACCATCTATCTGTATTAGTTATAAATTATAATATATGTAGCCTATTATGTTAGGCTGCTATAGCAAAGTATCATAGACTGGCTAGCTTACAACAGAAATGTATGGTTTCACAGTTCTAGAGACCAGAAGTCCAAGATCAAAGTCTCAACAGGATCGGTTCTTTCTGAAGGCTGGAAGGGAAGTATCTGTTCCAGGCCTCTCTCCTTGGCTTGTAGATTGTCATCTACTTCCTGTGTCTCTTCACATCATCTTCCTTCTATTCCTGTCTGTGTCCGAATTTCCCTTTTTATAAGAACATCAGTCATACTGTATTAGTGGCTCAATCTACTCCAGTATGACCTCATTTTAACTAATTATGTCTGTAACAGTGATACTTTCAAATAAGGTCACATTCTGAGATATTGGGGGTTAGGACTTCAACATATGAATTTTCAGGGGGTTACAACTCAGCCCATAAGAGTCCAACACCAGGATTACATTATAATGGGTATCCTCTCAGTTTATCAGATTTGAATAGAAAGAAAGGTAGTAGAAAGGGTACTGAACTTGATATCATGGCTTCTGTTGGTCTAGTCAGCATTCACACAAATTAGGTGAGTGATCTTAAGGAAATCCTTTCTCTTTTAGAGTCTCAATGTCTCTTTTCCAGTGTTCATGCTAGCATTAACATCTTATAATGGTTTAAATAATATGTATCCATCTGTCACTCTCTCTCCATCCTATCATCCATTCATCCCATCTTCCACCCATCCTTCCATCTGTCTTCTCATTCAATCAACAAACACTTATTGAGTATTTATAATGTCCCCAGTATCAAGTCGATTTCTGGGAATACAATGATGGATGAGACACATTCTCTTCCTTCAAGGCATTTATCAATCTGCTGGGGAGACAGACGAGTAAAATGTAGATGGACTCTATTCTCTCTTCTACATTATAGTCCTTTAAATATTTGAGGAAGGCTAACATTTCCTACTTTTTCTCTCTTGGTTCCTTGTTTCTAAAGTAAGTATACTTTAATTTCCTTAATGATTCCTCACATAACACAGTTTCCTCACTCTTTTAGATTAATATTCTGTGGTATTATCTAGGTTGCTGTCCTTAACAATTCAGAAATAAATACAAGCTGTGTAGCTATACTGCTACTTGATTAGGAAGCAGACAATAGTCAGACTATGCTGGGTCTCACACTGAGTTAATCTGGAGTAAGATTGGATGTGGCAAATTACAGAGCCCTCTCAGATTACATTTTTCTCTCATTTTCTTCAGTGGCCTCGCTCAGGCACATTTACTGAGCCCTTGTTTATCATGGAGCACTTTACTGGACAAAGTTAGCAGACAATTTTCAGTCAAATGCAGAAGTCATAATATTGACACAAGGGCCACAATATTAAAAACAAAAACTAAAACAAAGAAAAGGTTGGGTGGAATGTATCATGCTTATAATCCTAGTGCTTTGGGAGACTGAGCTAGGAGGAGCGCTGGAGGCCAAGAGTTCAAGACTAGCCTGGGCAACATAGCAAGAGCCTGTCTCTGCAAAATATTAAAAAAATTTAGCTGAGCATGGTGGCATGTGCCTGTAGCCCCAGCTAAACTGAGAGGCAGAGGTAGGAGGATTGCTTGAACCCAGGAGTTCAAGGATGCTGTTCGCTGTGATCATGCCACTACATTCCCGTCTGGGTGACAAAGTGAGATCCTATCTCTAAAAATAAACAAACAAAAACCAAACCAAAACAAAACCCCACTAATCACATGTCAGGCACTTAGTGAATTTTGTCTTATTTAATCACTGTAACAACTCTATTAAATATTCACCATTTCATCATTGGAGTTACTGGATCTTGGAGGTTAAACTACTTGCCCATAGTCACATTGTTAGTAGGAGGAGCCTGGACTTATCCCCAGATTTCTTTGATCTTAAAAACTTGGTTCATAACCCCTATGTTTAAGCATCTCTCTCAGAGCCCTCTGTTCAATTAAGGATTAGGAGATTGCTTGGTGGATTTTCTGTTGGGCTGCTCTCACATTAGTTCCCAGGTAAGGAGAAGGCAGCTGGCAGATTTAGGGCAGGCCTCTTGGGAATTATACCTTGATGGAGACATTAGGGTCTTGGGTTTAGGTCTTAGCTTTTCCCTTTCAAGATCTCACTTCTATTATTTTGTCACAGTGAACAGACTTTGAGGGATAGTTTCTCTCTAATAAAATACAAAAGAGAATGATTTATAAACCACAGTCCCAATTTACCATGGGAAATAGAACTTATTTTTAAAATCAGGAGCATTTTTTCAACCAGGCATTCCCTTTTTGTGGGGTCAGTCACTCAGAAGGACAAATAATAATTCAGAAGGTTGCTTGGCAAGCATAGAATTTACAACAAAAAGATTAGGTATTGCCCAAGGGAAGTCTCCTCAGGCTAACCTAACTTGGAGTTAATCCTTCTCTGCCCTGCGGTTGTTTCTGCCTAAATTACTGGAATCCATCTTCTAGAATCACAACATAATTTTCCTTGGTCACTGCTACACTCAGACACACAGACAGTCTAACCTCTCAATTCTCTTTAGGCAATCTTTCTCTTTTGGAAGTATCTATTATCAAAAACATCTCTTGTCACATTACTTCATTTTATAATGTTCTAAATTATTATTTATCTTTATTAGTTTACATTGTAGGTCGTCTGCTCTTTAATGAGGCTTGGGTTGGACTTTCTATTGAACATGGGGCTTTGAGTCATCCATTTTGCAGCAGCTAGGAGGTTTGGGGCATTGATTTCAGCTAAAAGGATGAGCTCTAATTAGTCTATGAAAATCCCAGTAAAGCCTTACTCCCAAGCCAGCACCAGTACCGTTTTCAGGATGTGAGGCTTAAGCTCCCATAGCATATCCTTGGCTGGAGGGCTTGGTCAAAGAATTTGTGCTATGACAGTCTGGATAAATGGGATATGAAGGTAAACTTGGCAGAAGGGCTATTCTGGAAAAAGTTTCCCTACTTTTAAGTGGGAGCCATAGAAAGAGTATGGGTGTAAGGCCAGAATGGCTAAAGCTACTTTTCTGACAATCTGAAGACAAAGCCTCATGGCAGAAGGAAGAACACAGAGCAATGCATGGAAATGGGGCCAGAGTCATTGCATTAAGTCAAGGCCAGAGCCCAGCCTGCCTCTAGACTTTCACTCATGTAAATTCCCTTTTTGTGGGAGCCAGTTTAATTTAGGTTTTTTGATACAAGCAGCTGAATGTATCAATTGAAGGATGACTTTCTCATATCCATTTTATATTCACAAACCATCAGGAAAAGTTCTGCAGATGACCAAAGCTATTCATTATATGTGATTTTTTTAATACTCTCAGTTTGGTGAGTGAGATCTTTTAAACAGCCATTTGATTATGAGATCCAATTTACCATTTGTGCAATTACAATAGTTATCATTAATCCAGCTCTAGCTCATAGCAATATCAGCATAGCCATTTCTTTGAGCTCAAGGCAGGAACTGGCTCGTAAGAGTCAAATGCATTGTTCCTTAGAGCCATCAATTCTCCAGCTCCAAAAGTCTGCCCTAGACTCACCCTGGCACTAAGAGCATCTTTGTTCAGCACTGATATCACAGATATTGTCAGAAGACTTTACTGCCTCTGGATCCCCAGCCGAATCAAATGTAGTGACCTATTGTTTAGGATCTGAACAGAACCACATATGCTGTCAAACTGCTGGTTCCTAATGAAGGTGAGGCTATGGGAGAATGTACCAATGTACTGCTTCCTTCACACAATCTTCCTATGGAAAAAAAGAAGTCAGTTGAACTAAACAATGTGCTTCATGACCTAATTCACTTACTTTCTGAAGCAAGCTCTTTATCCTGTTATGTGGGTTAGTAATAAATAGCTTGACAGTTAGTCCGTGGACCTAACTTTGAATAGTCATTCTCTCATTCATTTATCAAACACTTACTGCACTAATATATGTAAGTAACCTAAGAATTATCTTGGGAGTTATCTAAGAAATCTTCTGCCTTTCTCTTCATGTTCAGCCTGGCATCACACCTTCCTCTATTCCTGCTGTCATTAGCTTGATGCAGGCTTCCATTGCTTTCTGAAACACTGCCATTGTCCTGCCAGTCTTGCCTTCTCCGGGCTACAATATGCTATTAAAAAATATATTGCTCAAGGTGCTTTCTAGCTTCTGTGTCAATGAAAGCTACTATGGTGGACTTTTTGCTGAATATAATACAAATGGATGTTGGCGCCTCATACTGCAAATGTTCTTGGTTAATGAGCCTTCCATCACACTATCCTGAGATAAGCGTGTACTGCAACTTGTGTAGTTTCCTCTGTAGTCTCTTTTTAATGCCATCTGTGTACTGGAGAACTAGACCTGTGGCAAAGAGACAAAGAAAGAAGATCTTGTTGGATGTTATAATACAAGCTGTGTGATAGTTAGGCATCTCTAGCCATAAAAGGGTGGGTGGATGTTCTTTGAAATCGTGAAGGGCATCATAGTTATCATTGCAACCTGAGAGAACCAGCCAACAACTGTATATAATGAATGATAGTGGAGAGAAGATACAGTCAGAAGAATATAATAATTTCAGATGATTTGATAAGAAAGGAAGTGCAACTGTACTTGGGGATTTGGGTATCTTATCTCTCTGGGAATGATGCTTTATTGACTCTTAAGTGGTAATTATAATTAAACCCAATTTTTACCAGTGCATTCCTGTGCTTAACAGGGTTTTTTTTTGGTGGATACTTAATATTATAATCTCTCTGTCCCTTAGTTTTTGAAGAACTGAAGATTCAGTTTATTAGTATTTTAATAAATCTCACTAGAATGGATCATATTCTTCTTTGCTTTATTTATGTCAATGCTGTGAAGCATATTTAAATTTTTTATGATAAATTTTTGATTTATAATTAAGAACATTAAATATATTACTCTGTAATGTGGTGATATCTTTGGTAGGTAATTAAGTTATGTGAAACTGTTTTACCTCCATATACACCTCATATGTTTATTTGGAGGTAAAACAATTACCTAGAACATTTTGGATAAAAATGATTAATGAAGGGAGTCTCTACCAAGTACTTTAATGCCTTATAAAGCTACAGTAATCAACAGTGTTTTGTGGTATAGAAACACAATATATAGCCAAGATATTTATGCCAATATAGATAAGTATTCAGCATATAGTAAATGTGGAATTTCAAGTTAGTCAGGAAATAATAGATTATTAAAATGAAGGCAGGACAATTATTTAATCATTAAGACCAAAAATAATGTTTAGTCAACTTTGTATGATTAATCTCAGATATATTAAGAAAGTACTAGAAAATGTAGTAGAAATAGATATTTATATAATACTGGGATGGGGAAGGATGTTTTTAAAGCGAGAACTTAAAGTCTTAAAGATAAAGACAGATAATTTATGTACATATCAATTTTAAGACTTCTTTATTTTAAACACACTCAAACACAAAAGAAAAAAATGTTGTCTCACCGATTAGGATGGCTAATAAACAGAAAATAGAAAATAAACAAGTATTGATAAGGATATAGGGAAATGAAAACACTCGTGTGCTACTGGTAGGAATGTAAATGGTACAACCACTGTCTAAAATAGTATGTTGGTTTCTAAAATATTAAAAATAGAACTATCATATGATCCAGCAGCTCCACTTCTGGGTATAGATCCCCAAAAATGGACAGATGAGACTTGAAGAAATATTTGTGCACCTGTGTTCGTAGCAGTATTATTCACAATAGCTTAGGGATGAAAGCAACCCAAATGTCCCTTGACATGAATGGATAAACAAACTGTGGTATATATGTACAATGGAATATCATTCACCCTTAAAAGGGAAGGAAATTCTGACACATGCTACAATATGGGTGAACAGTGAGGACACTATGTTAGGTGAAGTAGACCAATTGCAAAAGAGCAAATACTGTATGATTCTCTTTATATCCCTAGAGACAGAATGTAGAATGGTGATTGCTAGAAGCTGAGGGGAGAGGAAAATGCATAGCTATTGTTTATTGGGTACATAGTTTCAGTTCTGCAGGATGAAAAGAGTTCTGGAGATGGATGATGGTGATAGTCGCATAACAATGTACGTTATGTCATTTAACTGTACGCTTAAAAATGGTTAAGATGGTAAATTTTATGTTATGCATGTTTGTAAAAATATTTTAAAAAATAATAATTTAAAAAATAATAAACAAAAGAGGAATGGTGGTGCTTAGAGTCAAGAGCATGCTCTAGCGTCAGGCACAGCTGGGTTTTATCTGGCTCAATGGGTGTAGGCAAATGTGTTAAACTCTGTGTGCCAAACTTTCTCATCTCAGGGTTATTTTGAAGACTCAGTGAGATAATTTCTGTAAAGTGCTTTTTATAGTGCTTGGAACACAATAACTGTTCAATAAATGCTGCATACTGATCTGTTAAAAGGCAAATGATAAACATATTATTGACTATTTATTATTTTTATTTTTAGAGGTCAATATATTATTGACTCTTCATATAGACAATATGTTAAGAACTCTAACAAACCAAAGAGAAATGATAAAAACTCTAGAGTTTATGGAAAAATAGTATGTTAAATTTTATCGACAAAGAATATGTTAGTATTTTTTATTTCAAGGAATGAGGCCTTTTCTGGGCTAGCTTAAGTAAATGGGGACTTTTTGAAGAATAAATTTTAAGAGAGATAGAGTCTCGGAGATGCAAGAATAGGAAATCGACACAAGATTGGATATAGGTCTAAAGTAGTTCTAAGGATCCTGACAGTAGAATCTACATTTCAGCGCTCTGTTGTTAACGTAGTTTATCTCCTCTTGTTTAGTCTCTGTCACATTTCCTCTCATCTAATATATCATTGACTCACTCCTTTATACCTTACCTACATCACAGCTCTTGCTTATTCCTGATTTGTGCTTCTTTATGTCTTTGATTTCTGCATGACTTTGCTTTGCTGCTGACCATTCATGGATCTAATTCACAGTATCTTCTCAGCTTTAGTTCCCACTGCTAACAGTCTGATTTTTCTCCATTTGTTTGAATCAAATTATTCGAAGTAGAATTGGATTGGAACATTCCTTGTTTTTAGCAAGAATCTTATTGGACCTTTCTTTGTTTCTAGCAAAGCTTTTTAGATCAGGTTATCTTGAAGCTCACTGCTCAGCCACTTTCAGCTACATTTATGTCACGTGACCAGTCCTATTCCAATCAGCTGTGGTCTGGGTGATAAATTTCTGTGGTGTAAAACATGATGATCTAAGGCTGCCTCTACAGAAGGAGCTATTTTGTGTTTCATGAATCACTTGTAATGACCAGATTGTTGAATTTTTCTAGTTGAAGATTTGACAACACCATTTTTATGTCTGCTTTTAATAGTTCATCCCTATCTGTTTCTATCACCTTGTTCACAAGCTGCTAATCTGTTATCCAACCTTCAGTCTATGAATCAGAGCAGGAAGAACAGAAGTGTAATGGGAACATAAAATTACCACATAAGATAACCATATCAGTAAGCTTGATTTACCTTCATCTGTAGAAGCGAGTAAGTCAACAAGCCCTAGTTTAAGGGTACTTTTAAAATTCTCTAATAAAGCACATGATCTTGGCTTAGAGGCTTTTTGGATTACTTGGGTTGGTCTGGATTCTGAGAAGGTGAGGTGGCTAATGTCTAACTATCAGATTAAGCGTAAGTTTCCCATACATCAGAGCAGATGTGACACCTTTATTGACAGTATGTCCATATTGTTTTATGTTCTTGTGTTACTTTTTCCCCCCAGTAATGCCTTTGCATGAAATGCTTTCCTTTCAGTAAAAAAATAAGCCAAATTTTCTTGTTATCTTCTGGACAAGGGAGGGGGTGCTTTTTTCGCGGAAAACAATTAACAGTAATATAAAACTTTACAGTGTCAAAGTAAGATGATCTTTTTATGCAAATACTAACTTGAAGTTTTTAACCATCTGTTCTTAATTGAGCTTGGAGAAGATTATTTTCATAATCTAAAAGACATACTGTGAATGCTCAGGCACATGCTGAATAGCCCAAGAAAGTAGGGATCAGCATCACATATATTTAAACAAATTAGTCAAAGGAAAAAATTTTACTTGTGTTTCTGCATGAAAGGTGGAACCTAATTGAAAAGCAGGAGATATTTTCAATTTCATTGGTTGAAACAGCCAAAGATAAACCATGGTGATTCTGTCTGGGGACCCACATATATGCATATCATGTAGGAAGACATAATTGCTTCCGTAGCAATAAACTATTTCTATTTCTTCTTATTTGTTATGAGTTAGACTTTGTCATTCTTCAGGACCCCCAGAGATTTCGAAGAAAGACTATACGAAGATAGATAAAGCATATCCTCTATCCCATCTCTGTCTGTGGAAGTCAATATATTTTTAATGTAAAAAATTGATTGTAGTTTGGTGAAGAAGACATCACAGCTTGCAAAGGAAGAGACTTCATGAGAACTCACAGAATGAGTTTGAATCTTGGAGTGCTGGCCCAAGGTAGGTAAGACATTGGGACAATAATTAGTCAACATTTTTGGAACACACATCAAATGCAGAACATAGAAAAGGCTGTAATACTAGTTCCTGTTTTGGGACAGGTGACTTATGCATGGTCTGACAGATTTAGGAACTGAGAGAAGAAATATCAGTAGGATTGTTGATCTGACTGCAGTAAAGCAGCATAAATGACCCTCTGTCCAAGTGGGAATTTGTTCTGCTGCTTTTCCTCTCTTTCTAACTCAGCAAAATAACATGAAAACCATGGAACCAAAAAGGATCTTGAAGACCTAATTCCTACATTGTAGGAATTTAAAAATGGAGACTCATAGAGGTTAACTAGTTTCCTTAGGTAACCTAGCTAGTGAGCAGTTGTTTCAGGATGGGAAACCAGACCTACAGTATGGATGCCATTTTAATATACCATACAGTTCTTATACCCTGTTGTGTTTGTGAAGATAGCAATTCATTTTACACTGCAGTATGAAAATAAATTTTTCAAAGTTTGTTACTATTTCTTAAGGCTTTAATGGTTGGTTGTTGTATCTGCATTTTATTGAGCAACCTTGATGATTCTTTTCATACATGGACAGATAACTTATGATGGAACATTCTTCCCGTATGTTTTGTGGTGATTGGAGGTTATAAACAGATACATTTTGGTACCAGAAGCTTGCTTTGTGTCAGGTGAGAGGAAGAAACGTGGTTGTGTATTCACTGTGTGTTGGTAATTATCCAAGACTGTGAGCTAAAACATCTGGATTATGGTCCCAACTCTGAATTAATTAGCTCTGCGTTCTGGATCTTAATTTCTTCATCTGACCAAAGAAAGTTTTAGTTAAATAATCTCTAAATTCCTCACAAGATGAAATGTCATAATATTCTAGATCAGGGAAAAGTTAGAGAAACTTTAGTCTGTGCTTGTTAAAGGGCTGTAATGGGCTGAATATGCTTAAAATACTAAGTTTACTTTGACACAATTCACTAAGCAATTGCCCGACTCTTTATTTAACACTGGCTTTTGGGTTTTCCTACTTATGAAGTCATTGTCTAACTTGAACTGTCATGCAGTGAGAACTGAATACATCCACCTTTATATAGGTATTACAACCACACTGAACTCCTGATTCCACTTATAAAAGCACCAGGACTCCCCCTGCCTTTGCGTGTGTTGCTTTCGCTGCCTCACATCCCTTCTTTCCTGTCTTGCCCTGGCAAACTCCTACTCATCATTTAAGGTCCAACTCAAATATCACCTCCTCTATAATCCTCCCATAACCATCTCAGTTTTCAGTCAAACCAATATTTATGGATCATCTACTATGTGCAAAGCCTCCTGTCAGTAGCTGAGGATGATCACAGTTCCAGCTTTCATTAAATAATAATTACAAGAGGCTGGGCATGGTGGCTCACGCCTGTAATCCCAGCACTTTGGGAGGCCGAGGTGGGCAGATCACTTTAGGTCAGGAGTTCGAGACAAGCCTGGCCAACATGGTGAAACCCCGTCTCTACTAAAAATACAAAAATTAGCTGGGCGTGGTGGCGGGTGCCTGTAATCCCAGCTGTCTGCAGGCTGAGGCAGGAGAATCACTTGAATCTGGGAGGTGGAGGCTGCAGCGAGCCAAGATCGCGCCACTGCACTCCAGTCTAGATAGAGTGAGACTCTGTCTCAAAATAATAATAATAATAATAATTATTATTATTATTACAAGAATGTAAAGTTATATGAGAGAAAAGTACTTAATGTCTTGGCTGGTCTAGTGGAGGAGACTAAACACAAAATTAGTGGCTACCTTCTCTGGGTTCCCATGACACTTTATTGTACATCTCTACCATGACAGTAATTAGGTTGTGTTCTTACCAGTATTATGGGTTTATGTATCTATTTCCTCCTCTACACTTGTGTGATCCAATATGGCAGCCATTAACCACATGTGGCTATTTAAATTTAAACTAATTAAAATAAAATTAAAATCCACTTCCTCAATCATACCAGCCACATTTCAAATGCTCAATAGCCACATGCTTCTAGTGGCTACCATATTGGATAGCACAGGTAGAGAGTATTTCCGTCATCACAGAAAGTTCTGTTGGACAGTGCTGCCCTAGATGGTGAATTCCTCAGTGTCAAATATTGTGTTTCATTCATCTTTGTATCCCTAGGTCCTGGAACAGTGATTTATTATTCAACAAACATTCATATATATGCTTATTAAGTGCCAAGTACAATTCTAGATTCTGGCGATAAAGTGATGAACAAAAAATAGTGCTTGCCTTCATAGAGCTTACACTTTAGTGGTGTTGAGGGGAATTGGATATTCAACAAACCAAGTAAATATACAATATGTCAGGTGGCAATGAGTACTATGCAGAAAAATAAAGCAGGTTAAGTTAGGCAGGGAGTGACAGGAGAAGGGGTAAGTGGTGCTGGGTTGATCTTTTAGGTAAAGTGGAAAGGGAGGCCTCACTGAGGGAATCAGTTGCCAAGAAGGAGCAGCAAGCATAATGTCCCTGAGGCAAAAATGTGTGGCTTGTCTTAGGAATGAGGAGGCCAGGGTTCCTAGAGTTGAGTGATTAAAGCAGAGGGTCAGAGAAATGAGGGCAGTGGGACAGTAGGGATGGAGCAGGGCCTTTGGCTTTTACTCTGAGATGAGAAAAATTGAGGAGTATTGAGCAGAGATGGGAAGAGGTCAGGCTTACATTTTAAATATTATCAGTGTGATTGCTGTGTTGAAAACAGCCTGCAGGGGGCAAAGCCAGAGACCAAATAAGGTCTCTCAGGTGAGAGGGAAATAGTGGCTTGGATGGATAGGCAAGATGGTAAGAAGTGGACACGTTTTGAATGTAGAGCAGGCAGGACATGTGGATGTGTTGGAATGTGAAGTGTCAGGGAAAGAAAAGTGTCAAGGATGACTCTGTAGATTTTGACCTGAGCAAGTAGAAGAATGGGCTTTGCATCAACTGAGATGAAGAAGACTCTGGACCTTGCAGATTGGGAGGAATATCAGGAGTTCGGTTTGGGACATATTAAGTTGAAGTGTCCATTGAGCGTCTCCGTGGCTATGCTGACCATGAGTTGGATATTTGTGTTTGTGGTTCAGGGGCAAGGTGTGGCTGGAGGTATGTATACATGCTTGTTGACTGACTGACTGATTGGATGAATGAATGAGACATTATTATCTTAAAATAGCAATTCTGACTGTGAAGCTGCAGGACATAGTCCTGGGGAGCAATTTGCCTACAGACAAAAGAAAAATCACAGAGGAGGCCTGACAATCTGAGCAGGCAGTGGATGCATATCCAAACAAATAAAACCAATTAAATCACCCTTAAAATTATTTTGAACATAGATTTTAGGGCTTAAAGTATAAAATTTCCTCCTATTCAAACGGTGGGGGAGGGCATATCAGTTTCCTATGGTTGCTATGAACAAATTGCCACAAATTTAGTGGCTCACAACAAAGCCAGTGTATTATCTTGCAGTTCTGGAGGTCAGAGCCTGCAGTGGGTCTCACAGGGCTAAAATCCAGGTGCAGAAGAGGCTGCGATGCTTCCTGGAGGCTCTGGCGGAGAATCTTTCTCTCAGCCTCACTCAGACTCTGACTCTCCTCTCTTTCTTTCACTTCTAAGAACCATTGTGATAACATGGGATCCATCGGCAAATCCAGAATAATCTCCCCATTTCAGGGTTGTTGATTAGCAACCTTAAGTTTGTCTGGAAACTAAATTCCCCCTTACCACTTAATGCAATATATTCACAAGTTCCAAGAATTAGGATGTGGCTACTTCTAGAGGAGGTGGTGTCTTGAATTTGTTCATTCTTTTCATGTGGAAAGATCAATACACAATAATAAAGTGATTGAAAGGACGTTTAGAGTATACACAAGCCCCAATTAGACATCCTCTCAATTGCTTTTACTATTGTATATAAATCTTTTGACACTAAAAGCCAAAAAAAGACTGGAGATTACTAAGTAAAAGAATAATTGGAGAGAAGTCCACTTTTAAACAAAGTTGTGTACATGATCTGCTTTTAATTGAAATATTTTAAGTTTCAAAATATTTATGGCATGTGTAAAAACAAACTCAGACCTAAGCATATTGAGGATGTGTGTTTGTGAGTGTGTGTATGTGTGTGGTTGCATAATTATTCCATATAAAAATGTTTATTGGTTATAAATCTTATATAAGATCATATAAAAGGAATACTGGGGTTACTCAATGCTACTGTTAGGATTTATTTATTGATTTTTATGTATGCCTTATATTTACAAGGACCGCATTTTATGAACCTATAATCTGTAAAATGCAAATGCCCTTATGGATCACAGGATAGAACATTTGAAGTTGAGATATCTTGAGATAACTGTTATATTTAATTGACCTGAATTGTCATATCTTATTCTGAAATGTCTGTCCCAGCTCTTCTCACCACCATTCTCATGGTCACCTGTTCAGACCACAAGAACAGCTTCCTAATTGACTGTATAACTGAGGTGAATCTGGGAGGCAGGAGAGTGCAGTGGTTAAAAGAATGGGTTCTGGCCGAGCACGGTGACTCACGCCTGTCATCCCAGCACTTTGGGAAGCTGAGGCAAGTGGATCACTTGAAGTCAGGAGTTCAAGACCAGCCTGGCCAACATGGTGAAACCCCGTCTGTACTAAAACTATAAAAATTAGCCAGGCTTGGTAGTGTGTGCCTATAATCCCAGCTACTACTAGGGAGGCTGAAGCATGAAAATTGCTTGAACTCGGGAGGTAGAGATTGCAGTGAGCTGAGATAGCACCACTGCCCTCCAGCCTCAGTACTGAGTGAGACTCCTTCTCAAAAAAAAAAAAAAAAAAAAAAGACAGGGGTTCTGGAATCAAATTATTGAAGTCCAATCTTATTTTGTCCATTTATTAGATGGATGGCTGTAGACAAATTACTTCACCTCTGTAAACTTCAGTTTTCTGTCCTGTGAAATGGGAGTAGTACTGATCTTATAGAGTCTATAAAATTCAGTATGAAATTTCTACTGAATTAAGGAGTAAATGAACTTGTGTTCAAGGAGTAGAAAGGCCAGTGTCTGGAACATGGTAAGTGAGCAGCAGAGTTAAGATCTGAAAGACTGGCAGGACAAGATCATGCAGGACTCTGAAGGCCTTGGTATAGGGTCAGACTGGAGGCAAAAAGTGCATTTTCTGAATTAAGGCTATGGATATGAAAAAGTGATGTTGGGGCTAGTAGTATAAAGAAATAGCATTTACAAGACTTGTGATATTTTTTGGATGTTGGGGAAGGCAAGGCAGAAGCCTGAATGACTGTGTTTCTGACTTGGAGGTCTGGGGACTGGGGACATCATTCTCTGAGATAGGGAATATAGGAAGACAAGCAGGTTTGGGGGAAGAGACAATGAGTGCAGTTTGGGATAGAAATGTAAAGTGTCTGTGAGATGTTCAATTGTAGATTTATATATAAAGATGGATGTGTAGATATGAATCTTAACAGAGGGTTTGGGCTAGAAGTATAGGTTTGAGAGTCATCAACATATAATAGATTATTGACAGAAGACAAGTCTGGAAAGAGTTTTGACATGGAGGGAGGTAGGCATTCAACTTATGACAAAATAGAAGACTAATCTGGCATTTCCCTCTCCCTAGCTCCCCTTCTTATTGCCCTGCTCCAAACACACAGAACATGGTTATAGGAAATCCACCAAAAGGATTAAGTGCAGAAACGCAGCTAGGATGCTGTCCAAGGTTCTGGGAGGAATAGAAAAAGATTTCCGTGAAAACTGAAGTCACAAGGCTGTGCCACATATAGATTTGAGGTTGATATTTATTCTGTTTGTATTGTGTGAGAATCCTAAGCCAATAAATTAAAAAAAAATAGAGATGGGGTTTTGCCATGTTGCCCAGGCTGATCTTGAACTCCTGAGCTTAAGTGATCCACTTGCTGCAGCCTCCCAGCTAAGCCAATACATTTATATAAGAATTTAGTGGTGACCAGAGAAAGCACTGAAGATCTGGAAGAAAAATAAATGTAAAATTTCCCTAGAAAGATATGTAACCCTAAGGAAACGTTCACAGAAAAACGAATCCTTCGTGAGAAGATGAATTCAGCATAAAAATTTACAAACCATAGGAGGAAATGATTTACCACAAGAGAAAAGTCATTTGTGACAGTTATCAACTTACTGATTCTCAGATCCAAATCTGCCCTTTGTTGTCCTGATTCTTGTTAATGGAGCTTGGCTCCTTGCCAGCTGATGCAATCTTAGGCTTTGTTAATACAGGGTGCTGGTGGGCCCTTCAGGTCACAGTGGAGGAGGGGGCTTCTCTTCCTGGTTCTTGTGTCTTTTTTCTTCCTCCTAAGGCCCAGCTTTCAGTGGTGTGTGGGAGTCCCAGTGGAGCTCACCTTCCACTGAAATTCTCTGGTACCCCAGTGGGCAATATTTTGCTTGCCAGCTCTGACCTGCTCACACATCAGCAGGCAGCTTTCAGTAGACCAGCTCCAACCCACAGTACCTCTGGAAATGTTGCTGGCACCTCAGTGGCAGCTTTCTGTGGAACACTTCTGACCCATGTAATCCTAGAAAACTCTACCATCCAGTGGGCTGTAACCACACCCTCTCCAACACAGTCTCAATATTGGCTGTAGTAGGGGTGCGGCCATTTCCAAATTTGCTTCTGCTTTGTATACCCTCCCTGAACCCTAGAGGTAATAGCTGTTTTCTACATTTGCTATTCTTATGTTCTTTAGCATCCTGTTTTACTCCCCGCCTTTTTGTGTGTTAATCATCTTTTAGAAGTTAATAATTCTTGATATTAAATTGTCCCTGTTCGAATTACTGATGTGGTCTCTGTCTCCTGAGTGGACCCTGACTGATATATCAGCAGCCATAATAAGCAGAACAATTAGCACCCTCAGAACATGAGGTAAACCATCCCAAAATGATTAGAAAATAAGTATGCTTAAAATGAATAAAATATTTTAAAAAGAAATAAAGACCATAAATAAATAGTAGGGTTCTATGAAAAGAAATAGGCATATTGAAAAAGAATTAAATTAAATGTTTAAAAAATACAAAAGGTAGTCATTGGGTGGGTGCAACGGCTTCATGTCTGTAATCCCAGCACTTTGGGAAGTGGAGCAGGGAGGATCTCTTGAGCCTGGGAGGTCGAGGCTGCAGTGAACCTTGACCATGCCACTGAAGTCCAGCCTGGGTGACGGAGTGAGACCCTGTCTAAAAAAAAGTAGTCATTAATTAAAAAATCAAGTGGGTAGGTCAAACATTAAAATTAGTGACTTCAAAGATAGCCCTGAGGAAACTGCCCAGGATACAACAAACAGATAAGAAACAAAAAATTAAAGAAAGTGCAATAGAATAAGGAGAAACAGTATACATCTTACAGGAATTCCCTACATTTCTCTCTCTTTACCATCTATATCTATATATAAACACGTTTCCAGAAAGAGAAAATAGAAAGAATGGGAGAGGAGGCAATATTTGAATACTGCCTAGCTGAGAATTTTTCAGAACTGAAGAAATATCAGTAGGGTTTACTCTAGGATTATAGGAATAATATAACTTTATAAAATTTAATGTAACTTACCATATTGACATATTAAAGAAAGAAAAAATAACTCTTCTTAGCATACATAATAGGTTCAACAGCCATTCACGTTAACAAACCTTAGAAAATGATACATAGAAAGGGACTTCCTTTAAAAAAAGGGTGTCTACCTAAAACAATGTAAACCTCACATTTAATGGTGAAACATTGGAAGCATTCTCTTAAGGTCAGAAATAATTTAAAGATGCCTGCTGTCACCACTTCTATTCAGCATTGTACTGGAGGTCCACAGCAGCTCAATAAGACATGGAAATAAACAAGAGTTGTGGGGAATGGAAAAATAAGAAACCAAATTGTCACTATCACAGATGATATGATTATCTACATATGAAATTCAAGAGAATGTCCTTGCCAACTATTAACAGTAGAAGTAACCAGAAAGTTCATAAAGGTTGTTGTCTAAGAAACTATATACAAAAATTAGTAGTATTTGTATATACCAGATAAAATTGTTTTGAAGATGTAATTTAAAAATATCATATTTTTCATAGCCATTAAACTACAGAGTATGTGAAATAATTAGATTGGTGCAAAAGTAATGGCAAAAACCTCAATTACTTTTGCACCAACTTAATAACATAATATATACATGATTTTATAAAAAATTATGAAATTTTATTGAATGATATAAGAATACCTAAATAAATGGAGAGTTATACCATATATATAGATAGGAATACTCAGTATTTTGAATTTCCAATTCTTCCCAAAAATAATCTATAAAAAGCCAGTTCAATCTAAATCTTAAATTTTCTCAGAAATTGACTAGTTGTTTCTAAAATGTATATGGATGAATAAAATGCCAAGAATAGCCAAAGGAAAACATTTGAAGAAAGTTAAATGTAATGAACTTATTCTATCATTTATCAAGGGTTATTATAAAAGTATAATAATTAAAATATGCTGTGTCAGTAGAGGGAGGTACATGTACACCAACTTAACAAAACAGGGAGCCTGGACACCACCATGTATATGAGAGAGGCGATTTTCAAATTAGTGGAGAAATATAAAATAAAGAGCATATTTATTTTAGATAAGACAATTAATTTGTCATGTGGAGAAAAATTATAAATCTACCTTATACTACACATAAAAATAAATCCTAAATGGATTGAAAATGCAAGAATGAGTTGAAAAATATGAAAAAATTAAGAAAAATAGTTTTATAATCTTTTTTTTTGTTTTTTTTTTTTTTTGAGAAAGGGTCTCACTCTATTGACCGGGTTGGAGTGCAGTGGTGAGATCTCAGCTCACTGCAACCTCCACCTCCCGAGTTCAAGCAATTCTCCTGCCTCAGCCTCCCAAGTAGCTGGGATTACAGGCGCCTGCAACCACACCCAGCTAATTTTAGTATTTTTAGTAGAGACGGGGCTTCACGCTGTTGGCCAGGCTGGTCTAGAACTCCTGACCTCAAGTGATTAACCCCTCCTCGGCCTCCCAAAGTGCTGGGATTACGGGCGTGAGCCACCGTGCCTGGCCAGAATAGCTTTGTGATCTTGAAGGGTAGGGAAAGAGTTATTGCACAGGACTCAAAAAGCACAGACTTTAAAAAGATTGATAACTTTAATCATTTAAAATAGAAAAGGTCTATATGAATAAAAGACCATAAAATGATAAGGCACAGACTAAGAGAAGATATTTGTAGTCCAAGCAACCAGTAAAGGATTAGTAAACAAAATACGTATTAAATAGAAGCCTAAAAAACAATAAAAAGGAAACATTTCAATAGAGAAAGAACAAAGGACATGATGAGTCAATTAAGAAGAAATCTTTTAAAACATAAAGTGTTGCACAACCTCATTGATCATTAGGGGAGATTAAGATTAAAACAAAATGGGACAGCATTCCATGACCAGCAGATTGGCAAAACTTAAAAACTCTGATCATATAAAGTCTTGGCAATACCATGGGAACATAGAAACTTTCAAAAACGGCTACTATTAGGTACTTCCACTTTGGAGAGTAATTTAACAATATCCATGGAATTAAAGATGTGTATAACTTACAAGGCAGCAAATCTACTTTTAAGCTATATATACTTGTTGAATTCTTAAACGAGGAGGTATTCTTAAATACGGTAGTGCAGCATTGTTGTGTTAGCAAAACTTGAACAAACATAATTGTTCAAGAATAGAGAAATGGAGAAACTAAAGATAATTTAATGGAATACTAAATATCATTAATCATGAATAAGTTAGATCTACCTGTACCAAAATGGATATATTGCAAATTACAATGTTGAGTGGAAAAACACAAGTCATCAAAGTATATGGTATGGTAAAATTTAGGTGAAACATGAAAATACATAAAAACAATACTACATGTTTATAGATATATACATATACAGTCAAAAATGAAACATATGGACAGGAAGGGTACATAGTGTTGTGGTGGCTTTTATAGGGAGGGAATAAACAGTATTTCCAATATTTTATTTATCTGTATTTGCTAGATTTTATTTTACAAATATCTGAGGCAAATACTGTCAAATAACAACACATGTTAAATTAGAGGAAAGGGGGCATTGTGGTGTGTTACATTATTATCTATACTTTTCTATATGTTTGAAATAGTTCATAGTTAAAATTGAAGTATTTATTTACATGAAGGAAATAGCCAAAAATGTAAAGATCTTTTACCTAATCCTTGTTGTGACTCACAGCATAAATTGGAGACTGTGACTGATTTTAGATGAAGTCTTTTGTCTTAAAACTAAGAGAGGATAACTGGCTAATAAAGAAGGTATTCCTAACCTTGGTTTCATTAGTGCAGTTCTTTAACCAACTAAACTAACTGTCCACAGGTGACAGAACCTATAAAGAAATAAAAAGCATTGTTTGCTTGATGAGTTTGGATCTAATCACACAATTAAGGTAAAGAATAACTGTATTGTTTGTGGAACCTAGAGCAAGATGCTGTTAACATTGCTAATCAATTTGACATGAAAAATTTTACATATTATAAAACGTTTGTCCTATTAAAATCTTGATATCAAATTCAATTGATTTCTAAGACGCAGTTTTTGTTGAGAGAAAAGTAACAAACAATGGTTTGTTTTAATTTAGTTTTTAAAAACAATAATTTACATGGAGTTAGGAGAAAGATAGTTTTGAATGGAATTTGTGTACTTTGAAAAGAGGGAAGAAACCTTTCCCCTGCATTTACAGATATTCAGAGTTCAGAAATCCCATTTCACCCATAAGGGCTAAGTTTCTAAAATCCTCATGGTATAAGAGTTTCTTAAACTTTTATTAATTTTTTGGTGAGAGAACGTAAGGACCTAGAAGAAAAATAAGATAGGAAGAGCAAGATTTAGAGAGCAAATGTGTCAAAGCCACAGAGCCAATGTTGTGATCCCTGATCATCTGATTGAGGCTGGTACAGAAGTGTCCCAGCAATTCCCATGTATTAGAACTGGAATCATCACAGTTGCCTAAAATGTTCAGAGAAGGAAATTCCATTGTACTTAGATTTCATGTAAAAGGAACTCATGGTTGGGGAGGGAGAACTCTAAACATATCTGACTGCATTAAACCATAGAATTATAGAATCCTATGTTATTAAGGCTTGAGGAAACCTTAGAAGTTTCCAGTTTAACCTTTTCATTTTTCATCTATGGCAGGGATATTTAAAGCTGTGTCTAAAGGCACAATTGGCTCAACTCTTTTCTAATTTATCTTGACAGTCGTAACAGTCAAACCAATTGTGTGTAGGAAGAGACATAGAGACAATTTCAAGTGGGGGTATTAACCTCTTGGTACATTATTTTAAATATCAGTCATAAAAACGCCAAAGTTTAGAAGCCTAGCTTTTGTCTTATGTCATCCCGCGTAGTTTAAATGCACCATAGTTGAAATGTAAATGCCAAATTGTCTAGGTATCACATACTGCCAAATATGCCTTAAATAGACAAGGACTATGCTATTTATAACCCACGGAATACCATGAAAAGCCTCATTTTCCTAAGTGTAGAGTGTGGAAGCTAGTATGAAAGAGAGTATTTCACTTGATTTATGAGCTTTAAAATATGAAAAAAAAAAAAAAAAAGGCATCCTCAACCAAAACCTAGCTTCCAACATTTGATGAGTATTTAACTGACTGCATGAGCTGTCTCTGCACAAACTGTCTCATTATGGTTGGACTGCTTTTTCAAAGAGTTCAGAAATATTTTCTTCCAGGTAGGAGTGAGTAGTTGGCCAGGTGGGGAAATTTACTAAGATGGATTTTTTAAAGTCCATGCAGTTTTTCTGGAGAAAATTGGGAGAAACCTCTGGAGGCTGTATATATAGGCAAAATAGGGCTTGCAGGAAGCAGAAATGCTTTCAGTCTTTTAGGCCACGTGTGTACTTTCTCGTGTCAGACAGCAAGATGAAATTGAACGTGCAAGGTTTTTACTAGAGGAAATACTTGTGAAAGGAAACAGAGAGGGAGCCAGGTATAGCTGGGAGAACTGTCAGACCCATGAGGCAAGTCTGGCTATAAGTGAAAGAGGGAGAGAGGTTGAGTGGAAGTGTCCTAGACTGCCCAGTAATCTAAGGAAATTTGACAAAACCTCTGAGGAGTCCTTGAGATCAAGGTGGACGATACAGAAGCCCCGTGTCTCCAAGGAACTCCCTGGTATACCTCGTCCTTGCCAGGCAGCTGCCTGTGAAGAGTGGAGCCTTGGGACAAAGGCTGAGAAGGATTTCATAAAACAGCAGGGGGCCCCTGGGTCAGTTTCACTTCCTGTTACAGGATGTCTGCAATGAGCATCCTCATAGCTGCTACTTCCATCCATAGGCAAAATGATGAAATAGGCAGCTTCATCTGCATTCTCTTTACCTTCATCTCTCCACCACATCCCTTTTCCTTTGTTGGGCGGTTCTTCTCTACTCCTCTTAGGTATTCAGTCATAGCCTTTGAAATATCTTTTACTCTTGAAAAACGATTTGCTCCTCGAAAAGATCTGATATTCACAGTAGGGCAAAATTCCATGTTCTTCAAATATTTTGCTTTTGTATCCCCTGAAAGAATTTTTAAAAATTGTGTACACATTCACAAATCTTTAGTTTTGGGTGACTTATTTTTAATATTTTTAAAGCTTATAAGTCAAGTGAAACACTCTCTTTCATCCTAGCTTCCACACTTTACACTTAGGAAAATGAGATTTTTCATGGTGTTTTGTAGGGTATAAATAACATAGTTCTATGTCTATTTAAGGCACATTTGGCAGTATGTGCTACCTAGACAATTTGGCATTTAAATTTCAACTATGGTGCATGTAAAATATGCAGGATAACATAGTTTTTTTAAAAAAATGATATACACAGTCACAGATTTTCATGTAGACATCTACAAATTTTCTGCCAGAACGTGTGTGTATCATGACAGTAAAACTCTTTTCTGAGATTCAATAGAGAGGCAAGTTTTCATTGCTCACTATATTATACCAGAGATGTAAGAAGGCTACAACTATTGAGGGAGGATGCAGATAATGGGGCTGCAGGGGACCAAGGTCTAAGATAAGATGGGGGTATCCCCATCTTCCATTGTCCCGCTTACCCCACATTTCTCATGAGAGATCTACTGAGGATGGTGACTTAGAAGGGACCTAAGGCAGGTGCTACGTAGCTAGCCCCTACTCAGCTGTTGGGACACATATGACACAATAAAGTTTTGTTGGATATTAATTGACACAGAATGTAATCAATTGCTCTGGTATCTCAAAAAGTTTATTTTCTGCAGATTGGCTGCATCTTATCAAACAGGCTCATTTTTTCTCCCAGACAGACTGCTGCACTTTGCACTAGGCTGACATTATTTGTCTGTCCTCTACTGTGACACAGGAAAAAGTGAATTATTTCTGATGTGCTCAAAGCATTCCTGATTTTCTCAAGGTGAGAGTCCACATACAACTTCCTGGTTGAATACTGTTGGGAAAGTATATTCCTGATGATGGTGGCAATCTGAAATTTGCAGTCAATTGTAGACTTAAAATAATGAGAAAATCTAGGTAGAGAAGATGCACAGTTTCTCCTCAGACACCCTTATTCAAATCTTCACTCACACTGTTTCTTGCTGCTCTTCTATATTGGCTGTGGTTTATATAGAAGGCAATTCAGTCATTTTGCTTTCATCTGTGGCTCAAGGACATCTTGGCATTTTCTTCTATTTTTGACCAATATAATGTATTGCTATTAATAAATTTAAATAGTATGCTTTTGTTTGGGAAATGATCTGATTTTTCAATACAGTAGGATTTAGTGCCACTAATATACTTTAAAATAACATTTTAAAATTGCCTTTCCCCCCATTTAGACATTTATTTGCTTTTCCAACATACGTTATTTTAAGGATGAGATTTCCATTTAACACCACGATTTAGATTAAATTATTTTCTTAAAATCACATTGCTCCCATAGTATACTTAGTTTTCTAATTCCCATATGCTCCACTATAGCTGAAAAAAGTTCATCTATATGATGTGACTGAAGAGGCAGCCTTCGTTCACAACACAGCACAATCTGTTAAAGTGGTAAATATTACCCATTTCTATTATTAGAGCTGAAATGGAATTTTCTCTTGCTGCATTTTCAAGATGTGACATAATGAGATAGCAAGCATGGAAAAGTCAGAAATAGTGGAAGCTAACGGTTGTCATCAGTACCAGGAACGCTTGAATTCAGTCTGCCTTGCCTGGCTCCTGACTCGTTCACACAACGCCCCCAGGCCATCTCATTCTCTGTTTGAATTATAGGGTGCTATTTGAGCTTTGCAGATACTGGGGTAAGGAAGCGTGAAGCAAGGTTTCCAATTCTATATTGGTTTTCAGACTGAACGAGAACAGAAAAATTCTTGCTTGATGTTTCAATTCTCTTCAGCCTCCTAAAGACACACCTTCCCAGCTCTGAGAACTAGCTGAGTAGTTCTTCACCCTACATAGAGACGCGCCTGACTTCTCCCTCCTTGACTACAAACCAGAATTAAAAAACGAGAGAAAAAAAGTGAGAAAAAGGCAACTATTCTTGTTGCAGAAGTACTATTGAAATTAGCACAGTGTACAATTTCTGGCAGAAATGAGAGAAGAATGGGGGATAGAGTGTGTGTGTGTGTGTGTGTGTGTGTGTGTGTGTAGACTTCAATAGACCTCAAGAATGTAACTGAGGAAGGAACAGGAGTAACTAGAGAAAAACCTAAAAAACCCTATATATATATAATATATATATATAATATATATATTCATATATCTATCATATATATATCTATCATATATATATTCATATATCTATCATATATATTCATATATCATATATATTCATATATCTATCATATATATATTCATATATATATCTATCATATATATTCATATATATATCATATATATATTCATATATATCTATCATATATATTCATATATATATCTATCATATATATTCATATATATCTATCATATATTCATATATATTTATATAAATTCATATATATATAACAAAAATGTTATTTGAAAAAGCTTTATAGTTAAAAATCAGATTCACTTTGAGCCTATTTGTTAAAGGAAAACTTTTACATCTTTAACTGGGCTGTTAATATTGTCATTTACTAGTCGATGCCTTCATTGAATGCATCAGTGAAATTCAACTCAGTTTTCCCTGCTCTCAAGTTGTGCATTAATCACTGATACTCCATGGCCTGGCTTTTCTCATTGCTTAAATAGTTTCCTACTCTTTTACGTTATTATTAGAACAGAGTATATTCAGCTTTCCGAAGTTAATAGAGTAGCATGGCTTGATTTGTTTTAATAAACAATGGATAAAATTGCTGGTTTCACTGGAGTGGTCTGATTTGCAACTCCCAGTGGAAATCTTCCCTTTGAGTTTTGTGCTTTGGAATTAGAAGAGATGCAGGCTTCTTGTCTTCCTTCTAAGTCATATGTGGATAGTAGAAAGAGGACTGGATGGAGTCTCAGGAGCCATGTCTCTTTAATACCAGCTTTGCCAGTAACAAGACTTCCAACCTCAGGTGAAGTGCTTAGCTTCGCTGGGGCCTAGTTCCTCATGTGTAAAATTATGGGGAATGGACTTTATGATTTTTCTTTATAATTTAGGCATGTCTAAAGCTCTACAAGATTTGAACAAGAAACACCAGTGGGGTTCTGTATATTTGGTATTGTTTAGTGAATGAATCACAGGGACACCAAAGGTTCTTTATGTTAACAGATGGAAAATTTTAATGGAAAGACGAATGACTGAATCAGAATTTTCTTATTAAGATGTCTGCAGCATGCTAGCTAAAAATGAAGGATTGAGCCACACATGACAGTAATCTTTTCGAGTGGTCTCTGTCCTTCTTATTGACTGACTGATTTTTAGTTTATGGGTGTGGCCTCTGGAGCAGCCATTGGTTAAGAGATTTGACTCCTTTCTAGATCCAGTGCTTATGGTTACGTATTTCCAGCATTTTTCCAGAGCTTGGTGCAATGACTGACTCCAATATTTTATATATGGCTAAGAGGACTCACCTACAAGAGTATACAATGTCTAGAATGCTTATATTGTTTCTATGTAAATGATTCCCTGTCTTAAACCTACCTCACTGCACAAAATTGTTATGACCAAGAATGTTTATATCATGGGCTTGATATAGGCATAGCCTAAAATTTCAAGGATGAAAAATTGATGTGATAGATTATTGTCATTTCTGGTATGCTTATTGCATGCCAGCTACTGTGCATTATCTACACATTACCATTTATAGGAATGATCTCATTTTAATGTTATAAACAATTTTATAAAAGAAGGAGTGTTTTTGTGCCCATTTTTCCGTAATGTAACTGAGGCCCAGAGAGATTAAGTGATGTCTCCAGACTCATCATTACTAGAAAGTGTTAGACCTAGAGTTCAAATCCATGTCAGTTTCACCAGAAAGCTTTACTTTTACCAACACTACTCAGTTCTGTCTCATTGGGTCATCTGTTTTCTGCCCAGATACCAACTGCCTCACCTTCATCCTCAAACATCCTCCATCTCCATGGTATTATGGTAATGCCATGACTGCAAAGATGCCTTCTTTAACACAGGTATACTTTGAAGGACATGTGTTCCTGCCTTATTAATTGAATATTCTGAAACTTTCCTTCCAGTGTACAGCCACTGGAAAATACCTGGGAAATCACATTTTCCTATATGCATGGAGAGACTGCTATTTCCTAAATTTAAGGGGTTTTCTCCAAATTTAACTGAATGTCTTTCTTCCCATTGAAAACAAAAGTGCCTCTCAGCCAACAAATGAGCAGAATATTTTCCCAACAGGTCCTTTAATTTGCAGTTGCTTGAAAATGAATGAAGATCAAAAGCTTTTTCATAGACCACTTTCCCCTCTGGGAGACATTTAAGCATGTTAAGAATAAGCATCATTTTTAAAAATTAAGAAAACAAGTTGGATTTTAAATATATTTCAAAAAATAGCTTTGCACAAATATTATGCCATTTTGTGCTATTCAGTTTTTTTAGGCACCTGAGGAATCGTCTTTTTCTACATCTAACCCATGTTGTTAGTACATATAGGCTTTTGTAGTACAGAACATCCTGATTTAACCAGAAAGATCATTACCATGAAACACATTTGTGTATTGCAGAAAGCTCCACAAAAAGGTATCTGTGTCCTTGCAGATAAGGATGTTCCCATTTAGATTAACTGAAAGAAAAACAAGCCTGACAATGGATGTTGCCTTTAAAAAAATAAATAATCTGATTTTCAAATAACAACTTAAAGCCACTGTGGGAATTGCTGTCATTCTGTCAAATAGAGATGGCCTAGTTTTCTGTGGATCATCTTAAATGGCAAGGGGCAAATGTGTGTTTCAGATTCCCAGTTGAGCTGTTTCTTCTGGAAGCGTCGGAACTGTTTGACCATCTCTTTTTGTTAGGATGTGGGTTCATATCTTCTCTCTTGTTTATTGGAGTTGCTGAGACCCAACGAGGACCAGCCCCAGACAAAACTATGATGGAGATGAGGCTTGATTAAGGTTTCCCCTAATCTTCCTTTTAGTATCTTCCTCCAGGAGGCGTGTGTGCACCCCACTTCCGACCAGGAGAGACTGGTTTATTGCCTGTCACTCTGGCTCTGACCCCAGGACACTCTGCTTACCCACCACCACTCTCATCTCCACTCCCCACACATGTTCTGGAACATCCCTTTCACCTTGTCTTTCATTAGTGCTTACCCGACCAAGTTCCATTTTCCCAGGGTGACTGAGGCTAATGTGATAAACTAATGACTGATATTGGGTGAGCAAAACATTAGCATTTAAATAGGGACCTTCTGAAGGAGACACACTTAACAGGGACGAGGTCTTCAGAGGGAGCAATTTCAGACATGATGACAGGACCAGGTCAAAGATAATTTTGTCAGATGGGGCCTTGGGGTTATGCGCAGGGTCAGCCCTAGTTTCTAGCCTTTGTCTCAGTCAGGATTTCAGACATTTATGGCAGGATCCCAACAGCTTTCACAGGACTTTTGACATAAGTACTTTGACCCAAGAGCATTTCCTCCTGCTCCTTGACAGGCTCCACCTTTCCTCCTTCACAGGAGTAGACTGTTCTTGAAACAACTGAAAAGAAAACCTCTTTAGCAGTTGGGAAGAAACGTGATTAACCATGTGGCAGCAAATGGACATTTTCAAAAGAGGTCCTAAATCCAGGGCCCCTGCTTTGCTCAGCTCCAGAGCACCCATTCACATAGAATTACAGTGACTGCTGCTTCCTGGAGGCCTGTGCACAGAAGGCGCTGCTGAGATCTGGATTTGCGCTTGGGGCTCCTGAACAAATGTGGCCTCCATTCAGCCTTGCAGGCCAATGTAAGAGTTTCTACTCTCATTTTTCTGTAGGTACAGCATAAGTATCCTGATTTAGGGCTCAATGCTAGCCATCATCCTTTCACCCCCTGAAATGCTGAGAAAATAAGATGTTGTTACATCAAGCAAAGACTATGATGGGGTCTTCAGGACCATTTAGTGAGTCTGCCTGAAGAGTTTTGTATGAAGGCATTACTGACTTAAGGCTGTTGGCTTTATTATCTTCATAATATAGTCAATGTCCCCTCCTTGGTTCTTTGGATGAAGGTGATGGGAGCGACATCTGTTCCAAAGCTGGTTCACTGAATGGCGATTTCGATGACTTAATGCCTTTTCAGACTTGTGCTGCCACCGCTGTTCTTTGGTTTTGATTTTAAAGCAGCTGAATAGAATCTCTAAGCCTTCCATTATGCCCGCCTTTAAAAAAGTTCTGAAGAAATAATTTAGAACATACCAAGGACAAATGCTTGAGTTATAGAAACTTTTTTATTACTATTATTATTACAAAGCGACCCAAAGATCTTTTAATTTCTTTGATTGTTTAAAGTAGCTGTGTGGAAACATAACATCTTAGATGTGGAGAGAGCTTATAATTGAGCACAAGTCTGAGTGTGGAGACAATGGCAGTTGGTTGCTGGGATTCCCAGGGACTCTGGAAAGTGAAAGGGGTCAGGAAAAGTTTATCGGAATTTGATAGCAGCCTCTATACAAACATCCAGATAAAACTACAGCCAATTACTATGTATGGCTTATTATACTCCCCTCCCCCAAGTTCCCAAATTCTGTGCAGATTTAAATCTTTCATCCAGAATAAAGATTTGTAGCATAATGACCTGATTTAGCGACAAAGAAGAAATAAATCTGACAGTTGGGACCAGAAGAGGTATTAATCTCCAAAGTTCACGCAAGCCTTTGTTTCCTCCTTTCAGTTTTTAAGCAACAGGGGCAAAAAAAAAAAAAAAAAAAAAAAAAAGAGTGAGGGACTGTTTGCATTTCAGCTCGAGTTACATTGCTTGGGAGAAAACAGACCAAAAAGTGGGGAGCGGTGTTAGAATTGAAAGAAAGATTTTCCATTCTTTAAAGACATCGCAACCAAGGGAAAGCAGAGAGATGGAGTCAACCTTGGCCATCTCATGGGCTGCCCCGGGCTTAAGAGAGAAGCAGGTGGACAGGGAAAGGCATTCAGCAGGAGGGGCACCTGGGGCACCTGGATATTGTTTCTGATCACCCAGGCATAATTTAGTGGGACATTTCACGATGTGGAGTCAGGTGCTGAATGGATAATTATTCTACTTTTCAGTTTCAGGTTTGACCCCTGGCACACACTGACCCCAGGTGAAGACAGAGCAGACTCTGTAGTCTGCCAAAGGATGAACTCTGATCTAAGCTCTCTGAAGCAGTCCTGGCCTCTGGATAAATGACCTCTTCAATTAGGCTTCTTTACGTTTCATGTAGATGAAGAGATTTTGGCTCATTTCCCCACTTCTGCCTTTGCTCAATGTGAAAACACATTGTAAAATATAATCATTTGAGGGTGATTCTAACAGTTCTAACTGACTGGCTGTTCTGGAAGATAAAAATAATACGATTTTAAAGGAACCTTAACTTTTGAAAGTGAAGTGAGTACCACATGCTGCAAAGGAGAATATTGATTTAATGGCCACACATAATCCTGTAAATTTAGTCATGAAACAGACACTAATTTTAAAGAATAGTGGTACTATTAAAATATACCTCTGCACAGCTGTAGGACAAACAGATTTGATTCCCCTCAGGGGAAACTGAGAGGTCCAAGTGGTCTTTGCCAGTCTGTGAACTTGCAGTGTGTGTCAGTGACAGTTTGAGTACTGCGGGCTATAGGACTTGCATTCCTAAGCAAGTTCTCTAGGCTTCCACAGAAATAAGCGATAAAAATTGCCCTTCTGTGTTTTGAGTTAACTTCCTTTAGATCTCATTGAGCCAAGAGCCAAATCCACCATGAGTAAAAGTGTTGAGCATTGTCAGAGAGCTGTACTAATGGACAAAGGCTGACTTTAAAGGTCATAAAGTATTTCTCTCACATGGGTGATGAATAGCAGTTTGGAATTTCCTTGGCTCTGTTATACTGTGTGCTGAGGTGGTGGTAATGTTTATCAGGGAAGCCTGTCTTGGCTTATTGGACTAAATGAGAGGCTAAGAAGGGAATGCTGTCCTATGTCAGGGCGTTATAGGTAAGTCATGAAATTTTCTCTAATGAGATTTACAAAGGGTGGTCTTTAACACCAGAAGGTATAGCTACTAGTTATAACCAGTATTCAAAATGAGCTGGGCTTGAACCTAGTGAAAGTGTCATAGTTTCATCAAAGACCTGTATGACCAGAATAGAAAATTATACCTATAGGGCTACCAGATGTCCATAGAAAGGTAAATAGAACTTTGGTTGGACAGGGTTAGGATTTAAAATCACACTGGTACACTGTAGAAGTAGAATAAAGGAGAGTGAAGTCTGGTAAAGACGATGCTAGACAAGATTATAGTACTAAACATAGAAAACAATTTTGTACAGTGATCAGATAGGAAATAATGGCTAGTATACATTCCAGCAGAAAACATAATTTGTGGACTTGTTAAATTATTTTCTGTTCTGTTGTTCCATCATTTCATAATTCAGCCTCCTGTCTGTCAATTCTTCTTTCAGTGGAAATAAAGCCAGTGGAGAAACCAAACTTTAAGGAGTTTGCTTATTTTCTCACCTCTACCTTAGAAGCAAAAGTGGTTTTAGATAGGGCCAAATACTGAAAAATGACAGCTCACAGTGTAAGGTGGATGAGGCTGAGGCTATCAGGCTGGGGCCTTTTAGCGTAGGGGCAACCAGCCTGCATATCCAATACTCATGAGATTACTACTATATAAAAGTATAGAGCAGCAATAATTTTTACAACGCTAACACAAAGTGTCATCAAAATGCCAAATGATGTTCAGTAAAAGTTTACGCTCTTTTATAAGTAAATATATTGGTGTGGAACTTCCTATTATCTAATGGGGCTGGATAAATGTACTGACTTTGCAATCTATTATTATTGGTTTTTTTTTCAGAGATAGTACTAAAGTAAAATTCTTCAGTATTGCTTTTGCACAAATAATCATACAGTTTGAAGTAGTTAGGACTAAAGTGATAGGTTTCCAAGAATATAATTTTGAAAGCAAAAGTAGTTAGATTCATTCAGATATTTTAACTGTTTCCTGCCTATATTCACTTCTATCTTTACACAGCAGATTTCTTATAAAAATTTAAAGCATGCGCAGAAAATGGGAGAAAAGTATCTTTCTGTAAATTGTAGTGTGGTGGAGGTACTTACATACTGAATCCAAAAACAGGTAAAAATGATTCTCCCTAGCTGATTAAGTGATTTTCAACTTGTGTCGTTGTCTTCAAATATAACAGTTCACCATGGCTTCTGAGGCTAGGATAAATAATCATGGAACCTCATTTTAAAACACGGATTGCAAGCAAAACAGAAAGAAAAAAAACCCACACTAGCATAACTGTTTTAAAGATCCTGGCATATATGATTTGCTTTTGAAAACAGTTCCTCACTGCAGGGAAAACCGATCGGTTATACACATCCATGAATAAGCTGCAGAAGCGTGGTACCACATTGAATATCGCAAATTTCAGTGACTAGTCATGGTTGTAGATGCAAATAGTTCTTAGCAACTCTGGTGATATCTATGCAAACACAGTTTGTTAGATGAGGATGAAACGTGTTGGTGACATGGGTCAAAGAAAACGGGGTGTGCATTTAGCACAAGAGAGCCTCCTCTAGGCTATTGCAGAGGGAAAACCCTGCTTTTCCTTGGCCTCATTGTAAACTTGTCTTTGACAAAATAACCAAAAGAACATAAAACTCAGCTAAATCAAAGCAAAAGAAATAAAACCTCAAACTCTCCCTATGTTTGGCTGTTTTCTTTGTCCATCTTCATCGTGCAGACTCGAGTTATCAGAATTAAAGCCTTCACTTTGTTCTGACCAAAGACTTCTTGGAATTGTGCACTGGGTCACAAATGTAAGCCAGTTCCATCTGCTCTCTTTCATCCATTTGAAAAATTACTAACGAATATTATCTAAATATTGAATGATCTTTTTCTAGGCTAGTGCAGAATGCATTTTCAAAACGGTAGGTTGTGAAATACTGCTAATGGGGTCCTTATAAAATAAACACTAGAGTAATAGAGCTAGTTGTTTTTGCATTATGTTCTCTTCAGGAACCAGTTCTTTATGAGTATTCAACAAATATTAAATAATTAGGGTTATAGCTAAGGAAGCACAGCCAAAGGCTAAGTGGTGTTTTCAAGGTTGTAAAATGTGTTAGCAAGGAAACCTGGGACTGAAATGAAGAGTTCTTCGCTTCTTCCTGGGGCTTGGATCACTACGCCCCTCTATTTCCTTAATCGCGTAAAACCATTGGGTTCCTTACTAACTCCTAATCCAGTGCTCAGTTAGGCAAAATTTGGAAACCTTCAGGCAATGACCTGTTTTTCAATGGAAAAACGTATTTACTTCCAGCTGGAACACATCGAGACAAGCCATTTGTCTTATAGCCTCATTCTTGCCAAAAGACTGGAAAATAACTTATTAGTGAGTCTAACATCTCAAGAGCCACAACAACAGCTGCACTGAATATAGAACACACAGAATGACTGGACACTGTGAAACTGGGTTGACGGAAACCAATGCAACAGTAATTCCAGGACTTGCTTTGATTTTTTCAACGGAGTGCAAGTTAGAGGGAAAATTTCATGCCTACACGATCAGATTGACTTAGCCTGTCTGTTCATCTGTAAATTGTCTTTGTAGCATTTGTATATGTGCTGTTTAAGATCATTGTCAAATTAATAATTGAGGTTTGTGATTGAATCATAATTTTAGAACCTCTTCCCAACTCAATATTCTCAATTAAACCAAATAGACTACTGGGGAGATAAACTCTGTTAAAAATATATGTGTATAGTTATAAAACTCCAATACTTTATGAGATCAAAGGCAACCAGCTTCAAATATGCACTCCCATCACACTGTTGAACATTTTGTGATTTAATGAATTAAATAACCTAGAAATTACATCATTTACCAAATATATGAATTTAACGGGTACAGTTTCCATACAGTGATATTTGCCTTTCAGCCAGTTGGCAGTAGCATTTATGGAAAATCTTCTGGGTCTTGGGCATGTTTAAAAAATTAAGAGGGAAAAATTCCAATTCTTTACTATTTCATTTCTTTAAAAATCTTGTTTCTGCTAGTTTAATGTAAAAATTTAAAAGTTGAAGGTGAGTGTTGTCACCTAAATGTTGACCACTTAAGTGGTTCTGAGATATTAGACAGTTCAAACTTTGATAGTTTAGAATAGGAAAATCAATTATCTTTTAATTAAAATTAAATTTATTTCACAATTGGTCCCATTATGGCAATGGGTGTACACTCTCTCAATAGTGACACAATTGCTAAATAGCAGTGCTTCAGTGGTATATATACAGTTTGAATGTTGATCAGACATTTACAAATATTTACTGAAATAATTGATATTTGTGTGGCATATAAGCACTAGTCCTAGAAGTATAACAGAAATAATTATAATCAAAAAAGGATATTAAAATCCCAAAATAATTTCTAATGACCTACTAATGTAAGTTATGATTTTAATTATTATTGAAAACCAAAGATGGTAACTAAAGTAATAATAATATAACAAAATAAATGAATGCTATTATTTACCATACATTGTATTTTAAGCACTTTTTCTTATTGAATTCCACAGTAACCCAATGAGACCACTTAAATGATTTTATAGGTGAAGAAACTGGGTCTCAGAGAGATTAAGGTCATATAGCTAGAAATTTGCAGGGCCAGTCTTTTAGCACAGCCCAGTATGACTCTAAAACCTTTTAATGCTCTCCTGCATTAAGTGTTCAAAGATGTTACAGAGCCGTATTTGAGTCTGGAACAGTATATGTATATCAGAATGAGAGCCTTCTCTCTTCTTAGTAAGTACAAGTGTACTTAACAGAATTGGAGTAGATGTTATTTGCCCATTCATTTGCCTGAAAGATAGGTAGAAGAAAGAGAAAGTACAAAAAGAATGTGTGCGTGAGCCTATATGTAGTTTTTTTCTAAAAAATATACAGAGTCTGAAGGGACGGTGCACATATTTTGCAAATTTGTTTTACAAGTCATGTAGTGTGAAATTCTAGCACCATTTTCATTGAAAAAAATAATTTACTGCTGTATGTGTATATCTTACAGAAACAGCTTGTAATTTAAAGCCATCTACAAGAAGGATTGTGATTTTAAATGTGATCAAATAAATCTTGGGATACTCTGCACAACATTGAGAGGATCTTGCAGAAGAAATGCAAAACCATATATAGCAACTCTCAATAATTATTTTACCAGTCAGCTTGGAGCATAACCTGGAAATTGAAACATTCTTTTTAAGCTTGTATATTAAAGTAAAAATGCCTGAAAAATTATTTGGTATGATAGGAGAATGCAGGGATAGCAAATTCTATATCCAACTCCAGTTCATTGATAGTTGCTATCTGGAATAGCATGGGGTTGAGAAGGATTATGAGGCTATGTCTGAGCTCAGAAAAAAAAAGCTGTGATTTTTTAGTAATATCTACCACAGATGAGACATGTGGGCATGGTCACACATGTGCCATGCATTGTTTTGCCTGAGTAGTGTTTTTTCCCCATGAATTTTATTATGGAATCTTCAGATATGAGATCATCAAAAACAAAGACAGTATCTAATTCATTTTATAGGATAACCAACTGTCCTAGTTTGCCAGGTAC
This sequence comes from Homo sapiens, assembly GCF_000001405.40. Lineage (NCBI taxonomy): Eukaryota > Metazoa > Chordata > Mammalia > Primates > Hominidae > Homo > Homo sapiens. Next base: position 90,714,557 of record NC_000006.12, read on the forward strand.
TAAAAAGGGGTTTTCCAGGATGTGGTAATTTCAATGCTAAAACTGATAGAATCCTGGAGAGTTGGTCACTGTATTTTTTTTTAAACTTTTAACTTTGAAATAAGTATAGACTTGTCATAGGAAGTTGCAAAAAATAGTACAGAGTCCCATGTATCCTTCCCTCAGCTCCCTTCAGTGGTGACATCCGACATAGCTACAGCGCAATACCTATTTTTGTATCTCCCATCAGCGTCAAACACCTACACACTCATTCAGCCAGTGTATTGAATGAATGAATGAATGAATGAATGCTGTCAGTTGAGACGTACCTTATTATAGTTTTACCCTGTTGCCCTAAAGAAACAGGTTGTTTCCAAAGCTTAAAAACTATGCAAAGAAGCACTTCATTTAAACACAGGAAAAGTGGGAAGAGTATAAAATCCTCTTTAAATTGGCCTGTAGACAAAGGAAGTTGGTATCATAAGATGAACACGGAACTGTGATTTTTAACAGAGAGATCTAGCACCATGGTTCAAATCTCAGTTTAATAATGCAAAACTATGAGTTTTCTTCAATTTCTAGGCAGTTGTAAAGATAAATTCTAGTAGTTTTGAAAGCATGCTTAGTATGCTTTAGCTTATTATTTAATATAGAGTTATAAACATAGAGAAGCTGGCAGCTGTGAGTGAGCTGGTGAATCATCGAGATTCAGTGTGGGATAGACAAGCAGAGCAGAATTTTCTTATCTTGGTAAGAGACAACTAAGCTGAAAGTGATCTGGGATGCTTTTTAGGCGGTGCAGACATAGGTTTGTTTTCGTCTTTAGAAAATGCTCGGTTTGGAAATTATCCATGTAGCAATAGCATGAGTCAATGATTTGAACTTACGGGGAAAATCAGAGTTTTATCTCTTCTAAGCCATTATGATGTGTGCGCACGCGCGCGCGCACACACACGGTATCTAGTAGACCTAGATACTACAGGCAAAGCTGACTTAAAATTTAGAGCATCTTAAAAAAATGTGATCTAAGAAAAGACCGCTTTTCTCCTTTTTTTATTGGTATTTAATTTGGAGCTCTTGTATCTAACTACAAAGTTCATCCTGATTCTAACTCAAAACCAATCTCCAGTAACGTAGATTTTGAGACTTATTCTATCTTGTCTTTGACCTCATATTCACCTTTTGCCTCCAGCACTATTCATCCTCACCTTTCCTTTTTTTCTGTAATTTGTTTTCCTGCTTTTGTTTCTTTCGTCACCTCCCCGTAGCTGCAGCAAGGAGGAGTGTACATAATTTTATTATAAGCCTTTCTCTTCAATGTGTGATTAAACCTTTCTTTGAAGTCTGTAAAATTGGACACCAAATGACCTCTAAGAAATTAAAGGGTACTGTATTTCATTATACCGATGCCCAAAAGATACTCTTTTAAACTGATTAGGGGAAATTTTGCCTTCCATTAAAAGACTGAAATCAAAGTTGTCTGTGTGTTCCTGACAAATAGGTTAACATAAAGTCTTTTTTCTTAGAATTCTACTGATGTCCTATCTTTCTATACCATACGCTTGGAGCAGGGCAAGGGTGGAGGAAGACAAAAGAGGGGGCATCAAACCTCACCACTCCTATCAAACAGGTCACTGGTCCTACCTGCTGGGCATCTTGCTTCCGAAAAGAAAGAAGCCACCGCACCTCACCCCACCTGGGACAAATCTTCAGTGAGGAAGCAAAGCTGCACTGTGTGTTTGCTCACATTGTGTCTACACACGTACTGTGTGATTGAAGTTAATTAAAAGCAAAGACAAATAGAGGAAGACACACGCTTTGATGCCAAACAAGTGTTTTTGGCAAATGTTTCCCCTTCTGTGATTCCATTCTTTGTTCTGGATGGTTGAGCTGCAGAAGTTCAGGCAGCTGCGATTTTTAGCCCAGTATTTTCTTCACCTCCCAGGACCCTGCTGGCATAACTGTCCTTAGTGATTGATGGGGCTCCACACCCTCCATCTAGGGGGTGGCCCACCTGCAGGAAGGCTCCTGGATCAGGGGCACACACAAGTGGCTTGTCCTACCTCTACATTCCTGGGAGAGCTGGGGCTCCCAACTTCCTTTGTGTGAAGTGAAAGAATAGAACTGATTTACAGGGTAAATAAAATATCAGAGGAAATAGAGGTTAGCTGTTACTTATGGCTAAGAGAGATTTATGAGATTACATAGTAACTGAAACTACACTTTAAGCTATAGTCATTATGGTCTACATAGTTCCATACCTCATTAGAGAAAAAAAAATGTGAAGAATGGAGAACACTAAGTCCTTCTTCTGTTTTTAAAAATGTTTCTGGTTGGTGCAGATGTGATCCATAATCAAAAGAACACTCTACATTTTTATAGCATCTTTCCACAGCAGGTTTCACTAGAGACTATAAATCCTACTCTAACAGAGCTGAGTGGAAAATCCTTCTATTTTATGCTTGGAGAAACTGAGGCTCAGAGGCAGCCAGGGCTTTAAGGTGTACGCAAGAAGCAAATGGCTGAAGCAAGAGCACCTGGAAATTTTATTTCTAGCCTGTTTTTGCCTCTCAAAAAAAGTCGGTGAGTAACAAAAAAGGGAAAGGGGGAAAAAAACCAGTATTGGATTCATTGATATGCTAGGCAGCACCCAATATTCAATTCCATTTCAAAAGCGTTTTCCCCCTACAGCAGTGATGGATTCCACCAGTCTTGGAGTAAGTTAAGGGACTGAAGAGTGCTTGTTGGTACAGTGAGCTATTTTGAGTGCTTTTTGAAAACTGAAATTACTGGAGCAAAATCTGTAAAGGCTCAATCATATACTTGTTATACAAGGGGAAGGATTCATGTAAATCCAGAGGTATGTGGCTCAAGAAGTGGACAAAGTTATAGGGAGTCTTGTCTCTGTGCCAACACTGTCTTGAATGCTCAGCCTTGTTACTCAAAGTGTGGTTCTCAGACCAGCAGCATCAGCATCACCTGGGTGCTTGTTGGAAATGCAGAGTCCCAGACTCCATCTCAGATTTACTGAATCAGAATCTATCTTTGAACTAGCTTCTGAGGATTTGCATGCATGTTAAAATTTGAGGATCATTGTGCTAACTGACACCAAAGAGGGGATCTGACCTGAGTGTCATGGTTAAGATCCCTTGTGGGGAGGAGGGTTTTGTTGATAAGGCTGTGGAGTGATGCAGTAAAACAGGCAGCTTAGGCCCTTCTCAGGGTGATGCCACCTGTATTTAGACAGAATTTTCCTCTGGCAGAGAAATCCTTGGTTTGGCTTCTAACCCTGGCATTTTTAAGTTATGTCAACTTCTTTGCCTCTGTTCCGTTTAACATAGAAATGAAGTTAATAACAATTTTCTTAGGCACGCTACTTCTGGCTCTGAGGAGAATGAATGTTTTAAGTAATAATTGGAAAATACATGAATAATAGGAAGTTTTTTAAAAAGTACACTATGATAAGCCAAAATATTCTCTGGTTCCTGACACTGAGCCCATTAAAATTACAAATGTTAATTTATAAGAAAGATTTTGTTTCAGAAGCCATTAAAAAATTTGGTTCTTAGCATACTTAACTCCTACCTGCTCACCTCCAGAACAGAATTACTCACATTTAAAATTAGTAACTGAAAATTCTGTCCTAACCCTACATCTGGCACTTCACTTCATCTGATTACACTCAATTTCAGAGACAGGAATGTACACGTTGAGCCTGGTCTCATTTTACACAATATTTTATAAGTCTTATTTATCTGGAAATAAAAGAACAATTTAGTCCTTGGGCAATGTTAATTATAAACCAGACTGAGGCACCATGCCTGTCTTTGTAGGATGGGGAAACACATAAAATTTCTTTGGAGGTTGGATTCTTTTAATGAGATAAGTACAGGACAATGTTTCTATTTGTAAGTAAGTTGTTTAAGGAGAAATAAAGCCTTTGAATTCTGCCAAGGAGCCCCAGGCTAGAACACAGAGAAACATGGAATTGTGTTCTGTGCTGTCTGGCCCCCAAAATGCAGTTTCTTTAATGAAGAAGGTCCCAAGTTTTTATCCGAGTGACCACGATGAATACCTATAATAAAATCCATGAAGGGTTTCAGTGGTACTACTTCTCATTAGCTAAAAGGAACTTCCAAGTGATGGGTTGAGCGGGAGCCTATAGAGTGATGTGGCTGTTGCTGGAGCTTGATGGTACCTCTGCAAGTTGTTCAAGCACATATGGGAACAATACTTGGCAAATACAAGCACTCATTAAGCATCACCCCCTCCTTAAAAAGTACATTTTAGGGGGTGATATGAGGAGTGGGGAAGGAGCAGAAACTTTCTATTAGGATAAAGTCCCTAATCTAAATTTAAATGACCTGCTCTGATTCATCTTGGACTTTTGATATGAAAAGAGCCAACAATATCTGTAAACTTCTTTCTCTTCAATGGTAGAGTTAGCATATTCATGCATACTAAGTTGGTCTTACATAGACATCATATAATCATCTAATCAATTTAACTTTATCACTATTTTCATTTCCATGAAGAAGAATGGTTGTCAATTATGTAAAGAGAACTAACAAAACTTAATAAAGAGAATTATTGATCATGATGAGATTTTTGTTTGACTATGGCCAGTCATTGTTTCCTTAGGCTTTTTTGGAAAAGGTGACAATGCCAAAAACACTTTTATTTACTGTGTAACAATTGCTACCATTTACCGAGTACTTAATATACACCAGGCACTGTACTAAGTACTTTATATGCGTGCAATCCTCACGGTAACCTTATGGCATTGGTCCCATTACAGTATTATCCCCATTTTAGAGATGAGGAAAACTGAGTCTTAAAGATATGTAACTTTTCTGAGGTTAAACAACTTGTAAGTGGCAGAGCCAGACAGAATTCAAACCCAGGTTTGTCAGGGACCAGAGACCATGTTCCAAATGCCTGTGCTAGTCTGTATACCACAGAACAAAGACTTTGAAGTTTTCAGTTGAAACATGTCATGTAAAAGAAGAATGATTACACTTTCCATTATAATCAAATTGTTACTCACCATGCTCCATCTATGAGTTAAAGTGTTTCTGGTCATCTAGTGGGTTTCCCAGCACTACAGATCTACTTATGTTCCCTTGTGCTTTCTAACTTTTTCCCCCCGTATACTATAGTAAAGTAAACCTCTCCTGGGGCTCTTAAGTTTATCTTCTCTTATTCTTTCTACTCTGACCTCCCTTAATTTTCCCACATCAAACTAGACATTAAATGAGAGGATGGATGTGAAAGTATTTTGGAAAGTTAGAAGCAAATCAGACAGAAAGTATTATGATTTTGTCTGAAACAGCTTTCTACATCTGCTCAATGAAACCACCCCCTCTCTTTCCAATCATGACACTAAGCAAAATTCTTTCTGGAAATTCCAGAAGGCAGAAAGGCTATGAATCAGGCACATGAGCTGTCAAGTCAGTCAAAAGTGTCAAAGCAGGTTATGCATGTAAGTACACCTTAAACCCAATGGAGGGCAGCTTCCAGGCACAGGTCACGGGGAAATTTTGGAGGGTAGTACGTATTGTATTGCTTGAAAGTTGTTCCATGACCAAGAGGTTAAATGCCTTCTTTTGCCAAGAAAAATGAATAGACTGAGTATGACAGCATATAGACTGGCCAAAATGAGGTGAATGAGGAAGTCAAGAAGAGATAACAAAAAAGAGAAAAAAGGTCAAGAACTCAGTTTCAGGAGGAAGCAATATGCAGTTTAGTCTGTTTTTTTATTTTTTATTTTTTTTATTTTTAGAAAAGTTGGTTGCTAAAACTAAGGCTTTCTCTTAGTTTGTATAACTGATACCACAACTAGTTTGGAAATAATATGAGAGTTACAAATGAGTGAAGATTAACTAAATGCTCACAGTGAGTGGCTGTGAAATCTTAAATTGCAATTTCTGATTTATCTTTTTAAAATGTTATGCCCACATGGGCACTTTGCAAGTCGTACCAAGTGATTCACTATTCATTCCATTCACTAGCCATTTCATCTACATGTTCTCAGATTTCTACTGTGGCTCCTAGTCAGAACCCTGCTATTATTCATGGAGCTTAAAATTTGATTCTATTCACATGATGATTTATGGACTGTACAGCAACAAAAGTATTTAATGACTGTTCACAGCACCAATGCCTCTAGGAGGTTCTCTCTCCCCTCCTCTAGAAATGCTCTCTGGTCCTCTGCTCTGCCTTTCATTTCAGCTGGTGGAGGTCTTGGCCAGGAAAGTATTCCAAATGGCAATGAATACACAACAGAGCAATTCATTTTAAAAATCTCTATTTAATTTGTAATGAACTTGTTTTAAAAATAGTTTACAGAAGCCTTTTACACCAAAAAAACTAGTTACAAGGAAAGAAGAAATGAAATTGACTTATTGTTTTATAGATGTAGGTCTTCTCCCTGGCTAGAATGTGAAGCATGTGTGATGGTCTCTCGTATTCACCCATCTCATCTTCCTGCATCCCTTCCTGTTTCTTGACGCCTCAAATTTCCTGGATCCTTGTGGTGGATGTAGGAGAACTTTACCTAGGCATATGCAGGATGCTGTCTTTGCCTTAGTTTTCTCTAAGTGTGTTGTAATGATTAGATCAATCACAATCTATCAAACAGATAACTTAATTTACATGAACCATGCTGAATAACATAATGCTTACCTTGTTAAGGATGCCTAAGTTAAGAGAAGGCTGGGAACAATAATGCTTGTACATAGGAATGAATCTGTAAATGAGATGACAGTAGAAGTGTTTGCTTAATGGAATCATGAATAAAAGTTTTACTCCAAAGTTTTTCTCTAGGTTGGGAGTACCCATCAAGAGTCTCAAGAAAGGGATGTTGAACAATAACTGCTTTAGATGCACTAATGCTCTGGGAACACATTTTTTTTTTTTTTTTTTTTTTTTGAGAAGAGATGCTGATCCAGAAATAACTGACAATGAAAGGTCTGGGAATTGTGTGATGGTATTAGCTAGGTTTCCTAGAAAACAGAATATTTGAGGCAAAATTGCTCATGCTTTATTGGGGAGTGGTGCAATACCAAAGCAGCAAGAGTGAGGAGGGAAGTGAAGGGAGGCACAGAAGCAGGTGGTACATTACTGAGCTTTGTGAGAGACACAGTGTAGTCAAAATGCTGTGACTCTGAAGGGGCCTTAGGGAGCCAGTAACCCTGGGACCAAAGAAGGGTGAGGAATTGACTTGTTGACCCTTTCTGTCTTCTGTGCTCGTTGGTTCAGATTTACTCCAGACGGCATTCACTCCCCTGATTTCTTGGTTGTGTTACCTGTGAGGCTGAGATTGGTGACTAGACTAGACTCACTCTTTAGCAAGAGGCTGAGGCCCTGGAATGGGGGGTGGGAGAGAGGTCACGACTGGCCCAGCAAATCTGTGGGTCCCGTTGGTGATCTCATGTGGTAGCTGTTGAGGTTGACTGTCACAGACAGAAATGGTGTTTAGGTCAAGAAAAGAACAAAACCACAGAGACAATCCCAAATAATATAAAAATCACCAAAAATTAGAGAAAAGAGGAGCATTAATATAAGTTGGGTAGTCATGGACAGCATTTTCAGGGGAGGTGGGCTAGGTGCTGGATTCCCAGCAGAGAGGAGAGGAGAGGGTCAGGAACAGAGATACTGCTCCTCTGAAATTCCAGGAGAGATAGTGACATACACTGTGATTCGCTACCAAGGCCCTTCAGGACTGGCTTGTGACCTTTCTGGTTGTATAACCCCAGGCACCCAGTGTATGGCCCAGGCTAGCTCTAGGCACTCAATAAGCAGTCATTGAATTGGAGATCAAATGCTTTAATTTGAATCCACTTTATCTCTTTGCTGACAAATAAGTTTTGCCTTGGCAAATGATCTTAAGGGTTTTGTGTGTGGATGCCAGGGCTATGTAGAGAATGGAACCTTCCTTAGGACAGAGATGATGCCCACGTTGCTCTGGAGACAGTGTAGCATAAGAGTTAGAGTCAGATACATTTGGGTTTGAAACATGGCTCTGTCACTTCTTTACAGTGTGATCTGGGGCAAGTTAATTAATGTCTCAAAGCCATACTTTTTCTCAGCTGCAAAATGTATATACCAAGAGTAATTTATGTGTGGGATTGTTGTTACAAGAGTGGGTGGTTTATATTGAACAGGCAATTACTAATAGTTATTATTACCATTGCTATTTAGCTCTTCATCCTGTGACTTATAAAGGGTACATTAAACACTGTCTGACAAAGAATTTAAGTTTATCTTATGTCAATATTTACTCACTTCTTTATAGGAAAGCGAAACAGTAAAAAGCATTAGGTTGGTAGATCCTGCACAATTATTTTTAAGACTGTTTCAAGTTTCAGTGCTGTGTAAAATAAGAAAATCTAATGAAATGAGTTAAGTGGTTTCTTTTTTAGAAGGTAACTATACTGCATGTATGACTTATTCAAATTATATTGAAAGGAGACACATGGCTTTAATGTCTCGTCCTATGAATGTGAACATAATTTGAACTGAAACTTCCTATTTTCCACTTTCCCTGTTATTACTGTTGTCTGTTAACAAACAGAAACATACTGTCCATAAATAATTACTGTTTTAATCATGTCCTTGGTGGATTTTGTAGTCATCTATTTGGTAGACAGATTATAGCCATTCCAAACCAAACTGGGTGTGCCAGCCTCTATACAATTGTTAGAATATTGTTAGAAACTCAGACCCAACCAACATCCATGTGAAGCAGAAAAAGCTGTCCACAGTTACTCTTCAAGTAAATTATTATTTTTCGTTTAATTAGGATTTGTGTCCTTATCAGAAATGTAACCACAAGGAAATACTTTCTAGCTCAGGCTTCTTACTACAAAGTGGAAATCTCATGAAAGCAAAATTTGAGAGGAGGAAAAGCAAACTAAAAGAAACATAGCAATTTAAATTTATTAGGGGATTTATAATCAAGGCATTAGCTCTTAAGTCAACAAACTCTTAGTTCTGGAGATGAAATTGTAATGTTCACAAATGTGCTCCATGAAGTAATGCAGTTTAGTGGGTTCAAATACTGGCTTAACCACGTATGGAAACTGGGACTAGTTAAGAAACTTGTGAACTAAAATAATAATGATAATAATAAATGGAAACACTCATAATAATCACTTTACATTTTGTTCTGTGGTTTTCAATTAACAAATTAATGAATGAACAAAAAGTACAGAGTGGTTTGTGCCAGACGATAGGAATGTAAAAAATATAAACTATTATGTTCTTACCTGAAGTGAATATTGTCATAACACAAACCACCTCATCTAAGAAACTCTTGCTCTCATTGTGTTTATTTACTGAGACGGACTGTATATATTTTATCAGGCACAGAGTTCATTATTAATTGCATTTTGATTGAGGGGCCATGGAAAGATTTAGATAATCCCTCATCCTGACACTCATTTATTATCTTAAATATTGCCTGGGGACTTTCATCTGATGTAAATTTCTAGGAAAAATGTAGCATTAAGAGAAATCTTTTTTCAGACTATTGAACCCAGTACATAGCCAAAGAAGTTAATGTAAAAACATTACACAACTGGGACTTTCTTTTCTGTTGATTAGCAATTTGAACTTTGCAGAGAGGTAAAAGAAAAGTGATCAGTTTAAGGCTTCAACTCTGGGGATTTAGTAGCAGAGGAAAATTCTCAGCCCCATTATGTTGCTGACCTTCTGAAATTAAGAAATAAAGAAGTTATGGGATTAGAAATATGTAGCCAAGATTGCATTATAATAGCCTGATAAATAACTGCAAAAAGTTTATTAGCCCACTTATTAAAAAAATGACTTCTTTCTACCATGTGTATTACATTGATGATAAAAATGAACAAAATCAGCATACAATTTTACTCCCTTAAATAAATTGTTTCTCACCTTGGGAAAAAAGGTGAGTGGTTATTTCTCCTGCTGTCTTACAATGTAGTCATTTTAGGTTTTCCATGTTTTTGGAATTCTAATCACCACAAATTTTATACAGACACAACTCTATAATTAAAAGAAAAAATTATCTATTGGTCATTATCTATTTAGTTGAAAATAGATTCATTTTGTCCCAGGAAAGATATACTTCATATTTGTCAGCTTTCTACTTGTGTACACAAATTCTTTCAGAGCTGAAGCTCTCCAGTCGTTGACTTGTTGAAGATGGGGAAATGAGTCAGTAGCCATTAGGGTTTGTTAACTGGAGCAGAGAGAAGGACCATTCTCACCTAGTCTTACCTGGTAATTGGAAACTATATCAGAATCTCTTGAGGTTTTTTTAAACTTACTCCAATGCAGCAGACTTTCTAAATGCCTGTCCTCATCCTGGCAGGTGATGGTGGTGGTGATGGTATTCTTCTGCCTTTTAGAAATTGCGTTCTAATAATCGATCCGAGCATGTCACATCATATCTCTCTCTTGTTTTGGAGTGGAAAGTTTTTGAAAATTCCTCATCCTAATGGAATTTCATAAAAATCATTGAATGTTTGCTTGGGAAACATGTAGACAGAGCTTCTGATGCCTGGAAAATAAACAAACAAAAATCCTCAATTCAGTAAAACAAAATATTCTTCAAGTTAATACATTTCTTCCTTGAAAACTTGGAGAGTAAGGATTTGAGATCAAATTATCAGAAGTCTTTTTCTATCAAGCAGGCTGATATTTCCAGGGTTAGTTTTGGAGACATAAATGTGTCCTGGAAAGGGTTTTTGACTTTGCATTTTCTGGACTGGTGTCCTAAAGAACACTACTCCTGCAAGACATACTGGGGAAGAAAAGGGAGAAGGCTGGATGGGTTCCATGACTGCATTAATTGGGAACTCCTGAATCACCATCTAGAAGGTTCTCAGGGGTCTTGCCATCACAACATCCATCACACACAAAATCCAAATGAAAACGCACATTTGCTCTCATGCTTAGTTAACCCTTTGAGCCAATCCTGGCTATTCAAAATATGAGGAGAGGGGAAGGGATATTTGAATCACTATTGTTGATTTGGTGGCAAGCAACCAAAATTGTTAACAACACTGTAGAAATTTCAATGATTGCAAACATGTTGTATATACACGTTGGATCTAACCTTATGTCTCTCCATAACAAATGAATATGTTGAAGGACATTAGAAGAGTATGCAGTAAACTTTTTTAAGTAATAAAATTAATTTAAAAATGAAGCTATTTTACTTTTTGATGTTTTACTACTTTCCCGTGTGAATTGCTTTTGGCAGCTCAGAGACAACTTTAAAAACCTAAACACCATAAAGCAGTCCTTGCACTTCCATATGTAACTCAATTGAGGGCAAGATTTGAAAATCCATGGCTCCGTGATTGGAAGCCTGTGATCCTGCGCCTCGATCAAAACTTGGTTTTCCAAGGCCTTCTGTGATCAGCTGACAATGACAAATAGAGCAAAGAGCAAACAACTTGGGCCCAAAGCAGAGGGTGTAGTGATAGCATTCTTATAAATGCTGTGGCTGCTTAGCCACTGGATCCTACTTGCTTGCCTGTCTCCATTGCAGCTGTTAACCTATGCACCCTCTCTGTTGGAGCTGAGGCCTTAAGGATATACCAGGCACTACAGACAGTAATTATCTGAGGTAAAAATCATCTCCTTTCATAATATTTAAAAAGTAACATGCACTTTCTGATTATAAAATAAGCACAACTATATTGTCCAAAGCGCTTCATGTGCATAACTTAATCTTTATGGGGGAAGGACTATTATTTTAACCACCTTAGATATGAAAAACTGCAATTAGAGATTACATAGCTAGAGGAAGAGGCAGTACTAAATCTGGCCATCTGGCTCCAGAAACCATACTGTTAACCTCTGTGAAAAGACTGCCTCCTGTACTGTTGAAATAGATGAGTCGAGATGTGTGGGAGCTTAAAATAAACTCAGATTCAAATAGCCATTGGAAGTAGTAGAAGAGACGTCAAAATGCAGTGTATGATTAATTGTCAAATAAATTGTATAGGCCATATATTATCGCAGTATAAAAAGAGTAGGAATTAGTTCAGACTGAAGATTCATTGTCAGGCTATGCTTCCTTGAGGGTAATTCGGGAGGAGAGTGTGGTTTCAGCTTCGGCTTGAAGCAGGGGCAATATTTGTGACATCAGAGAGCATGATGTTTTGGGAAGGAAGTGGATCTTGGTCAGTTACTTAAAACTGGGTGGGTTAGTCCAGGATAGAGGGTGCTAGGCCTAGAATGAGACCTCTCTACTAGAGTGGGACAGAAATTAGGGAGCTGACTTTGGGTGTAGGTGCTGACACACTGTTTAATCTGACAACTACAGAGCTGCTTTTGCCACAAAAACAAAGAAAAGTGGGTATCTGTGTGAAATGATGGCTCTGTTAATTTGCTTCACTACGGTAACCTTTTTTACTATCTATATGTATCCCTTAGCATCATGTTGTGTACCTTAAATATACACAGTAAGTTTTATTTAAAGAAAAGAGAAAGTCAATGAGATAGCTGAGGAGGGCAGATGGAGTATAATATGAAACATGGAGCCATAGTAACCAAGAGAGAATTTTGCATGAGAAATGGGTAAGTAGTAAAAAATTTCAAATGTTGCAGAGAAGTCAATGAGAATAAGAACTAAAATATGACCATTGAGTTAAAAGATGGTCATTAATTATATTTAACAATTAGTTTTAGCCTAATGATTACTGTATAGAAACTACAATTTTGGTGGGATGAAAAACTAATATATAGTAGTAGCCATCTTCTTGGAAGAGTAGTTCAGATATGGCTGAACAATGTATGCACATAGGTCTTAGGCATTATTTGTCAGATGTTTGGGAAAACTTACCCTTTCCCCACTTCATCCCATAAGTTGCCTGGTGGCATGGTTTGGCTGTGTCCTCACCCAAATCTCATCTTGAATTGTAATCCCCATAATCCCCACATGTCAAGGGAGGGACATGGTGGGAGGTTATTGGATCATGGGGACGGTTTCCTCCATGCTGTTCTTGTGATCCTGAGTGAGTTCTCAAGAGATCTGATTGTTTTTTTAAGTGTTTGACAGCTCCTTCTTCACACACTCACTCTCTCTCCTGACACCTTGTGAAGAAGCCGCCTGCTTCCCCTTCCGCCATGATTGTTAAGTTTCGTGAGGCTTCCCAGCCCTATGTAACTGTGAGTCAATGAAATCTCCTTTGTTTATAAATTATCCTGCCTTAGGTAGTATTTTTATAGCAGTGTGAGACTAATATACCTGAGTAGTGAGTCTTCTGTGTATGTTGATATTCTCTGCCTTCTCCAGCACATACTTCCATTTCCTCTGGTGCACCCACGTAGAAATATTTCATCTCAGTTATTGTAGGGCAGGGTTTGTCAATCTTGGCACTATTGACATTTTTGGTTAGGTAATTCTTTTTGTAGGGGGCTGGCCTGTAATTGTAGAATGTTTAGCAGTATCCTAGCTTTTACCCGTTAGATGCCAATAGCATCTCCCCCAATGGTGAGAATAGAAAAGTCTTCAGATGTTGGTAAGGGTCTCCTGAGGAGCAAAATAACCCCCAGCTGAGAACCCAGCAGTCAGGGATATCTGTGATTTTGACCTTCCAGGATTTAGTTGCTGTACTGTCATTCTGGCAACAGCATTTCAATATTCCTTGGGGAAACAACTTCCTCTCACACTCTCTACCCACTTGCTTCAGATGGAGTTGACTATGCCCCTGGCACTACTGAACATAGGACATAGTCTGGCCATTTCTGTACCTAAGCTGTTGATTTAGGGATGGGCATATGACCAAAATCAAACCAATTGGCTTGGATTAATCCTAAATCCAGTCCTTGTGATTGAACGGCCAAAATGTGGGTTCTTTTCCACTAGATTTGACTTTAGGAGGATGTAATCCTGGAGTGTTGGCCACCACTTTGATACATCTAAATCCATTGTGTCTTCAAGCTAGTCAAGTCTGAACCTTTTAGTTATGTGAGCCATTAAAACATTTTTGTTTGCTTGATGTTGCTTAAGCTATATTTTCTCTCACTTGCATCAGAAAAACTTCTAACTGATACAAAGTTTTAGAATTTGGGGTTACAAAAAATGATTTCATAATGTAAAATAAGCAGGCTGATTTAGAGTTGAGTGGAAGAAAGTGAAGACCCTTCCATCACACTTCAATAAATTCACACTTGTAAATATTATCTTGGGTTGTGAAATGGAAAGCTGTGTTATGCGATAGTGAAGCAGATGATTAAAGTGCCACTTTTGGTATTTTGTTGCTTGGGCCATGTGCTTATCGAGGCTGGGACATTAATTAAGGAGCTTGGTAGCAAACTGACGAAATACTGGATCTTATGGACTATATTTTGAAGCCTCAGTAACGTCCTACCGAAAAAAAGGCAAGTTCAGGTAGATGCAGTCCTGTCTGAAGGCAGAGACAGAAGAAAATGTGTTTTTGCCAAGAGAGATATTTTCTGCATGCAGCCCAGAATCCAAGACCATTTAGGGGTCTGGTTTTACAGGTTTTGAAAATCCTAATTCTCTGCTTTGAGTTCAGGATATTTACACAAAGTCAGGATGGTGTGTTCAGACAGGAGGTGGGAAACATAATAGGAGGTCAGACTGGGGCCTGGGGAAAGTATGTTTTCACAAGCTCCTTCAGGCAAGTTCTGTTATGCTTCTCTGCCTGAAAAACAGGCCAATTTCCCCCACAGTAGCTGGGAGGCAGCCTAGGGAGCAGGCGAATTAGACCCTGGTGACTAATGCTCCCATGCAGAAGCCAAGATGAATTGGGCCCAGAGAGGATGAGCTGAGCACCTAGACCTGTTGCTAAAGGACAACACTCCCAGATTGGGTTCCAGACGTAAAAACTTTGGCCTAACTAGATCTATGGAAATTGAATATTAAGTCATTGAATTGAGTGAAAATCAAATGATGAAAACCCTACTAAGTATGCCAGTGAAATGCCAAGTCTGGCAAACTGGCTCAACATTGCTTACCTCAAACCCCCAAATGTTTAGTGGGTGCCAAAGGTCAGGTACTGTGCTGCTAGTTGTCACACGGTTTTGAATGAAACAGATGCCCTTTCACTCCCTACATGAAAAGCTGAAATTCCAATGAAGAAAGAAGCCAGACAATATACAAATGAACAAATAATTATGAATAGATGAAGTTTGATTGTGTTAGTGCTATGAGGAGAGGGGGAGAGAGAGAGAGCGAGAGAGCGAGCGAGTGCACACTGTAATAGAGATCTACTGGGAAGGAGATGGTAATATAAAAATTTGGAAACTCTCCCTTTTCTTCTATAAAGTATTAACAGGCTATTTTGGCCCTTCTACTAAAAGCATTGAAGTAGTAAATTACCTTTGGCTTTGACACTGTACTTATCTTTCTGAGAGGTTGAGATCTTTAACATTCCTTAATTACATTTCTAGTGCAAAGGTAGGCAGTAGCGGATGGACTTAATCATCAAGATATTTGAGCAGATTTGTTGAAGGCCATCTTTGCTGTGCAGACAGTAACCTGAAATGCAGACTGGATGGCACATTACCAACCACCTAATGAATGTGCTCCCTCCCAGTTGGGATCTCGGGTGCATTTACTCATCTTCAACCAGTGTAATTAAAGATGAAAAGTATAACACTGATGTATCCTTCTCTGGGGAGGGAGTTGTTTTAATTGTAGACCCATCAGTGGAAAATGAACTATGCTGGAGAAAGATCAGGCTTAATTACACACCTGTTGGTGGTATCAAGTGAAGCTGTTGCTTTGTGCTTTAATAGGGAAACTATCTAGAAAAACCCTGTGATGTGGCAAAGCTCAAAATGTCACCTCATTAGAGCTTACAATTTCTGCCTTTTTCAATCATTGAATCATCAAATTTAAGGTGAAAAGGCATTGAGGTTTTTCAGTCTAATTCACATACTTCACAGATGAGAAAACTAAAGCCTGCAAGTACTGGCTTGTCCGAATTCACACAAATAATTTGAGAGGTGTTTATTAAGCTTCTTTGCTGGCTGCCCGTGTCTTCTAAATACTATCTGGTTAGATTTGAAAGTAGACAGTAGAGGTCCTCCATTCAGGACTTCAGAAAAAGTTTAAAAATTAAACCCAGACATGTTTCATTTTCAGACAGCTTTTCTCAAAATGAGAGGTGCAGACCATCAGTCAGAGAGAAATGGCTATGATCCTAGATCCTTTAGGAAGCTGCCCACCTACTGCAGCTATAATCAGTTCTAAATTTTTGAAGGATATGATATAAAGGACAGAGAACTCTCTGGGAAAAATCATATTTTAAAATATCATCTCAGGATTTAACTCCAAATTCCTATTTGATTTTTTTTCTTGGTGACAGTTTTGAAGTGTTTGATCCTCAAAGTCTCCCTCTACCAGTTTGCTTAATCTTACTACATGGAAGTCTGAGTGGGCTGCTTCATGCCTCATTTTTCCTGGGCCACCTCTTGGGATCTGCCTGTATGCCTTGGTTTTATAAAGGCAAATTCTTCTAAAGCATGCAGTGCATTTAGGCCTGACAGAGTTAGAAAACTGTAAGATGCAAGACAAAAGGTGTGCATCTTTCCATGAGCATGTGTATGTGAGGGAGGGGGAGGGACGAAGGGAAAAACAAAGGGAGAGACAGAAACGGATTCATTCATTAATTCAACGACTTCATTGGAGCTTATTGTGTTCCAGGCACTTTGATGGGTTCTAGGTATAAAGATATAAACCAAACAGATGATTGCTGTCCTCGGGGGATTTACAGTTGTTGGAAGAACTAGATCACGCTGTTGACACTGTTGATATTTTGGGCTAGATAATTCTTTGTTTTGGAGATTTCCTGAGCATTTTAGGATATTTAGCAGGATTTCTAGCCTCTACCCACTAGATGCCAGTAGCACATCCTCAACTTTGACAATCAGAAATGTCTCCAGATGTTGCCAAATGTCCTCTGGATAGTAAAATTGTCCCCAGTTGAGAACCACTGAGTTAGAGAATATCAAATGATCACACATAATTAAATAATTATAATGGTATCTAATTCCTTTTTGTTATATTTTCTGGTTGGTTACGTTGGAAAATAGTACAGAAGAGAAATACAGTTTTTTTTACACAAGCTTGTTACTGAAATATAATAGTCATATATGAAAGTGCATGAATCACAAATATACAGTTTGAAGAGTTTTTTTTTCAAAGTTTACACGTTCACGTTATCAGCACCCAGCATCCAGATGAATAAACAAAACATGACCAGTTCCCTCGAAGTCCCTCTGATGCGCCACTGCAGTCTCTATTATAATCTCCAACACCACACTACGTGCTCTTCATGACAGGCTTCTGCTCATTTTATCTTTTACGAGAGTCATTCACATTGTTGCAAGTGGAGCAGTTTGCTTTTTCCCATTGTAGTATAATATCCCATTTATCTTTTCTACCTTTGGTGGACATTTGGGTTGTTTCCAGTTTGGGGCATGATCAATATAATGTTGCTCTTAATATTATTTTTTCCAAAACCCCCCACCTTTATTCAGGTATAATTTACACACCATAAAATGCACCATTTTAAAGTATACAATTCAGTGAATTTTAGTGTATTCACAGAGTTGTGCACCTATTACCACTGCCTAAATTTTGAAACATTTTCCTCGTACTAAAAGGAATCCTATCCCCATTAGCAGTTACTTTTCATTCCTCACCTGCCCTCATGTCAGCCCCTGCCAACCATCATCTACTTTCTGTTTCCATGGATTTGCCTATTCTAGATATTTTATATCAATGGAATAATGTAATATGTGATCTTTTCTCAGTGACATCTTTCACTTAACATGTTTTCGAGTCTCACTCAAGTTATAGTATGTATCAGGACTTCCTTCTATTATGGCCAAATAATATTCTACTGTGTGGTAATACCACATTTTGTTTTTCCATTGAACAGTTGATGAACATTTGGGTTGTGTCTTTTTGGCTCTTACGCCAGGTGCAGTGGCTCACGCCTGTAATCCCAGCACTTTGGGAGGCCAAGGTGGATGGATCACCTGAAGTCAGGAGTTCAAGACCAACCTAGCCAACATGGTGAAACCCTGTCTCTACTAAAAATACAAAAATTAGCCAGGTGTGATGGTGGGTGCCTGTAATCCCAGCTACTCAGGAGGCTGAGGCAGGAGAATTGCTTGAACCTAGGAGGCAGAGGTTGCAGTGAGCCGAGATTGCACTGCTGCACTCCAGCCTGGGCGACAGAGCAAGACTCTGTCTCGATAATAATAATAATACCACTGATGTGAATATTCATGTACAAGTTTTTGTGTGAGCATATGCTTTTATTTCTTTTGGGTATATACTTAGAAGTAGAATTGCTGGATTGTATAATTCTATGTTTAATATTTTGAGAAACTGCCAAACTGTTTTCCAGAGCAACTGCACAATTTTGCAATCTTGCTGCAATGAATGAAGTTTCCAGTTTCTCCATACCCTCACTGACATTTGTTATTATCTGTTGGTGTCATTTTAGCCCATCCTAGTGGGTATGGGTGTGAAGTGGTATCACATTATTGTTTTGATTTGCATTTCCTTAACGACGAATGATGCTGAGGGTATTTTGAGGGTATTTTCTTTTATTATTATTATTATACTTTAAGTTCTGGAGTACATGTGCAGAACATGCAGGTTTGTTACATAGGTATACACATGCCATGGTGGTTTGCTGCACCCATCAACCTGTCATCTACATTAAATATTTCTCCTAATGCTATCCCTCCCCTAGACCCCCACCCACCGACAGGCCCGAGTGTGTGATGTTCCCCGCTGAGGGTATTTTCATATGCCAACCCTACATCTTCAGAAAAACATCCACTCAAATTATTTGCCCATTTTTCATTGGGTTATTTGCCTTTTTTGGGGGGATATATCACTGCTTTTTAAAAAAATAGACAAATAATAATTGCACATATTAGGGTACATAGTGATGTTTCGATACATATAATGTACAGTGATCTGGTCAAGGTAATTAGCATATCCATCTTCTCAAACATTTATCATTTCCTTGTGTTGGGAACTTTCAATATCTTCTTTCTAGCTATGTGAAACGATGTGGTACATTATTGTTAACTATAGTCATTCTGCAGTGATATAGAACACTAGAACTTACTCCTCCATGTTTGCTATTTTTTGTTTGTTGACTTAGAATAGTTGTTTATAATTCTTGGATATAATTTCAAAATATTTTCTCCCATTCTTTTTTTTTTAATTATTATACTTTAACTTCTGGGATACATGTGCAGAATGTGCAGGTTTGTTACATAGGTATACACGTGCCATGGTGGTTTGTTGCACCCATCAACCCATCATCTACGTTAGGTGTTTCTCCTAATGCTATCCCTCCCCTAGCCCCCGACCCCTTGACAGGCCCCAGTGTATGATGTTCCCCTCCCTGTGTCCATGTGTTCTCACTGTTCAACTCCCACTTATGAGTGAGAACATGCAGACTTTGGTTTTCTGTTCCTGTGTTAGTTTCTGAGAATGATGGTTTCCAGTTTCATTCATGTCCCTGAAAAGGACATGAACTCATTCTTTTTTATGGCTGCATAGTATTCCATGGTGTAAATGTGCCATATTTTCTTTATCCAGTCTATCATTGATGGTCATTTGGGTTGGTTCGAAGTCTTTGCTATTGTGAACAGTGCTGTAATAAACATATATGTGCATGTGTCTTTATAGTAGTGTGATTTATAATCCTTTGGGTATATAACCAGGAATGGGATTGCTGGGTCAAATGGTATTTGTGGTTCTAGATCCTTGAGGAATCACCACAATGTCTTCCACAATGGTTGAACTAATTTACACACCCACCAATAGTGTAAAACCATTCCTGTTTCTCCACGTCCCCTCCAGCATCTGTTGTTTCCTGACTTTTAATGATCTCCATTCTAACTAACATGAGATGGTATCTCATTGTGGTTTTGATTTGTATTTCTCTAATGCCCAGTGATGATGAGCTTTTTTTCATATGTTGTTGGCTGCATAAATGTCTTCTTTTGAGAAGTGTCTGTTCATGTCCTTTGCTCACTTTTTAATGGGGCTGTTTTTTTCATGTAAATTTGTTTAAGTTCCTTGTAGATTCTGGATATTAGCCCTTTGTCAGATGGATAGATTGCAAAAATTTTCTCCCATTCTTTAGGTTGCCTGTTCACTCTGATGATAGTTTCTTTTGCCATGCAGAAGCTCTTCAGTTTAATTAGATCCCTTTTGTCAATTTTGGCTTTTGATGTCATTGTGTTTGGTGTTTTAGTCATGAAGTTCTTGCCCATGCCTATGTCCTGAATGGTATTGCCTAGGTTTTCTTCTAGAGCTTTTATGGTTTTAGGTCTTATGTTTAAGTCTTTAATCCATCTTGAGTTAATTTTTGTATAAGATGTAAGGAAGGGGTCCAGTTTCAGTTTTCAGCATATGACTAGCCAGTTTTCCCAACACCATTTATTAAATTGGGAATCCTTGCCCCATTTCTTGTTTTTGTCAGGTTTGTCAAAGATCAGATGGTTGTAGATGTGTGGTGTTATTTCTAAGGCCTCTGTTCTGTTCCATTGGTCTATATATCTGTTTTGGTACCAGCACCATGCTGTTTTGGTTACTGTAGCCTTGTAGTATAGTTCAAAGTCAGGTCACATGATGCCTCCAGCTTTGTTCTTTTTGCTTAGGATTGTCTTGGCTATACGGGCTCTTTTTTGGTTCCATATGAAATTCAAAGCAGTTTTTTCTAATTCTGTGAAGAAAGTCAATGGTAGCTTGCTGGGGATAGCACTGAATCTATAAATTACTTTGGGCAGTATGGCCATTTTCATGATATTGATTCTTCCTAACCATGAGCATGGAATGTTTTTCCATTTGTTTGTGTCCTCTCTTATTTCCTTGAGCAGTGGTTTGTAGTTCTCCTTGAAGAGGTCCTTCACATTCCTTGTAAGTTGTATTCCTAGGCATTTTATTCTCTTTGTAGCAATTGTGAATGGGAGTCCACTCATGATTTGGCTTTCTGTTTGTCTATTATTGGTGTATAGGAATGCTTGTGATTTTTGCACATTGATTTTGTATCCTGAGACTTTGCTGAAGTTGCTTATCAGCTTAAGGAGATTTTGTGCTGAGATGTTGGTGTTTTCTAAATATACAATCATGTCATCTGCAAACAGAGACAATTTGACTTCCTCTTTTCCTATTTGAATACCCTTTATTTTTTTCTCTTGCCTGATTGCCTTGGCTGGAACTTCCAATACTATGTTGAATAGGAGTGGTTAGAGACGGCATCCTTGCCTTGTGCCAGTTTTCAAAGGGAATGCTTCTAGCTTTTGCCCATTCGGTATGATTTTGGCTGTGGTTTGTCATAAATAGCTCTTATTATTTTGAGATATGTTCCATCAGTACCTAGTTTATTGAGAGTTTTTAGCAAGAAGTGGTGTTGAATTTTATCAAGGTCTTTTCTTTATCTATTGAGATAACCATGTGCTTTTTGTTATTGGTTCTGTTTATGTGATGGATTATGTTTATTATGTTTATTGATTTACATATGTTGAACCAGCCTTGCATGCCAGGGATGAAGCTGACTTGATCGTGGTGGATAAGCTTTTTGATGCGCTGCTGGATTCAGTTTGCCAGTATTTTGTTGAGGATTTTCACATTAATGTTCATCAGGGATATCAGCCTGAAATTTTTTTTTGTTGTGTCTCTGCCAGGTTTTGGTATCAGGATGATGCTGGCCTCATAAAATGAGTTAGGGAGGAGTCTCACTTTTTCTATTGTTTGGAATAGTTTCAGAAGGAATGGTATCAACTCCTCTTTGTACCTTTGGTAGAATTCAGCTGTGAATCCATCTGGTCCTGGGCTTTTTTTGGTTGGTAGGCTATTAATTACTGCCTCAATTTCAGAACTTGTTATTGGTCTATTCAGGGATTTGACTTCTTCCTGGTTCAGCTTTGGGCGGGTGTATGTGTCCAGGAATTCATCCA
Source organism: Homo sapiens (assembly GCF_000001405.40). Lineage (NCBI taxonomy): Eukaryota > Metazoa > Chordata > Mammalia > Primates > Hominidae > Homo > Homo sapiens. The sequence goes on from NC_000006.12 coordinate 90,736,502, forward strand.
TTTCTTCTAGATTTTCCAGTTTATTTGCATACACTTGTTCTTAGTACCATCAGAGGTGTTTATAGTACCATCAGTAGTTTGTATTTCTGTGGGATCAGTGGTGATACCCCTTTATCATTTTTTATTGTGTCTATTTGATTCTTCTCTCTTTTCTTCATTAGTCTGGCTAGCGGTCTATTTTGTTATTCTTTTCAAAAAACTAGCTCCTGGATTCATTGATTTTTTGAAACGTTTTTCGTTTCTCTATCTCTATCTTAGTTATTTCTCGTCTTCTGCTAGGTTTTGAATTTGTTTGCTCTTGCTTCTCTAGTTCTTTTCATTGTGATGTTAGGGTGTCGATTTTAGATCTTTTCTGCTTTCTCCTGTGGGCATTTAGTGCTATAAATTTCCCTCTAAACTCTGCTTTAGTTATGTCCCAGAGATTCTGGTACATTGTGTCTTTGTTCTCATTGATTTCAAATAACTTATTTATTTCTGCCCTAATTTTGTTATTTACCCAGTAGTCATTCAGGAGCAGGTTGTTAAGCTTCCATATAGTTGTGCGGTTTTGAGTGAGTTTCTTAATTCTGAGTTCTAATTTGATTGCACTGTGGTCTGAGGGACTGTTCATTATGATTTCCATTCTTTTGCATTTGCTGAGGAGTGTTTTACTTCCAATTGTGTGGTCAATTTTAGAATAAGTGTGATGTGGTGCTGAGAAGAATGTATATAATGTTGATTTGGGGTGAAGAGTTTTGTAGATGTCTATTAGGTCCACTTGGTCCAGAGCTGAGTTCAAGTCCTGAATATCCTTGTTAATTTTCTGTCTCATGGATCTGTCTATTATTGACAGTGGGGTGTTAAAGTCTCCACTATGGTTGCGTGGGAGTCTAAGTATCTTTGTAGGCTTCTAAGAACTTGCTTTAGGAATCTGGGTGCTCCTGTATTGGGTGTATATTTATTTAGGACAGTTAGCTCTTCTTGTTGTATTGATACCTTTACCATTATGTAATGCCCTTCTTTGTCTCTTCTGATCTTTGCTGGGTTAAAGTCTGTTTTATCAGATAGTAGGATTGCAACCCCTGCTTTTTTTTTTGCTTTCCATTTGCTTGGTAAATTTTCCTCCATCCCTTTATTTTGAGCCTATGCGTGTCTTTGCACGTGAGATGGGTGTCCTGAATACAGCATATCGATGGGTCTCGACTCTTTATCTAATTTGCCAGTCTGTGTCTTTTAATTGGGGGCATTTAGCCCATTTACATTTAAGGCTAACATTGTTATGTGTGAATTTGATCATGTCATTATGATGCTAGCTATTTATTCTGCTCATTAGTTGATGCAGTTTCTTCATAGTGTTGATGGTCTTTACAATTTTGTATGTTTTTGCAGTAGCTGGTACCAGTTTTCCTTTCCATATTTAGTGCTTCCTTCAAGAGCAACTAAACAAGGCAAGGCAGGCCTAGTGGTGACAAAATCTCTCAGCATATGCTTGTCTATAAAGGATTTATTTCTCTTTCGCTTATGAAGCTTAGTTTGGCTGGATATGAAATTCTGGGCTGAAAATTCTTTTCTTTAAGAATGTTGAATATTGGCCCCCACTCGCTTCTGGCTTGCTGGGTTTCTGTAGAGAGATCTGCTGTTAGTCTGATGGACTTCCCTTTGTGGACAACTCGACCTTTCTCTCTGGCTGCCTTAACATTATTTCCTGCATTTCAACCTTGGTGAATCTGACAATCACATGTCTTGGGGTTGCTCTTCTCAAGGAGTATCTTTTTTGTGTCCTCTGTATTTCTCTAATTTGAATGTTGGCCTATATTGCTAGGTTGGGGAAAATTCTCCTGGATAATATCCTGAAGAGTGTTTTCTAACTTGGTTCCATTCTCCCCATCACTTTCAGGTACACCAATCAAACTCAGTTTTGGTCTTTTCACATAGTCCCATATTTCTTGGAGGCGTTGTTCATTCCTTTTCATTCTTTTTTCTCTAATCTTGTCTTCATGCTTTATTTCATTAAGTTGATCTTCAGTCTCTCTGATAGATATCCTTTCTTCCACTTGATCAGTTCAGCTGCTGATACTTGTGTAGGCTTCATGAAGTTCTCATGCTGTGTTTTTCAGCTCCAACAGGTCATTAATGTTCTTCTCTAAACTGGTTATTCCAGTTAGCAATTCGTTTACCTTTTTTCAAGGTTCTTAGCTTCCTTGCATTAGGTTAGAATATGCCCCTTTAGCTTGGAGGAGTTTGTTATTACCCACCTTCTGAAGTCTACTTCTGTCAATTTGTCAAACTCTTTCTCCATCCAGTTTTGTTCCCTTGTGGGAGAAGAGTTGTGATCCTTTGAAGGAGAAGAGGTATTCTGTTTTTTGGAATTTTCAGCCTTTTTGAGCTGGTTTTTCCTCATCTTCGTGGATTTATCCAACTTTGGTCTTTGACACTGGTGACCTTCAGGTGGGGTTTTTGTGTGGATGTCCTTTTTGTTGATGTTGATACTATTCCTTTCTGTTTGTTAGTTTTCCTTCTAAGAGTCAGGCCCCTCTGCTGCAGATCTGCTGGAGTTTGCTGGAGGTCCACTCCAGACCCTGTTTTCCTGAGTATCACCAACAGAGGATGCAGAACAGCAAAGATTGCTGGCTGTTCCATCCTCTGGAAGCTTTGTCCCAGAGGGGCAGCCACCAGACGCCAGCCAGAACTCTCCTGTATGAGGTGTCTGTCGACCCCTGCTGGGAAATGTCTCCCAGTCAGGAGGCACAGGGCGGTGGGGGTGCCCACTTGAGGAGGCAGTCTGTCCCTTAGCAGAGCTCGAGTATTGTGGTGGGAGATTTCTTCTCTTCAGAGACGGCAGGCAGGAATGTTTAAGTCTGCTGAAGCTGCGCCCACAGCGACTCCTTCCCCCAGGTGCTCTGTCCCAGGGAGATGGGAATTATATCTATAAGTCCCTGACTGGGGCTGCTACCTTTCTTTCAGAGATGCCCTATCCAGAGAGGAGGAATCTAGAGAGGCAGTCTGGCTACAGAGGCTTTGCCCAGCTGTGGTGGGCCCCGCCCAGTCTGAACTTCCTAGTGGCTTTGTTTACACAGTGAGGGGAAAGCTGCCTACTCAAGCCCCTCCGGCAACAAGCTCGAGCATCCCAGGTTGACTTCAGACTGCTGTGCTGGCAGCGAGAATTTCAAGCCAGTGGATCTTAGCTTGCTGGGTCTATGGGGGTGGGATTCACTGAGCTAGACCACTCGGCTCTCTGGCTTCAGCCCCCTTTCTAGGGGAGTGAATGATTCTGTCTCGCTGGCATTCCAGGTGCCACTGGGGTATGAAAAAAAGAAAAAACAAACTCCTGAAACTAGCTCGATGTCTGCCCAAATGGCTGCCTGGGTTTGTGCTTGAAACCCTGAGCCCTGGTGGTGTTGTCACCTGAGGGAATCTCCTGGTCTGTGGGTTGTGAAGCGCATGGGCAAAGCCTAGTATCTGGGCCAGAATGCACCATCATGGCACAGTCCCTCAGGGCTTCCCTTGGCTAGGGGAGGGAGTTCCCCAACCCCTTGCACTTCCCAGGTGAGGTAACGCCCCACCCTGCTTTGGCTCGCCCTCTATGGGCTGCACCCACTGTCTAACCAGTCCTAATGAGATGAGCTGGGCACCTTAGTTGGAAATGCAGAAATCACCTGCCTTCTGTGTTGATCTTGGTGGTAGTTGCAGACCAGAGCTGTTCCTATTCAGCCATTTTGCCAGCCACTGACCTATTTTCTCCCATTCTTTGTGCTGCCTTTTAGCTTTCTTGATATCCTTTGAAGCACAAAATTTTAAAATCTTGATGAAGCCCAATTTGTCTATTTTTCTTTTGTCATCTGAGTTTTTAGTGTCATATCTAAGAAACCCATTTCCTAATACAAGGGCACAAAAATTTACTTCTGTGTTTTCTCCTGAGAATTTTATAGTTTTAGCCTTTACATTTAGGTCTATGACTGATTTTCAGTTAATTTCTATGTATGGTGTGAAGTAAGAGCTCAACTTCATCCATTTGCATGTGGAAATATAGTTGTTCCAGTATGATTGGTTAAAAAGATTATTCTTTACCTCATGAATTGTGTTGAGCCCTTTGCTGAAATTAATTGTCTATAAGTGTAAGGTTTTTTGTCCGTATTTTCAATTTGCCTAGTACAACCTTGTCTTGATTTCTGTAGCTTTGTAGTAAGTTTTGAAATCCAGACATGTGAGTCCTCCAGCTTTGTTCTTTTTCAAAATTCATTTGGTTCCTCTGTGTTGCTTGAGTTTCTATACAAATTTTCGGATTACTGTGTCAATTTTTATTTTTAAAAAAGCGGCTTGGATTTTGATAGGTATTGCATTGAATCTATAGACCACTTTGGGTAGTATTGCTTTCTTAACAATGTTGAGTCTTGCAATCCATGAACATGAAGCATCTTGTCCTTTTTTTAGCTTTTATTTAAATTTTTCAACAATGTTTTGTAGGTTTCAGCTTGCAAGTCTTGCAGTTCTTTTATTAAATTTATAACTGTTTCGTTCCACTTGAAGCTATTGTAAATGTATTGCTTTCTTAATTTCATTTTTGTATTGCTCATCACTAGTGTATAGAAATAGAATTGATTTTTGTGTATTTACCTTGCATGCTTCAACCTTGCAGAACTTGTTCATTAGTTATAACAGTATTTGTGTGTGTCTGTGTATTATTAGAATTTTTTACATATAAGATTATATCATGTACAAATAGGGGTAGTTTTACATCTTTCTTTCCAATCTGGATATCTTTTATTTCTTATTCTTGCCTAATTACCCTTGCTAGAATATCCAGTACAATGGTAAATAGAAGTGGGGAGAGCAGACACCTTGGTTTTATTCCTAACTTTAGGGAAGAGCTTTCAGTTTTTCACGTTTAAGTATGCTATCTGTGGAGGTTTTTGTAGATGTGGTTTATCAGGTTAAGAAAGTTCTATTCTATTCATTGTTTGTTTACTCTTTTTGTCATGAAAAGTTGTTGGGCTTTTGTCAAATGCTTTTCCTATGTCTCTTGAGATTATCATGTACTTTTGGTTCTTTATTCTCTTCATAGGTACATTACATTGATTGATTTTTGGATGTTAAACTAAGCTTGATTGCTGGGATAAATCCCACTGTGTCTTGATGTGTGATCCTTTTTCTTCTTTTCTGGATTTGGCTTTTTAGTATGTTGATGATTTTTGCATATATATTCAGAAGGGATATTGGTCTCTAATTTTCTTTTCTTGTGGTCCCTTTGGTTTTGGTATCAGAATATACTGGCTTTATAACATTGGGAAATGTTCCATCTCTTCTATTTTATGGAATAATTTTGGAAGAATTTTCATTAATTTTTTAAACATTTAGTAGAATTTACCATTGAAGCCATCTGGGCCTGGGATTTCTTCTTGTTAAGTTTAAAAATTACTAATTCAATATCTTTACTTGTTACAGGCCTATTCATATTTTCTATTTCTCCTTAAGTCAGTTTTGTTGGTTTGTGTCTTTCTAGGAATTTGTCCATTTCATCAAGTGCATCTAATATGTTGTACAGTTGTTTATAGTATTCTCTTACAATCCTTTTTTCATTTCTGTAAAATTGATAGTGCTGTCCCCTCTTTCATTCCAGTTATTAGTAATTCAAGTCTCTTTTTTTCTTGGTAAGTATTATGGACTGAATTTTATCTTCTCCAAAATTTATATGTTGAATCCCTAACTTCCATGTGATCATATTTGGAGATAGGGCCTTTAAGGAAGTGACTAAGGTTACATGAGATCATAGTGGTGATATCCTAATCCATTAAGACTGATGTCCTTGTAAGAAGAGGAAGACACACTAGGAACACATAGAGAAAAGGCCATCTGAGGACACAGCAAGAAGGCAGTCCTCTGTAAGCCAAGGAAAGAGAACTCACCAGAAACTAACCCTGCTGGCACCTTGATGTTGGAATTATAGCCTCCAGAACTGTGAGAAAATAAATTTCTGTTGTTTAAGCCACCCAGACTAGGGCATTCTGCTATGGAAGCCCTAGTGGACTGATACAGTCAGTCTAGCTAAAGATTTGTCTGTATTATTGATCTTCTAAAAGATTCAACTTTTGGTTTCACTGATTTTTCTCCATTGCTTTTACATCCCCTATTTCAATTATTTTCACTCTGTTATTTTCTTCTTTCTGCTTGCTTTGGGTTTAGTTTGCTTTGTTTTTTTTCCAGCTTCTTAAGGTAGAAGATTATGTTATTGATTTGCCATATTTCTTCTTTTCAAAATATAGACTTTTAGAGCTTTTAATTTTCCTCTAAGCCCATATTTGACTGCACTAATAATTTTACTGTGTTGTGCTTTTATTTTCATTAATTTCAAAGTATTTTCTAATTTGCCTTGTGATTTCTCCTTTGATCCAACGGTTAAGAGTTTGGCCGGGCGCGGTGGCTCACGCCTGTAATCCCAGCACTTTGGCAGGCCGAGGTGGGCGGATCACAAGATCAAGAGATCGAGACCATCCTGGCTAACGCGGTGAAACCCTGTCTCTACTAAAAATACAAAAAATTAGCAGGGTGTAGTGTTGGGCGTCTGTAGTCCCAGCTACTGGGGAGGCTGAAGCTGGAGAATGGCGTGAACCCGGGAGGCGGAGCTTGCAGTGAGACGAGATTGCACCACTGCACTCCAGCCTGGGCGACAGAGCGAGACACCGTCTCAAACAAACAAACAAACAAACAAACAGTTTGTTATCTAATTTACACGCATTTATAAATTTTCAACATTCCTTATCTTAATGATTTCAATTTTCATTTTACTGTGTCAGAGAACATACCTTGTATGATTTTGATTCTTTAAAAAAATCAGGGATTGTTTTATGGCCTAACATATGAGATATCCTGGAGAATGTATGCTTGAGAAGAATGCATATTCTGCTGCTGTTAGGTAGAGTGTTTTATAAGATGTCTGTTAGGGATAATTATTCAAGTATTCTATTTCCTTGTTGATCTCTGCCTACTTGTTTTATTCTTTATGGAAAGTGGGAATATTAAAATTTCCAACTGTTCACTTTGAATTGCCTATTTTCCTCTTCAATTCCATCACTGTTTGCTTCATACATTTTGAGGCTCAGTTATTAGGTACATATAGGTTTATAGTTATTATATTTTCCTCATGGGCTGGTCTTTTTATTATTATAAAATACCTTTTGTCTTTAGAAAATATTTTTGTCTTAAAGCATATTTAGTTGAATATTAGTATAACCACTTTAGTAATTCTCTTTTGGTTACTCTTTGTAGGATATATATTTTCCATGTCTTTTCTGTTGACCTATATGTGCCTTTGATACTAAAATGTGTATCTTATAGAAAGCATATATTTGGATCATACTTTTTTCTTTTTTTTATCCAGTCTGCTAATCTCTGCCTTTTGATTAAAGTGTTTAATCAGTTACATTTAATGTAATTACTGGTAAGGTAGCATTTACATTTGACCTCTTGCTATTTGTTATCTGTAAGTCTGATGTCTTTTTTTATTTTACTGCCTTCTTTGGTGTTAAATTGATATTTCCCATGTACTATTTAATTCCCTTTTTGTTTCTTTTACTGTATTTTTTGAGTTATTTTGTTAGTAGTTACATTGGAGATTTTAACATCAATTAAAATTTTATTTGCTAATTAGTATCCACTTAATTTCAGTACAAAACTTTGTTTCAATATAGCTTCATTCCCACCTTCTAGTTGTGTGATTCTTGTTACACAAATTACATCTTTATACATTATAAACCCACCTACAAAATTTTATAATTATTGCATTATACAGTTGTCTTTTGAAACATATGAGAGAAGAAAAGAGTTACAAACACAAATACATTTATGCTGTCTCTTATATTTACCTATGTAATTACCTTTACTGTTGACCTTTTTTTCTTTTTGTGGATTTGAGTTACTATATTATATTCTTTGATTTTAGCCTGAAGAACTCCTTTTCGTATTTCTTTTAGGACAGGACAGGTCATGATGAATTTTCTTAGTTTGTTTTCTGATTAAATCTTTTGGATATTCTTTTAATGCATTACTTTCATAAAAAATGTAATATATGTGTAGGTATAAAAAACCCTACATTACAATAATTCAGATGCTAAATACACGGTGTTGGGAAGGAGGAAAAGTAATAACATTGAATTTACATAGTTTTTTTATTTTTCTAAAATGGAGTTAGCTTTATAATTTTTGTCCAGTCTCAAAACACATGCTTATTGTAAAATATTTTAGGATATATATATATGAATAAAAAACCCCTGTTCTTTTCAGAATATTGTGTAAACCCACATGTCTTTTTAATGAGATTAAAAATGTAGACGTATTGATTATGACATTTCCCAAGCTCTGTGCAGCAAATATGCCTTTATTTCTTTTATCACAAACTTTATTTTTATTCCAGGTCCATTCTTCCTAATGATGAAACCTAAGGAGTTACTTCTAGATAGATTCAGCTTTTTGAAGTGAGTTTTTAGTCAATTCACCCCCTCGCTTCTCCTCAGTGTAACATTTTAGTTTCGGGTGATGTGTTGTTATGCTGTGTTTAGGCAATAGCGGGAAGGGGCATATGGCCAACATCCTATGGCATCTGCTGAGGTGTAACTCATCCGTTTTATCTTTAATTGCTGGTCTCTGCATTGCTGCATCTGCTGATATGCTGGAGTCTGCCCGGGCCATGAGTTATGTCCATATAGCTCACTTTATGTTTCCTTACTCCTAATTAGAAGGCTCTACCTGTCCTGTTTTGTACCCCTTTTGGATATACAAGAGAAATTAGGGTTCTTTCAAGTATCGTCAGGCTCTGCAACTACTGTCATTACCAGTTATTATGGATTGCGTGAATTCTAAGCTCAGCTTACTTCAGTAAATTCCAAATGCATGATCTGGCAAATCAATAGCCTTGGCTTTCAAGCCTTTTCCTCTGTTAGGGATGCACACAGTCTATTTTGAAGTTCAAAGCCAAGAGTTTTTCCTCTCTTTTTTTTCTCTTTGGTGTCCTCCAATTAATGAATGACCTCTGAGACAGTGAATGATATTAAAGTGATGGCTATCAAGGGAAAAGGACAAAAAGGAAATGCAGGAAAAGTCCTACAGGCAAAATATATCCAAATTCAATCCCATCGCATGGATCTACTTCTTTTTATTTTCCAAAATGGAAAGTTTATAATTTTATTTTGCTACATTAAGATTATACATAATAATACTGAAAATTTAACCTTTCCAATGAAATATAAGTTGCCTTGTAGCCATGCCCAAGACCACTGATAACATTCTGTCTACTTACCCTGTCTACATCTCATGTGACCATTTGTGCTGATATGTCTCTACTTTATATGGGTGGGACATACTATATTTGCCATCTTGTGACCTACTCCTTTTTATTAATATAAAGAATTTTTATTAAATATTGAGAAGATATAAAATGATATGTATAAAATATGTGGGGATGTAAAGAACAATAATACAACTAATTCTCATATGCTAACCACCCAATTATAGAAATGGAAACCCTCCCTTACCTGTGAGTTCCTGTGTCCCCTTCTAATCTCTTTTTCTTACCCTCCCCAGAGGAAATTATTCTAAATTTTGTATTTTTCCCCCATGGCTTTAATTACAGTTTTTCATATTAGCATGTCTCTAACCAATTAGTTAGCCAATAATTAACCAATAAACCTAATTGTGAATTTTTTTGAAATTTCTACAAATGGAATTGTACTTTATACACTTTCATCTTACTTGGATTATCCACCCAACAATTTAACCTAGATTCCTCTCTGTTGCAGTGTACAGTATGGTTTATTTGTTTTTTTGTGGTATGTAGTATTTCATTGTGGAATATACCATAATTTATTTTGCTGCCGATGGACATTTGAGCTATTTCTGGTAATTTGCTCTCACAAAAGCTGCTGCTACCAGCCTTCTTGTGCCTATCTTGTAGTGTAACTCCAGGTCCTCTAGGCTAGACAGATTCTGAAGACAAAAATTCCTGGGTTATAAGTCATGGGCAATCAACATTTGGCTGTCACTTGTTTATTTTTGCCATTTAGGTGAATGTAAATGATAGCTCATTTTGGCTTTAATTTACATTTTTTCTGAATACTCAATGAAGTGGCGCATTGTTTTCAATGTCTATTGACAATTAATATTTTATAATCTTTGAGATAAAATGTTTCATTTCATGCCTGCTCAAATATTTTCCTGCTGGTTTGTTTTTTCTTATTGACTTGTAGAAGTTTTTAAAATCTTGTTTTGGTATGAATTCCTTATTGGTTATTATGTGGGTTGCAAACATCTTATCCCAGCTTATGTTTATGTATATTAAGACACATTTGGGCAACTAGACTACTTTCAGGGTTTTGCTATTATAACGCACCATTGAATATTTTGTAGCATTTTGTAGAATTTAAAAAATTTGTATTGAGTAGGCTAAATCCCAAGAGTTCAATTACTAGGTCAAAAGGTATGAATATCTTCATGAATTCTAAATAAATATTGCCTAATTGCTTTCCAAAAAGGTTGTAACAATTTGCAATGCCAGAAATAGTCAAAGATGTAACAGTTTCACTCTAATCAACCCTAGCTTTTTGTCATTAAATATTTTTGGCTAGTCTAATGTGCAAAATGTTTCTCAACATTGCTTTAATTTGCATTTCTTGATTACTAGCATGGATGAGCATTTTTCACAGTGTTTGTTTACTAATAGTATTTTCACTGATGTAAATTGTGTAGTTTTACCTTCAAGGTCTTTATTTTATGTTAAGCTAAGAATAGTAAATACAGCTCTCACAAACCAGAAGTAGAAAGCGATTTTCAGTTTTCAAAATGATTATGGAAGATTTTCCAAGTCTGAGTGCCTTACATACAGCTATTTACGGTGATTTTAACAAAGATTTTTTTTAAAAAAAGTCATCTATATTTCTGGTGGTGGAAATAGAGACAAAAGAGTTGATCCTTGCTTTTAAGGGATTTATTATTTTAGGTTAAAGTAGAGAAATATGACAGAGTGGTGCTTCAGTGTTTTGGGAGCACAGAGGAGGGCTCCCTAAGTCAGAAGAAAGTTCTAAAAGGCTTTCCAAAAGTAGTGCCCCTTAAGTTACATCAGGGAAAAGAATGAGTGCTAAGTGGCTGGAGGGGGTGCTGCAGACCAAGCAGAATGCAGGTGCAAGAGAACAGAGGTGTGGAAGCACATGGTCCTCCCTTGTGATGGACTGGAGCTGGCACTGGAGCAATAGGCTGGAGACCCTCCATCCGTGCTAAGGAGTTTCAAATCTATTCAGAAAGTGCTGGAGAGCCTCCAGAGACTTTTAAGCCAATTTAGAAAACTTCTCACAATGGCAGAATAGGATGGAGGTTAGGTGGGTGTTGGGGAGAAGAGTATAGAGACATTTAGAAGTTATCTAGGGATAGCTTCTAAAAAGATAGGGTGTAGTCGTGGGAATAAAGAAGAGGTGATGGATTTGGTAGTATGGAAATAGCCTTAAGAAAACCCAAGACTTAAATCAGATGTGCCATGAGATGAGAAGAGAAGAAGAGGAAAGACTACTACATCAGCAGGGACGGGGTGATAGTCTTAGGGGTGGCCCCAGAGACAAGGGCAGAGGCCCTGTGGGTAGATTCATTGTAGGGAGAGTGGCATCAGGGGACAAATGGGCCTTTTCTCTTCTCACCTGCAGCTCCATTCCTTACCATGAAGAGCCTCTCCTGCAAGCATGTGGACACCCCATATAATTGTGTCCTAGTCCCTCCGCAACAAATAGCAGCGTCTGAGGCCTGAAGGTGTGCAGAGTAGCTCCATCTGCCCTTGGGAGGACAGAGCCCTGGGAAGAGCCTCATGCAGGCCTTAAATCAGGCTTGGAGTTGTTGGGGTAGGGAGCTCCAGACTCTTGAGTGCTTAGGGTTATATAGGAAGAGAGAGATTGGGCTGCAAGTATCCATATACTCTGGGACTCAGAGACTCCATGCTCTGTGGGGTTGGTCTGGTCAGAGGAGGGAACGAGAGGAGCTCCCTTTGGCTGGACTGAGGGTAGTATATGTGAAAGGTCTTGCCTGGGCAGGTGGACTTCTGGGAAGAGACGTGGCTTTGAGACTGGAGGCCAAGCTTGTGTTACATGGATCCTGTGGGCAACTTTGGTGGATGCCGTGCCCCAGCTGAGCTCTTAAGTGGCTGGAATAATCTCATAGCAATAGGGAAGCTAAGAGACTCTTTGAACTTGGTGATGATCACAGTTTTTTGGAGACACTCACAGGGGATGACATTTATCCACTTTTGCCCAATGCTAGCTTCAGGTTGGCTGCCTGAGGAAATAACTGTGACAGAAAATTACTATTTATGTTAATGAAAATCTCCTTTTCAAAATATTAATACTTCTTTTGGTTCTAAATGGTCACAAATGGCTTTTCTATACTTGTTGAGTATGTTTCTCATTCTTTGCAATGGCAAGCCATTTACAAATGAGCAAGATTAAAATATTCAACAACACTCAAAATATTTATTGAGTAACTACTATATGTGGTTGAGGAGATAGTGGTGAAGAAGACAGAAAAAAATGGCCTTTCTGGGGCTTAGATTCTAGTAAGGGACAAAAAATAAAAATGTCAACAGTGACTATATAAAAAAAGAGATAAATGCTATAGGAAAAATAAAACTGGCAATACATTAGAGAGTGACAATGGAGGGAGGAGAAGACTTTTCTAAGGACTGAACTTTTACCGTGCATCTCAGCTTTTAGTTCTATGGAGATACTGAAAATGTCTACTTTTAGCTATATGGGCCATTTCTGCCTTCAAGTCATGCATGACCTTCTGACCTTGTTCAATTTTTCTTCTGCTCTAAAAGCTCCATGTATTATTCTTTATAGCACTGACCATGTTTTCATTCCACATTTATTGGGGTAATTATTTGATTCATGTCCTTCTCCCCCAGAGTTCTGTGGGAACAGGGACAGGGTTAGTCGTTCCTCTCTACTCCATCCAGGCACCAGCAATGAACTTACTGGTTGCAGATGTGCAACCATTATATGTATTTTTCTGTAGTGAACAAATGATATACAGTTTTTAAATGCTTAACAAGTCTGGAACTCTGTACTTTTCTGATACGTTTCAAGGTTAGAGTGTACTTGACAAAGAGGGCACATGGCAAATATCTCACTGTATGGAAATGAGTTTTTCCAGATGACCTTAATATATTGATCTTGATGAATAGTATGTGGTCTTCTTTGATTTTGCAAACTGGATCATACCTATCTAGCAACAGTGGTAAAAATACAGGTAAAAGAGGAGGGAAGTCCTTTTTGAAATGAAAACTGTTTCTGAGTTGACAGAATAATCTCCCCATGACAGGAGAGGAAAAGAAGAAAAGTGGAGGATAGAAAGACTAAAATTTAAGCAGAATTTAGACAGAATTAGGAATAAACATGGGATTACTATGTCAAGACAGATTTATACATTATTTTCATAATGTTTTTTGTTGGAACTGGGGAAAAGGAGGAAACTAAAATAAACAGTTTGAAAAAAGTGTAAATTCTACAACTACCTTTGCCAAATTACTGGGTATTGTTATAAATCAAAGGCCAGTCACAGTAGCTCATGCTTATAGTCCCAGCATTTTGAGAGGCTGAGGTGGGAGGATTGCTTGAGACCAGGAGGTCAAGACAAGCCTTGGGCAACATAGCACGGCCCCGTCTCTAATTAAAAAAAAAAAAAGTCAAAGACTGCCTTATGAATCTTTTCTTTTCAGGGGCTACGAAAACTAGATTGGAAAGAGAAATAGGGGACTATTGGGCTTGAACCAGAAAAAATGGATGAATGAGACAAAAAGGGAAGCACAAGTGGAGAGGTTTACTGCTTAGGATAAAGATCAAGCCTTGGCAAAATCCTCCTTATCCAAACAAGAAAGTTCAAGACTCTAATAGATATTTGCCAACTTTTCTCGTGTACTCTGTGCCTTTGCAACTGTAATAACAAATGGGTCAGTAAGGACGGATTACGTAGAAAGATACGATCACCTGAGGCTTCTTCCTTCCAGGCCTGGAAGACTCTCAGTGATAGGAATACCCCACTTTCCAAGGCAGCTCACGTTACCTCTAGACATTTCTATTGGAAAGTTCTTGCTCACATTGAGCTGAAGTCTCTGTCTTCTTACAGCTTCTATCTATTGTTCACAGTTCTAACCTTTGGTGCCTTCAAAATAAATCTAATTCGTGTTCCACACAAAATCCTTCAAATATTTGTAAGACAACGTCATGTCTGTTTCTCCTGTTATCCCTATTTCTTTCTCCACAGGCTACTTTGCTCCACTCTGCAAATGTGTGGTCTCATTTATCATGTCCTTCTTTCTCTATGATGCTCCCGATTACAGGATATAGTGGGTGCTAAATATATTTATGCTAAATAAATATTATATACAAAATAAATATATGGTAAATAATTTTTGATGCCAAATATTATATTGCCTTTAAGGAAAACAATACACTTGATAGCTATATCATCCTGTAAATACCTATGGAGCTCACTCCTAGATAAATCCTTGTCTTTTTCAAATTATTGTGCTGCCGAGCAGTGTCCCTTCCATTCTATCTTTATGCAGTTACTCATTTAGAACAGTTGTTGTCCTATGGCTCCAGCCTGGTGAATATTTTAGATTCTAATTCTGTCTCCAAACTATTTATTATTCTTCACAGTTTTATGCAATAGAAAAGACTGTTAGGCATGCTTCTTTACCTCGCTCCAAATCACTGGTAAATCCTGATCAGGAAAGCCTCAATATCAAAGCCTGTACTTACTATTTGAAGGAACTGGCTCACAGGTTGTCATCAATCTGTTAATTGGTGCCTCTTTGGTATGGTTGTTCAATTCATTACCAATCTATCTTATCATGCTGTCATCAGGCACAGTAGCTTTCAACTTTCACTGAATATTAGAGTTAACTGAACAACTTTTAGAAATCCTGGTGTCTAGTCCCCGTGCTGGGCCAATTAAGTCAGAATCTCTGGTGTGGGATCCAGGCATTAATACTCTTTAAAGCTCCTCAGGTGATTTTAATGGGCAGCCAAGGTTGGAAACAACTGATATAGCCCAATACTCTCCAAACTTCTTTGATCAAAATAATTATCTGGGGTATATTTTATAAGGTCAAATTCCTAGTGTCATCCCTTAGTCACTGAATCAGACAGAATATCCTGGGAAGCTTCAGAAACTTAGGAACACTGATAACTCATACATAAGACATTTTCTTCCAAAAGAATATGATCAGAGGAGTAGTCAAATCTCTGTTGAAATCTAGATTTACTATTTCAACCACATTTCTCTGTAAAAGAACAAAATAAGTCAGTATAACTCATATACATATAGTAGATTACATTTTGTGGTAAAATATTATCTTATTTATGGTAGCCTCTTAGATGAAGTCATATCTATCTATCTATCTATCTATCTATCTATCTATCTATCTATCATCTATCTATCTATAAATATTTGTGAATATTTGAAGGCATGTATTTATTCAACAGAAATGTGTTGAGTAGCTCTTCTGAGCCAGGCTTGATGGCAGACAGGGGTATACTATTGTGAGAATAACATAGCCATGATATTGTCTTCATTTGTTCAGTCTGGGT
Source organism: Homo sapiens (assembly GCF_000001405.40). Lineage (NCBI taxonomy): Eukaryota > Metazoa > Chordata > Mammalia > Primates > Hominidae > Homo > Homo sapiens. The sequence continues at coordinate 90,752,098 of NC_000006.12, forward strand.
TGGTGTGAAGGAGACACAGGTATAAAATAAGTACCCTAAATAAATACAAATTGTAGCAAGTAGAATGTAGGAAAGAAGATATTGAAGTAAGGAATGATGGAGGTGTAGCAATGAGGGAATTGATTTGAAAGGGAGGGCTTCTCCAAGGACGTGACATGAACTGACTCAAGAAGCCTGAAAAGACAGTCCTAAGAGGCGTGGAGGGGCAAGCACTTCCAGGCAGGAGAGCAGCATGTGTATGAAAGGCTCTGGAGCAAGTAAGAGCTCGGTCTGCTTGAAGGACAGAAGGAAAACCAAGCAGTGAGTGGGCAGAAAATGAAGGATGAGAGAATGTAGAGACAGGTTACACATTATGGTAATGGGTTTAGATCTTACCCTAAGTGAAATGGGAAGCCATGGAATGTTTTTAAGTTGGTGGGTGGGTGGATGATGTGCTTGTGCAGTGAAATGATTGAACGAGGTCTGAGGGAAAATGGAAGGGAGACCAATGGGAATTTTTTGTGCTAGTCCAGGAAAGAAATGATAATGGCCTGGGTTGGGATGGTGGAAGTGAAGAGAGTGGGAAGTGAGCAGATGGGTTTTGGAGATAAAATGAAAAGCACATGGATATAGTGTACAAGGGAAAGGGAGGGATCAAGGATGAATACTTCCTTTAAAAGATTATTGGCCTGATAAATCTTGTTTACATGTGTCATGCATATGAATAACATTTTAATTGGATGGGAACTTCTTGGGATAAATACACTGTAATTAAGGAATCAGTTAATAAATGCCTGCTGTCTACACATCCTGGGCCAGCTGCTATGGAATATACTCATCTGATTAACAGAGATTTGGGTTCCAAGAAGGAGCCAGAGCAATAGGGTTCTAAGCCCAGCTCTGCCATAACTTATTTCATTGCCAGTTTTTGACTAGCGACATAATTAATGTACAGCTGATAACTAATATTGATAACTCCTTTATCTAAATAGTACAATAAAATAATTAAGTTTGAATAAACATCATAGTTATATGATTTGTCCATCCATTGCGTGACCTTGGGTTTACATTCCTTTTCTATAATCTGAGGGCTTTGGACCAGACAATCTCTCAGCTGTCTCCTAGCTATGACATTCTGTATTTCTGTCACCAGTCTATGGACACAAGACACTCTTGTCACATAAAGTACAGTTAGGGACATTCTAAAATAGATGCCCAATGAACAGGTCATGTGGGGATTTCGTGGAAACTTCTAATAAAGGAGAGGCTAGTCTGGAGTGGGTTGGTCAAGTCAACATTTGCTTGGGGAAGAGTGAACGGATTAGTTTGGCAGAACTAGAAGTTACAGTCACTTAGGCCGCAATGGCAGTTGAGCTTGTCACTATGTGTTCAGATGGGGTTGTGAAGAGTTTTGGGTGCTGTGTTAAGATGTTTCAGACTTTATCCTATGGAGAGATATGTGCAATAAAATCAGAATTTATGGCTTCACCTTTCTCAATCAATTTAATGTGTACACAGCGTAGTGGGATCTGGGAGTGAGGTGGAGCAGTGCCAAGATCAGTGGTCCCCATGAGAGTGCTTGTCTTAGAACCCTGGGACTGCCATTTGTTCCCTCTTTACCCTTGAAGTAGGAGCAGTCTTTGGGATATGATCTAGTAGACGTAGATTTGTAGAATTATCTGGGGTATATCTTATAAGGTCAAATAAGCCTGTCTGGCTCTTCACGTTGCCACTTTCTTGTTCTGAGATTTTGGGCAGACTCTTTACTGCTCTGCACCTTCGTTTTAGGATATCTTAAATGGGGCCAATAACACCTTCTTTATGAGGTTATTTTGGGAATTAAGTATTCAACTTCTAAAGCTTTGTGAACACTAAAGTTTGCATGATAAGCATGTGTGCACAGCTCACACTCTGCCCACTGACTAATGTCAACAGTGTTATCTGAGGCTGTCTTTCAGCAGACATCGTTCCATTTCACCGAGCCTTACAGGCTTACAATACAAACTTGAACAGTCAGGATGTTTCACTGCAAATCTTTACAGAAGTGCTCTTCGACTGATAGTCATTGTGGAGGAAAAGAAACAAATGCTGAACTAGGAGGCAACTTGGGGTTTTAATATGTTCCTTAAGTTTGCATCCTCCCACCTTCCCTGGATGAAAACCACTGGTGATGTGATTTAATTCTTTTGGCTGGTGAGTTGCGTTGCATCGGTGGGCTGGGGAAGCAAGACGGTTGAAAGCCACTGCTGTGGAGAATAAATAGTGGTGTCCTAGAAACTTCCCCAGCAAGATTCAGAAGGTAACCTAAGACCCATGGCTTCATGGTGGTTTTCTACTATTTTGGAAACAGTGAGCTCATCGCTTAGAGTCACTGTGGATTAAGAAATACTCAGATGGCCTAGGTTACAACTATCAAAAGTCAAATAGATTGTTTTAGTTGAGGGACTGGGATAGGTCTTGGCCCCTGCCTTTGAATTCTTCCATCTACTGTTTCATTCTAACTCTTTGAGCTACTGCACTCAAGTCTTAGCCTCTGGTCTTTCATCATGGTTTTGGTCAGATACAGTGACAGTTTGTAGTGATTACAGATTTATTTTTAAAAGACAACCTATTGACCTTTTTATGAATAGCAGCTTTAAAAAGAAGACTAGAAAAAGTCTCTAATCCAAGCATATATGCTTGGTCTTAGGTTTAAATTTGGAAGTGATGCAATGAGTAAGGCTGACTCTATTCTCCATGTGTTTTTAGTTATTATCTTGTTTAGTACAGTGTAATTTATATAAACTTAATCAAATTTATTATCTTTGTCAAAAAGGCAAATGCTTGGAATATTAAGATGTTTTTTTAAAGATGAAGAACATAATTAATTTTTTTCAAACTCGTCTAAAAATGCTTAGCGGTCAGTTCTGCCATCTAGATTTATTTAAACATATGTAAATTTGGCATTTTGAACAGCAATTAATAAAGTTGCTGTAATTTGAATCTTGGATTTTCTCTCTTCCTCTCTGGCTTTTTGAAAAGGTACTAGCATTTAAATTACTATTCCAGTTTTCAAAGATTTTGGTTAGTGCTTTCTGGGACAAGAAAATAAGTTGTATAGAAACAGTTTCACTACGGATTTTTAAAGGTACATGAGTTCATTAAAAATAGCATTTACTTGCACTGCTTTGAAAGTGTAAATGTGTTAGTCTAACCATTATGGAAATCAGTCTTTTTCTAATCGGAAATGAAATTTTGATTTTTAATTAGTCAACTCTAACTTTTTTTTCTCTTAGTGCTCCTTGAACTTCTATATTCATTCCTTTTTTTTTTGTATTTGTTTTTCCTGCAGCATTTATTTATAGCACAGCAAATAAGTTCTACTCCTTGAGCAATCATTGAACAACTACCTAACTCAGTGATTTTGGACAAGTCTCTATGAATATTTTTGGGTCTTATTTTCCTCATCTTTAAAATAAAGGCATTAGAACCCACAATGCCTAAGGTTGCGCCTAGCCTTGAAATTGTTATTCAAAGCTCTTTCTCCTTTAAACACACATTTACCCTTTTTGGTGTATTTGTCTATTAAATATCCTGTTTATTTATTTAGACATTTTATCTCATCTGTTTTCTAAGCTCTGTGGCAGTAAATGCCTGATTTTTCTTTTCTTTTTCTTTTTTTTTTTAGGCAGAGTCACCCAGGCTGGAGTGCAGCGATGCAATCTTGGCTCACTGCAACCTCTGCCTTTCTGGTTCAAGTGATCCTCCTGCTTTAGCCTCCCAAGTAGCTGGAATTACAGGTGCACACCACCATGCCTGGCTAATTTTGGGATTTTTTTTAGTAGGGATGGGGTTTCACCATGTTGGCCAGGCTGGTCTCAACCTCCTGACCTCAAGTGATCCGCCCACATCAGCCTCCCAAAGTGCTGGGATTATAGGTGTGAGCCACCACACACAGCCTGATGCCTGATATTTTAAAATTTATTTTTGAATTGCTGTTAACACTTAGAAGAGAATCTCACATAAGCAAAAGCTTGATAAATATTTGTAAAATAAATAAATTTTCTCTCAAAGCAGCTCATGTCAATATAAAAATTATAAAACTACTTAAGCTTTCACTTTTGTTGTACAGTAAGTTTTTAAAAATGAAATATCTGAATTTAGTAACTTTTTAGATCCATACATTAATGTAACAAGATATACTTTAAAAAAGTTAATGAAAATAAAAATGTGTGGATGTCATCATTTATGCTCACCAAGATTGTAGAATTCTCTCCTTTGGGCATAAGCTCCATTGACTATGTTGAGGTTAGGTATGGCTGTGTGACATGTTTTAATAATGAAGTGCCACTCTTGGGTGGACATATCAAAGATCTGGTGTGTGATTCTATACACTCTTTTCCCCAGCCATGGTGAGCTTGAAATCTAAGTTGAGATGAAGTCATAAAATGGTAGGGCCTTTTTCAGTGTGCATCCTTGGTGACAAAATTAGCAGAGTTCTTCCCCTGCCCTCCGCTTAACAGGATCCCTATAGATACAGTTAGACAGGTAGCACAAGACAGAAATGTCTTTGTTCTTTTTTAAGTTACTGATTTGTTTTTGTTACCATAGCACAACATAAATCTATTCTAGCCATTTTGAATTGTAAATCTAATGAAAATAATTTTATACTTCATTAAAGTTGTAACAAAGATATTCTGTAAATTGAAATGTTTCCTATTTTATTATGAACCTCCAATATGCTTTTTGGAAAGCTTAAGGCAAACACTTGATTAAAATTTAGCTCAACTTTCACATACTATTTTCACAGAGTGAAAAGTAATATGGCTTTTGATCCAGCCATAAAGTAAATTATTAAAGAAACATTTTTAGAAGTGTGTTGTAATAGAGATAATGGAAAATCTCTGGTGGTGTGAATGCTTGTTGGATATGTTTTGATTCAAACTCTGTTTTCCCAGGTAACAAGCAGGCTCAGCCACTTCCAAATTTCATTATCATATTTATTTATCACCAGTTGTTTTCAAGTCAATTAATTTTTAAAATAGAAAATAGGTTTTAGCATGTAAAAGAAAACTGCATTTGAACTTTCTTTAGTTTTAATTTCAGATTTTTAACATTTCTTCCAAAGACATATCATAGAGACTAAAAACCTTAAGAAAAACTGTCTAAAATCTTTTTGCATGCCAACTTCTGCTTCATGTAGAAACACTATAAGACACAAGGTTACCAGTACAGACTCCAGACCTGATTGTCTGGGTTCAAACCCCAACTTTACCAACAACAAACTTTATGATCTTAGTCAAGTTACTTATTCTCTTTGTGCCTTACTTTTCTCATCTGATAAATGGGGATGCTAATCCTAAATTATAGCCCTTATATGAATATTATCATGTGTAAAATACTTAATAGTATCTGCCATGTAGTGACACTTAGTAACTGTTGCCCACTCCTGGTGTACATCCAAAGAGATTTCCTTTTATATGTAAAACTGTTTCTTTTAGGAGGATTCTGTTATTATTGGAGAAGTTCATCAACAATCTTTTCTTAATTTTATTGTATGCTATTTGGCTTCTTTTTTAGAATAGTGTTTGTTCTTCCACCCTTTTTTCCTTTGTCACATTTTCCTTTGTCATGCTTGTACTTAATCATGCATGCATGTTGTAGATCATATTTTCAATTTATTCTAATTGATATCCAGTGGCCTATGAGGTTAGTTACCTCTAAACTACTATTACTATGACTAATTCCCTTAATAGTACTACTCATCCATAATACTGAAACATATTTCTAAAATCGTAAAATTTATTTCCAATCTAAAGTATGTAGCATAGATGAAACATTAGTCAAGATAAAAAGCTAGGTCAACAAACATTTATTAATGTGCTCAACACAAGGTGAATGCTGTTGGTAATAAAATAGATATAAAGACAGGGCTCGTGCCCACCAAGAATGTACAATGTAGTTGTAGAATTGTGAATTATAAACATGAAACAAACAGAGACTCATACTAATAGGTTAGCAAGCCATACTCATTCTTACATAAGTGATACAGAAATGTTAAAGGGAAGCACTGTGGTAGACTGAAGAATTCTTGAAAGATTTAAGAAGCTGCAACATAGACATTCCAGACAATCTATTCAAATTTAGCTTAACTCATCACACTGCTTCTATAGCATGAAGAAGCTATAGAAACTTAAGGTACACCTGCATGGCACAGCATGGATTTGTAATTCTTTAGGGGTCTTCAGTGTTGGTATATATAGAACTGAAAGGAATTGGCGGAACAAACGGGACATTGTTTGGCAGTGCTAATATCCTGAGGGAATGGATTGCAGAGTAGAGGAAATTGGGGAGTCAGGTCTGAGTAGAGGGGCAAGATCCCATTAGAGAACTTGTCAGGGGTTGGATAGTCACTATGGGGTTGGGATTGAAGACTCTGACATTCAGACGTAAGTTCTTGGGTGAGCATATCGTGGGATTAGCTGATCTTTAGCTTTTGAAATCTGTGCAGTTTTTCAGGGTGTTATCTGTGGCTCCTGGATGACAAAAGGAAAAGTTTCCATTCTGAATCATATTGATATTATGATTTGAAGTATAGTAATTGTGCTTACGTCCCTAAAATGACATGCTCATGTAGAAATATCAGGGCCCATTTACATATGCTTAAAAAAGATGTATTAATATTTGAGAAATAAATAACTATAGTTTTCTATTAGTAACTGTTGAATTTTGGCTCCTTCTTGGTTGGTGGCTGCTGTGGGCAACAGCAAGGCAAGAGGACTTGGGTTTTGAAAACATTAATCTGACGATGTTTGCAATAAGCAGTACAAGTGGGAGAGGGAGGAGTGTCAAGAAGAGGTATCCAGGTAGGTGATGAGGAAAGGAAGGGGTGGGGCAGTGGGGCAGCTGTGTCATCGAGTAGGTGTGGCAAATCAAAGACACTTGCAATGGGGAATCTGCAAAGCTGTTTTGTCAAACATCCCTATTCGTCTGCTTATTTTGCAGGAAAAAAACCCTCTTTACTCCCCTTAAGATAAGATTTGAAAAGGAGAGTGGCAATTGCATAAGATATATGACAAGCTTAACTGGAGAAAGAAAAAGACAGAAAGCAAAAGGAGAATAAGAAAAAGTAAAAGACAACGAACTTAACCTTCCCTGTTCTTCGAGTGGGAAGTCTCCTAGAGAGGTGTCCATCTGAGCAAGAGGCAGCTTAAGAGCCAGCCCTGGGATGACTCCCACCACCTTCTCTGACTCTCCCACATCCCAATTGTGCAAAATTCATTAGACTTTTTAAAAGAGGATCTCTATAGAGTCACTATGCAGCAAATTGTGAGTGGTTGCGAAATTTCTTCTCTGAACCTGGGGAAGGATCAACATAAAGAAGAAGATTTTGGAAAATAATTCACAAAATAAAAATGACTTTGCACATTGTTAAGACATTTATAAGACAGCCCCTTTTTAAAAGTTCTTGCCATCTAAAAGGAGTAACTCACATATAATTTGATGATCAGGATGATAGTCATACATACATTTATCCATTCAAATATCTCAAAGAAAGTCACCAGCTGATAGTTTCTCCTGATCTTTATTTCCCACTAACCTCACAGTAGTATTTGTACATGTAACAAACGAGAAAAAGCTGCCTTCTTTCTTAGTTTGCTACATACCTTGGCCTTTGGCATGTAGGCAAATGGCAAATTTCAAGGCTGAGTTAGCCCCATCAGTATGGGTTCTGATTTTTGCCACACTCTACATGAGAAAGTGCTAAGTGGAGGGAGGTTGATGGGAAGCTGGGTGATTTGTAACTTTTTAAATAGGCTCATTAAGCACAACATCAACTCAGGTCTGCACACTTTGTTCCCGTGTGGCATGGCTGCTAATTATTCCCGGCTGACTGCATCAGTTATAAGAGCAGTACAGCAAGGCAAAAGTTGGGAAGTTCTTAGAAAAATCTACTGATGAATATCAATTCATACCTGTTTACAGTTCACAGTTAACTTTCTTGTTAGCCAATTCTAAGCTTGGAACATTACATTCGTGGATCAAAACAGGTGTCAATGGAGAAGTGTCCTCAGGTGATAGGGCATTGCACTCCAGGGAATGAGGTCAGATACAGTTTGATTATAATCAAGGAGGGTCCCAAAATAATAAATTCTACTTTGTGGTATATTCAGTTTAGTTCGCTTTTCCCCTTCAGGCAGTGTTTACTCAGGAATTACTTCACTTTCTTTTCGAATATAGTTTCCTCACTGGCTACTTCCTTAGGACAATGATAGCTAGGGTTTGAGCTAAAAGAAAATCATCTTCTCCATTTGTAGACATAGGGAGAGGAAATCTTTATGGTGAAGTTATTTATCCAATCAGTATTCCTTGACACTTCCCCGAATTGGTGCTTAAAATGAATGAATGAATGAGAAAAATCTTACTTGAGTTGATTGAGTTAGTTAGTGCTAACAATGATAAGATTGCCGTTTATTTAGCCTACACCTTATACTGGGCACTGTGGTAGAATTTATCATGCGTGCTCTCTTAATCCCTACAATGACCCTTTTCAGTAGGCATTATTATTATTATATCTCAGTTTACAGATAAAGACATGAAAGATTATAGAGGTCATATAGGTATTAAATGGTGGTGATGGGATTAGAACTCTTGTCCTGCTGAGGCCAAACATGAACTTCTTCTTTAGAATGATGTCAGTTTGAAAAAAGAACTCTTCCAACAAGTAGCCTATTGGAGAAGAGATTTCTCCAGGGCTTAAAACTGTCCCTTTCAGTCAAATCTAGCCCAGCTCTGAAAAGTCTAGAATTGAGACATAGCAGGAAAAAGTAATTGAGAAAAAAAAGTGGCTTGTTGGTTTACCCCAGAGGATGGGAGGTATCAATGTCCCGCCCCACCTTCAGAGGGCAGCTCTGTGTGACCTAGGTTAGCCTTGTATCTGAGGAACTTAAATTAAAAGGCTTTTGTTTTTTAAAGTCTGAGCTCAGTGAAGGAGTTGGATTAATAGGGAGGTAACTCCTAGGATTGAAGGAGCAGAAAATTTGCCCAATTCTAGAAAAGTTGGAATGTGCATTATTTGTGTGTGTTCGGCAAGTAGAGGAAGGGGGAGGAGAAGAGTGAGGAGTGGGAAACCTCTGCTCTGATTTGCTGCGGCCCCCTGGAGGGGCAGGACTGTGAGCATCTCAGTGGCCGTCATGATGAACTGAAATCCAGGGTCCCTTCTGCAATTTTCCAGCACTGTACCACTCCAGCTGTGAGTGTACGCCAACATGACTGAGACTGGGTTTTCTGCCCCATGTTTTCGATTTGATTGTTAATCTAGATTTAATTTGATTTAGAAAAATAAATGGGATATTTTTTACATCTAATGTATCAGAACACAACCGTACCTATAACTCTAAAGGGCGCATTCTCAACAGGGTGATATCCCCCAAGGGGATATAAATTAGTTCTTAGTGGGTGAAAGAAGTCTTTCTTTTTTTATGCATGAAGAACAGGTATAGATATACAGTTGACCCTGGAACAACTTGAATTTTAGGGGTGGTGACCTCCCGCATAGCGAAAAATCTGAGTATAATTTTTGAGTCCCCCAAAGCTTTACTACTAATAGCCTACTATTGACTGGAAGCCTTACTCATACCATAAACAGTCTATTAACATATACTTTTAAATGTTACATGTAATTACAGATTGTATTCTTACAATAAAGTAAGCTAGAAAAAAGAAAATGTTATTAAGAAAATCATAAGGAAAATATACATACTATTCATTAAGTAAAAATGGATCATTATAACAGTCTTTATGTTGAAGGCTGAGGAGGAGGAGGAGGAAGAAGAGGAGGGGCCTGGTGTTCTTGTGTCAGGGGTGGCAGAGACAGAAGAAAATCTGCAAGTAAGTGGACCCACACAGTTCAAACTAGCATTGTTCAAGGATCAACTGTAGCACAGAAACAGCTATGCCATGTATTTGTGGTATAAAACAGGGGAGAAGAGATTAGGAAAAAAATGTTTTAAAAGCCTCCTTAGAGATGTGATAATAAAAAACGGTTAAGAAATATTGCTCTAAAGTTTCAGATTCTTGGAGAAATAGTCAAAGTTACAAAGATCAGAGAGGAAGCTATCAAGCATGATTTAGGAATGAAAATAGATGTGCAACGATTGCAGGAACAGAAGGAAATGGGGAAAAGGACAAATACACAAGCATCATAAGAGAATTTTTTTCTGTTCAGACAGGCAAAAATTCACATAAATAAAACAATTAAGTTAGGTTTATTCCTGTAACTAGAAGATATTATTACAAGCTCTTTAAAATGCCCCAGCAAATGTCAGGAAACAGAAGTTCCCCAATTACTCTCTCACATGCTTATTGTCAGGCATGAAATCTTCTAAGCATCTTTAGGTGTCTCTTCTTCCTCATAGTCATATTTAGTACAGTCCTATGCTCTGTTTGCTCCCTCTGTAAGTAATTACTGTCAGAATCTCTAGAAAGTAACTAGGTAAGGATGAAATCTTTTTGTTCTTTTTGGCCCAGGCTTGACTGAAGTTCTCTAGAGCAATGATTCTCACATTTCACCTGCATCAGAATCACCTAGAGGCCTTCCTAAAGCTCAGGTTGCTGGCTGGGCCCTGTCCCCCAGAATTTCTGATTCAGGAGGCTTTCAAGGAGGCCCAATAATGTGCACTTCTAATGCTGATGGTGCTGGTTGGGATCCACAATTTGAGAACCACTGTCCTGTATCAATGAATTGCCTATCTGGTGGGTCATCAGAATCACTGGCAGCTCTAAAAAATTGTATTCTTGGGCTAACCTCTTGAGAATCTGAGGTCAGTGGGTCTAGAGAGACATTCAGATTTGGTACATTTTCATAGTCCTCTAGATAATTCTAATAACCATTTGAGTGTGAGAATCCCTCTTTCATGTGGCTCTTTCATCAAAACTATCCTCTGGCACTGGGGACTGATTGCCGTTTGGTTTTTCATTTGTAAAATTACTTTCCTTGGCAATGGATTGCTCCCAGTAGGTGATGCAATTTTGTAGTTTTATTTATTAGCATCCTTCTTCTTATAAAGTGGATGTTGATTGCATTCTCCAGATCTCAAGGAAAAGAGCATATTTCTCTCTTTGGGGGTTGGCTTATGAAATTGTACTGTCCAGAGACGGAATATTAATTAGACTGTTTATGAGGTAAAATATAAAAGGCAAAACCTGGATTCTGGGTTCAGCTATTCAAATGGATCAAACAATGGGCCTCAGAGAAATGTGTAATGGTTTACTTATCATTTTGGACTTGTTTTCGTACAAATTTTGTCTTTGAGTTGGGACAGGAGAATTCAAAGCACTGGCAAATTCTATTAGGAAATTGGTTGGCAATGAATGGAATGACAATATTGTGTTTGAAGAAAGTATAACTTTTTAAATCTAATGTGATTTTCTTGAACTTATTTTGAAAGTGACTTCCAAGACTAGATTAGGTGATTAAAGATGAGATCTCATGGCTGGGCACGATGGCCCACGCCTGTTATCCCAGCACTTTGGGAGGTCGAGGTGGGTGGATCACCTGAGGTCAGGAGTTTGAGACCAGCCTGGCCAACATGATGAAAACCCATCTCTACAAAAAATGCAAAAAAATTAGCTGGATGTGGTGGTGCATGCCTGTATTCCCAGCTACTCGGGAGGCTGCGGCAGGAGAATTGCTTGAATTCAGGAGGTGGAGGTTGCAGTGAGCTGAGATTGCACCACTGCACTCCAGCCTGGGCAACAAGAGTGAAAACTCTGTCTCAAAAAAAAAAAAAAAAAAAAAAAAAAAAGCTGAGATCTCTTTACTCAGAGGAAGGGGCAAGATTAGTCAATGAGTCAGTCAATTAATTGCTTTATCTGACTGTCTATCTATTTAATCTTTATCTCTTACCACTGAAAATTTGCGGTAGCCCTCCAGTTGAACTTAAAAAAATATTTCTAGCAAATTTTCTGATCTGTCTGAATTCAGGATATTTTAGCAAACCTAATCTGCAGAGAAACACCGTGATTTTCTGTGCAAGGACAAGGGAATTATAAGAGATTATGTTCGAGTAGGATGGTAATAGTGGGTCAGCTAAGCCTTTCTCCCTAGAAACTTGAGGATTGGAGTGTACTTATGACTCAGGGACACACACTAATGATTCTGGAATTAGTTGCAGTTCTTCAAGGTACTAGCCCAGCAGATGGAAAGAATGTTTATCAGAAAATCATGGATATATATTCAGTTATTATATTTTAGATGTTTGGAATATGTGCTGTCAACTGCTTAAGTTTCATTTCCGGAGTCAAAGACTTCAGCAACTTCCTTTACTTTAATGGACAGACAACTCCACTGCAAAGTTTGAAGCATGAGAAGCTCTGTGAACACTCTTTTGCATTGTAGTAAGTTTTTTTATTGTTTTGTAGACTACTGTTCATAAAGTTTTATTATATTTCATTGCTTAGAGTTTTTTTCTACATCATCCTGTCTGTTCACTCTCCCCAATAATTAGGAAGGAGAAATGCCTGTTCATAAATATCTATTGACTTAGCCTAGCTACTAAGGTACAACCCCTTTAACCTTCACCAAAGTGACACCTTAGAAGTAATGATACATGAAACTTCACTCACATATACAAGATACCCACTTCTTTCATGCCATTGAGAAATATTTATTTCATGATTAAAAGCAGTGACTCAAAAATGAACTGGATTTCCCTTTATTTTCTACATTCTAAGATGCCTGATGGTCTCACTGCTGAGTTGTAACAGCTCGATTAGTCCCTTTCTCTGGGGTTCTGAGTGTGAGTGTGCTTCCCCTCACTTTAAACCCTGTAGGAAAAGGGGGCCAAAAGATGTGGAGATAGAAGATATGGAGGAATAAACAGAAATGCACTGACTGAGAAACAGCTGACTTGCAGGAGAGAAACTGGGGACAGATGAGATTGGGAAAGGAAGACACTTTCCATCAGAGAATATTGAAATGGTAAAGTCTTTTCCCTCTGCTTTAGAATGAGCGCAACCTTTTGAAGAAATGGATGGGTGGAGAGAGGGAAGAATTCTGATTTTGAAACAGCTTCAACAGCAAAATATAACATTGAAAAGTTTATAAATCAGGTTGAACCCAATCTCATCAATGTTAAATGAATGTGTTTTCTTAGGGAGTTGCCTAGAAGCATGGGGACTTTGAGTGGAAGTTAATGTAAGCTTAGTCATATGTTTTCATGTCTATTGATGTTAATATTGTCCCTCTTAATGCAGAGAATGTCAGAGACCTCAGACAAGTATTATTTGATTACACTCTTATCCTGGTGCTTTGTCACCAGTGAGTGTTCAGTAAACACTCCTGGTTGGTATTTTCATCAAAAGTGGTTATTTCAAAGAGATGTATAATAGAAATGGTCATTGGTTTCAAACAGAGAACCATTTTGCAGTAATTATATCTTCATATTAAATATGTGATAGACATCAGAGATACAAATTTCCTGTGCTTATTAACAACAAAGGATCTTTGAGAATAAGCCCCAGTCTTCAATTTCTAAAGTTTCTTTTTTAGTGGGAAAAAGAGAACATAGGCAAATCACTATCCTGAGAGACTGAAAAAATGGCTAACATGACTCATTGTTTAAATGCGACAGGATCTTAGATCTCTTATCTTTTGGTGGCAGACAAGGGATAGAGGATTGAAGAAAAGCATGGAAAATGAACCCTTAATTTTCTTGATGAGGTTATACCAATAACAACAGTAGACTTTATAATAGAAGTCAGAAATGTTGACCTAAGTGGACACAAGGAAGGCCAGTATTTTTTTCGTAGTCCCCTTGGGTTCCCCAGCATTATTTCTTCCACACTGTGGCATATATTTCCTGTTCAGACAGCTCCCTTTGGAGTTAATGAAACCTCATTTAACTGTACCATAAGTCATATATGTTTCCCAAACATGAGAAGGCATGACTGAACGGATAGCTAAATAGCTAAGCAGAGTAACAGGATATCTTGAAATTGAATTACAATTGTAAATATTGTTTGGTTTGATCAAAACTCCCATAAAACAGCAATTAATTTGAGATAATTACTACTTAGAAACTACATAATTGCATGTTTCCTTCTAGAGTCACCTTGCCTTTGTGCAGAGCATTTAATCGGTCATGCAGTTAACCTGAAAGGGAAGGGCACTTATGGTAGAATTAAGAACGGTAGCAGTATGACATTCTAAATGGTAATATGTGAGGCCACTGAGCTGTTTAATCAAGTTAGTTATATCCTTCGAATTAAATCCAGTAGAGAGAAAAAAGTTTTAGTTTTGGAATTAGTTATATGTGAGCCTCTCTTCTCAGAATATAGAAGTGCTGTATGTGTGCAGATCTGAGGATCATTATTGGAGGTAAAATAGTTTTCCATTCACCTTGGAATTGCAGAGAAACCAAACTGAGGGTTTACATACAAAGCTTGCCCAACAGGAATGTCCATGGTCCTTGATAGCATAGTGGTCAAGATAGGGGCTTTCGCACCAAATCCTTTGGGTTTGACAGTTTATTCTGCCACTTATTTGCAGAACAAACTACATCTTTTTTGACTTTCATTTCATTACCTGTAAAATGAGAATAATAAAGTGCCTACTTGGAAAGGATATGTTGACTTTTATAAGCTAATATATGTAAAATGATTAGCATGGCACCTAATATTTGGTGAATGTTTAATAAATGTTTATTTTTATTATATCTAGTTTGTAATGGCAATTTCTTCTCCAAGACATATGCTGTAAGATATAAAAGGACTCCCAAATTTTGCAATTGTGATGTCTCATTCTCCACTCAGAAAGATTTAGTCTAAGTTAGGCAAATACACATTATTATGACCCGTAACTAGAATGACATACATTTTCAAGGCAATTCTATCTTTTTAATTTTTGGTAATTTAAAAATATAACCAGTGTACCTATTAAGTCCACCCTAAAAATATGCATCAAAAGACTCTATTTAAAAAGTCCTGGGTGAACTTTTTTCTTTTTTCATCAGAATTGTTCAAAGTCTTTTCAAGGACTCCTTCTTCATCAAATTCTATGTGTTAAGTTCCCATCTGTGTGGTTCAGATTTAAATTTCTCTCCTTTTATAAAAGGCAACATGCTGTACCCCTTAAACTACATATTTTATTGGACATTCCATCCACACTTAATGATAGTTTCTTCTTTAAATAATTTTTGGGTTTCTCATGTCTGTATTTTATTTGTGGAACCAACAGGTTTTAGGATACCTCCTGACTGGCCAATGTTATAGTCTTTATTGCCTTATGATAAAGTTCTTAGTAATCACAGGACTGTGAACATGTCCTTGAATAGCTAGTCTGAACAAAGTTAAATGCCATGAATTTGATACAGTTACTGATGTCTACACAAATTCTGTGTCTTAACATTGCACCAAGAATCTAAAGCACACCTTAAATTTATACAATTTTATTTGTCAATTGTACCTCAATAAACGTGTTTTTAAAAAAGCATCTAGGTAGGTATGTATGGTCTTCTGTAGATTAAAGAAAAATTCATGAGGGCATAAAGAAGGCTGTATTCTGTCCCTGCCTTTATTATTTGTTTACAGGTTATTTACAAACTATTAGAATTTTGAATGATACAGAAACATAGTCTTCAATCATAAAGAAGTTTCTTTTTTATTACATGGTATGGTTTATCTGTCACGCAACAAGAGAGGCCTGAATATGTGACTGGTCCTATTAACTCAGTGTTTCTAAAGTAATAACATCAGTTCCACTATCATGTTTCCTAGAATCTAAGAGGCCATTAATTGTAAATTTCACCAATGATTTAAAATAAAGGTTTGAAAAATAATGATTGTATTCTATGTTCCCAACCAACAAAATATCTCATTTCAGAAATGTCAACATGTGAGAAATAGTACAAGTGTATTTTACAATGACAATGAACAGAAGGGGAATAAGGAGGACTTTTTTTTTTTTTTTTTTTTTTTTTTTTTTTTTGCTGAGATAGAGTCTTGCTCTGTTGCCCAGGCTGGAATGCAGTGGTGCGATCTAGGCTTACTGCAACCTCTGCCTCCCAGGTTCGAGCAACTCTCATGCCTCAGCTTCCTAAGTAGCTGGGATTACAGGACTGTGCGACCATGCCTGGCTAATTTTTCTATTTTTAGTAGACATAGGGTTTCACCATGTTGGCCAGGCTGGTCTTGAACTCCTGGCCTCAAGTGATCCACTCACCTCGGCCTCCCAAAGTGCTGGGATTACAGGTGTGAGCCATTGTGCCCGGTCAGGAAATGAGGAGTTCTTAAAGGACCCTGGGAATGTTGCTAGTGGGCCCATGTCCAGATATCTTCTCGGCACTGGCAAGAACAGTGCCTGAGTGGGTCCTTGTCTACAGAAATCATCACTAAGGATGAAATCTCTTAAAAGGGTGATCCAGATACAAACATTATATTAAATATTTAATTTCTATATAGAGTTGGAGGACATAGACTGTTTCCTAGGGAAACTGAAGGGAGGTATACCAATGTTGTATATTAATCTAGATCACAAACATCTTACACTCAAGTTTAAGTAAAAATCCAAATTAACAGCCACAAACAGTGGACCAAAATAGAGTAAACTCTGAAAAAACATTATTTGTTATTATTTTTGAGTCTTAAGCGGGAAATATCAGAGAAGAAAGTTATGAAAATATGTAAGTGGACTTTATTTTGTAGGAAGATAAAATATTTAGAAAGACATGTAAAAGGTTGGAAAATGTTGGGTAAATTTATAAGAAAGAAAATCTACCATACTGGAGAAGAGACATAGATAAGGTTTAGTACATGAAAATTAAACATAAGACAATGATTTTAGAAGAGCACCAACCATTCAGTAAGACAAGATTTCAAAGAGAAACATTCATATTCTGGGGATCACAAGAATAAGACAACTTGGAATCAGCCAAATAAATCAAAATCCACCGGAGACTGTTCTGTATAGCCATGAACACCCTTTTCCCATCAGTGAACATCATAACGAGAGAAACAATGTGGAAAGGAAGTAAATGGTCATCCTGGGTGAAATTACATATGACCAAGTTAGCTCTACCTTCACGGAAGGTTTGACAGTTGTTCTGGGAAAAAGGATGGGATCCCACATCATCACATTTTGGAGACCTTAGAGCTTATTCTCCCAAAGACTTCTGTGCATTTCTTGGTTTATAAGGATTTGTGTCAGGTTATTGCCTCAGTGGATTTTCTTGCTGTGAGTAGCCATACAGGGCTTGCTGAGTGGGGAGATGTTGGTCAAAGGGTGCAAACTGTCAGTTATAGGATGAATAAGTTCTGTAGATCTGTTATACAGCATGGTGACTGCAGTTAAAAAGGCTTTTTGAATCCACTAAAATAACTAGCATAGGTGTAAGACGGGGGAGACAATTTCAATCTTTTGCTCCCTTCTCTACCCTCATGCTCTGCAAAATTATTTTCACCAAGTTACGGTTTGGCATTCTTCCCTCGGGTTACTATGCAAAGGGAAAAAAATCTTGTAACACTCATTAATGCATATATGATAGGGATACAAACAAAAACATTGTCCTCTATATTCCTTATTGAATTAAGGCCTGCAAAAAACTTCTCTGTGAACTTCTTTGAATTCTTCTTTTTATATGACAAAAAAATTCATATGTTTGATTTTGTTGTTTCATTCTTTAGAAGTTGCCCCAATGCTTGGAGGCAAAATTTTAGCTCAATTTTATTTTAGACAAAGTCTTGCTCTCTTGCCCAGGCTGGAATGCAGTGGAGTGATCTCTGCTGACTGCAACCTCTGCCTCCTGGGTTCAAGTGAACCTCCTGCCTCAACCTCTCAAGTAGCTGGGATTACAGGTGCCCACCATCATGCCCGGCTAATTTTTGTATTTTTAGTAGAGACGGGATTTTACCATGTTGGCCAGGCTGGTCTTGAACTCCTGACCTCGAGTGATCCATGCACCTTGGCCTTCCAAAGTGCTAGGATTACAGGCATGAGCCACTGAGCCTGGCCTAGCTCAATTTTAGTAATAGCATACAACATACATGCAAATCTGACTTTTCTTTCGGTCTTGATGTTCTATCCTAATTTATATGTTTCCAGGTCTTGATATGATTTCCTTTATTTACATTTTAGTATAAGTAATCTTGTGAGCTGTTTCAAAGAATTTGTGTAAAAACTTGTTATAAAACATTTATAAGAAATGTTAATACATTTTGCTTTTGCCTTTTTTTTTTTTTTTTGGTTGGGGGTGGTTAGTGTGGTCTGATTTGGTGAATTGTCAGTGTGTCAGTTATTGGGTTGAAAAATCCCAAACTGTCTGTTTCTCCTACTATACTCTCATAACAAGAAGGCTTCTGTGCCCAGATGTGGGGGGGTGGATCCATACACCAAACAGGTGATCAGTCCCACAGTGGACATCAGCTGAGTGTCCTCTAATTCAGTTCTGACACTATCTACCTCATGGTAGCGTCAGTTTCCACAGGTTGAAAGCTCAGTCCCACAAGGCTGCTCTTTACTTTAGACACCAGTCACAAGTCCAGGCTTCTAGAACTTCTAACTGACTTGCTGTAAATTGGGGTTTCCATGACCGTCTCCTTGGGTTCGCTTAATTTGCTAGAGCAGCTCACACAGCTCAGGGAAACGCTTGTATTGACTGGTTTATTGTAAAGGATATTTAAAAGAATACAAATGAACAGCCAGATGAAAAGATACATAGGGCGGAGTATGGAAGAGTCCTGAGTGCAGGAGCTTCTGGCCATGTGGAGTGGGGTGCACTACCCTTCCAGCACATGGATGTGTTCTTATTCACCTTTATGGAAGCCCTCTGAACCTAGTCCTTTTTTGGAGGGGTTTTTATGGAAGTTTCTTATGTGGATGAGATTGATTAAATCATTGGACAGTGATGATCAATTTAACATGCAGCCCCTCTCCTTTCCCTGGAGGTTAGGGAATGAGGCTGAAATTCCCAAACCCCATAATCCTGGTCTTTCAGGCAACCAGTTCCCCTGAAGCTACAGAGGGGCTGTCAGTCACCAGCCATCTCATTAGCATACAAAAGACCCTCTTATCACTCCAGAGATTCCAAGTATTTTGGGGACTGTGTGTCAGGAAATGAGGATGAGGACCAGATATATATTTTACAGTATCACGGTTATAAAAAATGCTCGTGTGTCAAAAAAAATAGGAAATGGGATTTGTTTGAAAGACAAAAACACTTGTGAGAAATAATGTCTGTTTGATGGGCTGAGTAAAATTTTGGCAATGTAGGGTATTTTATATGTATTTATGAGATTATGTAGTCAATTACTTTAGTTACTTCTTCCTTTTAACTTTAAGTGTTTTCACTGGCTATGCAGCATGTTATTCCTTGTTAATATAACCACCTCTGTGAATTAATCTCTCTTCTTATAGGATAGACATTTTCTAGCTAAGATCTCCAGGGAAAAGTTTGAGGGATCACGAGAGATGGATGAATCATGAGGAAGGGGATCTACATATTTCTGACCAGCTCAGAGTAAGGTAATACTGCATTGCAATAAATATGAAGGTCCTGTGTAAGAAAAACAAAAGCCATAAATACATATTACACAATTCTCAGTTAAATGTTTTATGGGATCTTTTGGGATTAAATAGAACTCCTGGAGCTGACAAAGATTCCTTGGTTGGTTTAATTTTAGTCAAGCTTCCACATCTTCTTCTATGCCCATTTGTGCAATTCTTTGTAAAATCCAGTTTTAGCAAAGAATCCTGCTAACTCAGTGTAACAAGATCTCTCATCCTTGATATCTGATCATCCTTGACATCTGACCAGGTTCCTCATCCTCCACCATTCCCCAGGTGATGTCTGATCACCTTGACCTGTCTTTAGCAAGAGTCCTGTGAGGTTGGTTTTTACCAGATTCCCCCTTACCCAGGAGGTTTCCACTTGGTAATTTTCCATCCAGTGATCCACACACTGCTTCTTGCCTATAAATTCCCACTTGTCAATGCTGTAATCTGAGTTGAGCTCAGTCTCCCTCCCCAACTGCAAGACCCTGTTGCAGTGGTCTCTATGCCTATTGTGATGGTCCTGAATAAAGTTTTCCTTACTGAGCTTTACCAAGTATGATTGAATGATTTTTTTCTTTAACAGAGCCCTATGGTTTTATTTAAAGAGTAGCCAAGTGGCTCACCCAACATCTCAGAGTGTGCTGGTGGCAGGACTGAGACCACAATCAGACCTCCTGCAGCTCAGTACCATGCCCTTGCCCTTTTCACCTTCAAACCAAACATGGCAGAGACTGCACTTCTAAGCTCGAGAGTGAAAATTGTTCTATTTATGTAGGGCTGTGCAAATGTTCTTAGAAATTTGGAAAATAAGATTGAATTTGAATTCTGTGTCTATGTGGATAATTTTAAGTTTCATATGATTCATCCTTATGATGCACTTTTTAAAGGGATATGTATTCTATGTAGACCTCTGACTGGTGAAATATTCCATTGTTTTAAGTTAGAAAATACCATTCCTAGTCATCAACATAGAGTTGAGAATATAGGCTTTTTTCTTTAACAGAGCCTTATGCTTTTGTTTAGTGCCCTGACAGACTAAAGCTGAATCCTGATTTCTCCACTTAGTAGTTATGTTACCTTGGCCAAGTTCCTTAACCTCTTTTTATGTCAGTTCCCTCATGTGTATAATGGAGATCGTATTAGAAACTGATTCCTTTTTCATGTGGTTAAGTGAGTTAATGCATAAGCACTCTGAATAGTGCCTGGCATGAAATAAGTAGTCAGTAAATGTCAACTTTTATTTCTCTATTTTTAATGTTTAGATAACTATATGCACAGATTCACCCATGCTTTGCTATGTTTGAATAACAAAACAAGATATAGAAGAGAATAGAAGTTGAGCTAAAATATGTGCAAGAACATACAAAGGACATCAAATTTGAGGAACTGTTCAATTCATAAAAGTCTATTGTAGCATTCTACCAACTGGTCATCCTGACTGTGTTTAAATTTTAAAAGATGAGGAATTCACTTTTTCTTGAAATAGTCCATTCCATTTGGACAATTTTATTAAGAAGTTATTCATATATTGAACTGAAATCTTTATCTGGTTTCTATTGGATGTAGTTCTTTTTTTAAAAATTTTTTTTGGAATGGAAGAAAGCAAATTTAACTCTCCTTCAATTGACATCCTCTAAATATTGAAGAGTGCTTTCAC